>NC_000008.11:67177265-67802265 GCF_000001405.40 Homo sapiens
ACCTGATCCAAGATCTTTGCCTCTGGAACTAAGTGCCTGGAATTGAGCTTATTTCAGTTCCATGTGAGGGAGCCCCTGTTTAACTCCATGCAACAACTTTCTACAGATTGTAGAAATCTGACAAGATGGTGAAGGATCCTGCATTGATCATTTTCTTTTTCTGTTGGCATTAGTTTTACATTTGCAATGATTTTACTTGTTATGTTCATTCATGTGAATGGGAGAATTTTATGCAGCTAGAATGGATGCAGGGCTATGTTTTTTAATAAGTGATATCTTTAAAATACTCTGAAGTGTGATAGTTGAAAAGTAATTTCCAGTAGAGAGCTAGTCAAAAAAGATATTCTAAAATTTAATTTATATAGTAAGCATTTTCTGACCTTTTAATTTGCTTTTGTTCTCCATTGACTACAGTTGACTTAGATGCCATCCCAAGTGCTAAAGTACGAGAGCAAAGAATGGTAAGCAACCAGTTACAATTTTTCAAGTTAGTTTTTGGGGGATTAAAAATCTTTAGGCATATGATGATCAAGTAATTCAAATTTTGAATTATTCAGGAATATTGAATTAAGAACGTAAGTCTTATCAGTAAAGTGGATAGCTTGAGAAGTGTTAGTGTAATATATATAGAAAACATATTGTAATGGCTAAGAACAAGATTCTAGCACTAGGCTGTTCCAGTGAGTCTATTTTTAGCTGCGTGACTTAGGGCAAGTTATTTAATCTCTTTATGCCTCAGCTTCCTAATCTGTAAAATGAGGATAATAGTACATAAATTAATATTTGCAAGGTACTTAGAGACAGGCCTGGCATATAAGTTTTATGTAAGTGTTTATTAAATAAATAAAAATAGCTCAAGTGCTGTTGTGAGAACTGAGATAATATATTAAAAGCCCTTACAGCAGTCCTGGCCCATTATGAGTGCAGTGTGAGTGTTTGCTGTCATTACCATGAGCAGTAGTGGGAGTAGGAGTCTGTTATGGAAGTAGTGTTGAGGTCTACAAAGAAAATAAGCAAAGGAAGGGAACAGAGAATGATAACACCCACCTGTATCCTGAGGGGGGTACTTTTTGTGCAAGACTGAATAAAGGGACAGGATGAGCTCTTTTCAATCAACAAATATTTATTATTTCCTATGGACAAGAAACTGTTCTAGGTGCCGGGGTATAGGAGTAAACAAAAGGGACAAAAATCCCTGTCCTGTGACAGGTTACATTCCAGAAGGAGGGAGAGACAGTAATCAAATAAATCAATAGTTTTTTGAATCATGGTGCTGTGGAGAAGACAACAGCAGAGAAGGCAGCTGGAGGATCCTGGGTGGGAGGGTTTATAGTTGGAAATACAGTGGGCATGGGGGCTCACTGGGTAGGCAACATTTGAGTAAGGACATCAGGGAGGTGTCTATGGGAAATGTGGGGGAACTTCTGGAGGAAGAACATTCCAGGAAGAGGCCCCAGTGGAAGTTGGCCTAGTGCATGTAAGGAGCAGTGGGAGAGCCATGAGCAAGGGCCAGTTGGGCACATGGGGCAGGGGGTGACGAGGGGAGGCAGCAGGGCCTTGGGGGCCATTCTGGGACTTTGCCTTTGACACTTGTGCATGTGATGGGAAGCTGCCAAGGTCTTTAAGTGGAGGAGTGACATGATCTGCTTGAGGTTTTTACTTGATCCACTGACTGCTGTGCATTTTGACTGAGTGGGACAGGAGGCTATTGTAGTAATTTAGGCAAGAGACAAGCTCACTTTCTGATTAAAGAATGCAGTGCATCATTGTAATTCATTGCCTTAAAAATTAATGGACAGCTCTTTGCTGGAGTGTCCTACTGAAGCCCAGATTATCTGGTAAGAAGGTGCAGGGAGGTGGAGTTGGATGACTTTAGGTTCCTTCTGACATGTTGGTTATTATTCTGTACTGCAAAATTCTCTATATGTAAATTTAAGTTTTCTCTAATTTGGGAGCTCATTATAATAAGCCCAATCTTAGCATTTTTTTTCGTTACTATACTATATGCTCCACTATATCTGTGCTGCATCATTGTGGCAATTGCTGTCACATAGGGCTGTCATAATCTGAGAGTATACCCCTCTCTCTCCCATGACACTGTGATCTACTCCAGAGCAGAAACTCTTAATTCATCTTTGTATCCCCAGTTCCTAGCATGAAAGAAATAGTAAGTGGGCTATACAGGTTTATGGAAATTCGGATGAATGAATCTTGGCAGTGGCTTAAAGACTTAATGTTTAATTGGGGTCTTTGCTTCATACTGTATTATATTTTCCATCAGTCATAATGTGATCCTTTTATTTGACTTCAACCATAAAGGGGCAGGAAGGAGTGGAGCTAGGGAGTAAATGTGTTAGCTTGTAGAATCTGTAGCCTGGAGAGAGACTGTCTTCTGTTGCTATCACCGTCTTCGTAGGAATTGTGTGTGTTAAGGCTTTCCAGTATTTTCTGAGCATTGGAATGTAGTCAGTCCTACCTCTACCCATCCTCTGCTTTTAGGGAGAACAGTGTGGAAACTTGTGCCTCTTCTTAGTATAAATTTGTTGTTTTTGTACACAAAACTAATAAAAATAGTCATTGAAACATGTTTCTTTTAGCCCAGAGATGACACTAGTGATTTCTTGAAAAACTCATTATTGGAATCTGATAGTGCTTTTATTGGTGAGTATATTTATTTTATTAAGGCTATATTGTTTAAATATTAAACCTTTCTCCACACTTAAAAACCAGTACTGTATTCCTTGTTGTACAAGGTAGTAAAAAAAAAAAAAGGAATATTCTTTTTTCTGTTTTAATCAGATATGCCTTGGAAAGTTTTCAAAATCAGAATTACTGAAATGAACTTTAAAAGTCTTAGGAATAGTTGACAAACCTGTACATGAATGTTCGTAACAGCCTCATTTCTAATGCCAAATGCTGGAATCAGCCCAGATGTCCTTCAGTAGATGAATGGTTAAAAAAACTCTGGTACATCCATGCCATGGAATACCACTTAGCAATAAAAAGGAACAAAGTTTTGAAACTTGGATGACTCTTCAGGGAAATAGTCTGAGCAAAAAAGACAATCCCAATAAGTTACATACTACTGTATGATTCAATTTACATAACATTTTTGAAATTACAAAATTAAGAAATTGAGAACAGATTAGTGGTTGCCAGGGGTTGAGGGATAGGGAGAGGTGTATATGGTTATAAAAGGGCAAGAAGAGGGATCCTTGTGGTTTGGGAACTGTTTTAACAACTTGTTTGCAGGGGTAGATACATACATGTAAATGGGAAATAAAATAATAATAATAGATCTTAATACACACATAAAAACACACAAATGAGTATTGGTAAGATGGTAAATTTGAATAAGATCTGTGGATTGTATCAGTATCGATATCCTGGTTGTGAGATTATACTTGAGTTTTGCAAAATGTTACCATTGGGGGAAACTGGACAAAGTGTATAAGGAATCTCTACTATTTCTTATACCTGTGTACCTTAATTATTTTAATCTATTTATAGTTCTCTTAATATTTCAGTCAAAAAAGTCATAAGACTTTTATTTAGTCTTCAGAAGATAAGTAAAGGTACCATGGGATCTTCTTTTTTTTTTAAAGTAGTATACACTTACGATTATGTACTCTGATCATGAGTGTTTCTGCTATCCTAGGGCCATCAGGGAATGATCTAGTCTACATATTAGTTGTATTTCAGGCCAATTACTTTAGATTTTCATGTGATAAAATTCCAAATTAACTTATATTTTTCTCTTAATGGTTTTTTTTTTGTTGTTGCTGTTTTTGAGAGAGGGTCTTGCTCTGTCGCCCAGGCTGGAGTGCAGCAGCACAATCATTGCTCACTACAGCCTCAAATTCCTGGACTCAAGTGCTCCTCCCATCTCAGCCTCCCCAGTAGCTGGGACTACAGCATGCACCACGATACCTGGTTATCTTTTTTATTTTTTTGTAGAGATGAGGTCTCCCTATGTTGCCCAGGCTGGTCTCAAACACCTGGACTCAAGGGATCCTCCTGCCTCAGCCTCCCAAATTGCTGGGATTACAGGCATGAGCCACTGTACCTGGCCATTTTTTTTTTTTTTTTTTTTTTTAATGAATTTTTCCTTTCCAAGGAAGATGCACTGCGGAGAGAAGGAAAGATAAAACCAGCAGGAGACAGGGATGGGAAGATTGCTTGTCAGGGAAATGAGACCTTCCTTCCTAACAGTGAAGATGGTCTGGGCCACTCAAGATGGTGTGTTGGAGTATTGCATGACACTAGAGCAAAGATACAGCAGTATTTATGGTTAACAGTCACTGCAAATGCTGCATAAGTAAGTCATGGCTGTGTTAACCACTGCTCTAAGGAATGTAAAGCTGATGGTTTCAGTGCATTATTTTAAAAAATAGGGTTTTTAAAATTGTAAAATACACATAAACATAACATTTACCATTTTAACCATTTTAAAGTGTACATTGACTGGCATTAAGTATTTCTATTGTGCAACCACCACTATCATCCATCTCCAGAATTCATCTTGAAAATAGAAACTCTTCATATGAAACAGTAATTCCCCATTGCCCTCTCCCTCCAGCCCCTGGCAGCCAACATTGTACTTTCCATCTCCATAAATTTGACTACTCTAGGACCTCATGTAAGTGGAATCATACAGTATCTATCCTTTGATGACTGGCTTATTTCACTTCACATAACATCTTTGAGGTTTATCCATGTTATAGCATGTGTCAGATTTTCTTTTTTTACCCCTTAGAGACAGGGTCACCCTTGCCACCCAGGCTGGAGTGCAGTGGTGTGATCATGGCTCACTGCAGCCTTGACCTCCCTGTGCTCAGATGATTCTCCTACCTCAGCCTCCCAAGTAGCTGAGACTACAGGCACACACTACCATGCCTGAATAATTTTTGTATTTTTTGTAGAGACAGGGTTTCACCATGCTGCCCAGGTTGGTCGCGAACTCTTGAGCTTAAGTGATCCTCCTGCGGCCTCCCAAAGTGCCAAAGTGCTGAGATTACAGGTGTGAGCTACCACACCCAGCCAGATTTCCCCTTTTTTTTTTTATGCTGTGAATAATATTCCATTGTATGTGTGTACCACGTTTTGTTTATCCAATCATCTGTCAGTAGACACTTGAGTTGCTTCCACCTTTTGGCTGTTGTGAATAATGCTCCTATGAATAGGTGTACAATTATCTGTTGGAGTCACTGCTTTCAGTTCTTTTGGGTATACACTAAGAGATAGCATTTGCTAGATCATATAGTAATTCTATTTTTAATTATTTGAAGACTCACCACATTGTTTTCCACAGCAGCTGTACCATTTTACATTCCTACCAGCAGTGCACAAAAGTTCCGATTTCTCTACATCCTTAACACTTGTTACTTTGTTTTTTGAATAGTAGCAATCCTTACGGGTGTGACGTGGCATCTCATTGTGGTTTTGACTTACATTTCTGTAATAATTAGTGATGTTGGACATCTTTACATGTGCTTATTGACTAATTGTACATCATTTTTGAAGAAATACCTATTTAAGACCTTTGCTAATTTTTAAAATCAGAGTTTTTTTGTTATTGAGTTGTGGGAGTTCTTTATTATCTATTCTGGATATTACCCCTTATCAGATACATGATTTGCAAATGTTTTCTGCATAGTGGGTTGCCTTTTCACTGTGTTGATTGTGTCCTTTGATACATAGGAGCTTTTAATTTTGATACAGTCCAATTTATCTTTTCTTTTGTTGCCTGTGCTTTTGGTGTCACATCTAAGACATCGTTGCCAAATCCAATACCATGAAGCTTTCCTCATATGCTTGCTTCTAAGAGTTTTATCTATAGGTTTAGCTCTTAATGTTTAGATGCCTAACCACAGAGTGTCAAAATACATGTCAGAAAGCAAAAGAATGGCAAGGAGAAATAGATGAATCCACTGTTACAGTTGGAGATTTTTAACACCTCTCTATCAGAAATGGACAGAGACAGAAAATCAGTAAGGACGTAGTTGAGTTCAGCAACACCATCAACCAACTGGATATAATGGATGTCGAAAGACAACTTCATTAACAACAGCAGAACCCATATTCTTCTCAGGGTCACATGGAACATTCACCAGGACAGATTACAATCTGGGCAAGAAAACAAACCTTAACAGATGTAAAAGAAGATAAATCACACAATATCTGTCCCCAGACCACAATGGAAATAAACTAGAAATCAATAACAGAAAGATAGCTGGAAAAATCTCCAAATACTTTGGAGATTAAATGCCACATTTCTAAATAACGCATAGGTCAGAGAAAAAATATGAAAATACATTTTAAAATACTTTGATCTAAATGAAAATGAAAATACAACTTCTCAATTTGTAGGAGGTAGCAGAAATAATGCTTGTCTTTCTTTCTACTTTCCTAATGTATGCATTCAGTTAAATGTAAAATGCCAAACTCTAAAACTCACAGAAGATACCAACAGAAAATCTAGACGACCTTGGATATGGTGATGACTTTTAGATAAAAAACCAAAGCCACAATTTATGAAAGAAATAATTGATAAGCCAGACTATGTAAAAAATTGGGAATTTTTTTTTTTTTTTTTTTTTTTTTTTTAGACAAAGTCTTGCTGTTGTCCCCAGGCTGGAGCGTGATGGCGTGATCTTGGCTCACTGCAACCTCCGCCTCCCGGGTTCAAGCGATTCTCCTGACTCAGTCTCCCAAGTAGTTGGGATTACAGGCGCCTGCCACCACGCCTGGCTAATTTTTGTATTTTTAGTAGAGACGGGGTTTCACCGTGTTGGCCAGGCTGGTCTCGAACTCCTGACCTCAGGTGATCCCCCGGCCTTGGCCTCCCAAAGTGCTGGGATTATAGGCGTGAGCCACTGCGCCCGGCCAAAAATTGGTAAATTTTTAAGGTGCTTAAATTTATAGGATTGACTGTGCATACATGAAGAAAGTAGAAAGATCTAAAATCAGTATTCTAAGCTTCCACATAAGAAAATTAGAAAATAATTAAATCCAAAGTAAGCAGAAGAAGAGAAATAAAAATTGGAGCAGAAATCAATGAAATTGAAAACAGGAAATAAATAGAGAAAATCAATGAAACCAAGAGTTATTTCTGAGAAGATCAGTAAGCCTCTAGCCAAGCTAATAAAAGAGAAGACACAAATTACTAATACCAGAAACAGGGCATATCTAGCTGGGCATGGTGGCTCACACCTGTAATCCCAGTACTTTGGGAGGCTGAGGTGGGCGGATCACCTGAAGTCAGGAGTTCAAGACCAGCCTGGTCAACATCTCTACTAAAAATATAAAGATTAGCTGGGCATGGTGGTGTGTGCCTGTAGTCCCAGCTATCTGGGAGGCTGAGGCAGGAGAATCACTTGAACCAGGAGGTGGAGGTTACAGTGAGCTGAAATCGTGCCACTGCACTCCAGCCTGCATGACAGAGTGAGATTCTGTCTAAAAAAATAATAATAAAAAAATATAATAATAATAATAATAATAATAAAGGTTGGGGGGCATATCACTACAGGTCCCATGAACGTTAAAAACAGTCGGCCGGGCACGGTGGCTCAAGCCTGTAATCCCAGCACTTTGGGAGGCCGAGGAGGGCGGATCACAAGGTCAGGAGATTGAGACCATCCTGGCTAACACGGTGAAATCATGTCTCTACTAAAAATACAAAAAAAAAAAAAAAAAAAAAAAGGTGGTGGGCACCTATAAGTCCCAGCTGCTCGGGAGGCTGAGGCAGGAGAATGGCGTGAACCCGGGAGGCGGAGCTTGCAGTGAGCTGAGATCGCACCACTGCACTCCAGCCTGGGCGACAGAGCAAGACTCCGTCTCAAAAAAAAAAAAACAAAAACAAACAAACAAACAAACAAAAAACACAACATAGTCCAAGAGCCTGGTGTGATTCCGTTCTGCATGGCTGTTCTCTTGAGAAGTGGTTGTTTATCTCCGTCCACCTTCTTTCCCACCTAAGTGCATGCCACCAGCCAATGGAAGATTTGATGAGCCCTGAGGCCCCAGAACTATCTTTTCGGTTGTGAACTAAAGGCCGACAAAGATTATCACTTTAAGATGGATAATGATGAAAATGAGCACCAGTTATCTTAAAGAACGTTCAGTTTAGGGGCTGGTGCTGGTGCAAAGGATGAATTGCACATTATTGAAGCAGAGGCAATGAATTACAAAGGCAGTCCAATTAAAGTAACACTGGCAACTTTGAAAATGTACAGCCAATGGTTTCCCTTGGGGGCTTTGAAATAACATCACCAGTGGTCTGTCGGTTGATGTGTGCTTCAGGGCCAGTGCATATTAGTTGACAGCAATTAGTAGCTGTGGAGGAAGATGCAGAGTCAGAAGATGAAGAGGAGGATGTGAAACTCTTGAAGTATATCTGGAAAGCAGTCTACCCCTGGAGGTGGTAGCAAGGTTCCAAAGAAAAAAGTAAAACTTGCTGCTGCTGAAGATGATGAAGATGATGATGATGAGTTTGATGATGAGGAAGCTGAAGAAAAAGCACCAGTGAAGAAATCTATACAAGATACTCCAGCCAGAAATGCATAAAAGTCAAATCAGAATGGAAAAGACTCAAAAGCATCATCAACACCAAGATCAAAAGGACAAGAATCCTTCAAAAAAACAGGAAAAAACTCCTAAAACACCAAAAGGACCTAGTTCTGTAGGTCCTTTGCACTTAAAGCAAAAATGCAAGCAAGTATAGGAAAAGGTGGTTCTCTTCCCAAAGTAGAAGCCAAGTTCATTAATTATGTGAAGAATTGCTTCTGGATGATTGATCAGGAGGCTATTCAAGATCTCTGGCAGTGGAGGAAGTCTCTTTAGGAAAATAGTTTAAACAATTTGTTAAAAATTTTCCATCATTTCATTTCTGTAACAGTTGATATCTGGCTGTCCTTTTTATAATGCAGAGTGAGAACTTTCCCTACTGTGTTTGATAAATGTTGTCCAGGTTCCATTGCCAAGAATGTGTTGTCCAAAATACCTGTTTAGTTTTTAAAGATGCAACTCCACCCTTTGCTTGGTTTTAAATATGTATGGAATGTTATGATAGGCCATAGTAGTAGTGGTGGTCAGACATGGAAATGGTGGGGAGACAAAAATATACATGTGAAATAAACCTCACTGTTTTAAATTAAAAAAAAAAAAAAAAAGTCCAAGAATACCATGAACAACTCTATGCCCACAAATCTGATAACCTAAAGTCTACCACCCATTTATGGTAACTCAGCAAACTTGGAATAGAGGGGGAACTTCTGCAACTTGATAAAGAACATCTACAAAAGTCCTACAGCTAACATCATAATGATGAGAAACTAGAAGCTTTCCTGCTAAGATCAGGATGTCCTTTCTCACCACTGATTAACATCATACTGGAAGTCCTAGCTTAATATTAGCAGTAAGGCAGAAAAGGAAATAAAAGGTGTGATTGGAAAGGGAGAAATAGAATTGTTTTTCTTCACAGATGACATGATTGTCTATAGAAAATCTGAAGGAATCAACTAAAAAATGCCTGGAACTAGTAAGCAGTTATAATCAAGTTGTGGGATACAAGATGAATATATAAAAGTCAGTCACTTTACAATATGCCAGCAATGTACAAGTGAAATTTGAAATTAAAAATTAAAAACACAATACCACTTACATTAGCATTCCCCCAAGGAATACTGAGGTATAAATCTATCTATCATCTATCTATCTATCTATCTATCTATCTATCTATCTATCTATCTAATCTATCTATCTAGAACTGCCTGAGGAAAACTACAAAACTGATGAAATTGAAGGACTACTAAATAAATGGAGATATATTTCATGACCATGCACAGGATGACTCAGTATTGTCAAGATGTCAGGTCTTCTCAACTTGATCTATAGATTCAGTACAATCCCAATAAAAATCCCAGCAAGTTATTATGTGGATAACAACAAACTGATTCTAAAGTTCATTTGGAAAGGCAAAAGATCCAGAATAGCCAGCACAATGTTTAAAGAGAAGAGTTGGAGGACTCTCACAGCTGACTTCAAGAGTTATGATAAAGTTATAATAAACAAGACAGTGTGGCATTGGTGAAAGAACAGACAAATAGACCAGTTGAATGGAATATGGAGCCCAGAAATAGACTCATGCAGCCTGGGCACAGTGGCTCACACCTGTAGTTCTGGAACTTTGGGAGGCTACTTGAGGCCAGGAGTTTGAGACCAGCCTGGGCAACAAAACAACACCTTGTCTCTACAAAAAAAATATTTTAAATTAGCCGATGTGGTGGCACACACCTGAAGTCCTAGCTATTTGGGAGGCTGAGGTGGGAGGATTACTTGAGCCTGGAAGTTCAAGGCTGCCGTGAGCTATGATCACGCCACTAAACTCCAGCCTGGGCAACAAAGAAAGACCTTGTCTCAAAAAAAGAAAGAAATAGACTCACGCAAATACAGTCAGCTGATCTCTGACAGAGGACCAAAGGCAGTACTGACAAAGGACCAAAGGCAGTATTATGATGGAGAAAAGATAGTCTTCTCTACAAATAATGCTGGGACAACAGGACATCTGCATGTGAAAAAATAAACATAGATCTTACGCCCTTCACAAAAATTAACTCAAAGTCGATCTTACATCTAAATGTAAAATGCTAAATTGTAAAACTCATAGATGATAACAACAGAAAATCTAGATGACCTTGGGTATGGTGATGACTTTTAGATACAAAACCAAAGGCACAATTCATAAAAGAAATAATTGATAAGCCGGACTTTGTAAAAATTTAAAACCTGCTCTGCTCTATAAAAGACACTGTTAATTAAGAGAATGAGAAGACAGGACAGAGACTGTAAGAAATTATTTGCAAAAGACATGTCAGATAAAGGACTGTTATCCAAAATACACAAAGAAATCTTAAAACTCAACAATAAGAAAACAAAATACCTGATTAAAAGATTCAGCAAGACTTGCACCACACATCACCATACAGATAACAAGACAAAGGATGCTACTGAGAGACAGGACTAGCTGGATTTCAAATCTAGGCCGACTAAGAATTCCTAAGCCTAGCTGGGAAGGTGACTGCACCCACCTTTAAACACAGGGCTTGTAACTCAGCTCACACCCAACCAATCAGGTAGTAAAGAGGGCTCACTAAAATACAAATTAGGCTAAAGCAGGAGGTAAAGAAATAGTGAAATCATATATCGCCTGAGAGCACAGGGGGAGGGACAATGATCGGGATATAAACCCCAGGCATTTGAGCTGGGAGTGGCAACCCGTTTTGGGTCCCCTCCCATTGTATGGGAACTCTATTTTCATTCTATTAAATCTTGGAACTGCATGCTCTTCTGGTCCATGTTTGTTACGGCTCGAGCTGAGCTTTCGCTTGCTGTCCACCAGTGCTGTTTGCCGCCGTTGCAGACCTGCCACTGACTTCCACCCCTCCGGATCTGGCAGGATGTCCTCTACACTTCTGATCCAGCGGGGTGGCACCCACTGCTGCTCCCAATCAGGCTAAAGGCTTGCCATTGTTCCTGCACGGCTAAGTGCCCGGGTTTGTCCTAATCGAGCTGAACACTAGTCACTGGGTTCCACGGTTCTCTTCTGTGACCCACGGCTTCTAATAGAGCTTTAACATTCACCGCATGGCCCAAGATTCCATTCCTTGGAATCTGTGAGGCCAAGAACCCCAGGTCAGAGAACAAGAGGCTTGCCGCCATCTTGGAAGCGGCCCTCCACCATCTTGGGAGTTCTAAGAACAAGGACCCGCCTGGTAACACATTAAAGAATGTAAATTAAAATGAGATACCACCACATACCTGCTAGAATGGCCAGCATTCAAAACACTGACACCAAATGCTGGCAAGGTTATGGAGCAATAGGAACTCTCATTCATTGCTGGTGGGCATGCAAAATTGTAGTCAATTTTGGAAGACAGTATGGCAGCTTCTTACAAAAATAAGCATATTCTTACCATACAGTTCAGCGTATACACTCCTTGGTATTTGCCTAAGGGAGCTGAAAACTTGTCCATAAAGAAACTGGCACACAGATACTTATAGCACCTTTATTCATAATTGCTAAAACTTGGAAGCAGCCAAGATGTCTTTCAGTAGGTGAATGGATAAAGTGTGGTACATCCAGACAATGCAATATTTTTCAGCACTAAAACAAAATGAGCTACTAAACCATGAAAAGGCATGGAAGGACCCAAAACTTATTTTAGAATTATAGAAAGCCCCATATCTTATTCAATAAAAGTTATTCCTATTTTTAAAAACCCATACAGTATACATTTGGAAAATCTGAATATCAATTATATGTTAAACAATGATAGTGTTGTATAAATGTTAAATTTTCTGAATGTTATAATTAGATTTTTGCAGTGTAGGAGCCAGTCCTTGTTCTTATGAGGATAAACACTGAAATATTGAGAGACAAAATGCCATGATGTCACCAACTTATTGGTGTAGCAAAGAGGCTTGGCAATAACATCATCCCCCCAAATATATATAGAAATTGGCAAAGTAACTAATGGTGATTCTAAGTATTTGTATTATTCTAACTTTTCTTTAGGTATAATTTTTTTCAAAGGAGTTGCGGAGGTTACCGTAGATGTTGTAGGCTATTTGTCCATGTCAAATTAGCTACCGATCCACTAGAATGATTATAAGCAAAAAGACCGACAATACCAAGTGTTGGTGAGGATGTGGGGAAATTGGAACCCTCTTACAATGTAAAATGTAAACAGGTTGGTAGTTCCTCAAAATGCAGAGTAGAGTTAACCATAATACCCAGCAATTTCATTTCTGGTTCTATAACCCAAAGAAATGAGAAGATATGTCCACACACAAAAACTTGAATGTGAATGTTCATAGCAGTGTTATTCATAATTGCTAGCAGCTAGCAAATGTCCATCTACTGGTAAATGCATAGACAAAATATGACGTATCCATATGATGGAGTATTATTCAGCAGTAAAATGTAATAAACAACTTAAACATGGCACAGCATAGATGAATCTCAAACACCTTATTGCTAAGTGAAAAGACAAAAGATTAAGTTGTAGAATTCCATTTATGTTTGGTGTTAGGTAAGGTAAATCTGTTGAAACAGAGCCGTGTTTGCCCGGGGCCAGCAGGTGGGGAGTGATTGCCAGTGTGCACAAAGGAGCTGTTTAAGGTGATGAAAATGTTCTACTTTAAAGTGATGATTGTACAACTCTGTAAATTTACTAAAAAAATCACCGAACTGTGTATGTACATACATTGAGTGTGTTTCATGGTATTGTAAGCAAAATCTTAGTAATTAAAAGGCTCTTGGTTTAGCTCTGGGTAAGATTTGAAGCAGTATTAAGACTCCTTCTGCTTTTCGGGGTCCTCTTAGGGGCTTACGGTGAGACATATCCTGCCATTGAAGATGACGTCCTCCCTCCACCATCACAGTTGCCCTCTGCACGGGAGCGCAGGAGGAACAAATGGAAAGGACTAGACATTGTATGTATGAGACTTTTCTCCCCCTTTTCAACTTAGAAGAATGAGAGGTCTGGGTTCTGACCTGTGCTAAATCTGTGTGGCCCAATAAAGAGCACTTGCTTGAAATTCAGACATGGGTCTGAATCTAGGCTCTGCCTTGACTGGATGACCTTGGGTAGCTATTGAATTCTGCTGCTTTGGCTTCTTCCAGATAATAATAGTATTTTCTTGTCTCCTGGGGTGGCTGTAAGTAGCTCCTCATCCCAACCTTCCTTCTTCTCCTGCAGAATATATGGATTTCAGAGAGGCACAAGAAGGAACTGATGTCATTTATTGAAAAGCTTCATAATAACCTAATTCTGTGATATAGGCATCACCTTCATTTCGGTCAAATGACTTGCCAAGGTCACATGGGCAAGAAGGCTGAGATTCAAACCCATGTTCTCCTCACTCTGCTCCCCAGCTTTACAATATAGCCAGTAAAAAGTAGAGGCTTTGGAGTTTATGTCCCAGCAATGTCACCTCCTTGTTGAGTAGGCAGCTTGGGCAATTTCTTAAACTCTGTGTGTGTTTCCTTATATATGACGTGAAGATGCAGTTATATGTGAAGCATTTAGCACTGAGCCAAGTATGCAGAGACCTCACCAAGTAACAGATGTTGCTATTAGCGTTATTATATGTACAGCATTACCAGGTGAAAATAGCTTTGCTTTTTGCCTTAGGCAACCACCAGTCTACTTTGGTTTCTATAGATGTGCCTTTTCTGGACATTTCGTATAAATGAGATCATACACTGTATGATTATTTGTGACTGGATTTGTCTTTCTTTTGAAGGTCATTCATGTTGTAGCATGTGCCAGTACTGAAGCCTCTTTAGTGTTGAATAATTTTCCACTGTATTAGTATCCCACATTTTGTTTATCCATTTAACAATAGATATTTGGGTTGTTTTCACTTTTTAGCTAGTATGGATACTATTAATGTTCATGTAGAAGTTTCTGATGTTTTTATTACTCTCGAATATATATACCTAGAAGGAAATTGTTGGGTTATATGGACACTTTGTATTTAGCATTTTGAGGAAGTACCAGACTTTTCCAAAGTGGCTGTACCATTTTACCTTCCCATCATCCACTGAGGGTTGTAATTTCTGTATATCCTGGCCATCACTTAGTGTCTTTTGATTTTAGCCATCTATTGAGTGTAAAGTGGTGTCATGGTGGTTTTGAGTTGCATTTCTGTAATGATATTGAACATCTTTTCATGGTTTATTAGCCAGTTGTATATTTTCTTAGGAGATATGTCTATTCAAATCCTTTGCTGATTTGTTTTTTTTTTTGTTTTTTTTTTTTGATACAGAGTCCTGCTCTGTCACCTAGGCTGGATTGCAGTGGCGTGATCTCAGTGCACTGCACCCTCTGCCCCAGTGGGGTTCAAGGGATTCTCCTGCCTCAGCCTCCCAAGTAGCTGGGATTACAGGTGCATGCCAACACGCCTGGCTAAGTTTTGTATTTTTAGTAGAGTTGGGGTTTCGCCATGTTGGCCAGGCTGGTCTTGAACTCCTAACCTCGGGTGATCCACCTGCCTCGGCCTCCCAGAGTGCTAGGATTACAGGCATGAGCCACCGCGCCCAGCCCTTTGTCCATTTTCAAATTGAATTGTCTTTTTATTGAGTTGTAAGAGTTCTTTTACATTCTCACTACAAGTCTAGTTATCAATGTGTGATTTTCAGATCTTTTTTCCCATTCTGTATCTTTTTAACTTTCTTGATGGTGTTCTTTGAAGCACAGAAGTTTTTAATTTTGATGAGGTCCAACTCATCACTCTTTCTTGGGCTTTTGGTGTCTTAATTAAGAAACCATTGCCAACCACAAGATCATGAAGATTTACTTGTTTTCTTTCAGTTTGTTCTTAATTGTAGGTCCATGATACACTTTAATTTTTGCACAGGGTGTGAGGTGCAGGGGTCCAAGTCCATTCTTTTGCATGTGGCCATCCAGTTGTTCTAGCAGCATTTGTTTAAAGACTGTTCTCCCACTGCATTTTGTTAACTCCGTCCATAAACGTAAGGATTTATTTCTATATTCTTCTTAATCTTCCATTGATCTACATGTCTTTTCTTATGTCAGTACCACACTGTCTTGATTATAGCTGGACTAAGCCCCTGCTGCTTCAGTTTTTTCCTTTTGTGTCCTATAATTCTCAAGCTTTATCCTGACTGGCAGCATTTCTGTCATCACAAATGTTACTCCTTATCCTTGAGAGTCATCTGAGCTTGCATGGATAAGCATAGGAGCCATAATATACGTGCTCTATATTTTCATGTTTTATTTTGTTCATCACAGTGTACATTTGAGGGCAAGAGGATGTTTTGATTTGCTGGTTTTTTTCTTTTTTTTTGAGATAGAGTCTCTGTCTCCCAGGCTGGAGTCCAGTGGCACAATCTCAGCTCACTGCAGCCTCCACCTCCTGCCTCAGCCACCCAAGTAGCCGGGGACTACAGGCGCCTGCCACCATGCCCAGCTAATTTGTATTTTTAGTAGAGATGGGGTTTCACCATGTTTGCCAGGCTGGTCTTGAACTCCTGACTTCAGGTGATCTGCCCACCTCGGCTTCCCAAAGTGCTGGGATCACAGGTGATAGGCACCATGCCTGGCCCTGATTCACTGATTTGTGAACATATTTTGTGTTAATGACTTTCTGAAGTTCTGTTTTCTAACTACAGGATAGCAGTCGTCCTAATGTAGCACCAGATGGTCTCTCTCTAAAATCTATATCCAGTGTAAATGTTGATGAGCTTAGAGTGAGAAATGAGGAACGAATGCGAAGACTGAATGAATTTCACAATAAACCTATTAATACAGGTAAATGACCAAGTGTAATGGCCTATAGTAGAATCCTGTATGAACTTTTAAACTTTCTTACTCAAGGCTTTCACTAACGTCTGAGGGATAGATGGAATGAGTTTGAAGACCTTTGAGTTGTATGGCCCAAGACATAGTAACTATTGAGCAAAACCAGACCTCAGGATGCAGTTTGCATCAGATTTTCTCTATCAGAGAGGGTGCCCATTTTAGAGTGGAGTCTAAACAGGTAAAATAGTTTTTGCTTATTAAACATATCCAGGCTTTGCTTTCAGCAAAGAAAATGCTATATGATAATAGTAATCACTTTACTAAAGTAAAACATTATTAGAAATTAGCCTAAAGACTTTGAGTTCTTTAACACTTATGCTGTATATTTGCAGTACTACAAAGAAAATTTTTACCTTCTTCTTTGGCTTTCCACACCATGGACAAAGTCTCAGAAGTCAAATAAAGCTAGTCGTCTCCTCATTATGAGTGCATTTTTGTGACTTGCAGGTTAAAGCTAGTCATAGAGCACAAGGCAGGATGGTTCCTTAGACACCTAACAAGCTACCCTGCCAGCCCTACACCACCCTTTTCTATACCAGTGCTATTAGTCACCGGGATAATGGGACACTTTCATATTGGTAATAATAATAGTTTTAGCAAATTACTGGAGTGGTCTATTTGGGAAATACTCTTTAGTCTGTTAATCTACATTACAATAATCTGTTAAGATTTTTTTAGATCCTACCTTTAATACTGTGTTAATTTAAAACTGTACTCATATACTATCTATCTAGCAGTCAAGGTGTGGTGTGTTCTAATGGTGGTAATTCCACACCAAACACAAAGCAGACATGGTTAATTGATGGGACAGTAGGAAAGGATGTCTTTCCAGCTATAAGGCATTTTCTTTTAGACCCAACAAACTGAATTAATATTTAACAGGAATATATTTGAGGGAAGATAGCATTTTAAGAATCTTTTTCAGAAGGTTTTTAATGTCTACACTGTTTTTTAACATTGTCCTTTCAAACAGGAGCTTTTTGTTATTATGTGGATTGACTGCACATACCAATCCTTCACAGACCAGGAGAATTAAAAAAAAAAAAAAGAATATGATATCACAGGGTAGGAAGACAGATTTTCCTATTATTATACCTAATAATAAATAAAAGTAAAATACAGATAGAAGTTGCGTACAATCAATCAGATTCAATTAAAGAATGAAGCAAGAGCTACCTCTTCATTGACTGGACACGGCCTTGTTAGATTAGGTGTTTTAAGAATGGAAGTAATCTCATGCCAACTAGTGTTTTCCCAAAATAACTTAATAATTTCCTTATAGCAGTGTTGTAGGTTGAAGAGTATTCCCCAAACCTTGCTTTAAAAAAAATAAAAAGAAAAAAGAAAGAAATTTTATGTGTAGCCATTAGGCTTCTCCTGAGGTAACAGTTACAAAATAAGACTACCTACATTCCTCCTGTTGACTTTGTTTTATGGAGAGGTGCCTTTGATATGCTTAGAATCCCTCTGGTTGCTAGTGCCATGGAGTCAGCTTACTCAGTTGATCATTTTTTGTTTTACAAAATTGGCCTTTGTGGGCCCACTCTCCTCCCTCTAAAATAGGGTGGGGTGGGGTGAGTCTAACCAAAACAAACAAACAGTAGAGTTCAGGATATGAGACTGTGGGGAAATGCTGAGTTGTAATGAGTTGGACTACAAGAGACCTGCGCTTATGTCTCCTGCCTGCCACCTGTGTTACCTGAGCCACGTGTCCCTTGCCTCCTGTAGATGATGAGAGTTCACTGGTTGACCCTGATGACATCATGAAACACATAGGGGATGACGGATCAAACTCTGTAGCAACTGAGCCCTGGCTCCGCCCTGGCACTTCAGAAACGCTGAAACGTTTCATGGCAGAGCAGCTGAACCAGGAGCAGCAGCAGATTCCTGGAAAACCAGGCACTTTCACTTGGCAGGGCCTGTCGACTGCACATGGTTAAAATAAACCTGTACTGGACCCAGTAGTGCCTTTTAAGGTGAAAGGAATGGTAAATCTGTACCTTTAATATGTCCTACTTTTGGCCCCTACCTGAAAGTTACTTTTTTTCCATCATCTGTATATAAAATTATTTTTATCATGATGTATATTATGTACATAAATAAAAGGCCATGATTATTGATTTATATAATAGAATTGTATAGATTATTTTTGCACAGTTTTGTCATAAATTAGGGTGGTAATGAACTGGATTGAACTACTATATGTGCATTATATTGAATTCTGCTTGTCATTAAGATAAGGTGAATAAGTGTCTTAAACGTCCTGTAAAACCGGACTCCCCTTTGTTACATGCACATTTTCCATTGTTACCTCGATGCAAAAGAATTCATTTAGTAGGTACATCTATTGTAGCTGTGATTATTCCAGTTTCTGTGTGATGCAATCAAATGTCCTATTAATTAATTATTATTTCATGTCATTTGTAGCTACTGATACAGCAGAAATGAAGGGAACTGTAATTACTTGTATTTTTGTAAGCCATACGTTAAATGTTTGTTACATCATCTTTCTGCTTCTATTTTTATGCCAATGAAGGCATTTGTCTTGTTACTAATTACATGATGTAACTACTTCTTGATATAAATAAATTTTTATTTTAATTACTAAAATCTTTTTAACTACTATGGAGCTTTCTAGACTAGTTTTCTAGAGGTTGAATAGAGGTGGGGACACCCGGGAGTCAAGGACAGAGAGACTGGAGTCTTCTTCTTCCACCATGGAACCTTGGATAAGTGAGTCCATGTGAGTTTTCTAATCACTCAGTAAGTGATACTTCTAAAAAAGGAAAGAGTCATTCAAATAATTGTGACATTCTGACTCAGATTAGAATCTCAGAACCATGACAGCTGAGAACATCCCCAGGCACTGCTTCTCTCTCTAATAATACTTCCTCTGATGTAATTAACGGTTGGTAGACAATATCAGACAAATTTGCCACAATTAAATTACTGATATTTTGAGTTTTGGCTACTTGTAAATTTTTATTTGATTTTCTAATCGGACCATTGTTTGTTTGCTTTACTCGTAAAAATTTGTTCTGTTGTCATCTGAAAGTAAGAAGAAAGCCTCTGACTCTTCTAGGGGAAGAGTCCTGATACTACAACATTAAAATAATCAACTGCCAGGTTGTGTGGAGCACTTACCCTCACACGGCAAGGTCACAGTGGCTCGCAGTTCTAGCATCCAGCTGGGCTTGAACACAGCTAGAGCTGTCTTGGGTGTAACAAATACAGCACACTTACTTACAAATGCATTGTTCAGTAACTGTTCATTATCTAAGAGAGGTGTGAAAGCAAAGACTGAATACTTTTCCTCTTTAACACAACCATGTTAGATGATATTGACACGTTCCCTTTTTGTTTAATGCCATGTACCACACAACTTCAACTGACTCCTCGAACACACAATATTGCAAACTGTGCTGAAGAGAACTTTAGCTCTTTTCAGCATTCAAGTAGTGTAGCCTGATGCTAGGTTATTAATATGCAAAAAATATTAAAAGATTTTTGGGCTGGATATGGTGGCTCATGCCTATAATCCCAGCACTTTGTGAGGCTGAGTTGGGAGGATCACTTCAGGTCCAAGAGTTTGAGACCAGCCTGGGCAATATAGTGAGATCCCATCTCTAAAAAAAAAAAATTTTTTTTTAATTAGGCAAGTGTAGTGGTGTGTGCCTACAGTCCTCACTACTGGGGAGGGTGGAGTGTGAGAATCGTGAGCCCAGTTTGAGGCTACAGTGAGCTGTGCTCATACCACTGCACTCCAGCCTGGACAACAGAGTGAGATCCGGTCTCTAAAAGATAAATAAAAATTTTAAAAATTGCCTTAAAAATAAGTATCCTATGGTAAGTACAGTGTAAGGAGGATCTAATGCTAGAAGCTGGAAAGAAAATACCAGAACCAAACAATATTGAATTTGTAGTTCTGGCTGAAAATGTCTTTTCCATAGTTGTTCAGCCTTAATAGACCAGAATCAATGAAACATGGGGGTGGGTTATACAGGTTTTGATTGCACTGATGAAATAATTCAAAAACTTTATTGACCTATAACCTGATTAGAATATGCCAGATGGGAATCAATATTGTACAGAAAGTTGTACAGAATTTTTTACATAGAAAACTTTACATCTGTACCATATACATTTTGTCCATCTGAAAAAATTTTCTACATCCACTGTTAATACGGAATGCTTGACAATCTTGTCTTTTAACCATCAGAGCACAATTCACAGTATGAATACATTTCCAGTAAATCTAACCTCCGCAAACCATGCCAGATTTGTTATTTTAATATATTCAACGTTAAATTCTGTACATAGAGTAAAATCTACATCAAGCCCCACCACCCAAAAGAAAAGAAAATGACAGCAATCTGGATTCATTTTGCAGTGATTCAAGTTTTGGTCCATAAAGGATCATTCTATTTTAATGGCTCATCTTTAAAAGTCCTAAGAGAAATATGTGACAGGTAGTTACTGTCAGTAGGGATATTTTCTACCTTTTTTTCCCTATTGTTGAAGTGTCGGCCACAACAGCTTCTGGGCATGTTACAGCCTCAAAATCACCACCTACCAAAAAGGGCAAAACTAAAAATCCCTATAAAATAAAAAAGAAAGTTCCACCCAAATGTTTAGTGCATTTGACAAAATATTATGGGTATTTAGCAAATGAATAAGAAAATAAAGAAAACAGTGCAGGAAGAACTATATAATGTTTTAAGATTTTTATATTACAGACCTGCATCTCTGTACATTTTTCACAGGATGATTACCAGTATCTCAGATAGCCTGAGTGTGCAAAAATCTTCAGAATAAGAATACCATAGTTGCTAAATATCTTTTACCATGAACAATAATTTCTTCTTCTCTCCCCACTCCCCAATTATAAACATTTTATCCTTCAAAATACAGCTCTCCTGAGTTGTACTTCTTGTAGAAGTTCAATCTTTACATCTATAGTTCTTTGGGTAAGTTTCACTTCCACACCTGCCAAAAACGTGGGGCTTTTCCTGCCGTGGAAGACAGGGAAGGACCCGTGAGCATGAGCTGACACTGTTTAAACAGGCTTTCTGCTCAACATGAGGCCAATATAACACACAAAATCCACCAGCACTAAAAGGGACTGGAGTGTTGCAAGTTTGAGTAAGACTTCTAAGCATCTTTACCAGTAACTCAGACACTGCAATCCAGAGAAATCATTTTTCAGGTAGGAAACCTCAGCTCCAGCGTCCTTTTAAAGAGCAGAGGGATGTAAATGCCAACAAAAATATTAAGTTCCCATCATTGCTTGTTTATTCCAAGTTCCTGTTCAGGTGGTTGTGATATCTGAAAAACTACTCCGATTCGCAGAAAAAATCTTCTAAGAACAGCACGAAGTTCAGGAATCAAGTCAAATTGCATAATTTCACATAAGAGAGGGTAGTAGAATGATGCATGAGCTTTAAACTGCAGGGAAAATGAATTTCTCCATTAGTAGTGATTGCAAACTGCAGAGCCTTAAACTGCCTAGAGTCAAACTACTCTGGGGCTCCATCACAGGAGCCAGGAAAGCAGGGTCCACAGCAGGCAGTGACTCTGGTTTGTGGAACTGAGAGACAGAAGTGTTAGAAAAACTCACTTCATACAAACACTATTCACTTACATATCCTTATTTTGAAAAACATTTGTCTGTATATCTTTGACAAACTTTTAGTAATTTAGCACTGTTTTTCCTGGGTAATAAGCAGCAGGCAAGTGAGTACAAACTAGAGTTGAGATTTTATAAGCTATGGGTTACTGAAATTTTATCTTTTGTTACATAAAAATTTTAAGTTTTGGGGAAAATTCTACCCAACACTGCAATATAAAATCTAAACAGTTCTTCAGGCAAAGCTACATACGTTTCACATGTACAGTTCAATTGCTATACTTTGGCTGTATCTTCACAGTAGTTCCTTCATCTCTGAACTCTAGTCTGCAGCCTCCTTTCCTACCCCTTCTGTACCCCTCCAGATCCAGGGAAGCAGTGAGACATATTATGACCAAAAAAAAAAAAGCCAGCTGTGGAGTAACAGAGGCTGGGATTTAGAGCCCTTGGCCTTTCAAGTAGTGGGCCACATCACTAGGCATTTTTAAACCTATTCTAGGGTCACAGCAAAGCAGCCTGTATGTGTGAGCTGTAAGTTGCTATTTTTTTTTCTAAGAATAGAGTGTACATTTTTGAAAACCTTAAATATGCACTTATATTTACAGTCATATATGTGTATTTTATCTTTATTTCTACTGGTTTAAAATTCTTAGATGAGGCCCATTCACTAGGGACTCTGGGTTACCTGGAACCACTAAATATGCCAAAGGAACAGCTGCAGCCCAGAGCACAGGCCCAGGAACCAGATGTAGTCTTGAGTAGTAGGCAGAGTACAAGGCCATGAGGTGGTTGGACAGCAGTTTTCAAAATGGGGCAAAGGGGGAGATTCCTGGGGTCATAATGGGAACTTGTCAAGGTATCCCAAGGGATTCTGATCCCTCGCCTACTGAATCCCCTAGAGAACTGCTAATTAGTGAACAAAGCTGGGTAAGGGGGGAGAAAAGCAAGGACTGAGGAAGATACAGCAAGGCCACTGGTGGCTTTGCACAAGCAGCAGTGCAGCCTGGGCACTGCTTGATTCATCTCTGAGAGCTCTTGCACGGCGGCTCTGGGACCCCGCATCCCAATGCGAATTGGGCTAGAAATGTGGGGCTGGATTCGAAGCCTCATACTTACCCTATTATCACTTATCTTTAGAACTTTAGTTAGAAACAAAAGCAGTAAGTTAGTCCAGGCTTCTCGATGACTTTCTGATGTTAGAGTGAGGAAGTAACTTAGTGCTTCACTGCAGACACTGCAAAAGAAAAGGTTTCCTTTAATGTTACTTGCGTATCTACTGGTCCCCATATTCACCGAGAAAGAGCAATCATGAACATAGTAGTGAATATGAACTATTCAAGAACATGTTAGATCCCATCTGTTTACATTAGCTGGAGTGTCAACATAAACATGCTTTTCAAATTGGGAAGAAAACCAAACATGTTAAAAGAAGCCATTGTAACTTACCAGGAAACCCACATTTTCCTAATTTTCTAAGTTTCTTTCAATGCAAAGCTGCCGTGTGGCAGGTGGCACATGCAAAGCTTAGTTTCAAGAGACCTGGACTGGAATCTGAGGCGACTCCTCTCTTCACTGACCCTTGTGAGGCCCTAGATCACAAGGCCCTGTGGGGCCTTAATCAATCAGTCTTGTCAATCAAATGGGATAACAGAGACTAGGTGATCCCTTAAAATTCTAAAATGTATTTAATTGGCCTCAGAACATCTATTCCGTAAGTAGATATGATAATACAATGCAGATGACCGTATTCTTTCTGAATGGCATGTTTCATTCTTAGCCTGAGTTTACACGTTAGTTGGCTTAAAGTAAAAGAGTAAAAAAAGTAACGCTAAGAAAAACTCCAAATATTTTTTTCGAAGTAAATGCAGGCAGGCAAGTTTTCACTTATACAAATGATCTGTAAAAATGGGACTATCTTATGACATTAAAAAGGCCTATAAATGATATCATAGTTCACAGTTTTAAAACAGAAAACCTCCTTTGTCCTGCATGTTAGACATGATTTGGCCACATGTCACTAAAGCACACTCATCTCTAAGACTGAATTTAATTTTTACAACTGCTCTGTGGAATAGGGGCATCCAGGCCCCAAAGCCTCAGCTGTCAGCATGGTCCCGCCGGTGCCTCTTTCCTGCCCGGCACCACGTGGCTACCTGGTCAGAGATGGAAATCAGTCAAAAGTCTTACTTCAAAAGCCTCTGCTGGACCTCCTCCCAGGCACTAACGCGGCTCTCATCCATGTACATCCGGAAGAGAATGCGCAGCCCACAGGCCAGGCTGCTGGTCTCCTGCTTCAGAAGGTTGGGCTTGGATTTGCCTTTGAATCCTGCAGAAAAGGGAAGTTTCTGGGATTAGTTTGGGAAGGCATCTTATGTAAAGGTGAAACAGCCCGTATGGAGGCACATTTTGTTTGTGCTCAGCCATCAGCATCTGCTGCTTACAAAACGGAGCCACAGCAGCCTGATGTGAAGGTGATTTCCATGTCCAGAATTCCCTCCCTATTCAAGCTGGGGATATGAGATATAAAAAAACTTGTGGCCTGGGAAGGTGGAACCCTTCACATGAAACTGCACTTGAATCCCCAAAGCTGTGGAAGGGGCCATGTGCTCTGCCTGCGCCAGGGGCCTCAGATAAACAGGGGCAACCCCCAGGAGGTGAGAACTGCTCTGTCAGAGGTCTGATGGGTCCGGTGTGTGTGGACACAAGGAGGCTCTATCAGCTCAGCAGGAAGAGGCCCAGTGGAATGGTGGCAAAAACTTGGGTAGAAAAAAAGGGGAAAAATAAGTACAGACTACTCTTTCCAGAAGTTAGGTTGTAAAGGAAAGAGAATGGCACAGCTGTTTCAAATAAGCAAACATTAAGCACCAAACCCTTTTGATACAGTTTGATAAGTATCAGCCCCTTCTTTTTCTCTGCCTTATTCTGCAGCCCCTCATCCTCCCAGCACTGTTTTGCAACTCATAATTATATTTCTTTCTTTTTTCTTTTCTTTTTTTAAGAGATGGGGTCTCACTGTGTTGCCCAGGCTGGAGGGGAGTAGTGTGATCATGGCTCACTGCAGCCTCAAACTCCTGGGCTCAAGTGATCCTCCCACTTCAGCCTCCCGAGTAGCTGGGATTACAGGTATGCGACACCATGCCCCGCTAATTTTTAATTTCTTGTAGAGACAGGGTCTTGCTATGTTGGCCAGGGTGGTTTCGAACTTCTGGCCCCAAGCAATCATCCTGCCTCAGCCACCCGAGTAGCCGGAACTACAGGTGTGAGTCACCACAGCTGGCTCTATTTTTTAAATTAAAAAATTAACAATGTCACTTTGGTTTATAATAAAAGCTTATTTTTTGTTTAAAATGTCTAACTTGTTCTAGAACAAATATACCTCACATCCCAATAAATTCACCTTCACTCTGAGCTCTGGCCACTCCCAGTAAACAGAGAAGCCATTCAAATACACATGCCAGGTTTTGTGTGTGCGACTTTTACACATATTTATTTCCTAATGAAAAGACAGCTTTTGTCATGCCAATGAGTATCAACAAGAAGGTCCAGGTTGGGTAAACAAGATGAAAGAACAATGTAAGTCAAATAATAGACCAAGGGGGAAAAAATCCACCCAAGCAGTTATCTGGCTTACTGTAGACCAGAAAAGGGCCTCGTTGTGAGGTTACTTTATTACTGTTAAGGTCAGAGTACATATAGTGACATGCACAGACCTATAGCAGACAGTCAATGAGTTCTGAGACCTGTATGTACCTGTCCCACATCCATCAACAGTAAACATTAAATGTGAGGCGTGTGCAGCTTACCTGCTTTCCACAGGGCAGTCCTCTGTTCGTTGTTGGAATTAAACGCTTTTGCAAATCTATGTGACTCTAATAAGCAGTCCAGTAGCTTAAAAAGTTGTTGTGATGTTAAAAAGCGGTACATTCCTTGGTCTTGAGTATCAACGCGAACATCAAAGTCCACCGCATCTCTCTTTGGAAAACAAACCACCCCAGCATATACACACAGTCACAATAATTTTACTTGATTTACAACTCAATGCTCCCCAAAGACCAGTTTTACAAGAAAGCCACAGATACTCAGCTTGATCTAACCTAACAGAAAGTAAGGGAAGGTCCACCTTCCAGTACGCATCCTCGTCCCCAAGCACCACCTCCCATTAGTCCAGACCCTCCTGGACTCCCAACTCCCTGGCCCTGCGTTCCTCAGCCCCTCAAGTCCTCCCTTCTCTTCTCAACTGCTATGGAGTCCATGCATCATTTTAATTATTCTCTTTCACAACCCCTCCTCTTCTTTTTAGTAACTGGCTGGCAAAATGGCCATGTCATCATGTGTGACTGGAGAAAGCAGACTGGTTTCTCTCTAAACCAGCGGGCTCGGTGCTAGCCCAGCCCTTGGCAGACCTTGGCCTAGGCCACACTCCTGGCCAACCAGCTCAAGTTTTCACTTCTCAAGTAGCTAAAACATTCTTCCAAATCTCACATGGTAGATGACTTTTCTTCCCATCTCAGTGAGAAACCAGAAGCTGGCAGAGGAGGTCTCTCACAAGCTCCTACCCCAAACGTACCAGACTTCCTGCATCCACAACCCATCCCCCAGCCCTCCCCCTGCCGCCACATGGGAACTGTCTGGGCTTCTACCCCAGGTGATTCCCACTCTGTATGAGGTACTATCTCCACTCACTCAAAAACATGGCCCTAGAAATTGCCCCTCTCTTGCCTACAGTCAGTTTTTCTCTCCCTACTGGAAAGCTCTTACCAGTGAACACGCTGCCATATCACCAATCTGGAGAACAAAACATAGCAAACCCCTCTCTTGAACCCCTCACAATCCAGCTATCACATTTCTCTGTGCCTTTACAGCAAAACTTCTTAACAGAGTACTGGCTGAGTCCACATTCTCTCTTCTCTCTCTCTCTCCCCATTATAATTATGCTTTTGTCCTCAATTTAACATTTAACACACTGTTAAGGTTCCAAAGTCGTCCAAACAGTTAGAGGGCAATTCTCAGGTGTAATATCACTTGACCTATCCAGAGCATTTAACAAGCGACTGATCACATGCTTCTTCTTAAAACATTTTCTTCATCTGACTTCCCCGACAACTGACACCTGCTTCCCCGTGCCTCCCCATGCCTCATGGATTCTCGTCTTCAGTCTCTGCTAGCTGCCTCATCTCCAGGAGCTGTAGAGGATGAGGTCCCTAGTAATCAGTTGCTGACCCTCCTCCCTGCTCTAGCTAACCTTATTACCTTGTGATGGGATCCAGTCTCATGGTTTAAAAGGACATCTGTATGATGAAGGCCCCACAAACTAATTCTCTAGCCTAACTCTACAGCCCAGACTGCTATACCTAACTTCCTACTTACACAAAAAAAGCAGCTGTCCTCCTATCTCCTTACCTGTGCTGCAGCTAAGTTTTCTGCATCTTCTTTCTTACTTGTGGCTGGGAAGAAGACAATGTTGTCGATAGTCTGGATGAGTTCCAGCTGCACAACACATTTAATCAACAGGGCAGCAAACAATTTTTGTTCTGGAAATTCTGTGAGGAAACCCCCCCCAATGCACATGCAAACAAAAAATTATTTTGAATCCTTTATAATTTCCATGATATTACAATGCTAAGGAAACATCAATATGTATTCACATATCACACTGAGAAGGACATACTGCTTTTGCACACAGGCACTACTCAGTAAAAGTTTAACTGATATTTAGAAAAGCCTCGGAAAAGTAATTTTTAAAATAAAAGTGCCCTACATAATTTAG
This sequence comes from Homo sapiens, assembly GCF_000001405.40. Lineage (NCBI taxonomy): Eukaryota > Metazoa > Chordata > Mammalia > Primates > Hominidae > Homo > Homo sapiens. The sequence continues at coordinate 67,205,047 of NC_000008.11, forward strand.
AACAAGCTTGTCCAACCCACAGCCTGTATGTGGCCCAGGACAGCTTTGAATGCAGCCCAACACAAATTCATAAACTTTCTTAAAACATTATGAGATTTTTTTTTTCTTAGCTCACTATTTTTCATAGTAGAAAGAAACAGGGATTGTAAGTCGCCCAGCATTGGAGCCACTGCCCCAAGACTGCCTAGTAGGCAGCTCCCTTTGGGCAATTGTCTGCCTCCTGGAAAGCTTCCTGCCAAAGCTGCCCTGAGAATCTGGGATGGAGGTGTGGCCATGTGGTCTGGGTCCCCTGGGACTATACATGTTAGTGTATTTTATGAGTGGTCCAAGACAATTCTTCTTCCAATGTGGCTCAGGGAAGCCAAAAGACTGGACACCCCTGATTTAGAACAATAATATATTCAAGATGTTCCCGCTACAAATTTTTTAATTCAACAAATGGATAAAAATGTAACAAATGGATAAAAACCTAAAACTGAAGTATCAACTGTAAACCCAAGTCTGACCTCTGAAAACAGGGAATAAAGGGGCTGGGCACGGTGGCTCATGCCTGTAATCCCAGCACTCTGGGAAGCCGAGGCAGTTGAATCACCTGAGGTCAGGAGTTCAAGACCAGCCTGCTCAACATGATGAAACCCCATCTTTACAAAGCTACAAAAAAATGTGCCAGGCATGGTTGCGCACACTTGTAATCCCAGCTACTCTGGAGGCTGAAGCAAGAGAATTGCTGGAACCCAGGAGGCAGAGGTTACAGTGAACCAAGATCACACCACTGCACTCCAGCCTGGGCAAGAGAGAGAGACTCCGTCTCAAAAAAATAAATAAATAAATAAATAAATAAATAAATAAAATTAAAATAAAAAAATAGGTTATATGAAAACCTATGACATAAGAAAATAACAGAACAGATCCATGTGAGACAGGAAGTGAGGGCAGCCAAGACTCCGGATTAACCTATGCAATACTGTGGTTTGGCCACAGCACATGTTTTATTTGGATCCAGATTCGTAGTTGTGACTGAAATTACCTCTTATTTTCAAAGACATCCATCAGCAAAGAAGTCTATAAAAAGTTAAGCCGGGGCCGGGTGCAATGGCTCATGCCTGTAATCCCAGCACTTTGGGAGGCCAAGGCAGGTGGATTGCCTGAGGTCAGGAGTTCGAGACCAGGTTGGCCCACATGGTGAAACCCCATCTCTACTAAAAATACAAAAATTAGCCGGGTGTGGTGGCGTGTGCCTGTAGTCCCAGCTACTCGGGAGGCTGAGGCAGAAGAATGGCTTGATCCCGGGAGGCGGAGGTTGCAGTGAGCTGAGATGACACCACTGCACTCCAGCCTGGGCAACAGAGCCAGATTTTATCTTTAAAAAAAAAAAAAAAAAAAAAAAAGTTAAGCTGAACACATTACTTCAAAAGTAACCAAACTGCAAAGTAACAAAAGTGCCACCCATGTTCCCCTCATCAGCTATACACAGTCACATCCCTCTATCCTGAACACATTTGTTCAACAGGGCGTTTCTGATAGTCCGCCGGCCCATGTGGACACACTCACGGGCGTGCTCCCCTTGTCTGACCATGCCAGCTAAGTAGCTAAGCCAATGCAGCAGCGCAAGGTTAGAAAAGAGGACTCAACTCCTGAGATGCTGCTGCCACGCAGCCCAGGGGACCCAGACCACACGGCCACGCCTCCATCTCAGATTCTCAGGGGCAGCTTTGGCAGGAAGCTTTCCAGGAGGCAGACAACTGCCCAAAGGGAGCTGCCTACTAGACAGTCTTGGGGCAATGGCTTCAATGCTGGGCGACTTACAATCCCTGTTTCTTTCTACTATGAAAAACATTTTACTACAAATTCCCTTTTCTGGCACTAATGTGTGGAAGACAAATTCATGTTTTAGGGATTTTGGGGGGCAGAAAAATAACTTACTTTCATTTATTCTTATTGAGATCATTAATGAAGGCTCCTTTCCAGATACTGTTCATAAATGCTATTCTATTTAACGTTTAGTTCTTAGTACTAGATCACAAGTTAAAAAAACAAAACAAAGAAACCTGTAAGTCCTACGGTTATCTCTTCCTCTTAAATCTTGTCTTCTTAGTCCTTTATTACAGTGACAGCGGCATGGGCAGTCATCCATTCACTCCCTCATTCAAGTCAGAAAAACATCTCAGTCCCAGGGGCAAAAGACTCCTAGTAGCACCTGGACTCCAGAATGGACTTAGCAGTAGATGGAGGTCTTAGGAGACCTATTTTCATCAGTTCCAACGTGAGTTGCTCAGGGGTGTTAAGAGCTTCCAGCAGGGACCCAAACAGTTCTAGTGACCCCAAGAATTTGGCAGATGAGGCTGTACTCTGAACAGGGATGCCAAGCCTCTTCATAGTTTCTCGTGCCCTTTGAGACCTGGACAGGGATCCTAACTACAGTCTCACTAGCAAGGACCAGAAGCACATTTGATGACAATATCTATTTGGACAAATTTCAGTCATGACAAGGTCTGACACTGCCAGGGTTATATTAGTCAACCATTTCATTGTCCACACAACAGAGAGCAAAGCTAAGCAGATTTTAACTATGTGGGACTACAGGTACTGAATCAACTCGACAGAGCAGTGGTGCAGAAAGAATTGAGGCTGGTCTGTGCTGTGATTCTTTTCACTGAGTTGGAGAGTCAGATGCAGCGGCCTCCCCATCAAACAGGAGAACCACAACCTATCCACCAAGGAAGAGGGCTCATGGGAGCAGGGTGGCCGCTTGTTCTTCCTCCAGCTCTACCTGTTCTGAGTCAACAGTTCCAGGATGAACCTCGCCTAAAAGTCTTCCAGGGGAGCGAGAGTGGAATGTCTGGCTTAAGGATGCAGTCTGACCCCACAGCTCACAGTGGCAGGAAAGCAGAGCCCTTGCCCCAGGAAAAAGTAGCCAAGTGCACACTTTCCACTATGTGAAGACCAAGTCCTGCCCTCACAAAGCTAAGTGTGTTTAAATTCAGTCTTGAGGCTGAGAGTGAGAAAAGCCACTCGCTATTCTTTCCTCTTGGCCTTTCTTGGTGCAGACTGAAGCTGCAAAGGATTCCTACATGAACCATTCTGTTCTTTGGAGAACAGAAATGAAAAATGAAACTCGGCCACTCACTACCACCTATTTCCTCTTTAAGAAATTAGCAAAATACAGTGACTGAAGATAGAAGGTCCTTTCAAGTAGGATATGAAGAACTGTAAGCATCTAGGATTAAAAAATTCCCTGAAAAAAATTAAATCAAAATGGATCAACGACCTAAATCAAAGAGCTAGAAGAATAAAACTTCATAGGCCAGGCACAGTGGCTCACGCCTTTAATCCCAGCACTTTGGGAGGCCAGGCAGGTGGATCACTTGAGGCCCAGAGTTTGAGACGAGCCTGGCCAACATGGCGAAACCCCATCTCTACTAAAAATCCAAAAATTAGCCAGGTGTAGTGGCATGTGCCTGTAATCCCAGCCACTCAGGAGGCTGAGGCAGGAGAATCGCTTGAACCCAGGAGGTGGAAGTTGCAGTGAGCCGAGATCACACCACTGCACTCCAGCCTGAGCGACAGAGTGAGACTCCATCTCAAAAAAAAAAAAAAAAAAACCAACAAAAAAAACACTTCATAGAAGACAACATTGGGGGAAATGCTCATGACCTTGGATTTTGACAATGACACCAAAGGCATGACTAACAAAAGGAAACAGAAAAATTGGACTTCATCAAAATTTAAAAACAGGCAAAGGACATGAACACAAATTTCTCCAAATAAGATATACAAATGGTCAACAAGCATATGAAAAGATGGTTAACAACACTAATCATTATGGAAGTGCCAGTCAAAACCACAATGAGGTAAACTTCTCACCCACTAGAATGGTTATCATTTAACAACAACAAAAAAGGCGCTGGCAAAGATGTGGAAAAACTGGAATTGCTGGTGGGAATGTAAAATGGTGCAGCCACTGGCTATAGAAAATTGCTTGGTGGTTCCTCAAGAAGTTAAACATAGAATTACCCTATGAGCTAGCAATTCCACTCCTAGGTAGATAATGCAAAAGAACTGAAAACAGGTATTCAAATGATATTTGTACACAACAGTTTGTAGCAGAACTATTCATGACAACTACAGGTGAAACAAATACAAACGTCCATCATCAGACAAATGGATAAACAAAATGTGGTCTATACATTCAGTGGACTATTAGTAATAAAAAGGAATGAATTACTGATTATGCTACAACATGATGCGTCTTGAAAACACTGTGAGAGAAGACAGACACAAAAGGTTGTATTTTGTATGATTCCATTTATATGAAATATGCAGAATAGGCAATTCACAAACACAGCTAATTAGTGGCTGCCAGGGGCTGGGGAAGAGGAGAAGAAGAAGTGGCTGTATAACAGTTATGGGGCTGGGGGGCTCCCTTTAGGAGTGATGAAAATGCTTTGGATCTAGATAGAGGTGGTGGCTGTGAATGTACTAAATGCCACTGAATTATTATTCACTTGCATATTGTTATTTCTGTTATGTAAATTTCACCTCAGGTTTTAAAAAGTTCTCAAAGCTGTCCTGTTCTCCTCTAAGGAGGCTGTGGTCTTTTCTAGGTGTTGTAATTTTCCTTCAGCAAATGGAACTGAATTGATCCAGTAAAAAAGTAAAGGGTTCCTCTTTTTTGTGAAAAGGTGAGGGGAGGAATACAGGTGACCTGTGGATCCCTGTATGGAGACAGGGGTGTGGGCAGCAGTGAGGGAAATGGGCACAGGCCGACTAAGGTTGGGGTGCAGTGTGGAGAAAAGGGTTGCTCCTTAAAAAGTAGGGTGCTCCTGCCGGGCACGGTGGCTCATGCCTGTAATCCCAGCACTTTGGGAGGCCAAGCCGGGTGGATCACGAGGTCAGGAGATCGAGACCACCCTGACTACCGTGGTGAAACCCGGTCTCTACTAAAGAATAAAAAAAAAATTAATTGGGTATGGTGGCAGGCACCTGTAGTCCCAGCTACTCGGGAGGCTGAGGCAGGAGAATGGCGTGAACCCGGGAGGTGGAGCTTGCCGTGAGCCAAGATCACACCACTATACTCCAGCCTGGGTGACAGAGCAAGACTCCGTCTCAAAAAAAAAAAAAAAAAAAAGAAAAACAATAGGGTGCTCCTGGACAGACGTCGTGGCACAAGCCTGTAATCCAAGCATGTTGGGAAGCTGAGGTGGGTGGATGGCCTGAGCTCAGGAGTTCAAGATCAGCCTGGGCAACATGGCAAAACCCTGTCCCTACAAAAAAATATAAAAAATTAGCTGGGCGTGATGAGGTGTGCCTGTAGTCCCAGCTACTCGGGAGGCTAAGGTGGGAAGATCGCTTGAGCCTGGAGGTTGAGGCTGCAGTGAGCCGAGATCACACTCCAGCCTGGGTGACAGAGTGAGACTCTGTCTCAAAAAAAACCAAAACCAAAAACAACAACAAAAACAAGTGGGGTGCTCCTGCTTAGAAAGCAACGGTCCTTCACTACTTCCCGTTGCAGATGGGTAGAGGAAGGCATGCTAGGCCCTACTTTTGCAGACAGAACATGGGGTTGGTTGGCATGCAGAAGGGGGTGGAGAAAGAAGACTCAGGTGCTCGTTGGCGGAAAAAGCTGACATTTCAGGATCAGCAGAGTTCTTGACCTTCTGCAAGAGGGCATCTATCTACCAGAGGATGTCCAAATTAGGATAAACACAGTAAAGAAGTGATGACATGGCCAGGCGCAGTGGCTCACGCCTGTAATCCCAGCACTTTGGGAGGCTGAGGCGGGCGGATCATAAGGTCAGGAGTTTGAGACCAGCCTGGCCAACATGGTGAAACCCTGTCTCTACTAAAACTACAAAAATCAGCTGGAGGTGATGGTGGGCACCTGTAATCCCAGCTACTCGGGAGGCTGAGGCAGGAGAATCATTTGAACCTGGGAGGTGGAGGTTGCAGTGAGCATCACTGCACTCCAGCGTAGGCGACAGGGTGAGACTCCGTCTCAAAAAAAAAAAAAACAAAAGTGGCCGGGCATAGTGGCTCACACTGTAATCCCAGCACTTTGGGAGGCTGAGGCGGGCAGATCACAAGGTCAGGAGTTCAAGACCAGCCTGGCCAATATGGTGAAACCCCGTCTCGACTAAAAATACAAAAATTAGCCGGGCATGGTGGTACACACTTGTAGTCCCAGCTACCCGGGAGGCTGAGGCAGAAGAATTGCTTGAACCCGGGAGGCGGAGGTTGCAGTGAGCTACGATGGCGTGCCACTGTACTCCAGACTGGGCGACAGAGTGAAACTCCGTCTCAAAAAAAAAAAAAAAAAAAAGAAGTGATGACACAATCAATTATAGTATATGCTTGTTAATAATAAAAGTAAAACCAAAAATGTTAACCCTTTCCTACATAAAACACAAATTTATTTTTATTTAGAGAAATAACTCACTTGCTGTAGATTTAATTTTGCTGACTTCTTCATTAACAGCAGACGCAGAAACCAGTGGTGCTTGTGGTCTGTTATCCACAGACCTTGGTTGAATAGAATCATGAATATCTACAGACTTCTGTGATATTGTATCCTAATAAATAAAAAAAAAATCACTGTAAGTATGGTTAATAAAGTTTATGGGTGAAAATATTTTCTAAAACGCTATTTTAAAAAATTATATTATGTCCCTATGAAAATGATGTTTTACACATTACAGTTATAACACAATCAGAAAATTATTTAAAATTACCTGTACATAGAGAAAAGTTGACTTTCTGACCCTCACTGGGCTCAGGTCTGAAACCATCCAACAGCAACAGATAAAAATGCGAAACTTCAAAGTGTAGAGAAACTGGTCAGCAATACCCACAAGTGTTCATGAAATCTAAACAGACACCTTTTGCAGGGGTGAATTTAGAAAAGGATCTTCTGTCACCCATGGACCCAGGGACTAGAAAGGTCAATGTGAAGGTGACTATCTAGGAGTGTCGTATCATGAAGAGATGCTGGACCCTGGAGTCCAACAGACCTACACAAGAATTAGGCTCCAGTATTATTTATTTATTTACTTTTTTGAGATGGAGTTTTGCTCTTGTTGCCCAGGCTGGAGTGCAATGGCGCGATCTCGGCTCACCGTGACCTCTACCTCCTGGGTTCAAGCGATTCTCCTGCCTCAGCCTCCCCAGCAGCTGGGATTATAGGCATGCACCACCATGCCCGGCTCATTTTGTATTTTTAGTAGAGAGGGGGTTTTCACCGTGTTGGTCATGCTGGTCTCCAACTCCCGACCTCAGGTGATCTGCCTGCCTCGGCCTCCCAAAGTGCTGGGATTACAGGCGTGAGCCACCACGCCCAGCCACAGGTTCCAGTATTATTAAGAGTGTAACCTTGGAAAAATGATTAATTTCCTGAGGTGAGGTTTTCTGATCTAAAAAGAAATGATATACTTTCCTTGCAGGTTGTTAAGAACTAGATATAATAAATCCAAAACACTAGCAGCACAGTGTTGGGCAATAAATGGCAGCTGACCCTACTCCTCCTCGAGCTTTCTTTCATTATAAAGGCACAGCACACTCAAGACATGAGAGAACCTGGTTTCAGGAGGAGTGCTTAGCTTTTGTTATTCTGACGTAACAGTCCCAGCCTGAGCAACCTTACCTGCTGTGTGAAAGGAAGATGGGCCTGTGTTACCAGAAATAGTAATAATCAAAACAATACGTTAGCTTGGACTTAAGTGTATTTTAAGGAAGAAATTACTCAGTTCTCAGAATTAAAAATGTATTATCTTACTGAAGATAAATGAAAGCACTGGTTTTTAAATATTTTTGGTCACGGGCCCTCTTGAACAGTCTGATGATTTCTAAAATGTTCTCTCCAGAAAACTAAACCTACACAAAAACTAGGTCAAAAAATTAGGGATTTAAAAACCTTGCTCTGTATTAGAGGAATTTTTGGATGTTAGGTATATTGTTTTCTCAATTTTTCTCACTAACCAATGTAAATGAGGATAATTTTTGGGATGTCCTAAGTAATAGTGGGTTCTATTCTGAATGGACGTCAGCACAACAGAGTCATGGAGCAACACGGGCCCAGCATAGATGTCACAGTTCTCAAGGGCAATTCAGAATGATACTTTTCTGTGAAATCTAAGTTTTAACCGTTGACAATTTGTTAAGAAAGTTAAAAGTTGTGGGGAACAAATCTGGTCAGTTGGCGTTAGTTTGCTACTTTACAGCCTCCTGGCTTTAAAATTCAAAGGTATTATTGGGAGAACAGTACAAATTTGAAAAGACCTGTAGATTAAATAAGAGTATTGTTTCAAGGATAATTTTTTGATTGTTAGGGATAAGTGGGCATTGTGTTTACAAATTACTTCCAAAGAATTCAGAAAATTGTGTGTCTGGGAGGCAGGGTAGCAAGATAAAAAGAGGGAGGACAGCTGGGGTTGGTAAAAACAAATGTAAAATGACAACATTTGGAGAAACCTGGTGTAATGATTACTTTTGTGTCAATTTGGCTAGGACACAATACCAATATCCTATGTACTTAAGCCAGATACTTAAGTCGAAGGAGTAACAATTAATTCAATTAAACACTATTCCAGGTGTTCAGCTGAAGGTATTTTATACATGTGGTTAACATCTATAGTCAGCTCACTTTTTAAGGAAATTATCTTCAATAATCTAGATGGTCCTTATCCAATCAGTTGAAAGCCTTCAAAACTGAGCAAAACAGGTTTTCCTGGGGAAGAAATCCCGCCTGTGAACTGCAGCTTCAGCAGCAGCCCAAGGCTTTCCAGCCTGCCTGCCTGCCCTACAAAATTTCAAACCTGCCAGCCTCCACAATCACGTAAGCCAGTTCCTTAAATCTATCTATACAAATCTCTCCTGCTGGTTTTGTTTTGCTGGCCCTGATAAAGATTTTGATACCATGAAATGGAATGTGGCTGTAACAAACACCTAAAAATGTAGAAGTGGCTTTGGAACTGGGCAATGGTAGAAGCTGGAAGAGTTCTGAGACACATGATAGGGAAACACCTACATTGCCCTGAAGAGACTGTTGGTAGAAATATGGATGTCAAATGTAGTTCTGGTGAGGATCCACAAGGAAGTGCAATGTGTGAGAGAAAGCATCTACCATCTTAGAGAAGACATGTATGGCCATGAAACAGATTATTGGTACAAATATGAATGTTAAAAGGTGCTTCTGGTGAGGTCTTAGAAGGAAATCAAGAACATGATATTAGATACTGATAGGTGATCCTTGTTGTAAAGTGGCAGAAAGCTTGGCTGAATTGTTGGGTGGAAAGCAGAATTCTAAGTGATGATATGTAGTTGAGATTTCCAAGCAAAGTGCTGAAGGTGTGGCCTGGTTTATCCTTGCTGTTTATAGTACAATGCAAGAAGAAGATATATTGATGAAAGAACTGTTAAGCAAAAAGAAACTGCCAGTTGATGATGTGAGAGGATCTTGTGCCTATCGAGATTGAAAACGATGCTACAATTAGGAAATGAATTGTTAGGAAAGCATGCTTTGGAGAGAAGGCCAAGGCTATAATAGCTGGACAACTTTTTGCCAAAGAGATTAGGTATATATCTAGTGGAGCCAATCGATCATCTCAGCAGAAGCCAGGAACATAACAGGACTATCCAGAAAGATGTGTGGATCACACTCTTGTTTAATGGCATGGTTTCTCTTAACACATACAGAAGACCCACAAGGATTTTGAGAATGATATACCAGCAGACATATGGCCAGCCTAGAATGAAAGGGACAGAAACAATAAGAGGAAGGGAGGCTGAATTCTAGGATTCTACAGGCAGAAAATGGGTCAACAGAGCTACAAACGTGCTAACCTTTAAGAAAAAGAAGAACAACTGAGAGTGTAGGGCTCAGGCCCGAAGAAGCCAGCCATAGCCCCAGAGGGCAGAATATCAAGCCACACAGCATTATTCTCAGGCCTTAAAACTCAACGGAATTGTCCCTGCTAAGTTTCAACCTTGCTTAGGACTGGTGATCCTTTGTTCCTTCCAATTTCTCCTTTTTGCAATGAGATCGTATATCTTATGCTTGTCCCACTACTGTATTTTAAAAGTTACAAACCTGTTTTCTAGGTTCACAGGTCCACAGATGGAGACGAATTCTGCCCCAGAATAGAGCATACTCAAGAGTGTCATCCATCCTTAATGCAGATGCGGATGATCAGATTAGGGACTTTTGATTATATTTATAAGGGATTTTGGACATAGTGTTGATGCTGTAATGAGTTTAGACTTTTGGGGACCTTAGAATGGGGTGACCATCTTTTGCCGATGGGATGGACATGAATTTTTAGGTGTCAGTGGGTAGACCATAGTGGCATGAATATTGTCCCCTAAAAAGTATGTTCAAGTCCTGACCCCTGATACCTGCAAATGTTACCTTACTTGGAAATAAGGTCTTTTCAGATGTAATTAACGATCTTGAGATGAGATCATCCTGGATTTCAGGTAAACCCTAAATCCAATGACTAATGTCTTCATAAAACAAAAAGGAGAGGGAGAGATTTAATTCACACACAGTGAGGGAGACTATGGATAGATGGTGGCAGAGATTGGAGTGATATGTGAACAAGCCAAATAATGCCAAAGGTTGTCAACAGCCGCCAGAAGCTGGACGAAGCTAGTAAGGATTCTCCCTTAGAGCCTTTGGAGGGAATGTGGCCCTGCTAACTCCTTGATTTAGGACCCATGGTCTTTAGAACCATGAGATAGTAGGTTTCTATAGTTTTAAGCCACCAAGTTTGTGGTAATTTTTTATGGTAGAACTAGGAAACCAATACACTGGGTGAAGTGAATGTTAGAATTCTTTGTACTGTTTTGTGTTACTTTTCTATAAGGTGAAATTATATAAAAATAAAAAGTTTAAATACTATCCAACAATATCTTCAGCTTTGCATGGAGACAGCTACGTAATCTGGTACCTTTCTCTCACAACCCTTAAAAAATCATTTTGTTCTATGTCCTATATTTAAAAATAATTTAAAATACTCCCTTCATGGCACTTAACAAAGACACATATTAATTGTCTGTGACATTGACCAAAGAATTAACTTCACAATTCTGGACAGTAAATTTATACCATCTTCTTAAAAGAGTCAAACGCATTGCAATGATATGAATGTTTGCATTCCCTCCTAAATTCATAATAAAACTTAATCCCCAATGCAACAGTATCAAGAGGTAGAGATTTTAGGAGGTGAGTAGGCCATGAGAATTAGTGCCTTAAAAAAGGACTGGAGGGAACTAGCTAGGCCCCTTTCTGTCCCTCCTCCTTCCACCACGTGAGAATGCAGCAACGTGGTGCCATCTTGGAAGCAGAGAGCAGCTCTCACCAGACACTTGATCATACAATTCCCAGCCTTCGTAATTGTAAAAAAAAAATGTCTATTTATAAGTAATCCAGTCTCAGATATTTTTTTAATAGCAGGAATGGATTAAGACAATTACATGTAAGAATTTGACCCATAATAAAATTACTCATCACAAATAACTAATTTCAATATACTTTACTGATTAAAACTTACCAATGGCTTTTCACTTACAGGAGATGGAGGTGGGGGGGCAGTTTCTCCAGAATTGGGTCGCCAGGTCAACAGCCTTTAAGATACCAAAACCACGTCAATCACTAGGGGGCTGTGCCACATGCCACATCCAGCATATTTTGAAATGGGCCCAAGAAAGTAACAAGAACATACCAACTAAACAGTCCATCTTTGACCACTGCTAATTTTAGCAATTTCCTAAAAAACATCTAGTAAAAAGTTTAAAATATGTACTTTTAGAAAAAAATTAAGTGGCATTTAATATAATTAAAAGGGTAATATGGTCACCAGTTTTGCATTAAAAGAACACTTTCTGATAAGTTTTAAAGATTTCAGACCTCCTTTCCCTAAGTATTAATATCAAATATTTTCCAAAGTAAGAGGCTTCTCAAAAAAAAAAAAAAATCATAAAATTGGCCAGGCGCGGTGGCTCACGCCTGTAATCCCAGCACTTTGGGAGGCCAAGGTGGGCGGATCACCCGAGGTTGGGAGTTTGAGACCAGCCTGACCAACGTGGAGAAACCCCATCTCAACTAAAAATACAAAATTAGCCAGGCATGGTGGTGCATGCCTGTAATCCTAGCTACTTGGGAGGCTAAGGCAGGATAATCACTTGAACCCAAGAGGCGGAGGTTGTGGTGAGCCGAGATTGCGCCAATGCACTCCAGCCTGGTAAACATGAACGAAACTCCATCTCAAAAAAAAAAAAAAAAACCTACCTCACTATAATTCCATTTCACACTCATCCCTTAGAGAAAGATGACAAGCTGTTACGAAATACGAAATATAGTATGTGTAAATACATTTTCCTTAGATTATTAAAAGATCAGTAACAGAAACAGGCTGAGATTTTTTTTTTTCCAATTCAAAACCACTGCTTGGTTTGATCTGAATAAATAAAATCTTATAAAAGTCAGCAGAATCACTTCATTATGTCCCAAATTTTGGTAACCAGACTAAAGGTTTTGGTTTATAAATAGTTTAATTTATGTATTTGTTATAGTTTATAGCAGTTTGGTTTGTAATAAATCTAAATCCATGTAAGAGTAAGACAAGCTTAAAAGGATTTCTGTTATGAGAAATCAGTAGTCACTATCAAACTTTTAATCACTAGTCACTCTCCAACTCATTCAATATACAAATATAAATGTAAAGTTGTATAAAATCTTCTTACGCATGTGGGATTGTGGTTTTGAAGATATCCAGTGTGCAGTTGCAAGTTTTATCCCAGATTTCTAGGGTAAATTTTTCACCATTCAGAATAACAACATTCTCTAAACAGTTTGTACCAGATCGCGCTAACTGCTCATTGTCTAGGAAAGAAAAGAGCAATTCATTTATATATTACCAGGGTCACATTTAACACTTTGTGTCACATATCTGGTACAGACCTACCTTGCTGCACACACCAGTAGAGCTGAGCAAAAATGTCATCCAAAAGTACATCACTGAGTACTTCTAAATACTGAGTGAATACATCACAGATTGCATAAAGTGCATGATTGCAAGTTGTTGTCATCCATTCAGCTTTCTGGGGAAAAAAGTCATTAATGAACATCACGCCATTAATCAACTACTATGATTAAAAAAAAAAAAAAAAATATATATATATATATATATATATATAAATGTTTTCATATTAAAAATGGAAGGCTGTCAGTGTTCCTTTTAGACCCCTGAATTCCCTCTAGAACGTTATATTCACCTCAACTTAAAATCTGATATCTATTGCTCCTTATTATCCCATAACCACCTATGTATACAATAATTTAACCATTTTTGGCACTGCTTGTTTTGATTATTAAAAAAAACCATCACCGTATCATCTTGATACTAACATTATGATTTTTCGAAGTGCATGAATAGCAACGCCGGCCTTGCTCTAGAATATGACAGAACATGAAAGGGAAATAAAGAGGTAAGAATTTGTCCAAATGGGATTAGCATAGGTTTAAAATAAAAATGACTTTCCTGAAGTATGGTTATCTGAAAACACCATAAAAAAAGGGCTATACAACGTAAGTGTAATTTATTTTTTTCAAGCCCATAAAAAATAATTGCAGAAGTCTGCATTTAATACTGCTGTATGGAACAAAAGGGGAAAATATGAAGCTCTCTTGACACATTTCCTAAAATGTATATTGTAACTGGTTCATAGTAAAATATGTTGAAATAAATAAAATTTACTTTGTATTCTTTACTCAATATAAAAAAGAAGTCACTATATAATACTAAAGAAAGTTACTGATGTTTTATAGTTGTAACTATCAAAATGAGGAAAAGAAACGAAAAAGTCAGAAAAACACTGAAAACAAAACAGAACAAAAAAATCAATTCATCAATTCAGTTCTATCCCCCACACAGTGTTCTTTTTTTTTGAGATGGAGTTTTGCTCGTCGCCCAGGCTGCAGTGCAGTGGCGCGATCTCAGCTCACAGCAACCTCCACCTCCCGGGTTCAAACAATTCTCCTGCCTCAGCCTCCCAAGTAGCTGGGACTACAGGTACCTGCCACCACACCCGGATAATTTTTGTATTTTTAGTAGAGATGGGGTTTCACCATGTTGGCCAGGCTGGTCTCAAACCCCTGACCTGAGATGATCCACCCGCCTTGGCCTCCCAAAGTGCTGGGATTACAGGCGTGAGCCACTGCGCCCAGCCAGTGTTCTTATTTATAAAGACATAGTATTACATTCTCATGCCTTAAAGAAAAATTTTCTAGGAATTCTTTTCTGTACTTAATTTGAAACACTAAAATGTATTGATTATAATACTGAGAATCTTTTAACTTGACTAAGCTAAATGAAAATTGTGTATCCTCTTACCTCTGTCTGTTGTTCTGGCAATTTCATATTGTCAAAGATTCTGAAAACAATTCTAAATAAATCCTGCCACCAGTGTTTCTCATAAGTGTGGCCATATGTTTTCATTATTTCAAACATTACTGTTAAACCCCTAAAATGACAAAACACAATTAGAAAGCTGTAATACAAAAAAGCATACTTCTCCTAAAATAGTTTTTAGAGTTCACAAAGCAGTTAAAAACAGAAAGCTTAAAACTAGTCTGAAATTAACACATGACACTGGGTTTTAAAAAATTTAAGTTGTAAGAACAACAGGTTCCTTTAGGATACATCATTCGGGAAAAAAAATCTCCAAAGGTCTTGGCTGTAAACTTTTTTATTTTACTTTTCCTTTACTCTTACCTCACCAATGCAGCATTTAAAAAACTGTAAATGGAATTACAAATTGAAAAGGATAACCGTTTGAGTGAATATTAATTTTGTGGCACTGTAGCCAAAAAAGAAAATACATATACAGCAGTCTAAGAACAAAACAAAAGTTAGATTTTGGAAAATCTTTTTCAAATGGGGATTTTTACCCAATACTAGAAGCCTTATTCATGCAACATCCCTAAACAAAAGGATTTACAAAAAAAAGCCACTAAGGCATAAGCTCCATGAGGGGAGGGGTCTGTGTTTATTTCTTGCTATATCCCAGGCACACAGCAGTGCTTATTGCCTGGGAGGCAAGCAATAAATATTTGCTGAATAAATTGCTTAGTATCAGATGGACTAGCTTTTGAGTAAGTGTTAAAACTGAAACTCAAAACTTCCGTCTTCATTCCTTACTGTTTCTTGAAATAATACTTTTATGTAACCATTAGACACTTTTAATCTTTTCTCTATTTGTTGCTTTTTCTGGGAAAATACAGGCATCCTCCAGTTTAGAAATGGCTTATATTTCCAAAAGTTTGAGAGTAAAACAGAACAAAATTTTCTTTGAAAGGCTCTCATAAGGACTGGAACAGAGCTCAACTCATTTGCTGCTATGCTATCCCCAAACGTAGTAGATGGCTCATACACAGTAGGTTCTCAACAAGATTTTGTTAAAGGATTGGGTAAAATAACATTACAATACTTCAGGCCAACAGTAAGTCCACATTGGTCTATTTGATCCCTAAGATACCTAATGTGTAATACTAGCAGTGGTAAAGAAACCATAGTAAAGAAACTCCCGGGAAAGAAAGTCTTCCACAGGAGACGCCTGTCAGAGTTCCACCACTGATGCTAAACCCATAGTTCCCTCCTTGCAATGGAACAAGGCTCCCTCGTCCTCCATCTGCTGAGCTCCGTATCTATTCCCTTCCACTCCAAGTAACTGGATGCTGCCTCTCATGGCTGGGAGTAAGTGGATATGGGCAATCCTGTTTTTTCCAGGGCCCAAAGTAAACACAAAGATCAATCGTTTCCAAGGATTTTTACTGTGGAAAATGTCTTTTTTTCCTTTTCTTTTTTTTTTTTTTTAAAGCCATACTTAAGTAGTTGGTATAGGGAAAAATAATACAGTCATGTGCCACGTAAGGACATTTCAGTCAACAATGAACTGCATATAAGACAGTGGTCCCCTAAGATTATAATAGAGCTATAAAGTTCCAATTGTCTTGTGACATTGTAGTTGAGGCTTTCACTGATTGTAGGGCAACACTTTACTCACATGTTTATGGTGATACTGGTGTAAACAAACCTACTGCACTGCCAGTCGTATAATGATAAACAATTATGTTAACAATTAATGTATTTACTATACTGCACCTCTCATCATTATTTGCTAGTGTACTCCTTATACTTACAAATTTTTAAAAAGTTAATTGGAAAACAGCCTCAAGCAGGTCCTTCAGTAGGTATTCAGGAAGAAGTCATTGTTATCATAGGAGATGACAGCTCCATATGTGTTACTTCCCCCTGAAGACCTTCCAATGGCGTAAGATGTGGGGATGGAAGACAGTGACACTGATGATCCTGACCCTGTGTAGGCCTAGGTTAATGTGTGTGTCTATGTCTTAGTTTTTAACAAAAAAGTCTAAAAAGTAAAAAATAAAAATAGAAATAGAAAAAAGCTTATAGAATAAGGATATAAAGAAAATACTTTTATATAGCTGTACAATGTGTTTTAAGCTAAGTGTTAATATAAGAGTCAAGTTTTTTAAAATTTTAAAAATTATAAAGCAAAAAAGTTACAGTAGGCTATGGTTAATTTTTTACTGCAGAAAAATATCTTCTCATAAATTTAAAGTAGCCTAAGTTTACAGTGTTTGCCTTTGCATTCACTCACCACTCACTCACTGAGTCACCCAGAACAATTTCCAGTCCGGCGAGTTCCAGTCATGGTAAGTGCCCTATATGGGTTTTTGTTGTTGCTTTTTTTTTTCTTTCTTTTTTTTTTGAGATGGAGTCTTGCTCTGTCGCCCAGGCTGGAGTGCAGTGGCATGATCTCTGCTCACTGCAAGCTCCACCTCCCAGGTTCAAGCCATTTTCCTGCCTCAGCCTCCCAAGTAGCTGGGACTACAGGTGCCCACCACCACGCCCGGCTAATTTTTGGTATTTTTAGTAGAGACGGGGTTTCACTGTGTTAGCCAGGATGGTCTCGATCTCCTTTCCTCGTGATCCGCCCACCTTGGCCTCCCAAAGTGCTGGGATTACAGGCGTGAGCCACCATGCATGCCCAGCCTACAGGTTTTATCTTTTATGCCATGTTTTTACTGTACCTTTTCCATGCATATATATATATATACACATATATATATATATATATATATACACACACATATATATATATGTATATGTATGTATGTATGTATGTATGTATGTATGTATGTATGTATTTTTTTTTTTTTTGAGACAGAGTCTTATACTGTCACCCTGGCTGGAGTGCAGTGGTGCCATCTTGGCTCACTGCAACCTCCGCCTCCTGGGTTCAAACAATTCTCATGCCTCACCTTCCCAAGTAGCTGGGATTACAGGTGTGCACCACCACACCCGGCTAATTTTTGTATTTGTATTTTTTAATTTTTATTTTTATTTTGAGACAGAGTCTCACTCTGTTGCCTGGGCTGGAGTAGAGTGGCACTCTCAGCTCACTGCAACCTCTACCTCCCAGGTTCAAGCGATTCTCCTGCCTCAGCCTCCTAAGTAGCTGCGATTACAGGTGCGCACCACCACGCCTCGCTAATTTTTGTATTTTTAGTAGAGAAGGGGTTTCACCACGTTGTCCAGGATGGTCTTGAACTCCTGACCTCAGATGATCCGCCCACCTGGGCCTCCCAAAGTGCTGGGATTATAGGTATGGCCACCATGCCTGGCCAAATTTTTGTATTTTTAGTAGAGATGGGGTTTCACCAGGTTGGCCAGGCTGGTCTCAAACTCCTGACATCAGGTGATCTGCCCACCTTGGCCTCCCAAAATGCTGAGATTACAGGCGTGAGCCACTGCACCCAGCCTGTTTAGATATGTTTAGATACACAAACACCACCGTATTAACAGCTGCCTACAGTACAGTAACATGCTGTGCAGGTTGTACCCAAGGAGCAATAGGCTATGCCATCTAGATTTGTGTAAGTACATGCTATGATGTTCACACAATGCTGAAATTGCCTACTAATGCATTGCAGAGAACATACTCCTGTCATTAAATGATGCCTGACTATATTTGGGACTTTAATTTTCGGTATTTATCCCCAAATCTAGAGAATTTTGGAAGAATTAAGTAAGAATGCACACAAGAAATTCTTTCTACACAGTGTTATACCAATTATAGTGCTGCACTATTTGTTGTTGTTAAAGACAGAGAGTCTCAATTTGTTGCCTAGGCTGGAGTACAGTGGTGTGATCAGGGCTCACCATAGCCCCAACCTCCTGTGCTTAGGCAATCCCGCCTCAGCCTCATGAGCAGCAGGAACTAGAGGCATGACCACCATGCCTAGTTAACTTTTTGTTCAAAGAGATGGGGTCTCACTATGTTGCCTAGGTTGGTTTCAAACAATCCTCCCACCTTGACATCCCAAAGTGCTGGGATTACAGATGTGAGCCATGGCATCCGGCCCACATTTTAAGATGGAAGCTAAATAGCAACCCATACATATCCTGGGATGAGGTAGGAAAATCAAAGGCCATCACTGAACAAAGTTTACTGATCTTTTCTCTCTCCTTTACTAACTAGAACACACACAACCTCTTTAACAACTGGAATCTACCCATAATCTGAACATGGAATATGGTGAGAAATAAGGTATCACAGTGCCAAGCAACAGAAGGCTAAGAAAGCAGGTGGATCCTCCATCAAACAGACTTCTACAAATAAATAAAGGGTGAGGGGAGAGGGTGCTGAGTTTTCATGACCTGCTAGTCATGATATGTCAGCCGCTCCACTGAGGCAGGTGGACAGCTGAAATGGGGCTATCTTGAATTTTAACAAGTTCCTAACAGGTCCACTGATAAACAATCCACCATGTCTAAATATAAAATAAAATGTTTTTCTATAGTGCTCTCATAATTAAAATCCCTAAGGGTTAAGTCCTATTTTGATTATCTATTTCATACGAATTTCTGTTGTAACAAATAATACTATAAAAATGAAAAATTTCTTGGGATATAAGTCAAATTTAACCTTGGTGGGGGATGGGGGTGGTTCTGGCATAAGGTGAGAAAAGAGAGATTCATTCTGTGCTACCTTTAGAAATTCAAAAAATTCGATAAAGTTACACATCCAAATAACAGAAGATTCTTCCAAATAAGATGGAAAGATTCCTAAAAGATTTTGTTTACCATAAAATTGAACTCACGGTGGGTTTAGAGGTTGACAGATATTAGGACACACAAGCTGGCCATTTCAATGTGGCAAAGTACAGGGTAAAAAAACTACTATGGGAATCATGTGAGCCGTGACCTAAGAACAGTGTGTTAGCATTTGGCCAGTTACATAATACCCATAATAGTTCCTTTACAGATTGACTATATGTTCATAATGATCTTTTATTGGCAATATACTTTTGAAAGAGTTCTATTTGAATAGCTCTATATTATTCCAAACTATGTTACTGACCAGGTTACAAAAAGAAATGGTTCTTCACCTAAAACCCAGCAAGGATGTGCAGTTAAAAATTCTTCTATCATTCATCAGGAAATAAAATAAATTTTGCCACTAACTTCAACTTATTATTGGAAACAAATATATGAAAAGACGGAATGTTTAAAGGATTAAATTAACTTAGAAGCTAAAATCAAATGGAGGCTATAATCAAATATTTTAAAAATAATGTAGTATTTCCATTTTTATTTTGCTCTAGTTAATATTTTTAAATCATATTAACATATTTTAAAATATACCTAATAATTAATATATTTGACAAAACACTTGATTTTATGGTCTTTAACTGTGAGATTGTGTTTATAAAGAAGAGTTAATTTGATTAAAGTCAAAATAAATCCAAAATTTTAATTACAAATATAGATTGTTACCTGGTTCTTACATCTAATTTGCATCTATTGATGATACAGGATAACTCAAAGAGAATTGGGAACCATCCTCTCACCCACACCCTGTCTTCAGGTGCTACGTTCATATCATCGCTTGTGTATTCCTTGAAAGCCTTCAAGAAAAAAGGTAGGGTTATTAAAGGCAAAACATAACACCCATACATTCAGTATACTAACTTCTCAAAAAATAATTTAAATGCTTCACAAATAACCAGTGAGCAATTTAATAAAAAATAATTTATAAAAAATGGACACTATAACTGCCTACAATTTTAGTATATGTGCCACTGAAATAGGCAAAACATAACTGCCTATAAAGAGCTCTGGACTAGAATCCAAAAGTTAGCTTCACTTTCAACTGTCACCAGCTTTCTGCATTATTAGCCAGGTTAATTCAGGTTTCCATTTTTATCACTTAAATGGTTATGATACCAGACAGCCACATTAACCACACTGGTGAAGTATGAAGGTGAAATGAGTTGACGTATCTAAAAAGTACCAAGCACCTGATCGGTCCATGGTAGTACGGAATAAAATCTTATTACCAAATCTACGATACATCACTTTCTCTTATGACAGTTACAAAGATAGATTCAAATATACAAGTTAAATATGGCAGCTAGATTTTCAATTCAACCTTTTACTTTAGAGCTTAAGCCTATTCTCATCCATAGTCAGTCAGCTTCAGTATTACACAGCACAGACAGACAAGATGCACTGTAGGGAATGGTTAGAAACACAGGCTGGGGCTCAAACCCTAGTTCTACTTTACTAGCCCTGAAACTATGGGCACATTTTAAAATTTCTCTGTGCCTCAGTTTCTTTGTCTGTATGGGGCTATAACACTATCTACCCCATAAAGCCATTAGAAGATTAAACAAGTTAATACAAGTTAATGAAAAACACTCAGAAAAATACCTGACACTTTCAATAATGGTTAGTTATAATCACTAACCATCCTAACTTGGAATCAGGCTGCTCAGATTATTTTTCAAATTACTGAAAAATAAATGCTTCATATACCCTCAATTCCCAAACAAACTTAAGATTTCAAATTGGAAAGAATACTCTGCAAAATTTTGTTTACTAAATGACGCTATACCTGAGGTCTATCAGACACATATTTTGCACAATGGCGAATAAGTCGAATTGCTTCCATACTTGTGTCTGGGAAAGCTGCATTGCACGCAAATTCAGACAAACACTTCACTGCATCCTGGAAAGAATCAATGGTCGCTGGAAAGTGTTTTTCAAATACAAGGGCTAAAATAGAGAAAAATATATATTACTATAATTTTTCAATTATTCTTAGCTGTACCAAAAATACACCAACATCTAGATGTAATGCACTTCCTCTTAAAGGTTGTTACAGGTTCTGACATCCAACAGATACGAAGTTCAAGACTATCTTTACCACTTAACTGACTGCCCTGAGTGGTGAGAATAGTAAAACTTGTCTGTTTTGTTTACATTATAAACATAGCACCTAATACAGTGACTGGTACACGGTAGGTACTGATTCAACTTTGGTTGAATGAATATACAAAATTACTTAACCTCTCTGTATCTCGGTTTCTTGATATAAAATGGAAATAATAATAATATACACAGATAGCTGTAAGCACTACGTAAAATAATATAAGTGAAGTGCTTAGTGTAATACTTAAGCAAGCACGCAATAAATGATAGCTATGATGATGCCATGATTCTTGATGTTGATGGTCATCATTGTCATCTTCCATATAGGCTTAACTTATAATCTTAGTATTTCAGTCAGTCCCCCTTGAACTTAAGGGGACTCCTCCTTGAAGAAGGCTGTGCAATGTACTTACTGGTCAAAAATAAAGGCTTTGCTTTAATACTCCATGGGTCTCAAGACCATCTCCATCACTAGTTCTGTGACCTTACATAGACTGCTTAACCTTTCTGGGGCTGAGTTTCCTAATCTATTTTGAAAAAAGGGATGGACAATAATGTTTAACTGTGAAGATTAAAGAAATTACGTGAAAAGTGCACACAGTATTTGCCATATGGTAAATACTCAATAAATGTTAACTATAATAGTAATTTAATTGTTTTTATTTACTCTGGTTCTGTAGACAAAGCTTGGTAAACTTAAAGGCCATAATCTTATTGTTACTTGAATCATCTTCTGAACACGTTAAGGTTGCTTTTTTTTTTTCCTTTTACTTGAACACAGCTAAGAGAATACTCACTGACAATGTGCCCGGTTGTTTGGAATGCAAGTTCCACTATGCTTTCATCTTGATCAGATGCAGCTAGATGAAATACAGAGAAAATGTTCTTCCATCCAGATCGAATGTTAGCAGCTTGAGAATTAACCATCTGTGCTATACACCGTACAACCATATCTCGAATTGTTGGAGACCTAAAAATATTAATATAATTGCTTGGATATGCAAACCGATAAAACTCATCAGTTTTTCCCCCTTTCTTCTGTTTTTCTCCCTGCTGTGGAAAACAACAAGATTTTCCTTCTATTAAGCAATTCAACAAATATAGTACCTGTTCCGTTTCATTATATGTTCAAAAGGTCTTAAGAAATCCTTCTGGAATCTGAAGTTAGCAAGCTCCCCTTTCTCTAAGAACTTCATTGACAACTGCCTCAAGGAGTCTACTGCAAAAATAGCTACATCTTCATTAGGATTACACCCAACCTGTAATGGCGACAGAAATAAACGATGCTAATTAATATCAGCAGTAAAAATCTACAATTCTTTATTTTTTGTTTTAGAAAAAGTATAGAATAGCATAGATAGGTAAATCCTAAGATTTTCCATAAAGGCATTAAGTATGCTAAAACTATTTCTCAACAAGAAAAACAGATATTTTAAATCAAATTCTTAAAGCCCAGAGCAATCATTTCTAAAAAGAAAAACACCATTCACAGGGTTTTCTAATTTAATATTAAAAAGTAATAAATAATTGCTTGGAAGGGAAAAAGGCTCAATTTGATTACAAGGACATTCTAAACAAAAAATATACTACAAATGTAAACAAACACCATAGTTATTCAAATACCTTATTAAAATGATCTCCAATAACTTCCCAAATTCGAGACCACTGTAATCTTATTCTTCCCATGTTGTAATATGATATTTCTACTATTTTTTGTAGACTAAACATTCTTGGGTGTGTCGTGGAAAGTAATTCATCCATAGACACAGCACAGAGCCAACGGACAAAATCCACTGTAATATAAATACATTTTTTTTTTAGCTCAACATTAAAGTTATTTTAGCCCCAAGCCAGTTCCGAAGTAGAATAAATGCCCATACTTACCAATGGCATTTCCATCTAGCCTTGTAGATCCTGTGAATATTCTAGGGAAAATAAAACACAATTTAAAAAATTTATAAGTTACTGTTCTTATTCCAATTGAAAAGTATGTGGCATGGGGTACTAGCTATTTTTATGTTTTAAGGGAACAAAAAATTGGGTATTCAAATGAGTATTTTTCATCATTTAGTTTAGTAACAAGTGTAGTCTGGATGTTTCTCCCTCCCCTCCACCTCTACTCCATGTGAACCAGTTTACATTCAATATTATTATTAGGGTAAGTATATACTGCTGTAATTTTATCAGATTTACAAACCCCGGATAGATATGAGATTCTAAGAATAAGAAAAATATTAATTTGTAAAACTAATAATTGGCACACTACAGATTCTTTCCTGATTATTGTCTAGCATTAAGCAAGTTCTTAAAATGAAAAATTTGACGTATTTTTACCAGTAAAGTATATTTGATTAGAAAGTTCATTTACACTAAAAGTGACTTAATATAACCTTGCAAATAGTCTCAGTTTACCCAAGAATTGGCCAAACCACTTTCCTTAGGGCATTCAAATGTTTGGAGTTAAGCTAACACTGCCCAGCTTTGCCCATTCTTCTTTGCTGAGCTCTTTTTTTGTTTCAAAGTTTCATAAAAAATTTCAGCATAAACACATTAGTCCTCCTTTTTTAAAGTCTGCATTTTAACCCATATTCTGGGTTTGCAACCAAGAGTTTGACGTCACTTTCAAGAAGGATGACATTCCTCAACTTAGAATGCACAAAATAGGATTTGCATGATAAAAAGGAAAACTTTAAAGGCAGGAGCAGGTCACAGTAGTCATAGCAGTAACAGTAATAGCTACCAATCACAAGATGGGTTCTTTTCTAGTGTAATATCAATATTCACTCATTTGATAATCACAAATTCCTTATGAAGCATGTACTATTAAATCCCCAATTTTATAAACACAGAAACTGAGGCACAAAGATATTTAATAACTTCCTCTAAGTCACAGAACTAGTAAGTGCTAGAGCCAAGATTCAAACCAGGACAGGGTGATTACAGTCTATCCTATTAACCACTTTTCTATACTGCCTCACACTTACCTGAGCAAAAGGTATATTCAACCCTTTTTTCCTACTATCACAATCTAAATGTTCTGAGTATATCATGATTTTTTAACCCTAGTGTCCTTGCATGTCTATGTGTCCTGACAATGAGTAAAAAACAATATAGGAAAAACAGTTTAGAAACGGGTAACATGATGACTCAGAATGTGAAGTCCTGCTAAAGAAATGTCTTAAGATTTTCTATATCGTTCGTCAGCAGAATGAAGCAGTAATTCCAAAATCTGGCAGAAAACACAATCTGAGGGAAAAATCAAAAGTAATATGGCCCCTCTTAATCCAGGGATTAGACTGGACCCAGAAATTAAAGATATACAACGTCTACAGAGCTCTCGCAAAACAAAAATGAAAACTGCCAGACTACGAATTTGGTCAGCTGATTTCTCAAACTAGAGGTATTCTCATGGAAGGCAATGGCTGTAAACAAGCCACACCATGAATACAGTCAAAAGTAAATAGTATAGGAGAACAAGAAAAGGCACACAAACAAAAACAAAGAAAAAAAGAGTTTTTAACTGAGAAGAAAGCAAATGGCAAACAGTAGAGGGGTAAAGAAAGAACAAAAGCAGAGATAGAACCACAGGGAAGGGAAGCAATAGATTCTGAAGGTGTTGACATAACGGAGAACAAAGGCAACAGGAGAGAGAACTATCATCAGCAATAAGACAGGTCCTGTGGACTGTTGTGATGGTGGAAGGTTGGGGGAGCATCCATTCTGAGAAAGGGCATCCCAATTCCTACTCACTGCCATAGTCTCTGAGGGGGTCACTCTATTTCTAGTAATGCTCCACTAAAGATAAGCCGTATGGTAGAGCACAGCAGTCTGTGGGGGCATTTAAAGTCAAGCCTTAACATTAAGGCAAGAGAACAGAGCTGTGTTTCATAAAATCAGCCTATGAAATGGTTTCTACATTTTCCATAGAAAAGCAAAGGACAGAAGCACAAGAACCTTGTTTGTGAATATTAAAAATCATGTGCTTTTTAAAAAGCATTAGAAAAAAACATTGGTAAGATTACTGCTTAATCACATTATAATACAGATGCAAAAACAAAAAATGGTTTGCAAAACTTTTGCAGATTCTGGATCAAATCAATTTTTAAACTGTATGCAATACACAAGCAGCCTATATTATTATACCTGTAAAAGGTTTTTTCACAATGAATATATCAGAGGTAACATTTATTTCTTAGGCCTAAATGAAAAGTATTTATGAGCAAAGGAAGTTGGGATAAGCTGTATGTATTTTCTGATAGGTGAAATATTCCAAAGTCTGAGGTGAGCCAGTTTATAGCTAGATCTGGTATGTATAAAAAAACCATAAAGAGAAAAACTATGATGCTAAATAATTGTTTTTTAGCTATTAAAAATAAACCATTCATGGATAAAGTCTATCTCCTGCATAGTTTAGTAATATTCATTATGAAATTGGTCTAATTTAACAACACATAAAAAATTCTATCCTAGCAAATGCTAGAGGATCAGTTATTCCCAGATTGAAGGGCCCAATATTCTTCTCCTATATTCTAATAATACAAGATTCCTAATACAAAAGTAGATAATTAGAAAATTTTATCACCTTAAAGTCTGTAATAAAATCTTATTCTCTTCTCTGTTGGTTAATAAACCAGAAGCTATAAAGAACTAAACATACAAAAATTTTTTTCTTTAGTTCCTGTACTTGTAATAACAGGTTATGCAGAAAAATAGGCCTAAGGACAGGAAAATGACTGTCTGCTGGGTAAGTACAGAACTCCCCAGATTGATGCCTGACACTATTTTCACTACTGTCTTGACTACCACTGAGTTGGGTAATGGACCAAAGTTTGAACATAACGATATGAAAATAAACTCAGATATTCAAAAAACATTTAATGGGAAAGTGAAATGTACCACTTAAGAATAATACAACATTATAAGAGATCAAATATATAACTTTCGGTGTTTTCACTATAAGCAAAAACTTGCAATACTGAGGTTTTGTATAAAATTTGATATTGGATTTATGTTTTTAGAAGTATCTGGCGATGACAAGATTGTGATGACACAGTACTAACAAAATTTATGCTAAATCTCCTCTGAAATAGCATAAATTCTTAAAACAGAGAGGTAATTTCAAATGAGTAACATGTCCCTCTGTAACAAACAGTGGATAGGAAGATAAATTAGAACTGGATGTGGTCATATAAAGTACATTATAAAAGCAGAAACAGTAGGTAAAATGTTAAATCATGCCTGAATAGATTCTCAAAATGACAGTGAAGATGATTTTTCTGGAAGGCAAGAAAATCATTGACAAGAAAGCTAGCCCGGTAGCAGAAGGGCTATTACATAGCTCTGCAGTAGTACATGCAGGCTGAAAGGTGGAGAGGTTAAGTATGCATGCTTATTACACAAGCCTAGTTGTGGGAATGAGCAAGTTATTTAATCTTTTTCTGTCTCAGTTTCCTCATTGTAAATTGAGGACAAGAATACCCATCTCATGAGGCTACTGAAAGGATTAAATGTAAAGCGTTTTGCAAGTGCCTCATCTGTGGCAAGCCTTCATGTTTGTTATACAGTAGGTATGAGATAATCTTTCTTCAGTCTTCACAAAAAAATAGGCAAATGACTCTCCTCTTAAAAAAAAACAAAACACAAAAAACAACAGCAAGTAGACATTAAGAATTCAAGGAAAAAGTTCCATGGAGTACTTCCAGGGTCAGTGGCCACTGAACATTCTAGTTCTACCTGTACTTAGAGCAAAAAGTTTTATCTGAAGCAAAGTAAAATAATGGATCAGCATGAGTTTCCAGACTATCAAGGAAAGATTTGTACAAATTATGTTTTTGAAAGTTTCCATCACAAGTAGGGGGTGGGAGGAAGAAAAAGAAAAAACATTATTGTAAAATGTTTCACTTTTGGGGGCATTTATCTAGAAAAAGCTAAACTTCAAGTAACAATAGGAGACATTGTTCTATGTGCTGGACATTTTAAAATTGGAAATATTCTGTAGTAAATAAAGCATACCATGGGTTTTCTTTTAGAAAACAAACTAAAAATGGGGAATATGTGGTGATGTGTATAATATATAAATTCTGAAGTCCTTTCCAAAAAAGTTTATAATGGGAATTGCCAATAAAACCTTTCATTTCATCCATAATGCAGTCTATATTGTGGACCCAGAAAAATAAACTACACAACATTTTCAAATAGGGATAATAAGGGGAATAAGTTTTCTACGAGAAAATAAAACATTTGTATTCTTTTCCATCGAGGTTACCATTTCCTTAATGCCCATTAGTATCTATTGTAACTTAAATTTTCATACTGTTTATCATCTTCTTATATTCTATGATCCAAAAAGCAAAATTATAGGTACTTCATCATCTAAATCACAGCATATCACAATATAATTTTATATTACTTTAGAAAAATGATTTTGGCAATAATATTTTTCTTTTTACCAACACCTAAATGCTAAAGAACTGAAATAGTAATCATCTGAAAAGGGAATAAAATGAATACCTTACCTATCTACAGCAACAACAACACTCTGAGAACTGGTTTCTCCAATGGATTCCTGAATACTTGCTATCTGTTTCCAGTCCACATTTCCTCCAACTACCACACATAAAAAAAAGTCATTTCAGTTTGAAAATAATTCAGTAGAAGAATACACTTAACAAGTTCTAAAACATACTTCTGAAATCAACTGCTTTCCTAATAACAGAATGCTTCAGGTGAACAATTCTTTTGATATCAGTGACATGAACAAGGCCAAATGTGCAAATGAACTTTACTAAGTAGTATACAACACATGGTTATAAGTCACAAACTATGTTTGTAAAGATCACACAAAGTAGGGGCACTGTGAATTTATATCACAAAATTATAGATATTAGATATAATTTCCCTTAATGTTTAAAGAAATGCAGCACTAATCTCAGTTCCAATGATACCTTCTGAGGATGATCCCAACTCCAAAAATTTAGACTTCCCTTGTCATTTAATCTCTAGTCCCCTATTTACAAAGGTCAGTTGAAAATTCTACCTGTATTTTCTAACACCCTTTTATTGAAAAGAATCATTCATCTTTTCCCTTGAAACTGGTTCCACATGTTGGAGAGGAGAATAACAATATTCCCAGTCTTCAAATTCTTAACTTCAGAATCACCTTTGATATCCTTCCCCTCTTCCACTATCAATATTCAACTAGTCACTAAATTTTTCTTCTGATCTGTTTTTCATATCACCTGTTCATTTCCATTCCTACCTAGTTCTGGCCCTCATAATCTCAGTCCTAGATTACTGAAACCATTTCATGAGTGATTTCCCTGCCATTAATTATTTCCCTCTTCAATCTCTCTTTCATCCCCCTGCCAGATTATTTCCTAAATCGTCTCCTTCATTCTGCTTA
The DNA here is from genome assembly GCF_000001405.40 of Homo sapiens. Taxonomy (NCBI): domain Eukaryota; kingdom Metazoa; phylum Chordata; class Mammalia; order Primates; family Hominidae; genus Homo; species Homo sapiens. Next base: position 67,233,742 of record NC_000008.11, read on the forward strand.
CTGTTACTTACAAGATAAAATATAAACTCTTTACCCTAGCATTTAAAGCACTTCCCTTCAACAGTCTAGCCAAAATGTGCCATCCCTCAACTATCTAAAACTTACCTACCAAGACTCAATTTGGGTTCTCAATGAAAAGTTCCTCTCCATTGTTCTCATCTGCCTTTGAACTAAGCATTTACTTAGCTAAGTACTACTCAAATCAGAATTACGTTCATACAGTTGCATATAAATTATTTCAGGTGTGTTAATGTTGCCTTCACAACCAGATAAAGTTTCCTAAGGTTAGGAATCAAGTAATATTCATTTTTGTACTTTCCTACCTTACTCAAAATTAAGTCCAAAGCAGGTGCTCTACAAACACTTGACCTGAGTGACCAAACACTCAATAAATGCCCTTCTGAATGCAAACATAACAGATGATATCATTTAAACCTGCTGAACTCAAATTCTATTCTAGGAACTGAATGATGTGAAAAAGATGTAACCCCTGTCCTCACAGAGTTAATAATTTACACCAGGAGAGACAGATATGTTTATAATGAACTTCAATGCAATGTAATGACTACTTCATGGCTGAAATGAACTAACTACATAGAATAAAAGTTTGCTAAATAGAACTAATTTCAATAGGGACAAGAACAGGGTGTTAGCTCATAGAAAGGCTTCACATATGATGAAATATTAATTCAACCTGGACCTAGAAGGGTAACTATGTAGAAAAGGAAGGAGAAAGAAAAGCAATTGAGACAGAGGGGCAGCTATATAAAGTAATGGAAACATACAACTGTACATCATGTTTTCACATACTTGGTAGTATAGCCATAATGAAGGATTGGCAGACACCAGGAAGAAGGGAAAAGAACAGCAGTAGGAGATAAAGCTGAAAAGACAGACTAGAAAAAAGAATGTGAAGAGCCTTGACCCTTAGGTTTAATGTACTACTTTCGAAAACAGGGATCCGTTAGGTCTTTTAGAAGATTGATATGATCTAATCTATTTTCCAAAAGACAACACTGATAATATCTGGAGAACATACTGAAATAGGAAAAAATATTGAAATCAGAGAGATAAACTAAAAGTCTACTGCTATAATACAAGTGAACAAGAATGAAAGCCTGAAGTAAGTGACACAGTATTGGGGTGGTAGGGAAATAGTGTCAAGGCAAACTTGACACGCACAGCATGTTACAGGAATTTTACAAAGAAAAACCTATGAGAAAAAAACAATGCCAATCATAAGATAACTTCCTTTGTGTATCAACAGGATATCCTTTCCACAGAGGAAATATATATATGTTCTGTGGGGAAAAAATATGTGTATGTGTGTATATATATATATATGTGTGTGTGTGTGTGTATATATATACACACACACACACGTGTCAAAATATGTCCTTTATATTTAAATATAATTTAAAATCATTAATAATAAAATATTTAAAGGAATCAAAGAATATAAAAAATGTCTTGGAATCCAAAGAACCCATTTCACAAATATGTGAAATCCCTTAATGAGAGTTCCAGTTTTGTCAAACAAATTTACTCAAAAGCACACAACACAAGAGAATAGGGGTGTTAGCTCAAGAAAGGCTTCACGTATGATGAAATACTAATTCAACCTAGACCTAGAAGGATGGTTATGTAGAAAAGAAAGCAGAAAGAAAAGCAATCACAATAGAGAGGGCATATTTAGGTTAAATAAGATTTTTTAAACTATGTGTCATGAATACTCTCTGAACATTTATGTGACAAAGCCATTGAATTTTTAAATGTTAAGGTATCTCTTGAAAGACCAGCATGCAGTCCAGGTGCCATGGCTCGTGCCTCTAGTCCTAGCATTTTGGGAGGCCGAGGTGAGAGGATCACCTGAAGCCCGGAGTTTGAAACCAGCCCGGGCAACATACTGAAATAGGAAAAAAACATAGTGAAAGCCTGGGACAGGCTTTTACTTTAGTAACTTTAATTTAAAAAAAAGTTGAGCCCAAGAGTTCAAGACTGCAGTGACCTATGACCATGCCACTGCACTCCAGCCTCAACAACAGAGTGAGACCTTGTCTTTAAAAAAATAGAAAAAAAAGAATGCATATAATTCAAATCTAATAATTATCTACTATGTATTCTTAATAACTGAAAGTTTCGTATTTCCAAAAAGTGAAAGTACAGACTTTTTTTCTATCAGTCAGAAAGTATGATAAATATATACTCAACCCGGTCAACTTGGTTACATGGAATACTCACGGCAGAGATACCATTAATAAAAGAGGATATGGGCGGGCGCAGTAGCTCACACCTGTAATCCCAGCACTTTGGGACGCCAAGGCGGGCAGATCACATGAGGTCAGGAGTTCAAGATCAACCTGGCCAACATGGTGAAACCCTGTCTCTACTAAAACAAACAAACAAACAAACAAACAACAAAAAAAATTAGCTAGGTGTGGTGGCACACCCCTGTAATCCCAGCTACTCAAAAGGCTGAGGCAGGGGAATCACTTGAACCCAGGAAGCAGAGGTTGCAGTGAGTTGAGATCGCACCACCGCACTCCAGCCTGGGTGACAGAGTGAGACTGTGACTCAAAAAAAAAAAAAAAAAAAAAAGATATTAGTTAAAAAAAAAAAAAAAAATATATATATATATATATATATATATATATATATATATATATATATGTATCCACTGTATATGCAGACTAAACTGGCTTGACTGTACCACATCTTCTTCTAGCTTAAATTCTGATGACAACATTCTGCTCCAGAAAGCATCTGCTGTCTGACCTTGGTAGGCACAGGGGGACAAGGGTAGCCATTTGCCACATGGGTTGGCTGGTTATCCAACGGGACGGCCCAACGGGAGGGCTCTGCCCAACAGGGGCCAAGTCCACAGACTAGCTCCTTCTAGGATGTGGATTCAAAATGGAGCATGGAGTCAGGACTGAGCAGAGAATGGTGCAGACCAAAAAGAGAAGTACATAACAGAGAAAACCTAAATAAGGCATAAAATAAGTGTTACTGGTCTTGAGAATGGTCTGGAAGCCTGAACTGTTTTTCATTTCTAGGCCTCAATGTGTGTATCTTTCTGTAAATTCCCTTTTTCTGAAGGGAGAAGACAGTTCATCTCATATCCTTGCAACCTAAGTAGCACAGTACATGAATTAATTTTAATTCATTTTCAAGTATACCAGTAAATATTATCAGCAAGTATCATTATTTCTCGTTTGACTAAAACTTCTAGAAGATATCCCACTGGTGTTTTATTTTTAGTGTAACCTAATTCTGTAGTCCTACTTGCCAAAACTCAGGCCCAGCAATTAACACCTGTCATTATTTTGGCATTCCCACACTCTCTAGGCCTTTTCAAAGTTACTGAGCCAATCAGTGCACATTCACTTCCCTTGCCTGAAAATAGTTTTCATCTGCATCTCATGTTACCCCATGGAGTAATTACAGTTCTAATGTATAAAGTTGGGCTTCTAATCATTGTGCAGGTGCTCAGGTAGTTCTAAATCTTACTGCTAGATCACCAAGGTATCAAGTCTACACCTGCACCTCCCAGACCTTACAATACTATAGCATCTATGCTATCATGGAGGGACAGACTGCATTGCTAGCTGCTTCAGTTGATTACCACTGGGAATTAGTTTTCCCCAGTCCAACTTGAAGCCATATCATGGTCCTGGTTTTTAATTCTTTTCCTATGGATCCTTTATAAAGTTTGAAATTCTTTTGGGGTTTCTAAGAATTTTCACTGCTAGCAGCAACAGAGGAATCACTAAAAGATAGAAGATTCCTGCTCTAAGTAATGCGTCCAGATTGGTTGGAGGTGGGGGGTTGGGGAGGGATGGACAGAGAATATCTAGAAACTTCGAATATACCAGCCATTATGCTAAGTCCAGTCATATATATTCTTATTTAATCCTAACAATCCTATGATTAGATATTACTTTGTTTGCAAAAGCAGAAATTGAATCTCGGCGAACTAAAGTAACTTACACATAATAAGGAAAAAATACAGAAGAATTCAAACCCAGAAATACTTAAGGTCAAAGTCTAATAAGCTCTGTTTCTTCCCTGGTGGAACTCCTTCCATTTATGACTAAAAAATGTATTGCTTTTCATTCTTCTCTACCCATTTTTGCTAATGTTTTCTTTTGTTCTACTGGTTTAAATGTGGAAGTTCCTGGTCATATTGAGCGCATGGGGAGCCATGGGGAGAGGTTTCATACTGGCAGAAAGGCTGGTTAGGCCTGCTCATTGCTTTAACAATTAAATGTGAATGCTTTCTCCAGTTGCCCCAACTATTACCTGATACCAGCTTTCACACATTCAAGTTACCTGCTTATTTTTAAAAGCAAGTAATTTAAAAACTCTACACACTGTATCCTTCTCCAACAACCAGAGAGAAGCCTGAAACTAAGGGTCATTTAATGTTGCAAACCAGACCAGGCAAAAAAGATTTAGTTCCTTAGTCATCTTGCTTTTTCTCATAAGGTTAGACAAAAGGCATTTTATCTTCTCCTTCTAATTATATTTCATTACTACAATAAAGTGACTTATAATGAGGAAGTTAAAAACAATTTTTGATACTTTGTAAAAATTCTCACCTAGCCCTAAACCCACAAATTCATCAGGAGCCTGATCTTTTGTTCCAGTAAGAGATCCTTCTCTGCCTCGCACTGTTCCAGAAATGTATCGAGGTTTCACTCCAGTTCCTATAAGCTGTGCCAGCTCCAACTGACTGATGCACTTCAGAATCTTAATTACAAAAAGGAAAAAAATGTTAAATTCCATGTTAAAAATATCTTCAAAAAGATTTAAATATATGCAGCCAGGACTTAAACACAGACTACACTATAGATTATTTTAAAAAGCTAAACGTACTTATTCGAAATGTACTAATTTTCTCCCCTAACATTTAGGCATGTCAATGATGGACTATTTAGCATTAGCTCATTTTATAAACCAAATTGCAAAGTTGAAAATAAAGTGCTTATACCTCATGCCATGAATTTCCTAAATAATTTCCATCTGTATGAGCCACTGTGATAAGTGTTTTTATTGTGTCAATGTTCTTCTGTTTCATTTCAGTAATACCGGAACTCACTGTGAGTAAGGTAAATCTTGCTAGTGCCTGGACATATGCATCTCTCTCCAGCTATAAAAAAGAGAAAAGTATGTTTACACAGTTCTAAATAGAGCAGACTGATTAATTCCCCACCAACAAACTCTGTTTACTTGTTCAGTAAGATTTTGTTTTTTTTTTTTTTAATTTATTTATTAATTTTTGAGACAGAGTCTCACCCTGTCGCCCAGGCTGGGGTTCAATGGCGCAATCTCGGCTCACTGCGACCTCCGCCTCCCAGGTTCACATGATTCTTCTGCCTCAGCCTCCCGAGTAGCTGGGATTACAGGCGCCCACTACCATGCCAAGCTAATTTTTTGTATCTTTAGTAGAGACGGGGTTTCACCATGTTGGCCAGGCTGGTCTCGAACTCCTGATCTCGTGATCTGCCCGCCTCGACCTCCCAAAGTGCTGGGATTACAGGCTTGAGCCACCATGCCTGGCCCTCCTTTCCCTTTCTTTTGCCTATTAAACCTCCACTCCTAAACTCGTAAGTTCAGTAACTTGTAAGTTTAGTAAGTTTTACTTGTCATGAATTACATATAATTCCACAAGTTTTTTATTTTCATTCATTTTAAGATGATGCATGAAGCAGAAACGACATACATTTCTAAAATCCAAAGGCAGTGGTGGTGTCAAATTGAGATTTTTAGTGATAACCAATGAATTCACACAGTAAAAAAAAAAAATTCATTAAGCACTTTTGTTTTGATTACTAGATTAGCAAAAACATGATTTATACATTTGCTCATTTTCTCCACAGCTACGCTATACTTTTTGCAAGCCATTAGCATTTATAATTAAATGTTGAATGAATTTTTCTTTTTTTAAAAGTTCCTCAAAGCATATAAATTACTAGAAAGGACTTCTTTCATGAAAATTATGTATTCAATATTTACATGTCTTAAAGATAACCTGTTCTTAGGCTTAAGTTATGAAATCATATAAAATATATACAACCTTGTATATAAACTATGATTCAACAAGATATTTTATTCGTTTAAACAAGATGTTCAAATTAACATAGGAATTCAAAGTCTTGAAAACTTTCTGTATAGTCTTCAATAGAGAAAAAAAACTGTAACCAAAGTTATAATGATAAACTTAGACAGATCAGTATAGAACTACCCCTTCTATAACAGCTTCTCAGAAGCTTAAACATTAAGATTCATTTAAATTCCATCATAAACTTGAAATTAGTTTTTAATGTCACACATAAACAATTATTGTAATTTAAACTATTGTAATGGCATAGGTAATTAATGTTCCAAACTGGCTACAAAGACAAAATTCTCTGTTACCTGAATGCTGAAAATGCATGCAATTCTGATTGCACATCTTATACCTTCCAGGCAAAGAGAGGCTACTTCAGTATCATCACAATCTTGTAGACCCACACTGAATGCAGCCAGAAAAGGCGTCCAAGCCAACTACAAAAATTAAAAATTGTATTTTAATTAAAGATTATGATAACACATTAAAATTTCTCAAATCTTTTAGACAATACAAGTTCTGAAAAAAAGAAATGAAATTCTTGGCAGTTATCTAGAAAGCTTTCTTAAACAAAGGGGGAAAACTATATAATGCTGCCTGGGCTTGAATAAATGGGAGAGCAAAATAATACATTCAATAGAGGACCTTAGGCATATTTTAAGAACTGTACCTATAAATTATTCACATCAATTTAAAAATGGAAATAATCAATATTCATAAAAATATTAGTTTTACCCGACTTCAGAACTCCTCTCTCTTTGTAAGCTTTGTCTCTTGCAATATTTCACACTATTTCCAGTAAGATCCTGTTAATCATTTTCCTACTTGCAACAAACAACATTATTATCTTTTCTTTAAGCCCATTCCCTGAACATCATTTAGCCTAATTTTTAAAAAATAGTTAAATATTTTACATTGAGACATCAGTGATATTTCTGGTTTCCAGTTGGACAATATTTAAAAAGTAGTTAAATAAAATACTTCCTCATTATACACTGTGGAAGACAACAAATACTTACTGAAATTTTACTATCAAAACTTTGAATCCTGAATGAAGTTACAATATAAAGCAAAAAAGACGCTACTTTTTGGCCACTGAAAATTCTAATAAAATACATAACCTTGAAATGTCTCATGTGAAAGTATTCAACTGCTTTTAAGTGGTCATCATAAAGAAAAACTATATAGCCATATAGCCATAAAGATGAAAAATGTTTCTATCAGTGCGCTATAGAAATTACAATCGAATTTCTAAAAGATCTATAAAGCATTTAGCATTACTAAGGAAAACAATTACCCAGAGCTTTGTTTCTAAACTTCAGAAAGTTGAGAAGTAAACATTTATAATCTCTAAACAAAAAAAACATAAGTCATAGAACCTAGGTTCTAGTCTCAGCTCCGCCACTTATTTAATCTCTCTGAACCTCACTTTTCTTCATCTATTATATTTGAACTGCCACTACAGAGAGAAGCTGAGAGAAACATAAGTGCCGTACTTCTAAACTACAAAGTACCATATGACAGCAATAACTTACACATTCTGTGGAGAAACAGTGTATCTATTTGGAAGCCTGTGTTATATTTTATACAAGAAGAGATACAAACGGTTCTTAAGGCAGTGAAAAAAAAAATGTTTAACTCCTTTAGGAATCAAAGACAATGATTCCTCCTATCAAATTACAACTAAATAATATCCAGGCAATAGTTAAACTGTGCACTCATAACTGTACGAACCTTTGTGGAACACCGTTTGGCAATACATTAAAAAATTCTTAAAAATGGATAATATGCAGGAACAAGAGGGCCAAAAAGAGAGCTCCACCAATCATCCCCCATGCAGGAACACCAAATTTAACAACTATCTACACACAAAAAAAACACCTTCATAAGAACCGAGAAACAGGTGAGCACTCACAGTAGCTGGTTTTAACTTGATATCACTGAAAGGGACATTGAAGGGGTAGGAAAGACAGTCTTAAATCCCAACGCCATCCCTCCCCCGTCTCCCATCAGCGGCCCTATGCTGCAGAGAGAAAATCTGTGTACTTGGGAGAGGGACAGTGCAGCAACTGTGAGACTTTACATTGAACTCAGTGCCATCCTGTCACAGTAGAAAGCAAAACTGAGCTGAACTGAGCTGATGCCCACCCACAGAGGAAGCATTCAGACGAGCCACAGCCAGACAGGCATCACCCATCCTAGCAGTAGGAACCTGAGTTCCAGCAAGCCACACCAGCATGGACTAAAATGTTCTGGGGCCCTAAATAAACCTGAAAGTCAGTCTAGGCCACAAGGACTGCAACTCCTAGGCAAGGCCTAGCTGTGCTGGGCTTGGAGGCAGTGGACGTGGAGGATACACAACCTACTGAGACACCAGCTAGAGTGGCTAAGGGAGTGCTGGCATCACCCCTCCCCCAAGCATAGCTTGTAGCTCCAAAACAGACTCCCTTCTCATACTTAAGGAAAGGAGAGGGAAGAATAAAGAGGACTTTGTCTTGCATCTCTAAAACCAGCTCAGCCACAGCAGGACAGGGCACCAGGCAGAGGTGTGAGGCCTCCTTTCCAGGCCCTAGCTCTGATTTCTAGACACATCCTAGGCCAGAAGGGAACCCACTGCCTTGAAGGGAATGGCCCAGTCCTCACAGGATCCCTTATTTGCTGACTAAAGAGCCCCTGGGCCCTGAATAGCCAGAGTGATATCCAGATAGTACACTGTGGGACTCGGGTGAGACTCAGTACATTCCCAGCTGTGGTGGCTATGGGGAGGGACTCCTTCTTCTTGCAGAGGAAAAAGTAAAGGGATTTTGTCTTGCACTTTAGGTACCAGCTTGGCCACAGAAGGGTAGAGCAACAAGTGGGCTCTTGGAGACCTTATTCCAGGCCTTGGCTCTGGGATGGCATTTCTGTACCTGCCCTGGGCCAGAGGGAAGCCCACTGCCCTGAAGGGTGAGTCCCGGCCTGGCAGCATTCAAGACAAGCTCATGAGAGAGCCCTTGGCCCTTGTGAACATCAGCAGTAGCTTGGCAGTACTCTCCGTGGGCCTGTGGTGGTGATGGCCACGGGCTAAGGCTCTTCTGCCTGTGAAAAGGGGAGGGAAGAGTGGGAAGCACTGTGTCTTGTAGTTTGAGTGCCAGCTCAGCTGCAGTAGAATTGAACACCAGGTAGATTCCTAAGGTTTCTGACTCATGTCCCTGGCTCCAAGATAGTATCTCTGGACCTGCCTGGAACCTGGGGGGTAATCCAGAGAATTCTTCTGAATGTTATTGAAGACCACTAAGGTGATACCTCTATGAGTCTGCAAGAACTACAGAGTCTGCAAGTAACCCACCGTTACTGGACTTGGGGTGTCCCCTAAAGCAGATACGGCATGGATCACAATACTCAAGTATATTAGTCCATTCTCAAGCTGCTAATAAAGACATACCCAACACTGTGTAATTTATAAAGAAAAACAGGCTTAATGGACTCAGTTCCATGTGGCTGAGAGGCCTCACAATCATAGTGGAAGGCAAGGAGGAGCAAAATCATGTCTTACAACACAGCAGCAGGCAAGAGAGAGCTTGTGTGGGGGAACTCCCCTTTATAAAACCATCGGCTCTCATGAGACTCATTCACTATCACAAGAACAGCACGGGAAAAGACCTGCCCCCATGATTCAATTACCTCCCACTGGGTCTCTCTCATGACACATGGGAATTATGGGAGCTACAATTCAAGACTGGTAAGGATATAGCCAAACCGTATCATCAAGTCCTTTTGAATACCTAGAAAGCCTTCCCAAGAAGGATGGGTACAAACAAGCCCAGACTGAGAAGACTACAATAAACACCTAATTACTCAAAGCCCAGACATCAATGAACATCTGTAAGTATCAAGACTATCCAGGAAAACACGACCTCACCAAACGAACTAAATACCAGGGACCAATCCTGGAGAAAGAGATATATGTGACCTTTCTGACAGAGAATTCAAAAGAGCTGTTTTGAGGAAACTCAAATAAATTCAAGGTAACACAGAAGAAATTCAGAATTCCATCAGATAAATTTTTAAAAGGATTAAAATAATAAAAAAAAATCAAACAAAATTCCACAGTTGAAAAATGCAGGCCAGGCGTGGTGGCTCACGCCTGTAATCCCAGCACTTTGGGAGGCCGAGGTGGGTGGATCATCTGAGATCAGGAGTTTTGAGACCAGCCTGGCCAACATGACAAAACCCTGTCTCTACTAAAAATACAAAAAATCAGCCAGACATGGTGGCAGGTGCCTGGAATCCAAGCTACTCAGGAGGCTGAGGCAGAGAGAATTGCTTGAACCTGGGAGGCGGAGGTTGCAATGAGCCGGGATCATGCCACTGCACTCCAGCCTGGGCGACAAAGCGAGACTCCACCTCAAAAAAAAAAAAAAAAAAAAAAAAAACATTCGACTACTGAGTCTCTCGTCTCTCTCTCTCTGTTGTTGTTGTTGTTTTTTTTTTTTTTTTTGAGGATCTCACTCTGTTACTCAGGCTGGAGTGAAGTGACATCACAGCTCACTGTAACCTCCACCTCCCAGGCTCAAGCAATCCTCCCACCTCAGCTTTCCTAGTAGCTGGAACCACAGGCACAAGCCACTATACCTGGCTAATTTTTGTAGAGATGGGGCTTCGCCATGTTGCCTAGACTGGTCTCAAACTCCTGGGCTCAAGTGATCTGCCCACTTCAGCCTCCTAAAGTGTTGGGATTACAGGCATAAACCACGGTTCCCAGCCCCATAAGTCTCTTAATAGCAGAACTGATCAAGCAGAAGAAAGAATTAGTAAGCGTGAAGACAGGCTATCTGAAAAAAATACAGTCAGAGGAGACAAAAGAAAAAAGAATGAAGCACACCTATAAAATCTGGAAAATAGTTTTAAAAGGGCAATTCTAAAAGTTATTGGTCTTCAAAGAGGCAGAGAAAGAGATAGAGGTAGAAAGTTTATTCAAAGGGATAACAACAGAGAACTCCCCAAACCTAGATAAAAATAACAGTATCCAGTACAAGAAGGTTATAGAACATCAAACAAATGTAACCCAAAGACAATTACCTCAAGGCTTTTTAATAATTAAACTCACAAAGGTCAAAGATAAAGGATCCTAAAAGCAACAAGAGAAAAGAAACAAATAACATACAATGAAGCTCCAATATGTCTGGCAGCAGACTATTCAGTGGAAACCACACAGGCCAGGATACAGTGGTATGACATATTTAAAGTGCTTATGGAAAAAAACTTTTACCTGAAAATAGTACATATCTGGTGAAACTATCCTTTAAACATGAAAGAGAAATAATTTCCCAGACAAATGAAAGCTGAGGGATTTCATCAACACCAGACATGTCCTGCATGAAATGCTAAAGGGAGTACTTCAATCAGAAAAAGGACATTAATGAGTAAGAAGAAATCATCTAAAAGTACACAACTCACTGGTTATAAAAAGTACACAGAAAAATATAGTATTATAACACTGTGTAACTGTGGACATGTAAAATACTCTTAAGTAGAAAGACAGAAAGATGACTCACAGCTTTTCAAGACACAGGCAGTACAATAAGGTATAAACAAAAACAACAAAAGGTTAAAAAGCAGGGGAACAAAGTTAAAGTGTAGAGTTATTAGTTTTATTTTTGCTTGTTTATTTGTTTATGCAAGCAGTGTTATCAGCTTAAAATAATGGGTTATAAGATAGTACTTGCAAGCCTCATGGTAACCTCAAACCAAAAAAACCTATAATGAATAAACAAAAAATAAAAAGTAAGAAATTAAATCAAACCATCAGAGACAATAACCTTCACTAAAAGGAAGACAGGAAAGAAGGAAAGAAAGAAGAAAAGACCACAAAACAACGAGAAAATAACAAAATTGGAAGAGTAAGTCTTTATCAATAGTCACACTGAATATACATAGGCTAAACTCTTCAATAAAAAGATACATAGTGGCTGAATGAACAAAAACACAAGCCCCAATGATCTGTTGTGTACATGAGACACACTTCACCTGTAATGATACAAACCGACTGAAAATAAAGGGATGGAAAAAGATATTCCATGCAAATGGAAAGCAAAAAAGAGCAGGAGTAGCTATACTTGTATCAGAAAAAATATATTTCAAGACAAAAACTAGGAAGAGACAAAGCCAATATGCAATGATAAAGAGGTCAATTCAGCAAGAGGATACAGCAATTGTGTGTGGATGTGTGTGTGTGTATATATATAGATATGCACACCCAGCACTGCACCCAAATATATAAAGCAAATATTATTAGAGCTAAAGACAGAGACAGACCCCAATACAGTAACAGCTGGAGACTTCAACACCTCATTTTCCATATTGGACAGACCTTCCAGCAGATCAACAAAGAAACATCAGATTTAATCTGCACTACATAACAAATGGATCTAACAGATATTTACAGAATATTTCATCCAATGGCAGTAGCATACACATTCTTTTCCTCAGCACATGGATCATTCTAGAGGATAGACCATATGTTAGGACTCAAAACAAATCTGAAAACACTTTAAACAAGTGAATCTGAAGCCTCTTTCTGGTACAACGGAATAAAACTAGAAATCAGTAACAAGAATAATTTTAGAAACAACACAAACACATGAAAATTAAAGAATATGCTCCTGAATGACCAGTGGGTCAATGAAGAAATTAAGAAGGAAATTGAAAAATTTATTGAAACAAATGATAATGAAGACACAACGTACCCAAACCTATGGAATATAGTGAAAGTAGTCCTAAGAGCAAATTTTATAGCTGTTAGTGTCTACATCAAAAAAGAAGAAAAACTCCAAATAAACAACCTAATGATGTTTCTTAAAGAACTAGAAAAGCAAGAGCAAATCAAACCCAAAATTAGTAGAAGAAAATAAAGATCAGAGCACAAATGAATGAAATTGAAATTTTAAAAATACAAAACATCAACAAAACAAAAAGTTGGTTTTCTGAAATGATAGATAAACTTGACAAACCTTAACCAAGACTAAGAAAAAAAGACCGAAGACACAAATAAATAAAATTAGAGATGAAAAAGGAGACATTACAACTGATACCACAGAAATTCAAAGGATTCTTAGTGGCTACTCTGAGCAACTACATGCCGGTAAACTGGAAAATCTAAAGGAAATGGATAAATTCCTAGACACATAGAATCTATGAAGATTGAACCAAGAAGAAATTCAAAACCTGAACAGACCAATAACAAGCAATGAGATCAAAGCCATAACAAAAAGTCTCTCAGCAAAAGAAAGCGTGAAATCTGATGGCTTCACTGCTAAATTCTACCAAACATGTAAAGAACTAATACGAATCCTATTCAAACTATTCTGAGAAACAGAGTAGGAAGGAATATTTCCAAATTCATTCTACAAGGCCAGTATTACCCTGATACCACAACCAGACAAAGACACATTAAAAAAAAAATTGCAGGCCAATATCACTGATGAATATTGATGCAAAAATCCTCAACAAAATACCAGCAAACCAAATTCAACAACACATTTAAAAGATTATTCATCATGACCAAGTGGGATTTATCCCAGGGATGCAAGGATGGTTCAACATACACAAATTAATCAATGTGATACACCATATCAATAGAATGAAAGACAATACCATATGATCATTTCAATTGATTGAAAAAGCATTTGATAAAAACTCTCAAAGAAGTAGGTATAGAAGGAATATTCCTCAACACAATGAAAGCCATATACAACAGACCACAGCTAGTATTGTACTGAAAAGGGAAAAACAGAAAGCCCTTCCTGTAAGGTCTGAAACACAACAAGGATGCCTACTTTCACCACTGTTATTCAACAAAGTACTGAAAGAACTAGCTGGAGGAATCAGAAAAGAGAAAGAAATAAAAGACATCCGAACTTGAAAGGAAGAAGTCAAATTATCTATTTGCAGGTGATACGATCTTATATTTGGAAAAGCCTGAACGCTCTACCAAAGAACTATTAGAACTGATAAATTCAGTAAAGCTGCAGGATACAAAAATCAACATACAAAATTCAGTAGCATTTCTATTTGACAACAGTGAACAATCTGAGAAAGAAATTTTAAAAATTAACCAAAGACGTGAAAGATCCCTACAATGAAAACTACAGAACAGTGATGAAAGACACTGAAGAGGACACCAGAAAAATTGAAAGATATTTTATGTTTATGGATTAGAAGAATCAATATTGCTAAAATGTCCATATTACCCAAAGCAATCTATAGAATACCATGACATTCTTCAGAGAAATAGAAAAAAAAAATCCTACAATTTATATGGAATCAAAAAAGACCCAGAATAGCCAAAGCTATCCTGAGCAAAAAGTACAAAACTGAAGAAATCACATTACCTGCCTTCAAGTTATACTACAGAGCTATAGTAGCCAAAATGGCACAGTACTGGCATCAAAAGAGATATGTAGATCACTGGAACAGAATAGAGAACCCAAAAATGAATCCATACATCTAGTGAATTCATTTTTGACAAAGGAACCAAGAACATACATTGGGAGAAAGGACAGTCTCTTCAATAAACAGTGCTGGGAAAACTGGATATCCATATACAAAAGAATGAAACTAGACTCCTTTATCTTGCCATATACAAAAATCAGATCAAAATGGATTAAAAACTTACATCTAAGACCTCAAACTATGAAACTACCGTAAGAAAACATTGAGGATTCTCTAGGACATTAAGCTGGGCAAAGATTTCTTGAGAATACCCCACAATCACAGGTAACCAAAGTAAAAATGGACAAATGGACACATCAAGTTAAAAAGCTTCTGCAAAGCAAAGGAAACAATCAACAAAGTGAAGAAACATCCCACAGAATAGTGGTTCTCATTGTGCAGCTCAGAGAAGGTGCAATACTCTCCAGCTCCACCATTACCATTACTATAAATAATGTTTGTAAAATTCATACCTAGTAAACAATTTAGGACGGTCATGCCTGCTTACAGGTGTTGTCTGTTGAAACTAGTCTACAGATTGTTTCATGAATGCTTTGTCAAATTATGACAAAGTGCAATAATGTTTGAAGACTATAAGTGACACTGTATCTTGTTTCTAATAAGATAAACTTTTTTTTGTCTTTGCTTTATCTTAAAAAGTTTATATCCCTTAATATTATACATTGCATTCCAGGAATATATCATTCATTCCTTCCACCCAGCCAATGTTTATTCATTGAGTACTTAACACAAGCCAGGAACTATGGTTGATGTTGGGACAAGTGAAGAGATGTAGTTCCTTATCTCGTACATGTATATAAATAATGTATATATAGACAGTTCCCAACTTACAATGGTTCAACTTACCATTTTTTGACTTTACAATATATTCATACAACTATTGTTTTTCATTTTCAGTATAGTATTCAATAAATTACATGAGATATTCAGTACTGTAGCATAAAACAGGCTTTGTGTTAGATGATTTTGCCCACCTGTAGGCTAAGGTAAGTATCCTGGGCATGTTCAAGGCAGGCAAGGCTAAGCTATAATGTTCTGTAGGTTAGGTGTATTAAATACATTTTCCACTTAAACAACGGGTTTATTGAGACATAATCCCATCGTAAGTCGAGGAGCATACAAGTCTGCACACAGATAGGCAGATATACAGATAGACAGACGGATAGATAAATCTACAGATATACTGAAGGAAAGGCATAGAATATTATGAATTAGGGACCTAGTTTAGATTAGAGGGGACAGTGCAGAACTCTCAGAGAGGGTGATATTTATTTTTATTTTTATTTTTATTTTTCAGACAGAGTCTCACTCTGTCGCCCAGGCTAGAGTGCAGTGGCCTGATCTTGGCTCACTGCAACCTCTGCCTCCCAGGTTCAAGCAATTCTCCTGCCTCAGCATTCAAGTACCTGGGACTACAGGTGCATGCCACCAAGCCTGGCTAATTTTTGTACTTTTAGTAGAGATGGGGTTTCACCTTGTTGGTCAGCCTGGTCTTGAACTCCTGACCTGAAGCAATCCACCCACCTCGGCCTCCCGAAGTGCTGGGAATACAGGCGTAAGCCACCGTGCCTAGCTGAGAGGGTGATATTTAAACTGGAAACTACTCAGGCAAAGAAGGAAAGAACATTCTAGACAAAGGACATACCTCATATGAATGCCCTGAAGAGAAAATAATTTAAGATGTTCTAGAAACCAAAAGAATGCTGGTGTGAGTGCAGCATAGTAAGAAACAGAAGAGATCTAGCGATGGAATTGGAGAGGCAGGTGGAGCCAGGTCACAGAAAGTCTACAGACACTATGGGTGTGTCAGGTTTCATGGTATCATGCAAAGCCAATAAAAAGCTTCAAGTAAGAAGCTGGCATTTCATTTGGTATTTTAAAAAGATCACTCCGGTCTCTATAAACGGGTAAGAGGAGTGAAAAAGTAGACATGAAGATGCCTGTTAGGAGAATGCCGCAGTAATCTGAGGGAGAAATGAGGGTGTCTGCAGTAGCTTAATGGTAGCAGAAATGGCACTGAGGGAAAAGATTCTTAATTCTAGCTTGGAGGATGTTTAAATAAACTATAACAAATCCAGAGAACAGATCATAAAAGCTCACTCTCATCATCGTGATTCTTCATCAACGTTTAGAAATAGTGTATCACATGGACCTTGAAGAAGAGGTAGGAGTAATTACAAAATTTTGGAGCTAAAAGGAAGCACAAGAATCCTGTAGTCATCTTTTACTACCCACACATACGTGTAGTTAGAATCAGAGTGAGCATCGGATTATGATCTTTAGCCTCCACAGACCACCTTGCCATATTGTCTCATGAACAGGAATATACTTTACCCACTTCCTCTTTTCAAACTTAACTAGACACTACTCCACTTTGCTACAACCCTTGTAGTAATGCACTGCTTACTCACTCTGGAATTTGGAGAAAGGATAGAGAATGAAGAAGGAATGGGAAATCAAATTTTAAAGAATAAGTATCATTCTCACTAAATCAACCCACAAACACAAATAATATTGTCTTCTGTTCCTTACCCTACTTTCTGGGCCCCAGGCATATTCAGAAGCCTGATATAAGTTCCTGGGCCCAAAACACTTAAAGAAAACAAGAGCCTCATGATCATTTGAAATGTGAGTTAACTCCAAAGGCTTAAGCATAACTCATTTAGAGAAAATCAGGCCAAGGATTAATGATCATTCTCCAATACTTTTCTTTGCTTAATTCCTAAGATTACACAACTATTAATTACTTATAGTGAGTAACTCCTCTTGTTCTCTTTAAGTAATAGAAAATTTGTATCTACTATGTCCTAAATAACATGTTATATGAATTTCACCTCAATATGTCTACACTAATGTGTTATATCACTGTATCGCTTCCTTAACTTAAAAATATTATAAATGTAGTTATATATAAATGTACACTGCAATCAAACATTACTTGAAAATTCTAACCTTAAACATGGGCCTCACATGCTCCAAATGTGTTGCACTTGTAAAGGGTGCCTGAACATGGCTCACGGCCTCCATGAGTGCTTTAGCTGTCTTGGCCATCTGCTCCATTTCTAAGTTATACAGAAGTCTTCTTTGTTTTTCACTGGCTACATCTGAAACAATAAACACTATCAGCATTTTAAATATAAAACATTTAAGAATTCTATTTTGATATTTTACTATCAAATAATAAACACCACCAGTAATTAAAAGTAATCCTAAGAAGCAAGACACAAGAGATCCCATATTATATGATTACACTTATATGAAAAATCCAGAATAGGTAAAATCCATAGAAATAGAAAGTAGACTGGTATTTTCCAGGGGCTGGGGGGAGACAGAATAAGGAGTAATTGCTTGATGAGTTTGGAGTTTCATTTTGGGATAATGAAATCTTTTGGAATTAGAGGTGGTAGTTGCACAACGTTATGAATGTACTAAATGCCACTGAATTGTTCATTTTTAAATGGCTAATTTTATGTTCTATGAATTTCACCTCAAAAAAAAAAATTCCTAGACTGGGAGTCAGGAAGTGGAAACCTATGAAAAGGGAAACGAGTAGGTACCACTTTCAGAATACAATTATCAGGGAAACAACCCAAATATGGAATGGGAGAAGAGCAGAAGAGAGGTAAAATGCAATGGCATCTGGCTGGGCGTGGTGGCTCATGCCTGTAATCCCAGCACTTTGGGAAGCCAAGGCAGGCGGATCACCTGAGGTCAGGAGTTCAAGACCAGCCTGACCAACATGGAGAAACCCTGTCTCTACTAAAAATACAAAAAAATTAGTCAGGTGTGGTGGCGCACGCCTGTAATCCCAGCTACTCGGGAGGCTGAGGCAGGAGAATTGCTTGAACCCAGGAGACGGAGGTTGTGGTGAGCCAAGGTGGCGCCAAGCCAAGATCGCACCATTGCACTCCAGCCTGGGCAACAAAACTCCATCTCAAAAAAAAAAAAAAAAAAAAAAAAAAAGAGGCAATGGCATCTTTGTACCACATAGGCTTGAATGACTGCTCCTGAGTTAACAAGAAAACAACTGGCCATAACACTCCAGGGTAATTTTGGCGTTTTCGGCACACCACCATCTCCTTTCCATTTCCAGCTTCTCTTATTTCCTACCACCATATATAAAATAGGACAGAAAAAGAGGAATATGAGGATGATACAATATATAATATTCTTTTCTCCTGCCATTTGGATTTTACTACTGTACTCTGTTTAAACTTGAGATTTTAGTTCCAAGTGGAAGGGCTCAGAAATGCAGGAATCCTCTTTCTATATTACTGTTATATTCTTGAGCCACTACCCTCATCTCATTCCTGTAGTCAGATTTCAGCTCAAATTTAATTACCACTGTCCACAGGTATAGAGTGTCTAGAAGGGGGCTGGGTTCACAGTTGCCTCCTGGTGTTAGTTAGACCTAAGGACTCTACAGTGATGTAACTTGTGGTCTGTTTGAGGTAGAAATTTCTAACTCTATGAGCTCTCACCTGATCCTAAACCTCCCCACCTCCTCCAATCATCCCTACTTCCAGCTTCCATTTATGTGTAACAAAAGATGAACAAATGGAAATATATTGCTTGAAGATGATGAGGAAGAAGAAAAAATGACAAGGGTTGAAGCCTGACTATTGGGTCTAACTACTCTTTATGACCTCCAAATCCCTGCTGAGGTTAACTACTAAATGGATCAGCATATATTAAATGCACACTGACACATGCATATAATGTATACCATTTTCCATTAATCACTGGTCAGTGTTATCTTTCTTCAGAATGTGGGGAAAAAATACAATCATATCACCAAACTCTATTATAATATTTCTCATCAAAACATGGTTCTAAACAATATTTCTAAGGTTACTTTATTCTAAATCAAGTGAAAAACTCTCTTTTAAATTAAAAAGTTTTTTCTTTTTTAGAGACAAGAACCTTGCTATATTGCATATGCTGGTCTCGAACTCCTGGGTTCAAGTGATCCTTCTGCTTCAGCCTCCCTGAGTAGCTGGGGACTATAAATGCAAACCACCACACCTGACCATAAGTGAAAAACTCTTAGGAACCCATATTTTTCCCCTTGAACAATCAGAATTCAATTAATTTAGATACTTACTCTGTTTACTTGATTTTGTAGGGATTGTTAGTTCTTTTGTTTCTTTCATTGATATCTTTTTCCCAGCTATTTCATTATAGATGGCTGATAGATACTCTTCAGGAAGGTCTTTACTGTCATTGATACCTCTATTCATCTTAATGTATTGTTCCTTTGTCATTTTATTTTTCACCTAGATATGAAAAACCATTATAATTCCTAAAAATTAACATAAAGGTTACACTTGTATTTTAAGGATATGAATATTTACATAAGAGATTTTGTAAATACTTTTGAGGATAGAAACTGGAAAGTATTCAACAAAATATAGATAAAAATGAAAAAAATCACAGAAAATGAAGGCAATACAGAAAAGATCCATTCTGGCATAAACTAATTCATGCTCTGAGGTGGACATGAGTAATGTGCAACCAGAAAGGAGGGAAGTTGAACAATGAAAATATTTGTTTTTGCTCAAGGTTTAAGAGCTTTTGCAGTCTCTCAAAAGGGCCATGACAATTATTGGAAATAAAGATATCAAAAACATTCAAATCTTAGTTTAGAAGAACATAAATGTGCTGTTAATGAATTTAAAGCTGACTTTATATACAGTGGGTATAAGAGTAACAATACTTGAGATTTATTTAAAACCAGTTAACAATCTCTCTGACTGAGTCACTGTGGCAACTGAATTATGTCAGGTGATCTGTACAAAGTATCCTTGGAATGTTTTGTCTTGTATAAGAGTACCCTAAACAGAAATGCCTTTTGCACCTTGATAAAGCTGTGGAATACAAGTTTGGAGTCTGTAAGACGGTAACCCCATTACCAAACTTGGGAACTAGCATAGCCAAAATGTTTACACTTTACCTCCAGAAACCTAGATAGATAAAACCCAGAAGTCTTATGTGATGTCTCTGAAGAGACATTTATTTAATTAAATATATTTCTACGTCTTATATGATGTCTCTGAAGAGGTATTTATTTAATTAAATATATTTCTACCACCTTCCATAAAGAACTTAAGGTAACTCTTAAGATATAATTCCTGTAAATTTACATGAAAGTACACAGAAAAACAATCAAGCAAGTCATCAGAAGCTTGCAAAAACTATAGAGAGTGTGGTGTTATGTGCCCGTAGTCCCAACTATTCAGGAGGCTGGGGAAGGAGGATGGCACAAGACCAGGAATTCAAGTCCAGCCTAGGCAACATAGCAAAATCCTGTCTCAAACAAAAACAAAAGTACAGAGGAACCAAAACTTTCAGAAAATGTAACTGGGATATATACACTTATTTACTTCAGATTATTCTGCAAACAGATTTTTCTAACATGTCAGAAAGGGAGGCAGGAGTGCTTTCCCTACAAATATGTAAAAATATTACCATGAAAGTTTTCAAGTGTTTAACGTATCATTTAATGGAATAAAACCCTACTATCTTATAACTTTAAAAACTCAAGTCATGGCACTAAAAAAAAAAAATGAAAGAAAGAAGCTTTTTTACCTAAAGTTCAGGTGAATGCTTAAAAAACACACCAGGAATAACAAAATAAAAGACTACACACTGCTGCCAATAAGAAGTAAAGGAAGATTAAAATCACCTGGAAATTTTAAGCATGGCAAAATGTTTTAGCATTATGCCAATCAGAGGCAGAGAAAAGTCTTGACAGAAAATCTGAAGTAGCAGTTAATTGCCTGTGGATCTGGGTTAGGGATCCCATACGTGGGCGTACAGAATACTTTGCTTTGAGGTCCCCAAAATAAGTGCACTGCTTCACACAGAACACTTCTGCCATAGTGGGATTCTGAAGCTGTATAAAACAAAATCCTACTTTTCTTCTCCTGCCATCTTTTATGGAACATTCTACTCTTGACTTTTATCCTCGTGTGCTTGTATTAAGCTGTGCCTTATTTAGTGTTTAAATCACTTAAAGCCAGTTGTTACTACTGATGATTATTGTATACACAAAAATTGTGTTCTAAATATGCCTAAAATTTTTTTTTAATCACTGACTCACCACACACTACATAAAAAGTAGCCTAACTATAAATATTCTGGGTGAAAAGGGAACATAAACAGCTTGTTAAAATCCACCTATTTTTTAAGTTTGAAAAGAACTAAGAATGAGAATTAGTTTTAAGAAATTCCTTTAAAGTTATTTGTATTTTAAAATGTTGTCATTTGTTATAGTTATCTAAATCAACTGAGGCCAAGATCACGGGTACAATTTTCTAACAGATTACTTAGCTTCATAGAAACTCACAAGCTGTTCTACAGCTGCAGGCTGCATAGCAGCACATGACACCAGGCAGCAAGCTGATAAGGAACAGTTGGACAACAAGCAGTTGCCACCGCTAGACTAGGACTCCAAGCACATGTTCTGCAAACAGGCACTGTTATGCTAAAGACGGGACACTGTTGTGAAGGTAATACTCCCTAACTGGTATGTCCTTAGAAACTTTTCACAGTCTAGGTACTTATGAAAAGACATAAAAGGAATTTTTAATATTTCTTCAAAATAACATGAGTATGTACATATGTATAGGAAGACATTGCACAGGTGCATATAATATTGCTTATTCATTTAGAGAACCAAATGTCTTTTAAAGCATAGCTTTTTAAAACCAAACATATGTAAACCCAGGTCAAAATACTCTAGTGTAGATTGAAAAATCAAATGAAAAAATTAGACTGAAAATTCTGGTGTAAAAATATCTAAACAAATCCCAACTGTGAACTACCTTATAAAGCCGTAGAATAGAAGTCATCATGCTCGATAATAAAAGCCCTGAAGGTGAGCTGCTTTGACTATACTGCCAAAAATATGCCAGAGGCAAATCTTGAATTATTAAATTCTTTAATAAATTTTTAAAGTCCTATATAAAATCAAGTAAATTTGTGGTAAATGCATAGTTGCTCAATATTGTGTTTAAAACAGGAGTAACTTCACATATAATCATATGTATATACATATGTATATAATCGTATATATTCTTACTTTAGGTTTGGTATATACTTTCCTTATCTACTCTGCTTTAAACATCTCAAAACAGACACAAAAAATCCCTATACTGCAAAGGTTAATCTCAAAATTCAAATGAATTTTAATTTTTCCAATACATCTCAGATTAGAAAGTAGGTAATTTATTTTACAACCTAAGCATAACAAATATCATCAGATACCTACCCCTAGAAGTACTAAGAAATCCTTGCAAATAATTTATAAATGTAATTTTACCCAAGGATGTCAATGTGTGTTTTTAGAAACTAAGCAAAAAATACTAAAACTTTAAATCAAACTTTTTAAGTAGGTATCAGAAATCAAGTGACAGTTCTTCAATATTTAAGAAGTAAATATGAATTTCATGAGGCAAAAGAACATTTCTAGATATCAGGTATTTTTAAATTATTGTTAACTTTTTAGGTATGCTGGTATGGTTATGTTTAACTAGAGTACTTCTCTTTTAGAGAAACACACTGAGATAAATGCAGATGAAATGGTATGATATCTGAGATCTGCTTCAAAATTATCTAGGGGAGGAAAGAGATATAGATAGAACAAGACCGGCCATAAGTTGATAACTGTGGAAGGCAGGTAATGGGTACATTAGAGTTCATTACGCTAATCCCTCTACTGGTGAAGTTTGAAACATTTTTTTTTTTTGAGACGGGGTCTGCCCTCTGTCACCCAGGATGGAGTGCAGTGACACGATCTCAGCTCACTGTATGACTTGTGCCTCCCAGGCTCAAGCGATCGTCCCACCTTAGCCCTCCAAGTAGTTGGGACCACAGGCACATGCCACCATGCCCAGCTAATTTATGCATATTTTGTAGAGACAGGGTTTCATCATGTTGCCCAGGCTGGTCTTAACTCCTGGACTCATGTGATCCGCCTGTCTCGGCCACTCAAAAGTGCTGGGATTACAGGCGTTAGGTACCACGCCTGGCCTGAAACATTATATTTTTTAGAAGGATGGTTTATACACAGCGTTTTTCCATGTTGTGACAAACTGACATAAGACCTATAAATGTCTTGTTAGATTAAAATTTATCTTAAGCTTTATACAGTTGTCAATCATGAACGACAAATACAGAAACATTTTATAGATACCTAAAAGTCTAATTTTAATTACTACCAGAAGTTGCCTTTGTAAAATGTTCACCATCCCAAATTAAATACCCAAATATGGTGACTGGTTTAACTGAATAAAACTAAAATTTCAACTATTACTTACTGAATTCAGAATAATGTACTTATTTTGTACCGCTTATTGTAAAACTGACTTAAAAGAAAACATACCTGTGGACTGTGAAGGTCTGTGGTCAACATGATAATTGAATAAGCCAAAACATAAGCTGTATCCGCACTAGCAAAGAGAGTTTGTCTGGAAAAATAAATGTATCATGTTATAAACTTCTACTGTTTTATATAGTTTCATTTAAATAAGTCACCTCAAATCCCATAGCACTTTTATTTCTCTAAGTATCTCACATTACAATTTTTTATGGATTTGTTTTACGACTTCCAGATTGTAGACAATCTAAATTCTCTAAACAGGGGATTAGGTCCTATTATCTGTAAATCCCTGGATGCTACCTAGCACAGTGGTTTGGATATAACAGACAATCAATGAGCATTTGAACCTTATTTACCCTTGGTTGCATTCTAGGTATCTTGCAGCAAATTTTTCCATTAATCGATCGATTTTCTGAGCTTCCCCTGGAAGACGAAATCCTTCTAGAAACATACGAAGGGCTGAAACGAAGTCTTTTCCTGAAAAGTCATGTTGGTCCACATATGCATACATGACTTCTTTGTTAAATTTATCATTATCTCCCAGGAACTCACCCACTTGAGTCTAAAGTAAAAACAGAGATAGAAATTGATATTTTCTTTCTTTTTTTTTTTTTTGAGACAGAGTCTTGCTCTGTTGCCCAGGCTGGGGTGCAGTGGCACGATCTCGGCTCACTGCAACCTCTGCCCCCAGGTTCAAGCGATTCTCCTGCCTCGGCCTCCCGAGTAGCTGGGATTAAAGGCGCCTGCTACTGCGCCCAGCTAATTTTTTTTGTATTTTCAATAGAGACAGGGTTTCACCATCTTGGCCAGGCTGGTCTCCTGACCTCAGGTAATCTACCCGCCTCAGCCTCCCAAAGTGCTGGGATTACAGGCATGAGCCACTGTGCCCGGCCAGAAATTGAGATTTTCATGAGATGTTTACATTCACCACACAGCCACTTAAAAAGCAGAAAATTTTGTTAAGATCCGCAGACTTTTGATTATAGAGTTAACAATTTCAAACACAAAGCTAAAAGTTAAACACACTAAATGCCTTCATAAATATATCAGGATATTCTTTTCAGTTTAGAAAATTTAAAAAGCAGATTTTACACACACACACACACACACACACACACACACACACCAGTCATCACTCAGTATCAGTGGGGGATTGGTTCCAGGACCCTGCATGGACACCAAAATCCATGGATGCTCAAGTTCCTTATAAAAAATGGCACAGTATTTGCATATAACCTACACACGTCCTCCCATATACTCTACTCCCATATCTAGATTACTTATAATAGGTAATACAATGTAAATAGGTTTTCTGTATTGCTTAGGAAATAACTACAAGAAAAAAAGTTCGTACATGTTCAGTACAGATGCAATTACCCATTATTTCCCCTGAATATTTTCAATTTGTGGTTGGTTGAATCCACAGATGTAGAATCCATGGATACAGAACTCATGGCTACGGAGGACCAATTAGAGATGATTATATTATAACCAAGACATCTTTCTGTTTGTTTTTGAGACAGACTCTCACTCTGTAGCCCACGCTGGAGTGCAGTGGTGCAATCTTGGCTCACTGCAACCTCCACCTCCTGGGTTCAAGTGTTTCTCCTGCCTCAGCCTCCTGAGTAGCTGGGATTACAGGAGCCCACCACCACGCCCAGCTAATTTTTTGTATTTTTATTAGAGACGAGGTTTTGCCACATTGGCCAGGCTGGTCTCGAACTCCTGACCTCAGGTGATCTACCCGCTTCAGCCTCCCAAAGCGCTGGAATTACACATGTGAGCCACTGTGCCCGGCCAACCAAGGTTATTCTTTACGTTTTACTTACCTCTATATTTAGGAAAGCATTTTAAAGGAGTCACAATATGTATTATTAACTTAAAAAAGAATTTTACAGAAACGGGGCCAGGCGTGGTGGCTCACGCCTGTAATCCCAGCACTTTGGGAGGCTGAGGCAGGAGGATTGCCTGAGCCCAGGAGTTCAAAACTAGCCTGGGCAATATAGCGAGACCCTGTCTCTAATAAAAAGAAAAAAAAATCCCAAGAATTTTACAGAAAAGGTTAGAATGAAAATGGTATTCTTACAGAGTCTAATCTTTCCTCTTGATGTAAGAATTGGGCAATATCTTCAGGTGTGGTGCCAAGCATCCCTTGTTCTTGGAGGTACTGTATTCCTCTCTTTGGTTTCTTATTAAATCTAGATGATGTTAAATAAGAACATTAAAAATAGAAAACCATTCGTAGTCCCTGAAAAGATCTTAAACCACAGTAAATTTTCTAATAGCACCCAGAAAATAGTAGCTTATTTAATACACATCAGTACATGAATGTACAAAATAATTACATTGTGCCAAGTTTTCTTTATTCTTTTCTTTTTAGAAATAAGTCTCATATGGAAGGCCATCTTTATTACTATCATTTCACTGACTTGTTTACTTACTTTTTTACAGTATGAAGTATTTTTTTATCCATATCCACAGTGGGAAATTAGACTATGAGAGACTATTAGAGAGAATGCCATGTAGTAGACGAACTTTGAGTAATACTAAATATTTCATACAGGCATACTTCATTTTATTGCACTTCACAGATACGTGTTTTTTACAGGTTCATGGTTTGTGGCAACCCTGCATTGAGGGTCTATCAGTACCATTTTTCCAAAACCATATGCTCTCTTTGTATCTGTGTCACATTTTGGTAATTCTCACAATAGTTCACACTTTTTCACTATTATATCTGATACTGTGACCTGTGATCAGTGACCTTTGATGTTGCTATTGTAATTGTTTTGGGGTGACACAAACCACGTCCATATAAGATGGTAAACTTAATCAATACTTGTGTGTGTTCTGACTGCTCCACTGACTGGCTCATCTCTCTTCCTTTCCTTGGGCTTCCCTATTCTGAGACAAAAAAATACTGAAATTAGGCCAGTTAAGAACCCTACAATAAGTGTTCAAGTGGAAGGAAGACTCGCACATCTCTCACTTTAAATAAAAAACTAGAAATAATTGAGCTTAGTGAGGAAGGCATGTCAAAAGCCAAGACAGGCTGAAAGCTAGGTCTCTTGAGCCAAACCAAGTTGTGAATGCAAAGGAAAAGTTCTTGAAGGAAGTTAAAAGTGCTACTCCAGTGAATACACCAGTAGGAAAGCAAAACAGCCTAACTGCTGATATGGAGAAGGTTTTCACGTGTGAAAAGAAGATCAAACCAGTCACAACATTACCTTAAGGCAAAGCCTAATCCCAAAAAAGGCCCCAACTCTCTTCAAGTCTATGAGGCTAAGAAAGGTAATGAAGCTGCAGAAGAAAATCTGGAAGCTAGCAGAGGTTGGATCATGAGATTTAAGGAAAGAAGCAGTCTCCCAACATAAAAGTGCAAGGTCTGATGGCAAGTGCTGATGGAGAAGCTGCAGCAAGTTATCCAGAAGATGTAGCTACGATCATTTATGAAGGTGGTTATACTAAACAACAGATTTTCCATGTAGATAAAACAGTCTTTCTTCTACTGGAAGAAGATGCCATCTAGGACTTTCATAGCAAGGGAGGAGAAGTTAATGCCTGGCTTCAAAGCTTCAAAGGACAGACTGGCTCTCTTAGGGGCTAATGTAGCTGATGATATTAACTTGAAGCCAATGCTCATTTACCATTCCAAAGATCCCAGGGTCCTTAAGAATTACATGCTAAATCTACTCTGCCTGCACTCTAGAAATGGAACAACAAAGCCTGGATGACAGCACCAGCTGTTTACAACATAGATGACTGAATATTTGAAGCCCACTGTTGAGATCTACTGCTTCAAAGAGAAGATTCCTTTCAAAAGATTACTGCTCATTGACAATGCACCTGATCACCTTAGAGCTCTGATGGAGATGTGCGATGAGATTAGTGTTGTTTTCATGCCTGCTAACACAATATCCATTCTGCAGCCCTTGGATGAAAGAGTGATTTTGTTTTTGCAGAAATGCAGTCTCACTATGCTGTCCAGGTTGATCTCAAACTCCTGGGCTCAAATGATCCTCCCACCTTGGCTTCCCAAAGCTGGGATTACAGGCATGAGCCACCGTGCCCTTTCCTCAGAAGTAACTCTGAATTTCAAGTCTTTTTTTTTTTTTTTTTTTTTTAAAGAAATGGGGAATTGCTACATTGCCGACGCTGATCTTGAACTCCTGGTCTCAGGCCTCATGAGTAGCTGGGATTACAGGCATAAGCTACCATGCCAGGCTAACTTTCAAGTCGTAAAAGCTGCCATGTAGAGAGATACTACTTAAAAGCTGCCATGTAGAGATACTACTTAAAAGAGATACTACTTAAAAGCTGCCATGTAGAGAGCTGCCTTATAGTTGCCATGTAGAGAGATACTTCTGTTGAATCTGGGCAAAGTAAGTTGAAAACCTTCTGGAAAGGATTCACTGTTCTAGATGCCATTAAGAACATTTGTGACTCATGGGAGGGGTAAAAATACCAACATCAATAGGAGTTGGGAAGAAGCTGATTCTAACCCTTATGGACGATTTTCAGGAGTCCAAGACATCAGGGGAGGAAGTAACTGCAGATGTGGTAAAAGTAACAAGAGACTTAGAAGTAAAGTGTGAAGATGACACTGAATTGCTGTAACCTCATGATCAAACTTTAACATATGAGTAGCTGCTTCTTATAGACAAGTGAAAACAGTGGTTTCTTGAAATGCAATCTACTACTGGTTAAGATGCTGTGAACACTGGTGGAAAGAAAATAAGAGATTTAGAATATTCCATAAATTTAGTTTATAAAATTGCAGCAAAGTTTGAGACGACAGACTCCAATTTTGAAAGACATATTACTGTAGGTAAATACTATCAAACAGCATTACATGCTACAGAGAAATCTTTCGTGAATGGAAGAGACAATCAAGGCAAAAAAGTTTACTGCTGTCTTATTTTAAGAAATTACCACAGCTACTCCAGCTTTCAGCAATCACCACCCTGATCAGTCAGCAGCCATCAACACTCAGGTAAGACACTCTACAGCAAAAAGATTACAACTCATTGAAAGCTCAGATGGTTACTAGTATTTTTCAGCAATAAAGTATTTTTAAATTAATGTGTGTACATTGTTTTTTAGACATAAGGGGGTTATAGGTTAATAGACTATGGTACAGTATAAACATAACTTTAATGCACTGAGAAATCAAAAAAATGGTGTGACTCACTATATTGCAATATTTACTTCACTGCTGTGGTATGGAACTGAACCCACAATATCCCTAAGGTACTCCGAATATACATTCTACTTAATCTTCAAGTAATCTTGGCTCATTTGTCCAAATTAATTAGACCACACAAAACCTTTCTCAATACAGCTCCAGATTCTCTCTCACTCCCTTCTCCTTCCTCTGCTCCCATATATCATATCCCATTCCCTAAATCTATTTTTAGAGTCTATTTCCTCTGCATGTCTTTTACCTGCTCCATTCACAGGGGAGTCTCCCTCAGGCTTAAAGATCCAATTCAAATGTTACCTCTCTGTTTACAGATCATTTACTTCCTACTTTTGTTACTTTGGTGCTCCAACACCTGTCATTTGGGCTATTGCAAGAGTTCTTAAATGGTCTCCCTCTAGCTCATGTTGCCCATATTCTAATGCACCCTTCAGGCTGCCAGCAAAGTCCTATTACAAAACAGAAATCTGATGATGCTACTCCTCTGCTTAAAGTCCTTCACTAGCACGCTAGCGCCAAGAGGAACAAGACAACAAAAAGTCCTTTACATGGAGAATAAGGCCTTCTGTAATTTAGATCCAACCCAATGCTCTAATCTTACCTCCTGTTATTCCCCCTCCACTCTAGCCTGCCATGCTGAACAAGTGCTCAGATGTCCTCCCTTTCCTCTGCTGCTGCACATGCCATTCTCTTAGTCTGGGATGCTCTTCCTAAAGGTTCCCTTGTCAAGTTCTCATCCAACCATAACCACTTAACATTCATAAAATGAAACACTTTTCACTAAGCTAAACATAATCCCCCTACCCCTAGAAGCTCTCACTGTAATGGAAGAAACACAATTTTAAAGAATTATAATACTAAAACTGTGACAAATAGATGTATTCACAAGGTAAGAAAATAACACAGTAGAAGTAACTAACTTAGATGGTCATAATATATTTCCTGGGAAAGGTGACTCTGGAACTATTTTGAAGAACAATTATATCTTTTATAAACAATAAGAAAAAACATGCAAGAGAGGAAGAAGCCATACTAAAACACAAAAGCACAAGACAGTATTATATAATAAATAGTTCTGCATTGTTGGAAAGTGAGGTGAGACAGAAAAGTGGCAGGAAATGAAGCTTAGAGTCCAGCAGATCCAAATCATGAAGGTATTATCATACCTTCAAAGCAGCTTTGGTTTTATTCTCTAAGAGAGGGAAAAAATAGACTTTCATTCAAGAAAGGTTACTCTAGTTAAGCATGGGAAAAGACTGAAGAATGAACAAAACCAAAGAAAAAGGTAAGCCAATTGAAAGATTATACTAGTTGAGGAAATAAATAATCATGATTTGATTTGCAAGAATAGTGGTGGGAGATCGAGAAAAGAGTACAGATTGCAGGGATATTAGGAAGTATAATCAACAAGTCTTAGTGACAGATTAGATTCGAGAATCTAATCCTTTGAGGGGAAAATCTAAGCTAACTCCCAGGATTTTAGCTTATAAATTTAGTAGCATGCTGGGGTTACTACCATAAATAAGAAATACAAAAATAACAGGCTTCTCTATTTGTCTTTTGTTTTGGGTAGGAGAACTAAGGGGCTGATGTTGGAAAAGGGCTGAGGAACAGAACGCTGGCAATGCTAAGATGCACGCAGGAAGAAAGAAAAAACAGCCCACAAGACTGAGACGGCATAGTCAAAAAGGTAGGAGAGAAACAGGATAGACTGGTGTCATGAAACAGTTGTAGACAAGTATACTAGGAATACAGTTCCATGAAAGCATTCTCATCAATGGCTGTATTAAGTAGAAAGCAAGTCTAGCTGCTGAGAGAAGGACTGGGAGACTTCCACTTCGAAGCCCTCTGACTACTCCTTCTCATTTCTCAAGTACTTCAAAATAAGTACCTTGGCAGTACTTACTCTGTACGACACTCTTTTATAAACATTTACACAGTACTATTTTTAAAAATTGCTCATGTTTAGAATGCAATCTTGAATACAAGGACCAATGCCTTCATGGTGCTTGGCAATAGTCCCAAGTACCAAATATGTGTTTACTGGGTGACCAGCAGAATTTCAATATGCATATTTGTTTACACACACTAGACCAAGAGCCTCTCAGAAGGAAGGGCTTTTCCATGTATCTAGTTTCCCCAGGATCTTGCATAATATCTGGAAAGATGAGACTTTAATAAATATTGACTGAACAATTAGAATTAATGCAGTAGTGACAGCTATTTCCTGAGGCAATTTGGTAAGATTTTGTAATTTTAAAATAGAATATGTGTACATTTTTGTTGAACTGTTTTTCATATTAACACTGGAGAAAAAAGACACCTGAACATTCACTAAAAGGCACTGCTTAAGTATCAGGAAGAAATGCTTTACAGAAGTAGCAAACCAAGTAAGCACACAGGGGAATTTTTAAGTTTATAATAGTTAGATTCATGGAGACGGCAAACAATTTCATTTTTCCTTATGGCATCTCTTTGAAAAAAAGAGATGGGCAACAAGAGAAAGGAAGGCAGCATGGTGACATTCACAAAGGAAATAGTCCAGGAGCAGGCAGGTATCACAAAGCTTAGTGGGAAAACTGACTTCACAAGATTAGGATCCGGTACACTAGCCAGGCTGGAAGAGAGGTGATCACCTCATCAACATATAAAAATGAAATCAATAACAAGAATAGTACATTTGTAAGCCAGCTGGAAAAAATGTAAGACCTATAAAGGAGTACTGATAGCTATTAGAAGTTTCATATTTTAAATGTTTTGAGTTGTCACATGATTAGAAAATATAATGGGGGGATGTCATGAGCTAAACAGTGCAAAATTGCACAGATGATACCCATCAACAGCACTTATAATATGGTGACAAATTAATTTATATGACAAGAGTGGTTGGGCATTACAGGAATCTAGTTGGGCTAGACTGCAATGAACAAGGGGGGCTGAATAGGAGCCTCGTGAATTAGATCCATGAGAACTATCCTCCATTTTACTCATTATAAGGTGATAAACCCACGGCAGGGGTGGCACTATACTGGCAGAGAGATATTCAATAACATTTCTCCTTAAGCTATGACACTTACAAATCTATCCCTTGTTCTATTATTTCTTTTTGTTGCTTTAGGACCTCAAATTGTTCTGGATTATCAGTGCCAGACATCTGTGTACTGTAGCTGCCTATTCCTGATGATGATGTTGACTCCAGGGAATTTAAACTTCCGTATCTGTTTATTGTCTCAGGGTGTTTGATTTCACTCATCTCTTGCTCTGAGGGTTTTTCCTGACCTGAAAGAAGAAAAATTGATAGAGTACATTATTCTATCAAAGAAAAAAAAAAGTGTAAGGGCAAACAAATTCTTGAATAAGGCAAGGCGTTTCAATGTTGCTTAGATATCTATTTAATACAAAATAACTATTAGGTAACATAGTAAACAACATACTTTGATATTAAAACACACTGTAATTTGTACGTGTATAGTCTGCACCATTAGGAGGAGTTCTTTTTGCAGTTGCAGTGCTGAGTATCCACTGGATTTCTGCTCTCAGCTCACTCCTCATGAGGAATTGTTTTCGATAATACCAGTGTAGCCCTGCAGCTATGAGTTTTTCTCTGAGTGAGGGTAAACATCAAACACAGATGAACAATTCAACCTTCTTAAAACATACTGCCTTTTATATGTTTCCTCTATAATTATAATACAAGAAAGTTGCATAAATATGCTTCATTTTACATAATCAAAATATTTCTAAGAAGATTTAGAAAAAAATAGTTTGGATAACTAAGTTAAAAATCTCACAATTTTAAAGCTAGACATTTAACTCACAGAGAATGTTTCCTCATCAGTTAAATGAATAAATATGTCATGAAATTGGTTTAACAGCAGCTGCAACTATCCTCCAAAGTATTATTCACTTAAAATGACAAAGAATTACAGCTCAAAATATCACCTTACCAAGAGTTGTCTGGGAGTTGGGATTCACATACTGATCCTTACTCCATTCAACCATACACTTCAAAATCGACACTAAGCATTCTAAACCTTTTTTCCTCAGGCTCAATTCCTACAAAGTAATTCAAAAACAAAATTTTTTTTAAAGGTCTTTTAAGGAAAACACATGACTCTTTCCTGGTAAAGTTTAAATTTGAAAATGTTTTTATAGTTCTTACCTGAACATTACTCATACCAAGTTCTTGACTGCCCCTTCCTTGAGCAATTTTTGATAGATCATTTACTAGTCTTTCAAATATATTGGCTGCATTTAAGTCACAGTCATAGTTTACATAAATATCCACTACACTCTGAGCATCTGTAACAATATAACATTAATTTCAACAAAGTACATCTAGGATATGAGTACATTTGGCCTTTTAAATATCTAATAATAAGAAAGAGATAATAAAAAGGATAATTTAAAATACCTGCACAAATCCTCGTCAGTGTCTGAATAACCATCCATTTGTGATCAAATGAGCTGGTAGAAGTTTCCAAAATGTATAAGAAAATTTCTTTAAAGAACACCTGTGATTAGGAGAAAACTTCTGTTTAAAATATTGTTTAGAATTCATATGTGTGATCACTTTTTAAACATCCCAGAGCTATAGAGCAGGTATTAGGACCCAGGCTCTTATGGAGTTCAACTCCTTTTGAGTTCCATCTCTGAATCCTCAGGACTAAAATATCTTGGGTAAGTGACTTAAACTTGCCCTTCTAGTTATCAGTACTGCAATTCACATTGATGTGTTTTGTTCTCAACACAGCTGCTACAAAAGAAATATGCAAAGATTTAGAGTTCCTCTAGGTGATAATTTCTTTAACATTTTTACAGAATATAACTTACGCTTTTTTAATCCCCCTCCAAAAGCGTAATTTATACTTCTGTTCATCAGTTATATTTTTCAGAGACGTTCTAGTACTGAGAGGCCTAACTGTTCGTAGATTTAAATGTAACTGATACTCTAATCAACACAATAAAAACAATCTAAGTCTCATACGGTTTTATTTTTCTAATTACTCACAAAAGTGAAAATCTCTACTGTTTGAAAACTACATATGAACTATTTCTCACTACTCTTTACACCAAATAATCAAGCAGTGAGTTAATCAACCTAATGAGATAAATTTCAATTTAACAGATAAGAATTTTCAGATTTAAATGTATTCTATAAAAGTGACTTTAAGAAGGAATGACTGAAACAACCAACATATTAACATTTATGAAACATATGCATTATGAACCCAGAAAATCACATTTATAGTATCTCCCCCTAACTGGATTAGGTACCCCTGTAATGTGATTTTCTTTCACAAAACTCAGCATATTTCTATTTACTTGTTTAATATCAGTATCTCCTATAGACTGTAAGCTTGAAGACAGTAATGACCAGGTCTTTCTTGATAAAGATCACGTCCATATTGCAGGGCACATAGTAGGTGTTCAATAAATACTTATGGCAACATGGCCACAATTCCCAAAAACTGCATCAAAGTACCCCAGAATGCTGTAGCAAACTCATGAGGGTGCCCTGAAAAAATTCTGAGGCAAAATTCAGAGGGAGATACATCTGTTGGATACCTCAAAAGATTGCTCATGGTTTCAAATAAATCACACTACATTCCCTTCAATGACATAATTATCTCCGCAAAGCTGGGTTTTGGTAGTTGCTATGATAAAAAACCAAGTACTGAATGAAAATCAATGAAGTACAGGAATGAGGGGGACAGTATTCAATTCCAAGATCTAAGAAGCTGTGTGCAGTTTCTAATAGGCACACGCATCCCAGTGGTAAGTAATTGCGGTAAAGAATAAAATAAAAACATTATTTTTCTTTTACTTTATGCATACTATTGTCTTTGAAATACATAGTAGGCTGTGAAGACAAATATCCATTAAGTTGTTTGGCCCTGCCTGCTTAATAAATAGAACATAGAACTGGAGGTATTCCTCTGGCCAAAGTGCAACTTTCATGAAAAGTCAGACTTGTGAATCAAAAACTTTTGGGATCCTCTGATTGACAAAATAAATAATATAGACTGGAAGAGAGAGGGAAGAAAAAATTTTAGCTACTATCAATGGTTTATCAAATTGCACTAATAAGCAAAAGTCTATTGCTGTAATATAAGATATTATGCCTATCATAATAGGGGCTCTAAAAAAATCAACCTTTTAATAATTTATCGAGGACCTATAATGTATGTATGTGGAACAACAGCTATATCTTAAGTATGCTGTCTTCACATATGTTCTCCTGAAAAGTTGTACATAAACTGTATCTTCTGGAATAGATATATAATTTAAGACCCATGAAAAAATCACATCACAGAAACTCTGAAGTGAATATTCTCATAAAATGAATCTTCATGTAAAAACAATCTTAATTTTGTTTTGCAAATTTAGGTTTTCATAGCTGGGCTTTCTCCACGTTCAGCTTTTTTTTTTTTTTTTTTTGAGATGGAGTTTCGCTCTTGTTGACCAGGCTGGAGTGCAATGGCGCGATCTTAGCTCACTGCAACCTCGGCCTCCCAGGTTCAAGCGATTGTCCTGCCTCTGCTCCCAAGTAGCTGGGATTACAGGCATGCACCACCACACCCGGCTAATTTTGTATTTTTAGTAGAGATGGGGTTTCTCCATGTTGGTCAGGCTAGTCTCGAACTCCTGACCTCAGGTGATCCACCCGCCTCGGCCTCCCAAAGTGCTGGGATTACAGGTGTGAGCCACTGTGCCCGGTGCTCAACTCATTTATAATTTGAGTGTGTATAACATTTTTGAAAGTATATCTATATTTATCTCATTTTACCCTCATTATCGCCCCCTGAGGGACAATAAGGAGTGAAATAAACCTAATTTTTAAAAATTAGAATATTATAATAATTTTGTAATGAGAATCTGACATCTACAAATTGACAAGAAATTTCTTAAAGTTTTTCCTTTCAAATTCATTTTTGCAAAGTTGAATTTGCTGTGCAAAAATAGTAATCTCAACTTAAATAATTTTTGATATCTAGATCTAAGAATTTATATTTTACTGTCGGTAAACAGTACCTACAGAAGCAGAATCTCAGTGTCCAAAAAAATCTGTAATTGGTTACATAAAGTATTACAAAATTTTCTAATGCCAACTTAAATGTCTCATCATCAGATGAAAGACTTCTGGTTTTTTACAAAAGCAAAAGTTCTAAAAGTTTTTTTAACTGTCTTTTATTTATAGTTCCTACAGATAATGGGGAAAAACTATCTAAAAACGGCAACTCTTCCTAGTTAAACGCCTTGTATTATCTTAACAGACATATGGCAAACTCTTAAAACTTGACATCATACATCATATAGGCACCAAAAATGGTTTCCTGTCCAAAAATATGGCCCAAATTAAAAAGCTTTTCACTTAAAATACCAAGGCCTAATTCTGTTTCATTCTCATAACAATGCTCTAAATCAATCTTGATAGCTATTACAGAACATTAACATTAAAGGATAATATGACTATTTTAGCCATTTCGAAATTCTGGAAAAATAATTTATCCTTTCTAACAAGCTAGTGAATTATGAGTCTTGAGTTAGGATTAAATATAAAATTAACAAAAATTAAAATATAACCTGTATATCAAACATAATATGAAGGTAAAAACTGACAACATAAAAATGAGTATTTCAAAACCATACAACATCACAACCAAAACAACATTTCAACAAATAACAAATTGAAAAAAGCATTCATTAAATTGGTAAAACATAAAGTACTATTTTTAAGTTTTATTTGAAGATGAAAACAAAAAATCAGAAACTGGTACACCTTAAAAAAAAAAAAAAAAAAAACCACATAAAGCTGGGCGCAGTGGCTCACACCTATGCTCCCAGCACTTTGGGAGGCGGACGCGGACAGATCACCTGAGGTCGGGAGTTTGAGACCAACCTGACCAACATGGAGAAACCCTGTCTCTACTAAAAATACAAAATTAGCCAGGCGTGGTGGCACATGCCTATAATCCCAGCTACTCGGGAAGCTAAGGCAGGAGAATCGCTTGAACCCAGCAGGCGGAGGTTGTGCTGAGTCGGAATCGCACCATTACACTCCAGCCTGGGCAATAAGAGGGAAACTCCATCTCCAAAAAAAAAAAAAAAAAAGGAAAAAGAAAAAAAAAAAAAGAAACT
The DNA here is from genome assembly GCF_000001405.40 of Homo sapiens. Taxonomy (NCBI): domain Eukaryota; kingdom Metazoa; phylum Chordata; class Mammalia; order Primates; family Hominidae; genus Homo; species Homo sapiens. Next base: position 67,271,071 of record NC_000008.11, read on the forward strand.
GGTACACTTGCACAACACATGCAGACACGATTGAAAACATCCCTAATTTAGTTCTACTAAATCTCTGACAATATTTTAGGACCACATGATTGCTATTCTATTTCCAAAGATCCTGGAAGAAAACTTTAGGAATATATACATTAAAAAAAAAGTACAAAGCAAATATTAATTTTTTCAAATATCCAAAATAGAACCCCAAAATATAATGCCCCTCAATCACATCTTTTAAAATGCCTAATACTTACAAATGGTTTAAAATAATGGAGATGCAATATATATTTGGAACTTTCTTTTAAGATAAACAAATGTATTCGAATATACCACACAGACAATGGCAAAGCTATTATGAGGACCAAATTAATTCAAGAGAGCAAGAACCATTTATTCAACTAGTATAAGTTCCTTGAGGACAGTGGCTCCATCTTATTTCATTTTGCATTCTTAGTGCTTATCCAGTGCCTAGTACTTCGTTGGCACATATTAGTTGAACAGGTGAATGAAAAAAAATAAGTGCATGGCAATATACAAATATTATTTCATTCTGGAGAACTTTGCAGTGTATTCAAATATAATTTAACATGAAACAAATGAAATATCCAATAGTAACATTATGCCTAAATGCAAAACGTACCTCAATTTGCATCTTCAGATGTGTCTTGAAATTTGACAACAAAGTAAGAAATATAGAAAGAGAAAGCTCAAAAACCTCTGGAACAGATGAGACTCCATTTTTTGAGAGTGCAACACAAAGATACTGCTTAATAGCATTAATAAACATCTCATTTGTCCTGAAAATAGGTCCTGCATTCTGCAGAATGGATAGAAGTAACTGCAATGAAAGAATCTTGGATCGTAGTTCATGAGACCTAAAATGTAAAAAAGAAGGCATAGTATATGAACAAGGTTGGCATTATAGTAATAACAGGTTGTTCCAAAAATATTTCCAGATACACATAATCATAATTTCATAAACTTTGTAAATGGAGAGGAAGAGAAAATTCTATAACATAAAAAAAGTACAGTACATGAACAACTTAGGCACTAACAACAGGTGCTTTCACTGATGTTCCCCTGAACCATATATTTATAATTTCACAAACTTTTTAAATTTATTATTTTGAGACAGAGTCTTGCTCTGTCACCAAGGCTGGAGTGCAGCGATCTCAGCTCACTGAAACCTCTGCCTCCCGGGTTCAAGCGATTCTCCTGTCTCAGCCTCCCAAGTAGCTGGGACTACAGGCACCCACCACCACGCCCAGCTAATTTTTTGTATTTTTAGTAGAGATGGGGTTTCACGGTGTTAGTCAAGATGGTCTTGATCTCCTGACCTCGTGATCCACCCACCTCGGCCTCCCAAAGTGCTGGGATTACAGGCATGAGCCACCGCGCCTGGCCCACAAACTTTTTAAAAAGAAAAAAAAAATTCACAAATATTTAACATCAACGTATTGTTTCACTGGAAAAGAAAAAAATAGTGTGAAGATATATGTTGTGTTCCTTTCTTTCACAACCATACTTCTTACAAATCATCATCAACTTGTCAGATTAAATGCCATATTTAGTATTAATACACAACAGTTCCAATGGACTTTTTTCTGGTTATGCTACTCAAAAATCCTAAACAATAATAAAAAAGTTTTGGTTGCATTAACAAGTGACAGCACTAATTCAAGCTTACTTTTTCGGTAACCATTTAAAGATTTTTTTTTCTTTTGAAATAAATATAGAGGTATTCAGAACAATTAAAAACTTTAAGGCCAGGCGTGGTGGCTCATGCCTGTAATCCCAGCACTTTGAGAGGCTGAGGCAGGTCGATCACTTGAGGTCAGGAATTTGAGTCCAGCCTGGCCAACATGGTGAAACCCTGTCTGTACTAAAAATACAAAATTATCCGAGTGTGGTGGTGGGCACCTGTAACCCCAGCTACTCGGGAGGCTGAGGCAGGAGAATCACTTGAACCTGGGAGGTGGAGGTTGCAGTGAGCTGAGATTGCACCACTGCACTCCAGCCTGGGTGACAGAGTGAGACTCCGTGTCCAAAAAATAATAAAATAAAATAAAATAAAAATACAAACTTAAATAGCTTAGCAACTTATTCTAAATAATTCTGTAATGAAAAGCTGAAAAAGTAGTTTTTGGCTTAAAATTTTTAAATTTTTTCCCAATCAATATACTATGGCATGCTTCTGATCACTATCTAGTGTTTTAATTATTTGATTTTGCAAACACAATTTTCCTCCCATTGAAACTGATCTCTTAAGCCCAACAGACCAAGGACATTGAACCCAGGCAACATTTCAAATGCGGAACACACCAAAATGCTCTAGCAGTTGGTTTTTTTTTTTTTCCCAAAAAAAAAAAAAAAAAAAAAAAAAAGTAGCCCAAATGCTGCTTTCAGTCACATTTACACTATATAGTAAACTTAATTGCCCTTGATTTCCACCTGAAAAATTTTATGGTTATAAGTGTCAAGTAATTCAAGAAGCTACGTAAATCTAATAAGGAATTGTTAATTTCACGTAAATGGGTATCACAAAAAAATACTACTTTCTCTGAAATAAAACTGGAGCCAATAATATTATGGCTCATTATTACACAGTCATGTTTCTAAGATGGCCATTGTGCTGAGTCTTCCTTTGAATCTAAGAATATATGCAGCAAATAGATAATTACCAAAAAAAATGCTTAGATAAATCAAGTAGAGACAGCAAGAACTAAGACTTCAAATAGCTACAGGGAACTACAAATTAACCCACCACCTCCCCTCCTGTTCTAGTCTTCCAAGGCTTACACACTACTTCCTATTCTAGCTCACATTTATCACCTATTATGCTCAATTCCTATTGTAATTAAATCCTGCAGCTTACCATTCTATAACAATGAGTGTTTGTTCTAAGTATGTTTTATATTTGTATTCCCAACATTTAACAAAATATCTTGTACACTGTACATGCTAAAAAAAATTAATGGACTTATTCTTGTATTCATCCATTTATTAAATACCTACTGTGTACAAGGCAATAATGAATGAAGAAATGATTAGACAACTGTCTTATGACACAATAAGTTATACTTTTGATAGGCAAAAGAGGCTGGAAATTTCAGGTCTGCAGTTTTTCATGGGGTAGTTTCAAATTATGATTCAGGCTTCAAGAACATTTCCTGGATCATCATTTTAGCAAGACCAGAAAATATAAGGGGAAGCAAAGACAAAAAAAAGAAAATGATGTAACTACGAAAGCTTGACTTTTGGCAAAAAAAAAAAAAATCATTAAAAACAGAAAACTACATATTCTTTTGGAAAAATAATAGCTTCTAAGGGTGTATTCAGTATTCAATTCCATTGTTTAATGACCCTGACAGTCAAGTCAAGAAGGTCTTCAAACAAAATTTCCTAATATTTGGTTTAAACCCACTAAGTATAAGGCTTGTTAATTTACATCATTCCTCATAAAAATCCTTTGTAACATTAAAGATAGCATCTTTTCAAAACCAGATCACTCTTTTTTTCAGGAATAAATGAACATACTCCTCAAAATTCATATTATTTTCCTTTGTGTCCTTTTCATTCTCAGCATTTTAAAGAATTTCTTCTTTTCTGTTTCTAGCATTCTTTCAAATCACAATTTTTACATTTGATTTGGAAAAAAGCATCTGAGGCTTTAATGGTCAATAACATTTTTAAAGCATGGCAAAAATGCCCTTCAGCAATAATACCAAATTCTTATCTCTTTCTCAAAGTAGGTCTTCATTGATTCAGAATGAGATGTTAAAACTGGTGATTTTTGAATGAGACTTTTTAAAATTCAAAACTGTCGATTTTTTAATGAGATTTTTGAATGTTGATTTCTGACTTAGGGTTTGGGTCTAAAAAGATTTTATGATTTTAGGCTTCTGGGACTAAAGGATGTTTCTCCCTGAACTGGTACAATCTGACAAAATTAAACAAATATAACAAATGTAGTTTCCACATATGTATGAAGTTTTCACAGCAACTGTCTCTGGTCTGCTCAGCTGGCACTCAGAAACTGAAACACTCTATAGAATTTTTTTAAATTGAAGTACCGTTTCCTTACATCTCTATTTCAATATCCCTTTCTTAAAGTTATGGTCTGCTCCAAGGTTTCTTTCTCCAGAAAGTTCTAAAATTGTCATATTGCAATACATCATGCTGCAATATTAGAGGTGGGCGACTCATATAACTTCCAAACTCAGTCTCAAAAGTAATTAGTTACATTTGAATCACGAGAGATACTTGACCATTTATGACTTACAAAAATGGCACTTTCCTAGGGTTTAATCTAATATATTTCATGAAAATTAGACAAGTGGCTCCTAACTCAAAGTTCTTCCTGATCCCAATAGACAAAGACATCATCCTAGGGCATTTTGTCAGACCTTAATGAATATGCATTATCTTTCATTACAACTTTTAAGATTTCTTTTAGGTTTTAGTACCTTTTGACTGGCAGTTTTTAGAAACCTAGGGCTGGGATACAGGGTTACATTAGCTCCAAAGTTACTTATATGGAAATAAGAATTCATTAATTCATTCATTTGGTAATACTTATTGAGCCCCTCCTATGCACCAGACACTATTCTAGAATGCTGTCATACCCTTTAGGAAATAGCATAAGTTATCTATTCCAGCAATGCTGAAACTTTTTGTTTTTAGAAAATAGTATAAGTCACATACCCTTTAGGAAATAGTGTAAGTTATCTACTCCAGCAGTTTTGAATTGTTTTTCAATACTTTTTTCTTAAACGTAAAATACCTCCCCTCCACCCAATTTTTTTTTATGGTTCTATAGGACAAAAAGAACAAAAGAAAATCCAAACATTACCTTAACAGTAAGTTTCAAGCCTAAAAACCTCTATTTGTCAGGCAAAACAGTTAATAACTTACTTTGGATCTGGTGGTCCATCTGACAGTGGTTTCATTGACAGTTTACACAATGACCTGAATACTAGAAAGGCATCCTTTTGTAAAATGTGGGAAAACTTAGCACCAGGTGAAGGTCCTGAAGAATTTCCAGATTCCTAAACAAGTTAACATACCATGAAAATTTTAGAGATATTTGCCAGTGTAAAATCGCTTCAGCCTTCTACTGTATTTCATTCAATTCACTAACAGGTGGAGATTCCCCCACTGTTGGAAGGGGAACCAGATGAGGGAATCTGCCACGTTGTTTTTCTTTTATACTCCACGGACCACACCCAACAATAAATACCTTTAAAAATGCACTTTAAAAATATTCCTTATTAATAAACCAAATAAACTCTTAAAATTTACCCAGCTCATACTATTACTGACAAAAAACTGATATATCATGCCTGACAAGATCCTATCCAAAGACCTAAATTATACTCCCTACTACCTGTCACTGACTGTTTTATTTTATGCTTTTATCCTATTTTATTTTTTCTCTCACTCTGGGCAAATATAAACTGAAGGTCAACCAAGCCAAAAAAAAATGTACTCCTAAATATGGGACACTTAGTGGAGAACTCCTTTACCTAAAAAGGCAGATCTTTTACACACAAAATATAGGGTAGGAAGGAGGAAAAGAACCTGTCATTACCATGGTACTGATTTCTTTGCAGCCCTGAACAAAGGTTAAGGTGAAGCTCCCTAAATTTCTAAAAGTTTTCTCACCCTACAACACAGGTTGAGTTACCTGAAATGCTTGGGACCAGAAGTGTTTTGGGTTTCAGATTTTTTTGGATTTTGGACTGTCTGCATTATACCGAATGAGCATCCTAATCCCAAAATCCAAAATGTGGAATTCTCCAATGAGCATTTCCTTTGTGTATGACCTCTGAGCGTCATCTTGGCACTCAAAAAGTTTTGGATTTGGAGCATTTTGAATTTCAGATTAGAAATATTCAGCCCATACCAGAATTATCTTGTGAATATGTAATAAGAATGTTCTTATTAAATGTTAATTCAATTGGTAGATGGGTGTGGAGAAGATGTAAACATAGATGAGACCTACCTTAAAGTTGGAAATGTAACTATCAAAATATGAAGGGGAAAAAATCGCTGTAATTTATATAAATGAAGGAAAAAAAACCCCAAGTTTCTTATTTCCCCAAACTAAATAAAAATCAGGCAGCATCATCAGCTGAAAATACTCATGACAAGGTGGTGGTAGCCTATAAATTTGTAAGATTAACAGGATTTCTCCCCCTCCCCACCCCTCCATTTATACCTGAGTATCATTGGAAGAGACTGACAATCTATCATCAGGTAAGGATGGTGTATATGCAACAGAAATTGGTGTTCCTGGAATTCCATTTGCTTGAATATTTTCACTGTCACTACCATCCTCTATAGTTCCAATGTTGCCATCTGCACTTGCATTTATAGTAGTCCCTTCTCCCATATCTAAAATGATAAGAATAAAAACCATGCAAATATATCTGACTTAACCGAAGTGTATTTAAAAAGCACAGAGTATTTAAAATGAAACAGTGGCAGGAAAGCAATGTGAAGTAAAATATGTATTGGCACCATTTAAAGGTTAGCATACTTACTACTAAATAAGTATGCATCTGGCATACTTCCAAATACAATCCTTAAGTTGCTCTGGCAATGAAACACACTTAGCTGATGAAAGGCTAACCAGGATGTGCCAAAACAGAAGCTTACTTTTAGTCTATATTAGCATTTACTGAACTGGGTTTTGATGAATGCTAATGACTTGAGATGTGAAGACAAATTCCTCGAAAAAATATCTCATTGTCAAATTAGTTCAGGAAATGCTGGGAAATAGGTTTCTTTATTGTAGCCTTTAAGTTGCTAATATGTACAAAACTCTCCAAGGATATACAGTATGTTGTGTTTCCAAAATTTATTGTACCATAAGCCCCCTTCCCGTTTTTAGAATTCCTATGAATATCTCTAACAATTTATGTTCTTTGGAACACAGCCAGGGAAATAATGACCTACACCACTGAAAATTTTTCACTAGGTCACTTTGAGTAATCATACTTGTAATTAATATAAACAGAAACAAGTGACTTCTGGTAGAACAAACAGAGATAATGAAAATAATACCAAGTTCCAGAACTAATCTAGGTATAATGAAACTCTTCCATGCTACCAATTGAAAGAAAACTATAAGATAGTACGAGAGACACATGCTGTACTATAAGGAACATAGATTCTGAAATATTAAAGACCTGTGTTTCAATCATGTCTTCACCAGTTAATGGGGTAAATTATTTCATATTTCTTTGCCTGGGTTTCTTCATGAGTAACAGAAATAATGAGGTCTATGAGGAACCACCAAAACACACATACAAGACATAAAGAATAAAACTGGTACTCAATAAGTGGTAGTTATTACTAATTTTGTTACTAATTGATAACATGTCTCCAACTTTTGAGTGACTTGAGTAATATGAAAGGAGTAGCAGCTTCTGGTTCCCCTACCCAGAAGTTGCTTTCTCCTCTCCAAATTAGAACACCCTGGAATAGATTAAACTGGATAGGCTGGGTGCAGTGGCTCACACCTGTAATCCCAGCACTTTGGGAGGCCGAGGCGGGTGGATCACGAGGTCAGGAGTTCGAGACTAGCCTGGCCAACATGGTGAAACCTCGTCTCTACTAAAAATACAAAAATAAGCTGGGCACGGTGGCGGGTGCCTATAATCCCAGCTACTCGGGAGGCTGAGGCAGGAGAATCACTTGAACCTGAGAGGTCAAAAAAACTGGATAATTCCGAAGCAAGTTTTGCATTAATAAGTATAACATGAAAAATATATTCAGTAATAAAATACATTATGAAAACTGTTACACTGAAAACAGACGCTTTCTTAAGAGGACTTTTGGAGCTTCAATATGCTAATGTTTGATGTGCTAAATACCACTATAGCTTTTATATATTACATATGTAGAAAATGCATAGGCCAGGCACGGTGGCTCATGCCTATAATTCCAGCACTCTGGCAGGCCAAGGTGGGAGGATCACTTGAGGTCAGGAGCTCAAGACCAGCCTGGGCAACATAGTGAGACACCATTGCTACAAAAAATTTTTTTTAAAAAAAGAATTTACATATGTAAAGATTGTGGAAAGACTCAGAAAAAAACTAACAATGATTATTAGAAACTGAGTTCCTATCTCATTCCCCAGAGTACTTATTCCAAAACGTTTTCTCTCTGCACCCAATTACATCTCTTCCTATGATTCTCTCCCCACCTCCCCTTAACAAATGACTTCCACCTACTACTTAGCTAAAAATCAGGTAATTTAACACAGGCTCCCTGTCTCTTGCAGCACCACAAAAATACATCTCTTCCTGCCTTCAACAGTATCTTCCTCCACTAAGTATTTTAACATTCCTTTTTCAATTTTGTGCACACAACTGGATCTTCCCCATTATCCAATAAACATTCAAATATTTTCACACACACACACAAAATCTTCCTTCACCTCTTGCTACACCTCAGCTCGTGTTCATTTTCTTCCCTCTTTTTATTAAATCTCTCAAATGAATACTCAATATTATTTGATATTACTTTCCTCCTTTCCATCTCAAGAAATTTCTCAAAGAAACTGAAAACATTTCCTGATTTTCTTTTTAGACTTTGAAGCCACACCCCCGTGGCTTGAAATCTTCACTTTATCACTTCTTCAAAAGGAATAATCACTCATTATTTCAATTTTCTCATTTGTAAAGAGGGGATAGTAATAGTACCTAAACATCCCAGTGTTTGAGGGAAGAGTAAATGAATAAATACAAGCACATAAAATCATTTGAGATATACAGGAAGCACTTAATACAGTTAGTATTATTAACTGTCTCATGTTTTCTCCTCTAATTATCCTTTAAACATAGATGCAAACTTCTACTTTCAAGGTGGTGAATTGAGCCTACCAATTTACTTTCTCCTTTGACAAATCCCACTGAAATTACAAAAAAAAAATAAACAAGAGATGTACTTTTAATGATGCTGATAAACTAAGGAGCATATCACTGGATCATAAACTTTGAGGAATCCTAGAAAGTAGGTTGAAATCAAAGGAAAACCTATTTAATTTATTGCCTATGACTGAACACATGCAAAGAATAGGCCAACCTGAGAGATATGATTGTTTTACCACTTGGGTTCTAAAAGACTTCAAAGCCTAGAATGGCAAGGTGCTATGAGGTAAGAGGGAAGATGCAAATCAAAGAGCTTGGGGAACCATGCCAATGTCTATCAATAGAGCTGACCACAGCCATGATCATCTAGACTGTATTTGATCACTGCCTGCTAATTAAAGTAGATTATTTGTTTAGTAGGTCTCCTAACATAACAAGTAGGCCAGGAAAGGAGAGAGCAGCATCTCAGCTAACTGGGAATGCTGCAATAAACACAGAAGGAAAACCAACTAAGGTTCTAGGCTCCTACTCTCTTTCTACTTAATTATTTCCAATTAAAGCCATTACTGAATGATGCCAGCTTAAGATTCCCTGGCAAGGGTTGGGAGAGTGAGAACAAATCAACAAGTGTGAAGATCTTCCTCAGTGTAGAATATATAAAAAGTGTACAGCATTCACCCCAAGCTTGACTTTGGTTTGTGTTGACAACATGGTGAATGATAAGGGGCTACACAGCCCAAGGGCCACTAGAGCCATACCCTGCTCAAGGGAGGTACCTGCTTCTTTGATCTCAGCTTAGAAATGAGGTCTGCCTTTGGACCACAGACACCTCATGAATTTTGGAAAGGAAGGCCTCACAAGAAATAGAAAAAACATATACAATTACTGAGAGTAGATTGATCAAATCTAGTCTCTGTTTCTACAAATAGGCAAAAACATAAAGTTTACAGCTCAAAAGTGAAGACAAAAGACAGCAATCTGAGCAAATGGGGAATTAGATTTCACAGCTGGGATAGTTCCAGTTAGTATAGTCAGTGATAAGCGAAGGAATGTTGCAATAATACACAAGAGCAAAGTGCTATAAAAAAAAAAAAGCTCAGAGAAAAATGGGGTTCTTGGGGACAAAAACATTACTGAAACAAAAACTACACTGGAAAAAGCAGTAGAATGGATATTACTAAAAAATATTTGCAAAATGGAAAAACCCTTGTAACATTCTCGTTGAATGTAAAACCCTAAGACAAAATGATGGAAATTAGAGAAGACTGCAATAGCAATCAAGGACATGATCTAGAATATTCAACATCTGTATAGTGTGAGATGTGGAAAAGAACAGAAAGGATGAAGAAGAATTAACAATAACAACAAAAAAACTTTCTAAAATGATGAAAAGTCATAAAAAAATCAACTGCTACTCCTGATTTAAAAAAACAAAAGTAAAATTCATACCCATGCACACACAGTCACGTATATACAAAAGATAAAAGCATCTTTTAATCAAACAAGAAAACTTACTTAATTTGATAAAGAGTATCCTCCAAAAACAAAAGCAATCATCAAATTTAATGGTGAAATATAGCAATAATGTTAAAAAAAAAAATGAATATCCTTGCCATCATTAACACTATTCAACATTTTCTGGAGCTTCTAGCCAATGTAATGTAACAAAAAGAAACAAACAAAAATAAGGTATAAATGCTGTAAAGGAAGAGACAAAGATAAAAATATCATTATTCACTTAGAAAAAATAGCCAAATGAAAAACTTTTAGAAATAATATGAGTTCAGAAGGTGACCAAATAGGAGATAAATATGGAAAAACAAGAATTTTTCTATATTCCAATTAAATTAGGGAATAGAGAAGAAAGGACTCAACCAAAATATTATCAAAACTAAACCAAAAATATAGAAATAATTTAACAAAAAATGTGCATGAGCCAAAGGAAGAAAACAATAAAACTTTCCTGAATGACGTAAAAGACTTGACTAAATGAACTTTTTATGTTTCTGGAGGAGAAGACTCGATACTGTTGCAAAGAAGATATTATCTTCCCAAGTTAATTTATAAGCACATTACAATTTCAATTACTAAGTAAGCTTTAATTTTTGAACTTAATAAAGTGGTTCTAAAGTTCACCTAACAACATACATTTAATAGATATTTTAAAAATTGATACTATAGAATACAAAAATTAAAAACTAAAAAAAATTGAAGAGGGAGGCCTTGCACTATGAAAATCAAAATGTACTATAAAGCCAAAATATTTTACATAATTCAACACTGGTTAGGAATAGACAAATAGCTCATTACAACTGTACAGAAAACTCAAAAAACAGAACCATTTAGGATAAAGTTTTCATTTCAAATTAATTGAGAAATGATTATTTCTATAGCTTATAATTAGCTATAGAATTTCACACCACACAGAAAAATAAATCTGAGATGAATTAAAGAGCTAAAGTCAAAAAATAAAAACAAAATATTAGAAAAAGGTATCTTAGTGTATTTTATAATCTTAGGGTGGTAAAATCCATTTTCAGCAAGACAAAAACAGAAACCACAAATAAAAAGATAATCTTAAAAATTTTTTTTGTGGTCAAGTATGTGCTCGGAAATAAAAATATAGGCCAGGCGCGGTGGCTCATGCCTGTAATCCCAGCACTTTGGGAGGCCAAGGCGGGTGGATCACAAAGTCAGTAGTTCAAGACCAGCCTGGCCAACATGGTAAAACCCCGTCTCTACCAAAAAAATACAAAAATTAGCCGGGCATGGTGGTGTGCACCTGTAATCCCAGCTCCTCAAGAGGCTGAAGAAGAAGAACTGCTTGAACCCGATAGGCAGAGTTTGCAGTGAGCCAAGATCTTGCCACTGCACTCCAGCCTCGATGATAGAGCAAGACTTCATCTCAAAAAAAAAAAAAGAAAGAAAGAAAAAGAAAATAATATAAGCAAAGGTTCAAACAAAACAAAGACTGAGTAGAAAAAATATTTACAATACACTGAACAAGGAATAATTTCTTAGTATGAAGAACTCCTGAAAATAAGAACAAAAGAAAGAAAAGGAAAAAATAGGCAAAAGACAAGAATAGTAATTCAAAAAAAGATAAGTAGTCCAATGATATTTAGTTGGAATATACAAAATGGCCAATGTTTGACCTATAAAAATAATTGCCTATATTTTGACCCTGGAAATAGCCAAATGCAAATTAAAACAATACAATAAATACCATCATTACAGTGACATTATAGCACTGTATACAAATTTTTTAATATTCATACACCTTGATCAAGCTATTCCTTCTTTATAATTTAGCCAAAAGATAAGTGCAAAAAGATGTCTATAGTAAGAATGTATATCACACCAATGTTTATAAAAAGCAAAAACCTGAAAATAATCTAAATGCTAGTATTAACAGGAGATTATTTAAATAAATTATGGCCCAGTGATATAATGAAATTCAAATGGATGTGAATGGATATAGTTTAATATGTGAAAAAGGCAGATTATCAAACTGTAAGTACAATATATTCCCATTTATCTTAAACATATGTAATATATATGCAGGCATGTGTGAAAAAAATTATTTAAAAAATTATGTACAGCAAAACACACCATAATAAGATCAAAAGACTTGGGCGAATGATAAACTGAGAGAAAGTATCTGTAAAATATATCACAGAATCCTAATACATAAAGGATTCTTAAGGGGAAAAGGATAAAAATCTGATGGAAAAATGAACAGAAGACATGAATAAATGACTCACTAAAAGATATACTAATGATCCTACAGATATGAAAAGATGTTTAATTTCACTCATAGAGAAATGCACATTAAAACCAAACTGAGATACATTTCTCACCTATCAGGTTGGTAAAAACTCAAAATCTTTTAGTACTACCAGCTGTGGAGAGAAAGGCACTCTCATACATTAATGGTAAGAGTGCAAAATGGCACAACACCTATAAAGAGGAATTTAGCAATAGCTAACAGATATTCATATTCATTTACCACTTGACCCAATAATCTCATTTCTAGGAATTTGCCCTCAAAATAAACTTCCATAAATATGAAACAATACAGATGTACAAAGTTATTCACTGCAGCATTATTTGTAACAGCAAAACACTGGAAACAACGTAAGTACAACAGGGGGCTGGCTGAATAAACTATGATATATCTGCATAAGGTAGTATTATGCAGAAAACCATGAGAGAAAAGAAGAAAATCTCTATCAACTGAAATAGAATAATTTCTAATATGTTAGGTGAAAAAATGCAACACACACATACATGCAGTACTCTAACAAAAAATGAGAGAAAGGGAAATAAAAAACGCCTTTGCTTACATCTCTTATGTACAAGCAGACATGTACGCACAACCCCCTAACCCCCAGAGATAAACTAAAAGCTAGTGAAACTGATTACCTATAGAAGGAGGATCAGAGAAGGAAGGAGCTGATGGAGTTCTCCAAGTAAGCCTTTTATGTAATTTTGACTTTGAATCATGTAAATATTCTTCATATTTAAAAAAACGAACCAATAAAATAATACAAGTAACTTTTTCAAAACAGTACTCTCACTCATCTTTAGTAGGATATATTTAAGGATACATATAATTACAGAAAAATCTTGAACTTTATAAGTTTGCTGTTAGTAATGGCATCTTGTTGGGGATCTGGGTTTTCAATGTAGGAAACGGAAGATACAAATAGAAAGTACAGAAAGATGAGGAGCAACCTTGTGGTATTGGACGTGAAGTAGAACTACAAATAGGAACTTAAGACTAATTGTATGTTTCCCTCTCTATCCACTGGAAGGGCCTGCAAGTAAGGACATCTCAGCAGCTAGCAACAAGAGCATCTTGTAACCAATTCTTGGTTTCTAAGAACAACTGCCCACTAAAAAGGACAAAGACTCTTCGGAGAACTAGCTGATTCCAGGGCTGAGGAAAAGGGAAGTTGAAGGTGAACCTGGAACATCTTTCTGTTCCAAACATAAAGGAAAAGCTCAAAGACTAACAGAATCACATCAAAAGAACGTGGGTGTTAGCTTGAACGGATTCCTACTGGCAGACAAAAAAATAAAAATAATGATGATACAGGATTATAACACATCAAATAATAAAAGAATTCATTAAGCCCATGGTATTATTTTTAAAGGGGGGGGTGGGGCAGGGTGGGAGAGCTCTTCTCTATAGAAAAATGTCAATGAATGTTAAGAATTAGAAAATTGCTATATTGCAACCCAATATCTGAGTAAGGCAAGGATCATCAATGGGTGCTAAAACCATTGAGTGGGCCAGGTGTGTGGTTCACATCTGTAATCCCAGCAATTAGGGAGGCTGAGGTGGGAGGATCACTTGAGGCCAGTTCAAGCCCAGCCTGGACAACACAAGCAAGACCCCATCTCTACAAAAAAATACAAAAACTAGCCGGGCGTGGTGGTGTGTAACTGTAGACTCAGATACTCAGGAGACTAAGGCAGGAGGACTGCGTGAGCCCAAGAGACCGAGGGTGCAGTAAGCCAAGACTGTACCACTATACCCCAGCCTGGGTGACAGAGCAAGACCTTATCTTGGGGGGAAAACAAAAAAAAACACTGGGTGAATAAATTTTCATATCATCTCCAAGTATCAAAGTATCACCTCAGATTGGCTATTAATCACAAAGTGAAAAATGTTCCTTTACAGAGAGCTGATAATCACCATCTTAACCAAATGATCCAACCCTACCACCAACGGGGGTAACCTGTCATTATGTACCAATTTATATGATGTGGTATTAAGTACTAATATCACCATGCAGTATTTTTGCCAAATATATTTAATCTAAACTAATCATGTAGATGACAATCTCAATCTACTCATATAGGATGGTAAAGAAACCATCCAATAAATCCAAAATTTGAAATATTCTACAAGGCAAAAGATTCTTCAAAAAAGCAAATGTCATGAAAGTTGGGGGGAAAAATCAAGAGGACTTGTTCTAAACCAAAGAGACAGATAAGCAAATACGAGTGTACCCAGGTTGAGTTCTGGATTTAGAAAAGAAAAAAAAGGATATAAGACACATTTTGGGAAAACTGGGAACACTGAAAAATATATGTATATTAGATATTCTTGAAATCGTGTTAATTTCCCTAGGTATGAAAATGGAATTGTGCTTATTGTATGAGAATGCTCTTATTGGAGAAGATATATGCTGTGAGGTATTTACGGGAGAAATGTCATGATGTATACAACCGATTTTCAAATGGTTCAGCAAAGACACATACATTATGTGCATGGTATTTAAAGATACATAAAGTAAACATAGCAAAATCGTTAACCACTAGTGAATCCAGATAAAGGACACACAGGTGTTCACTGTTCCTTTTTTCGAACTTTTCTCTAGGTTTGATGTTTTTCCTAAGTAAAAAGTTGCAGAAAAACGAAAACTTTCACTTCAGACTCTGTATTGTTAGATGCTGGTGAATTTTTTTTATAAAGGGTCAGATGATAAACATTTTAGGCTTTAGAGGTCGTACAATCTCTACTGGAACTATTCAACTTTACCTATGAAGTACAACAGGAGACCTCTGTAGGCAGTATAAAAACAAATAAGCATGGCTGTGTCACAGTATTATTTTACATACAAAAATAGGTAGCGGGTTGAATCTGGCCCACAGGCCGTAATGTGCCAACTCCTTAACTATACTATTATATGTTTAAAGAATGCACGGGCATGTACTGCTATTTTTTCTTCTCTATTTTTTATTTTTTTAATATATATTTTAAATTCATACTCTTCAAATCATGGTCGGTTCTTCACTCTCTACCATTTCCCACTTGGTAATCTCATGGCTTCACTATTAATTTTAACAGAATGACTCCCATCTATAGCACCTGCCTTGGCAACTCTTGAGCCAGAGTTTTATTTTCCATTACGTATTTCATAATCATTTCCACACAGATGGCCAACTTGAAGGTCAAATTCAGTATACCAAAAGTAAATAAGTGCCTTTTTTCCCAAGTGACTTATCTTCCAAGATGATTCAACTCTACCAATAGCACCACCATCCACCTATCCATTTAGGCTCAAAAACTGAAACACTACCTGTGCAGGAAAGAGGTAACATAGCAGGCCAGAGACTGCCTATCCTTAGAAAGGCCTACTTGCAAGACTGGCCTTTGGCTGGCACCTGGGAACTTATATTTTGGGAGGGATCCCACTATTCCCAGAACTGATAAAAGTGACTCACTGTGTCTAAACTGTACAAAGAGTGTAATTTATGCTGAACACCAACCTTCCTTCTGGTATCCTGGAATTTTCGTACATGGTAGGTGCCTACATAACAGCCCCCAGTAAAAACCTTGGGACCTGAGTCTCTAATGAGCTTCCCTGGTAAACACTTCACAAGTTGAATTAAGAGAATCTGTATGACTTCACTGAGAGAAGACATTTGGAGCATGTACCTGATTTTCTCCAGGCTTCACCCCATATACCTCTTCCTACTGATGATTCTGCTTTGTACTTTTTCACTAATAAATCATGCAGTGAGTACAACTATATGCTGGGTCCTGTGACGGCTTCCAGTGAAATCACCAAACCTTGGGGTAATCTTGAAGGCCTCCGACACACTTTATTCTCTTTTCCTTACCTACTTAATCAGTTACAAAGTCTTCTTGATTCAATATACATTATATCACTTATCCATATTTTTGTCTCCATTTAGACGGTTTCTGTCCTATCCAGGCTTTGAATACTGTGCTGGTATCCTACTGGGAATTCTTATTTCCAGACTTAGCTTCTTAAAGCATAGTTCTGGTCATTTCATTTCTCAGTGCTAAAATCTTCCATATTAACCCATTTGTTCTAGAATCAAGGCCAAAATCCTAAATGTGGAATTTGTAACTTTCCATTGGTTGGCTCCAAACGTTTTAATTTTGCCCTTTCTATTCCAGACATTACAAAGTCTCCACAGTCAGATGAAATCCCATAGACAGAGTAAAATAATTTTGAATGAAGTATACTACCTCCAACAACAATGTTCACCATTTCTTCTACAATGTTCTGTACAATGTCTTGTGGCTTTTCCTCACAATCATGGTTTTCTCCGTCATATAACACTTCATTTTTAGATAATGCTTTAAAAGAAGAAAAATTCAACAGAACATTATTTTAACTTTTTGGAAGCTTTTTACTAAACATTTATGATGAAAAAACTCCTAAATCATGAGGAATAAAAGAAAAAAAATCAAATAGATAACATGAAATTAGAAGCAATTATATGCTAAACCTTCAAAATGTATACCAAAACTTAAATATTTTCCAAATTCAAGTCAATTTCAATGATTCCTTTGACAAGCTATTACATTATTACACTTAACTGAATTTTCTAGATTAGTCCTTTAAGTACCAAAACTTCAAAAACTATTTTAAATGAAACATTTCTAACATGTCCTACAGATGCTTACTTATACTTAGTACACACATTACACTATCCCTTATCAAATATACTGAATGTAAGTAGGCTGGGTGCAGTGGCTCATGCCTGTAATTTCAGCAACTTGGGAGGCCAAGGTGGGTGGATCACCTGAGGTGGGGAGTTGGAGACCAGCCTGGCCAACATGGTGAAACCCCATCTCTACTAAAAATACAAAAATTAGCCAGGCGCGGTGGCACACGCCTGTAATCCCAGCTACTCGGGAGGCTGAGGCAGGAGAACTGCTTGAACTCGGGAGGTAGAGGTTGCAATGAGCTGAGACTGCACCACCGCACTCCACCCTGGGTGACAGAGCAAGACGACGTCTCAAAAAAAAAAAGTAATTAAAGCTTGTTTCGATTACTTAGGCTCATCAATAGTAAGATCAACATGGTACTCTATGGTGAGGTCCCTGAAGAAGCATCTGGGCCTTCCCCAGTACTTTCTGGCCCTTCCTATTTTTTCACCAACATAATCTACATATCTAATGTAAAACTAAATTTAAGAAGCTAAAAAAGAATTCATTGTCCAATTTAATGTAAAAAACAAAAAAAACAAAAAAAAAACAAAATCACCAACAACAGATAACTGCCAATCGAACTTCTGAATAGCCTAAGAGAAACTGATGAAATCTGATGTTCTGGATAGCTTGCACAGTCTATTGCAGAGAAAAATAGGAATTCCACTGGGCTTTTTAAAATGTTGAAAATATGTCAAAGCAGCTCAACTATCACTTTAGAATGCCCTGGGATTCAAAATGCTGTCTTGAGCTACCGTTCTACACCAAAGGGCATCAGACAGCATATTAGCTGATGGTGCTGCAGTTTCAACTCCTTGAACCTTCCCACTACTATAAAGGACCACTACAGCTGAGCACAGGGGGGGTCACACCTGTAATCCCAGCACTTTGGGAAGCTGGGTGGGAGGATCACTTGAGCCCAGGAGTTCAAGACCAGCCTGGGCAACACAGTGAGACCCAGTTGCTACAAAAAATTTAAATATTAGCTGGGTATGGTGACACCTGCCTATAGTCTTAGTTACTTGGGAGGCTAAGATGGAAGGATCGCTTGCGCCTGGGAGGCAGGCAATGACCCATGATTGTGTAATTGCACTCTAGTCAGGGTGACAGAGCAAGACTCTGTATCCAAAAAAAAAAAAAAAAAAAAAAAAAAAGGAAAAAAGGACAAAAAAAGGACCACTACTTATAATAGTGGCTTCTAGGTGCCTGTCCTCCCTATAATTTCACTTTTACTAATTTACTGTCTGTAGTATCCCAAAAATACTGAATGCCACAAGAGAAAACCAGATAAATATGCATGTAAATGAGCAACCTTATTTTATAAAATATCCAAATAAAAATAGCATTTAGAGTCTTCTGTGAATAAAAACATAAATGTCTTGAAAGATAATTTTTCTGCCATTCTTAAGTGTTTTATTTCCATGCTCTAGTTGGCTAAAATTACCTCAAGTCTGAAAACTAGAGTTTCAAAGTAACTTAATATACATAACCACTATCTAAAAGTGTACGAAATGACTAGTGAAGGGTCAATTTTCACATAAGTATCTGAAAGAAACAGAACAGAATAACAATGACTAATATTTATTACATGTAGGAAATGCTTAGAGAAGTTAACTATTATGTCCAAAGTCACGCAGCTGGTAAGTGACAGAGGTGTGCTCCAAAAATGCACTCTGAACCAATGGCTGTCAAACAGAATTTTCATTTATATCAGCTATTGGGAGAAAAACATCTTTAGAGCCAAAATAATCATCACAATCCCACAGGAAACTATGTCTTTCTAACTCTATATTCTACAAGGCTTCTACAGCGGTACCTCACACACGGCAGATGCTTCCATTCCTTGGGTCTTAGTCCATGTTGTTTCCTTGGTTGGAAAATTTCCTACCCCTAAGGTACCTCACACACAGCAGATGCTCCCATTTCTTGGGTCTTAGTCCATGTTGTTTCCTTGATTGGAAATTTCCTACCCCTATCTATCAAGATTCAACTAAAATATCACCACTTTCTCTACAAAGAAATTTCCTAACTCTTCTCAGCAGAATTACTTTGTGCATGGCATTTTTAGGACACCTATCACATATTATACCTTATTTATGCTCACTTGACTTCCAAGTATGCTAAGATCACACTAAAAGCAGTGGCTGTATCTCCATCATCTTTTTAACCTCAAGTCCTAGCATGGTGCCTAAGACACAGTATGCTCAATGAAGGTTTGCTAAATGCATAGATATATAAACAAAAAAATAAATAAAGTCCCAGCTTTATTAGAGATTAGCCCTTTGAATCTGCCCATTATAAGCTCACAGTGAAAGTGGGGGAAATTTTGGCAAGGGCAGGCTAGACAAATGTAAATCATTTAAGTGGTATGGATTCACTATTAGCTTCAGTACTATGAATGCTTAGCTTATCGAAGTCATCCTTTTTAAAACAAATAGTAAAGTACTGTTTTTAAAAGCATGCCTCTCAGAAAGCTGGGGGGAAAATGTAAAAAGGCACGTATTCATGCCACTACTAAGTTTTGGAAAAGGCATGGTTTTAAAAAAAAAAAATCAAGAGCTGAAAACATATTACAGAAATCCTTCCTCAAAGTGAAGTAAAAACACAGACTTCAGATGAACTGTAACTGACTCCTAACATGCTAGTTCTAGACAACCACACTGGAGAGGCAACAGAATTCTCATCATTTAAAAATGACATCAAGCTAAGGAAGGGCAAAGGGAGAACACCACCAACTCCCTGGTAGTTTCACAGAACAGCTAAAGCTGAAAATAACATTTAGGAAAAAAATAACTTCATGGGATTATTTTTACAGAGAAACAAATTTGTAAAATAAATATAATTTTTATAATCTTATAAGCGTTTTCTTATAATATACACTTAAAAAATCAGAGAACATCTCAATTTTAGTGATTACTATGCATCATGATTTTAAAAAATGAAAATTTCTATCAGTTGGTTACTCAAAAACTTTGTTTTTATATTTAATTTCAGTACTTTTTTTTTTTTACCATAATCATATTTTTAAAACTGGTAATGATTTTTTAAAATTTTCAGTCATATTCCAGAAAACCTTACTAGGTCACTTGTTTGCTATGAAACCAATCTTAAGAAAACTGAAATTCCTATATAACATTTAACGGACATTTATGACCCTCTTTAGAAATATATCTGCGCTCCAAAGGAAATCTATAAATCATACTGCTCATGAGATGCTAATAAATGCAAAGTATCATTCATAGATATCTTGTAGGTTAGAGTCAAATTAATTTTACCACCTACAATGAGGAAAGTCCACAATTACCACAATGTGTCTGACACACTTATTAAATCATATTATCCTTTCAACATTTCTTCATCAAAACTCTCATTCCTACACATTTCCCTTAACACACACCCCAAACCCCCTTTTCAAGAAGATTACTTTCAGCTGCAGTTGCCTGATCAGCTTCAGTCTGTTCATTTTCTGCACTGGAAATATCAGATCCATTTTCAGGCTCTGTGTCATCCTGAAGACTTTTATCTACATCATTTGTATGGAGGTCAAGGTCCCCTTCGTGTTCTTGGGATATATGATCAACAGTCTGAGGTGGCAAATATCTAAGTTGAGGTGATTCAGGCTCGTGATGGCTTACTGGAGACTGTAACAGATGATGATGCTGCCGATGCCTTTCTTTTTCCATTTGTTTTGCTTCCTGTAACTGGAAATAAATAAAATTTCCAATATTAGTAAAATAAGTTGTTTAAAATTTGGAAGGATAATGTTACCTCCAACAATCCTTTCTATAAGGTGCCATTCTCTCTACGCTTGGAAATTAAAGTTTATCAGAAATGGAGAACATAAACTATACTAAAAACAATGAACAATGTTTACTTCTTAGGTGGCTGGAAATTGGCACATAAGAACAGAGATGAAAGACTTTCACTATATAGCATTTTCACTGTATTTGGTGTTTGTGTGGATGAAACACACGCACACACATTCACTTTTGCTTATACATACAGAAAGTCTATAAAAATACATAAGAAGCTAGTACTAACAATTACCTATAGAGGGTAGAGATTAGGAAATAAAATGGAAAACAAGAGTGGGAGGCAACTTTTCAGTGTTTATCCTTCTGGAGCATGTTCTTATGTCACCTTGTCAAATATCTTTTAATAAAAAAATTAAAATTACATTTAATAGAATTACAATGAAGGCTTAAATCACTCTGCCTAGCCATCTAATAATTATGAAAAAAACTATATCTACAAATGTCTGAATTTTATTTTAGAAAAACTGTCATTATTATGTATATAATACTATCTGTAAAACTGGCTCACAAAATGTTAGAAACATTAACTGGGATCACAAGATTTCATTTTTTAGCACTTTATTGCTTTCACACATCTCTTTTGGTCCTCAAGACCTGATAAGAATGAGTCTCACAGAATTAATTTCCACCAAGATAAATCTTATACAGTAGTAAATATGAACATTTCATATTCTCCAGTAATATTCCAGGTTAGGTGGAAATGCCAGAATTACACGAATTTATAAAATAAGCTTGAATTAAAGGATTTTAATAATAAAGTCTGACAAGATTTGCTTTGTAAGGAGTTTTATTTTGTGGGGGAAGGGGAAAATTAAGGTTACCAGTAGCTAATATCAAAGAATTCAACATCTGGCTTAGAAGATTTTAGCAAATGTGGAAGTTAAGTCGTCTGTATCCCATTTCCCCTTATTTTCTCTCCCTCTTTTCCACCTTTTCTATAATTATCCATAGCACAGAACTAAATATCCTTTGTAACACAATACATGTTCATAGCCTTTATCATAATTCAGTTCTGCAGTTGTTTAAGGGAAACTCTTTGCCTCAAATGTTCCTAAGATCTTCAAAGGTAATAGTCAAGTCGGTTTTGCTCGTCACTGTATAAGTGAGGCCTAGCACAGTGCCAGGAACATATAAGGAACTTAATAAAAAGTCTGTTAATCAAATCAAACCAATAAAACTTTGTTATTAAAAAGTGACAAAAATATTTTATGTCCTCAAAAAAAAGCAGCAAAACCACTGTTTGTGGCTGCAAAATATTAGAAATAAATTAATGCCACTACAGAGGAGAGTGACTTAATAGATAATAGGCTATATCCTAAAGTACTATCATCTATAAAAAAGAATGAGGAAGGTCTTTAAGGACTGATATGAAATGCTTTCTAGGACATACTGCTCAATGATAAGAGCAAAATACAAAAGAGAATGTATAGCATATGTGGTAGCTAGTCTTCAAGATGGTCACCAATGATGTCCACCTCTCAATTTTCACTCCCTTGTGTAGTCCCTTTCCACAATGTACCGGTGTGACCGCTTCTGATTATAAGGTAGACATGTGGCTTCCGTCTTACATTCAAGGGGTGGAAAGAAGGGAAGAAGAGGAATGCAGTGGTAGGAATTAGTAGGAATTGGTACTTTTCTGAGTAGACCTTTTGTACAGCTCTGACTCTTAAATCGCAGTAATGTTTTACATACCTAAAAAATAAATAAGTACAGTTCGCCCTCTGTGTATCCATGGGTTCTACATCAGTGGATTCAACCAAACAGGGATTGAAAATACTGATGGCGGGGGGAAAGAATAGCTGTGTCTGTACTGAACAAACATGTACAGACAACTTTTTTTTTTGGTCGTTATTCCCTAAACAATACAGTATAACAACTATTTACAAAGTATTAGGTATTATAAGTAATGTAGAGATGATTTAAAGTATACAGAGGATGTGTGTAGCTTATATGCAAATATTACACCATTTTATAAAACAGACTTGAGTATCCACAGATTTTGGTATCCATGGGAGGGCCCTGGAACCAATCCCCCATGAATACTGAGGGATGACTGTAATTAAAACTAACCAGGATGTGACGAATACCAAAAATGAAAAGCAGAGAGTAACAAATGAGTCTAACTATTATCACAAAGGAATAGCATTACCCTATTGCAGAGTGTGGGGAAGAAAGGAACTAATCTAAGTAACTAGAAAATAATATTTTGAATGGATAAGGCTAAAGACAAAAAAACCTGAATATAAATGCTATAATCTACTTAGTAAATTTGTTTCTCACACTGGTAATGATTAGCAATTCTAAAACTAATGGGTATAATAGGATTGAACAATCAATGTATTTAGAATACAAAAGCCATATTTCTCATTGTTTAGAGAAAGAAGTTTACATATAAAGGGAGAAGACTGAAATGAACCCTGTATTGTTGCACTGGAATCAGAAATATCAGTATGAACACATGGTTTTATTACCTACATATGGAAAGTCACATACAGGTGTAGGAATTGAGTGGGACGGAAGGGATAGTATATAAACATATATTTCCTAACTCTATCTGCTGAGAGGCCTAGAAGCAATAACACAGAGTGACAATGAATACAACTAGCACTCAGATTTTGGTTTCTAAATACCATTCTCCAATCAAAAGAGCTACAGCTCCTTATTGAAGTGGTTGATTCCAAGGCTGAAGCTGGGAAAATTCAAAATGAGCCTGGAAAATCTTGAGAATCCAGAAAGCATGGAAGTACTCAAAAAAGGATGGGAGCTGGTCACAAGGACACAGGGCCAAAAGTGTAATAATTTGGGCAACAAAATAAGTAACTGTAGCACACATTACAACCATAAAATAAAATAAATATCTGTGATTACAGATTGATATAAATAAATAAATTAAGGGAGGAGAAATTCAATTAATAAATACAGAAGAGAGAAACAGGAAAATCATTAGGGAAACGCCACAATAATTAACTGTTGCCAACAAGATCCACTGACAGATATTAAAACTGAGCAAGTGAGGGGAGGATCTGAAGAGAAACAGTATTTGCACTGTCTTAAAATATCTCCCCAAAGATATTTATTAATTGCAAAAGAAAAACTACTAACTTCATAGTGGAGGAACCTGACAGATAACTACCTTAACCAAGTGATCAAGGTTAACATCACCAACATTAAGGTATATCAACATCATGAAGTCCTGACAAAATGCACTGAAAAGGACACAACATTGTCTCAGAGATATTCTGGCAAAAAATGCACAACCTCATTCTAATCACGAGAAAACATCACAAAAAGTAAACTGAGGAAAATTCAACAAAATAAATTATTAGTATCCTTTTAAAAATAGCAAGATCATGAAAAAGATAAGGAAAAGTTGAGGAACTGTCACAGACTGGAGAAGACTAAGACATAAGAACTAAATGCATACTGAACACAATGTGGGATCCTGGGTCAAATCTTAAAACATTAGTGGGAAAATTGGTGAAATTCAAGCAGGGTCTGTGGTTTAGTTAACAGTATTGTACCAGTGTTAATTCTGCTTTTGATAATTGTACTATGTAGGTATGTAAGTTAACTGCATTAAGGGAACCAGGGTGAAGGGTAAAAGGGATTGCTCTGAAAAATTTTTGCAACTTTTCTCTACGTTTAAAAAGAGTTCAAAATAAGAAGCTTGATGTTGATTTTTAATAGTGAAGACTTATGCATTTAAAAACAATTCTCTAGTTGCTGATCTCTTAACAATCAACCTGAAGCAGTTCAAAGTATAAGGAATATCATGCCCCTTTATCATACAGGGGAAAAAACGTATTTCATCAATATGGAAATATACTTTTTTAAGGCTTAATGAATAATTTTATTTCAGATTAGATTAAGTATTTTATAGCTACATTACACTCTACTAAGTTTGAATGCAATAAAAGTATTAATTCATAAGTACTTCCACAAGGAAGATGGCAATCAGCATATTTCACATACTATTTGTGAACAACTAAAAATACTTTGTCCAAAGTTAAGTCGGTAAACCTTAAAACAAAACAAAATAAAACACAATCCCACAAATCTCCAGTAAGTGGAAATGTAAATAAAAGACATTCTTTTCTACAGGTACAAAGATTTCACTCTAATTACTGTAAACTCCTTTCTATGTTTAATGCCTGTTGTGTTCTATACAACCTCTCTCTTCTTAAAATACTTACTGCTTGGTTTTCCATGCGTGCAAAGATAACATTTAGCATCTGAGTGAGAGTAGCTTTGGCTGTTGTCTGATTGATGAGATTTTTGCTTGCTAAGTAGATATTGTAACATGTTCTCACAGCTTGCAGTACAGTCCCTTCATGAATTTCTATGTGTTGTGATGTTACTGCAGTAAGTAAAGCCTTTAAGAAAAAAAAAGGAAAAAGTTAAAGAGATTTTCTTTTTCTTTTTTTTTTTGGAGACAGTCTTTCTCGCTCTGTCACCCAGGCTGGAGTGCAGTAGTGTGATCATAGTTCACTGCAGCCTTGAACTCCTGGACTTAAGTGATCCTCTCGCAGCAGCCTCCTGAGTAGCTGGGACTACAGGTGAGCACCACCACACCCGGCTAATTTTGTTTTATTTTTCTGTAGAGATGCAGTCTCTCTTTGTTGCCCAGACTGGTCTCACTCCTGGCTTCATGCAAGCCTCCCACCTCAGCCTCCCAAAGTGCGGGGGTTACAGGCATGAGCCACCACACCCAGCCTTAAAGTGATTTTCTGCATCTAGAGTTTCAGCACAAAAATTAAGCATTTTCATATTACAATTAAAACTTTCAGAAACAATTACCACTTGCGGGTAGTATACACAGAATTTCTACTGGCCTTGAATATATCATCAACTGTTAAAATATTTGATGTTTTCCTCACTGCGGCAGTAATTTCCACATAATCTGAAAACCATTTAACTGATTTGTTTCAACCAAGGTTTCATTTTAATGAAAATACTATTTAACTTACTAAAATGCACAGCATGAAAGCTGTTACAGCAGAGCACAGATACGTCACATGAGATATCTGTTGAACTAGACCATCAACTTGGGAAGATACACACTGTGTCTTATTTGCCTCTAAATTTTTCTGAGATCTTTTTTTAACACACTGAACTCAATAGCTGTGCTGTTGTTGTTATTGTTGAAGAGGTTTATAAATGTTTTAGAATAAAGCATTTAAAATAATCCCAAAGTAGCTGGGCGTAAGTGCCATATACCTGTGGCCCCAGCTACTTGGAAGGCTGAGGTGGGAGGATCATTTGAGTCAGGGAGGTCAAGACTCCAGTGAGCTGTGATCATGCCACAGCACTTAGCCTGGGCAACAGAGTGAGACTGTCCCAAATTAAAAAACAAATTCCTAAGGCAAATATTTCAATAAAATGAACAAATTTAACCTATGTGAATTTTCACATATTGGGTTACTTCCAATTTCTCAAGAGCAAAGACTCTTATCTTTTGTCTTCTTTATGTTGTACAATGCTATGCAGGGTCAGCATTAATGGGCATTATCTTAAACCATAAATGACATGAAACTATACATGATAGGTCAAAATGATCAACCCGTTTTTTTTTTTTTTCTTTTTTGAGACAGGATCTCACTCTGTTGCCAAGCCTGAAGTGCAGTGCAGTGAACATGGCTCACTGCAGCCTCAATTCCTGGGCTCAAGTAATCCTCCCACCTCAGCCTCCTGAGTAGCTGGGACCACAGGCACACATCACCACATCTGGCTAATTTTTAAATTATTTTTTGTAGAGACAGGGTCTTGCTGTGTTGCCCAGGCTGGTCTCGAACTTCTGGGATCAAGCAACCTTCTTGCCTTGGCCTCCCAAAGTGCTGGGATTACAGGCATGAGCTACCATGCCCAGTATTTTTTTTTTTTTAGAATAAAGATATTGTATGGCTTCTGAAGTAAACACAACTATAAAACTGAAAGGCTCCAAAAGGGTTGTATTCACACATGAAAGAACACTTCATATATACACGTAAAAACAATTTCAAAAGTACTGTACTATATATAGCACATGAAAATTTTACTGCTATAAAAATATACCACCACTACCATTAGCAATAACATTAAGAACTCAGTATCTGTAACAGAATGAAAACATTACTAATTTTTCTCCAAAGGAATTCAATCAAACAAGTACGTTACAGCACAAACTCAGAACAGGGTTTTGCTGAGCAAGTTCTATAGATGGATGGGTGCAACGATATCAGGAGAATTGGCGGATAAGTAGTGTCCACCTGGTAATTTGTGAGTTGAGAGGACAAGCTATGAAAGGTCCAACAGTACAGAAGAAACTAGAGGGGTCACAGCTTTAAGAACTACCCTAAAGTTTGATGGATGCAATATATATATACATATGAAAAACATGCCAGAAACAGAAAAACTTTGGAAGACTCTAGGGACTAAGTCTAAACTGAGACCTTCAAAAGAAGAGATATGAGAACATACTTTTCCTCTAACAAACTCTTGGCATACAACATTAAAATCCCCTAATATGGAGTCTAGAAAGCATCCAAATGACCTCTTCGTTTTTTTCTTGAGACTGAGTTTCACTCTGTCACCCAGGCTGGAGCACAGTGGCATGGTCTTGGCTCACTGCAACCTCCGCCTCCCAGGTTCAAGTGATTCTCCTGCCTCAGCCTCCTGAGTGGCTGGAACTACAGGTGCCCACCATCATGCCCAGCTAATTTTTTTGGTATTTTTAGTAGAGTATTTTTAGTAGAGATGGGGGTTTCACCATGTTGGCCAGGCTGCTCTCAAACTCCTGACCTCAAGTGATCCGCCCAACTTGGCCTCCCAAAGTGCTGGGATTACAGGCATGAGCCACTGAGCCCGGCCTCGAATAACCTGTATTATAGCTGGAATGCACATAAAATGATCTTTCCTAATGTTTTAAGGTGAAAGGCATCTGAATTTTGAAGATACAGATTATTAATAACAATTTTACTTTATATAATAATTACCTTTATTATCTGCAGCTGAACTCCTTCATCTGTCTGAGGGCCCTGAAAGCAGCCACATATTGTTTCAATAATTCTATCAATTAATTTTTTGCCTGGTGTTGTACTATCTGGAGCATTGCCAGTCAAGTGCCCATAAGCAATAAGTTTCTAAAATGGAGAAAGAAAACAAAGATCCTAAGTAAGGTAACAAATATTATACATACTAATGCAATATACATTAAAATTACAGTATACAATTGAATATACATAAAATTTTTACACAAAAACATAAAGGTATTATCAAAGCCAAAGCTATACCAACTTTTTCTGTAGAAACTTTATTCAAATATGCAAAGTTATTTATACTTGTAATAATCACAAAAACAGAACAATAACCACAATAAAACCATCAGGTAATATTTTGAGAAAGTCAGGCCTTGGAGAACCTGTCTCTGATGAGTTAGAATTGCTTACTGTGCTGGGCGCAGTGGCTCATGCCTGTAATCCCAGCACTTTGGGAGGCCTGCTTGCCTCCCACATTGTCAGTCCACATTGGGTGGACTGCTTGAGCTTAGGAGTTCGAGGCCAGCTGGCAACACAGGGAAAGCCCATCTCTACAAAAAATAAAAAATTAGCTGGGTGTGGTGGTACATGCCTATAGTCCCAGCTACTCAGGAGGCTGAGGTGAGAGGACTGCTTGAGCCTTGGGAGGTGGAGGTTGCAGTAAGCCAAGCCTGCGCCACTGCACTCCAACGTAGGTGACAGTGAGACCTTGTCACAAAAAAAAACAAAAAAAAAATTGCTTATTGCTTTCCACATAAACAAGGTTTTATTGATACTGCTTTTGTGAAAATTATCTTCATGCTTTTATATGACCCCCAATCTCTTTCCAAATGATTCATCAATATGTATAAAACCCAGTTTCCATATACTAGCTGAGATAAATCATAGATTTGTTCATTCATCATTATCAGTATACCCTGGAAGGAAGGCTTTACATATTATCATTCTAATTTTCCAGTGAAAACAAGATCACAATTCAGATGAACTTATCTTTAACCTATCCTTAAGGACAAATAATATGGTCTTTTCCTAGCTACTGAATTATAGTTGAATACATATAATTCCCAAATAGTGAGAACATCTGAAAAGAGAAGTATTCCTCTACTTAGAAACTTGTCTTACAAATATAATATCTATGAAGATCCTCTGTATATGTGTCAAACAGGGTAACAGAGTTCAGAAATTTTTCTGACATAAATGACTGCCATCGCTAAAGTATAGCAGTTAAATATTAAATTATATTAAGCTGCCAATATTAACCTATTGCTTCATATAAAACAGACACTGGCCAGGCACAGTGGCTCACGCCTGTAATCCCAGTACTTTGGGAGGCCAAGACGGGCAGGCAGATCACTTGAGGTCAGGAGTTCAAGACCAGCCTGGCCAACATGGTGAAACTCTTGTCTCTTCAAAAAAAAAAAAAAAAAAAAAAAAAATACAAAAATTAGCTGGGCATGGTTACACACACCTGTATTCCCAACTACTCAGAAGTCTGGGGCAGGAGAATTGCTTGAACACAGGGGGCAGAGGTCACAGTGAGCCAAGATTACGCCACTGCACTCCAGCCCAGGCAACAGAGCAAGACTTCGTCTCAAAAAATTAAAAAAAAAAAAAACAGCAGACACTTAGAAAAATTATTTGCAAATGGTGATGTATGTAAAGTCGGCAGCAGGTTAAAAGTATTACAGGTCTTGCATTTCACTGATGAGAAGAGACCAAATCAACACTTTTCATTATTGATAAACTTAGTAAAGATTTTATATCCCACTAAGTTAATGATTGTTAGTATTAAACTAGAAATATCTTTTTGCAACTATTATTATCTGTCTTAAATATAAAAAATCACTTGGATTTTTTACCACAAAAAAGAGTATTCAAAGCTTTCATGGAAATGTCTGAATCATCAATGTGAGTAATGTTTTAGAAACACATTCAAAGTACACAGTTTTTAGAAAGTGCCATTTTAGACATACCTGTAAGCAATCTAGAGATGTACTAACTATGCGAGGACATTTGGACTGGCATGCCAACTCAAAAGGCAAGAAGTACTTGTCTGCTTCAATAAAATTTGTCTTTGATTTCACTGGTGGAAGGGTGCTTGATCCAGCTTTTGCTTCTCCATGAGGAGGACTAAATGAGAAAGAAAAGTCTGATTATAGCGTATCACATTTATAATATTGATAATAAACCCATGTAGAAACACAGAATTTCAGTTCTAAAAGGAATCTTGCTAAACCAGTCCTCTATCTTCCCATATTTCGAGAGGAAACCCAAGCCCAGAGAAGTGAAGTGGTTTGCCACATAGTCAAAAGCTAGTGGCCAGAGCTGTGACTAACCACAAGACGCTGAAATCTTGTCTGCAAAACTGGTCTACAAAAACTGTAAAATTCAAGTTGCTTCTATTACAGAAATATTTTATTGTCACTTAACAAATTTGGTATCATAATACCTTAAAAAGCAATGGCCTTTCTATTTGTCCTTAAGTCAAAGTGAGTTTTTTTAGTTATTCAATATTGTCCTAAAAATGCCAACACTATCAAAAAACCTAGTAATTTTTCCAAATATGAATCAAAGTCTTTAAGAAAAGACTCTGAAGCCTATCTTATGGTATTTCAGAAGTATCTTTATATACTTATTTATATGAGAATCTTTTTGTATTTTTAAGTATGCTTAGAGCAGAGTCTGGTGGCTCATGCCTGTAATCCCAGCACTTTGGGAAGCCGAGGTGCGTGGGTCACTTGAGTTCAGGAGTTCGAGACCAGCCTGGGAAATATGGCAGAATCCCATCTCTACAAAAAATTAGACAGGCATGGTGGTGCTCGCCTGTAGTCCCAGGTACTCGGCAGGCTGAGGTGGAAGGATCACTTGAGCCTGGGAAGCAGAAGTTGCAGTGAGCTGTGATCACACCACCGCACTCCAGCCTGGACAACAGAGCGAGACCCTGTCTCCAAAAAAATATATGCATACATTTTTATAAATATATATAAAAATAGGTTTTAAGAAATATAATTGTATTTATTGTTTTTATATAATTGTATTTCTTAAAACCTATTTTTAAAGTTGATTTTACTATAAAACTCACATGCAGAGAATTTGCCACACTAAAATACAGATGACTATATTATTTTGACCAAGACTGACAAGTTTGAAAATTATTTTTACTAAAGAAAAGAAATCCCACAAACCTCTGTTTTTCAGTTTCCGCTTTTATTTCCTCTGAGGGGAAAAAAAAAGAAGCATACATTAGAAAACTGGACAGCAGAAAGACTGAGTAATTTCTTAAGTTCTATAAACTCATTTGGAACTTCTACAAAAAGTTGGAAAGAATGCAAATTTAATAAAAATTAGATGCTAAAATTGTTTCATCTAAATTTTTTAATTTACACAAATAACATAAAACTATATGAATAGGTACATTAACAAACATAAGGATAGGTGAAGTTACAGATTATTAATTCCCAACGCATTTCCTTTTCTCAAAGCATTTCCTTTTTCGTCAAGTAACTAGTTACATTAAGCAGAAGCATTAATATTAAGAACAGGGCCAAGTTCAGTGGCTCACGCCTGTAATCCTAGTGCTTTGGGAGGCCAACGCAGGAGGATCACTTGAGGCAAGGAGTCTGAGATCAGCCTGGGCAACAAAGACCCCATCTCTTAAAAAAAAAAAAAAAAAAAAAAAAAAATTTAAATCAGCTTGGGCATGGTGGTGTATGCCTACAGTCCTAGCTATGTGGGGCAGGGGGTTGAGGTGGGAGGGTCCCTTGAGCCCAAGAGTTAAAGGTTACAGTGAGCTATAACCACTAGACTCCACTACAATCCAGCCTGGGCACAAGAACAAGACCCTGTCCTCCCACCAAAAAAAAAAAATCACAACAGAATAATGTGTATGCTATAATGAAGTCACAAAATGTACGGCAGATGTTTGGGGACAGGAGGAAAAACACCTCAATGCACCAACCTTGTGATTACCCCAGGGAGATTATCAGACCAGAACTATAACTTCTTAAATATGTTTGTGCATTGATATTTAACTCATTTTTCTATTTATGACTATACAAGGCCCTATAAAATACACATGCTCAATTTAATGGGAAATTTTCCCTTTCACTATTTATACTATAAGGTATCAGATAAATTAGACAAATCCTACCCGTAATAGAAGACCCTTAAATTTAATTGGCTGAGCACAGTGGCTCATGCCTGTAATCCCAGCACTTGGGGAGGCCAAGGTGGGCGGATCACCTGAGGTCAGGACTTCCAGACCAGTCTGGCCAACGTGGTGAAACATCGTCTCTACTAAAAACACAAAAATTAGCCAGGCGTGCTGGTGGTGCGCGCCTATAACCACAGCTACTCGGACGGCTGAGGCAGGAGAATCACTTGAACCTGGGAGGCGGAGGTTGCAGTGAGCCAAAATCACACCACCACCCTCCAGCCTCAGCGACAGAGTGAGACTCCATCTCTTAAAAAAAAAAAAAAATAATAATTAATTAATATATTGGGGAATCTGGCTAATTGACTAAATCTGCCTGAAATTTGGAAAAAAGGTATTCAAATGTGTGCCAAGTACTACTACACTTTACATATACTAAACTTTACATAGACTATTACACTTTACATGCAACTAATGTATTTATGTTTGACAACAATCCTATGAGGTGTGTACTATTATATCTTCATTTTAAAGACTGGAAAATTGAGGAAGAGAGGTTGAACAACTTGTCCAAAGGCTGCATGGCTTGGACGTATGGCTAATCAGGTTTCAATATTAGGTAATCTAACTACAGATTCTGGTTTATTAACCGTTCTACCATATAGGTGTATCTGAGAAACTGAACAAACTGTGCTAAATTGGGGTATGATAAACAACTACTGGCCTATACATTTTTAACACTATCACTAACTGAGCATCTTTCACGTACCAGATACTGTATTAAACCCTTTAAAAAGCGACTTTGACAAATCACCTTGCTATACAATTTCTACAATTCATTCGCACAATCCATACAACTTATTCATACAATACATACAAATTTACTCATTGCCTACTGTGTGCCAGGCATCTGATGTTCAGTATTTCAGTTTAGTTTTCTGTGAACCAAACCCCTTTCCATTTTATTACTGGTAGAACTAGAAGGCAGATAGTATAAAAATATTATCTGCAGCTATTTAAAATACCACTTTAATAAAGGTTCACAATGATATTTAAGATCTGTATATCAGTTACTAAAATTGCACGGCTCACCAACAGATACAATCAAAAATAATCTTTATCACTTGAAAATATATGTGTGGGCTGGGCGCAGTGGCTCACACCTATAATCCCAGCACCTTGGGAAGCCGAGGCACATCGATCACTTGAGGTCAGGAATTTGAGACCAGCCTGGCCAACATGGTGAAACCCCATGAAATACAAATATTAGCCGGGCATGGCGGTGCATGCCTGTAGTCCCAGCTACTTGGGAGGCTGAGGCACAGGAATCGCTTGAACCCAGGAAGCGGAAGCTGCAGTGAGCTGAGATTGCGCCACTGCGCTCCAGCCTGGGTGACAGAATGAGACTCTGTGTCAAAAATAAATAAAATAAAATAAATGTATGGATAAGGAGGAAATGCTGTGTTGACTGACCTAAATCATCATAAAATAATTTAAGTATTCTTCATTTAAAAAAATTATCATTATTTAAGAGGCTGAGATACTACTACAAACCAGTAAGGCAGGAAAAAAGGCAAGGCAGGGGAAGAAGAGGAGCTGGCAGTTTTTGTTATAAGGTGAATTCCCATTTGTAAAATAATTACAGAATAGGATATTCTAGTTAAGTAAATTATACGCTAACTAGGAATATCAGAGGAAATGAAACATTTTAAAGAGCACTGTGTTTTGATACCAAATATCACTAAATAACTGTGAGCATGAGAAACAACTCTAACTTCACTAACTACTAGATAATAAAGGTTCCTTATATTCTAAAACATGGGTGAACAGAAGCCTACCATAAGTTTTTGTGCAGCCCACGAGTGGAAGAACAGTTTTTACAGCTGAACATCTGCAATCAACTTGATAGGGAAACTAAGGATCAGAATAAATAATGGCCAGTTCTAAGGTCAGATAACTGATAGGCGGTGATCCAGAAACTTGTTTCTCTAGTTGTTTTTGTTTGTTTTTGTGAGATAAAGCTTGCTCTTGTTGCTCGGGTTCAAGCGATTCTCCTGCCTCATCCTCCTGAGTAGCTGGGATTACAGGCATGCGCCACCACACCTAGTTAATTTTGTATTTTTAGTAGAGACGGGGTTTCTCCATGTTGGTCAGGCTGGTCTTGAACTCCTGACCTTAGGTGATCAGCCCGCCTCAGCCTCCCAAAGTGCTGGGATTACAGGTGTGAGCCACCGCGCCCGGCCTTGTTTTTCTAGTCTTAAACTAGTGTATTACCCAATACATTGTGCTATATTTAAGCAAACTTGTAATAACTGGTGCAAATGAAGTGAAAAATATCATTCTACAATTATCAGGATTACATTCCCCCCTTATCTGCAGGGGATATATTCCAAGACCTCAGCGGATGCCTGAAACCTCAGATTAAATCAAACTTGATTTCTGTCAACTAGAACATATTTCTGTTCATGTCTTTCATGACAAATTTAATGCCTTTTTCATCTTAACTAAGTACTTATCATATACTATGGCCGTAATTTTCAGTTTGAAGTTCGACAGCAAAACTAGCAAGAATTTATTTTTCCTTCTTCATAATTTCACAGACAGAAGATTCTTTCTTACTACAAATCTTAGTAACCTCAGCATATGATTGTTTTTTCTTAAGTTGAGAACTTTCACCTTTTCACCTAAAGGAAGCACTTCACAAGCTTCTCTTTGGCGTATCTGAATTGCCAGCATCACCACTCTTGTGCTTTGGGGGTATTAAGTAAAATAAGAGTGACTTGAACACAAGCATGCCCTACTACAACAGTCAGTTGTGATAACTGAGATGGCTACTATGTGACTAAATGGGAAGGTAGCTTATAGAGCATGGAGACACTGGACAAAGATTCACATCCTGGGTGGGACAGGGCAAGATTTCATCATGCTACTAAGAATGGTGTACAATTTAAAACTTAACAATTGCTTATTTATGGAATTTCTATGTAATATTTTCTAGCCAAATCAACACTGTTTATAAGGCACAGGACACATTTAATAAACAGGAAAGACTTTTTTTTTAAACTGAGTATATGCGAGTTATACCTGATCTCCTAAGTATATTAAACATCTCCCCTCATAATATTATTTTTACTATCAACTTGTTTAGCTGCTTTTTCCACTGACAGTACAAATACAACCCGCAAAATAATATTTATATGGATTCAACAAATTCTATTATCTGTACACTATGAATTATTTGTATTTACCTCTCATTACATCAATTTTGTCTTATATATAGTATAGTTTACAAAGTAACAGCAGCTACTCAATGCAAACTGAAGTGGTAATTTAAGGAAAGCTCTCGAAAGCAAATGGATAGTTTTGTTTGTTTGTTTTGCTTTCCTTTTTTTCAGACAGAGTCTCACTCTGTTGCCCAGGCTGAAGTGCAGTGGTGCGATCTCAGCTTGCTGCAACCTCCTCTTCCTGGGTTCAAGCAATTCTCCTGCCTCAGCCTCCTGAGTAGCTGGGACTACGGGGTGCCCGCCACCAAGCACAGCTAATTTTTGTATTTTTAGTAGAGACGAGGTTTCACCATGTTGGCCAGGCTGGTCTCGAACTCCTGACCACAGGTGATCCACCTGCCCTGGCCTCCCAAAGTGCTGGGATTACAGGCGTGAGCCACCACGCCCAGCCACAAATGGATAGTTTTTAATAAACACATGAGAACCTACACATCCAAAGCATTGTCTCCTTCAAAGCAGTAACTCTGGGAGTCTATATATCAATTACCATAATGCCGCTAGTATTCAAAAATACTTATGGAATTCATCTTTTTGTGCTTCTTTCCTGCTTGCCTCCTCCTTTTAAATGAATAAACTCACAAAGGAAAATCATCTAGAAAGAGAATCAAACCAGCCACCAATTAATCACAAGTAGCTTTGAGCCAAGTCTGAAGAATGGAATGTGACTGCAAAACAAAAGTTCAGTATTTCTGTGATCTGTCTCAAACTGTGTGTGTGCAAGCACTGTTCTAAGAAAAGCTGGTGACAACAGGGATGAGTAAATGTAAATTCCACGGACAAGGAAGAAGAATGGAACAATCTCATTAACCTAGTAAGGCAGGGACATGTTAGGAAGAAAAGGGGTTTTGGCTTGCATAACTGGATAATAGACGTACTTAGCCACAATGCCATTTTCTCAATGTGCAGGGGTAGAGCTGGAGGGGTAGGAGTGAAGAAGAGTTAATGGTCATGTTTCATTTTAAGTAACTGTGGGATATTCAAGTGGCAATATTCAGCAAGAATCAAGATTTATGAATTTGAAAACTGGGAGAGAGTGTGGCTGACTATATTTCCCAAAACGACCACTATGGTATCTGCCATACCACGTGTTCTTCTACATAGTGACCTTGCCACCAGGAGATATTCTAACTCCCCTCCCCTTAAATCTGGGCTGGCCTTAGAGATTCATTTATAACCAACAAAATGCAGTGGAAGTGACAGTGAACAACAGCTGAGGTTAGGTCAGAAAGGCCAAGCAGCTCCTGCCTGATTCTCTTAGAATAGAATACTGGCTTTCCAGGCACCCCCTCTTGGAGCCCAATGGCCCTGTTGTGAGAAGCCCAAGCCACTTGGAGGCTACAAAAAATAGTTCCGTCACCAGTCCCAGCTGAGCCCAGCTTTCAAAGTCATCACCATCCAGGCACCAGACATGTAAGTAAAGATGGCTCCAGAGGATTCCAGTTCCTGGCCATTCACATCTCCCTCAGTCATTTCAGTTTGCCCAGCTGAGGCCCCAGACACTGTGGAGCAGCAGCATGCCCCATCTGAATTCCTGACACACAGAACCTGTAAGCATAATAAAATGATCACTGCATTACACCACTAAGTCTTGGGTGGTTTATTATACAGCGATGGACACCTGGAATAGGAAAAGTTAAAGAGGCTTAGAGAGAATGGGGTTTGAAATAACTTCTTGGCAAATGGGAGAGACAGCTACCTAGAGGTACAAAAGGATTGCCAGGATCATGGAAAGCTCTTTTAATGTGTTGTGAAAATCTAGATAAGGAAACCACATGGTTAACAGATATAGA
The DNA here is from genome assembly GCF_000001405.40 of Homo sapiens. Lineage (NCBI taxonomy): Eukaryota > Metazoa > Chordata > Mammalia > Primates > Hominidae > Homo > Homo sapiens. Next base: position 67,308,478 of record NC_000008.11, read on the forward strand.
GCTTAATAAAATGCAGCTAGGGCTCTGTCCCCTAAATCAATTCCTTTGTAATATGCCTGGCAATCCCTGACTCCTCCCCTCAAGATGGAGGCTGAACTTCACCTCTTAGGTGAAATATTCCACAGCCTCAGCCTCTTGCCCATTTGCCATTCTTACTCATCATCCCTGCTTATGTGCTCCCATAGAAACAAGGACCTATTTTTATAAGGCACTTATTTATAAAGCACTGAGATTATTTGCTTACCTTTGATTCTGAGCTACTTGAATGCAAGGAAATTTTTTTATTTTTTAATTTTATTATTTTAATGGACACATATTAATTGTATATATTATATATTTATGGGGTACAATGAGGTGTTTTGGTATGTTTTTACTATATGGAATGACCAAGCTAATTAACAAATCCAACTCACATACTTTTTTAATTGTAAAAATATTTAAAATCTACCTTTAGTAATTCTGAAATATATAATGCATTATTATTTATTACAGTCACAGTAGCGAAGATATGGAGGCAACCTAGGTGTCCATCATCAGATGAATGGATAAAGACAATCTAATAAAATATACACAATGGAATACCATTCTGCCTTAAAAAGAAGGAAATCCTGTCATTTGCGACAACATAGGCAAGATATTACACTAAGTGAAAAAATGGAAGATACTACGCTAAGTGAAAAAAGTCAGGCACAGAAAGACACATGATTTTACTTGTATGTGGAATCTAAAAAAGTCAAACTCATAGAAGTAGAGTAGAATGAGGGTTACCAGAAGTTAGAGGAGGTACATAAATGGGGAAAAGAGAGATAGCGATCAAAGGATACAAAATTTCAGCTAGACCAGAAGAATAAGCTTTAGTGATCTGTTACATAGAACAGGGACATTTTTCATTCTTCTTTGCATTCCTAGCATCCAGCACAGTGTGAGTTACATAGTATGCAGACATTTAATAAATGCTACCATATTCTGGAGAACTAAAAGAGAAAGAAAAAATACCATCTTGTTCTTCTTTGCTATTTTCTTTCCTTTTCCTTCGCATACCTTCCCTACTTATGATTATTACATATAACATCAGGGGCAGAAAGTGACACTGTTCCTAAAGCCATCTGTTTTGAGTTTATACAAAGTGTAACCTCTACTTAGATTCATAAGTTTTTAAACAATTTAACTGGTTAGAAGAAACAAACTATGAAGCCCAGGTGATTTGGAGAAAAAAATACTTTTTGCTCATTAGCATCAGAGTCTCAGATTCAGGGGTGTTAACTAGCCTCTTTTGTCAAACAAAACAAAATCTTGTGAATGGTCTTAATCAATAGTTTTCCAACGTTTCTGACTGCAAACCACTATCCTGGATCCCAGAAAACACCTACATATATGTTATGAAAATAAAAAATTAATTATTATCCTTGTTATTCTGGGATATATTTTCATTTTCTATTCTATTAAAAACCAATCATAATACTAGTCATAAGCCACAAAATTGACTTCACGATCCAACTTTGCGTTGTAACCACTAATACAAAATACTTTGGTATTATACACAAACCTATAGATTCAGCTGAGCAAACCCAAACAGGATAGAAATCCAAGTTAAGATACACCAGAATCGCTCCCCTCTCCCTCTCCCTCTCCCTCTCCCCACGGTTTCCCTCTCTTTCCACGGTCTCCCTCTCATGCGGAGCCGAAGCTGGACTGTACTGCTGCCATCTCGGCTCACTGCAACCTCCCTGCCTGATTCTCCTGCCTCAGCCTGCCGAGTGCCTGCGATTGCAGGCACGCGCCACCACGCCTGACTGGTTTTGGTGGAGACGGGGTTTCGCTGTGTTGGCCGGGCCGGTCTCCAGCCCTTAACCGCGAGTGATCCGCCAGCCTCAGCCTCCCGAGGTGCCAGGATTGCAGACGGAGTCTCGTTCACTCAGTGCTCAATAGTGCCCAGGCTGGAGTGCAGTGGCGTGATCTCGGCTCGCTACAACCTACACCTCCCAGCCGCCTGCCTTGGCCTCCCAAAGTGCCGAGATTGGAGCCTCTGCCCGGCCACCACCCCATCTGGGAAGTGAGGAGTGTCTCTGCCTGGCCGCCCATCGTCTGGGATGTGAGGAGCCCCTCTGCCTGGCTGCCCAGTCTGGAAAGTGAGGAGCGCCTCTTCCCGGCCACCATCACATCTAGGAAGTGAGGAGCGTCTCTGCCCGGCCGCCCATCGTCTGAGATGTGGGGAGCGCCTCTGCCCCGCCGCCCAATCTGGGATGTGAGGAGCGCCTCTGCCCGGCCGCGACCCCGTCTGGGAGGTGAGGAGCGTCTCTGCCCGGCTGCCCCATCTGAGAAGTGAAGAGACCCTGTGCCTGGCAACCACCCCGTCTGAGAAGTGAGGAGCCCCTCCGCCTGGCAGCTGCCCCGTCTGAGAAGTGAGGAGCCTCTCCACCCGGCAGCCACCCCATCTGGGAAGTGAGGAGCCTCTCCGCCCGGCAGCCACCCCGTCCAGGAGGGAGGTGGGGCCCGGGAGGGAGGTTGGGGGGTCAGCCCCCCGCCCGGCCAGCCGCCCCGTCTGGGAGGTGAGGGGCGCCTCTGCCCGGCCACCCCTACTGGGAAGTGAGGAGCCCCTCTGCCCGGCCAGCCGCCCCGTCCGGGAGGGAGGTGGGGGGGTCAGCCCCGCGACCGGCCAGCTGCCCCGTCTGGGAGGTGAGGGGCGCCTCTGCCCGGCCGCCCCCACTGGGAAGTGAGGAGCCCCTCTGCCTGGCCAGCCGCCCCGTCCGGGAGGGAGGTGGGGAGGTCAGCCCCCCGCCCGGCCAGCCGCCCCGTCCGGGAGGGAGGTGGGGGGGGTCAGCCCCCCCGCCCGGCCAGCTGCCCCATCCAGGAGGTGAGGGGCGCCTCTGCCCGGCCGCCCCTACTGGGAAGTGAGGAGCCCCTCTGCCCAGCCAGCCGCCCCGTCCGGGAGGGAGGTGGGGGGTCAGCCCCCCGCCCGGCCAGCCGCCCCATCAGGGAGGGAGGTGGGGGGGTCAGCCACCCGCCTGGCCAGCCGCCCCGTCCGGGAGGGAGGTGGGGGGGGGTCAGCCCCCTGCCTGGCCAGCCGCCCAGTCTGGGAGGGAGATGGGGGGGTCAGCCCCCCGCCTGGCCAGCCGCCTCGTCCGGGAGGGAGGTGGGGGGGTCAGCCCCCCCGCCCAGCCAGCCGCCCCGTCCGGGAGGTGAGGGGCGCCTCTGCCCGGCCGCCCCTACTGGGAAGTGAAGAGCCCTTCTGCCCGGCCACCACCCTGTCTGGGAGGTGTGCCCAACAGCTCATTGAGAACGGGCCAGGATGACAATGGCGGCTTTGTGGAATAGAAAGGCGGGAAAGGTGGGGAAAAGATTGAGAAATCGGATGGTTGCCGTGTCTGTGTAGAAAGTAGTAGACATGGGAGAATTTTCATTTTGCTCTGTACTAAGAAAAATTCTTCTGCCTTGGGATCCTGTTGATCTGTGACCTTACCCCCAACCCTGTGCTCTCTGAAACATGTGCTGTGTCCACTCAGGGTTAAATGGATTAAGGGCAGTGCAAGATGTGCTTTGTTAAACAGATGCTTGAAGGCAGCATGCTCGGTAAGAGTCATCACCACTCCCTAATCTCAAGTAATCAGGGACACAAACACTGCGGAAGGCAGTGTTTCCTCTGCCTAGGAAAACCAGAGACCTCTGTTCACTTGTTTATCTGCTGACCTTCCCTCCACTATTGTCCCATGACCCTGCCAAATCCCCCTCTGTGAGAAACACCCAAGAATTATCAATAAAAAAAAAATTAAAAAAAAAAAAAAACAACACACACCAGAATCAAACCCCAGAAAACTAAAGACAAAACAATCTTGAAAGCAGGTAGAAAGAAATGACATAATATCGATAGAAGAAAAATGATTACAGTGACAGTGGACTTCTTATTGGACACCATGGAAGCCAATAGGAGCTGTGGCACAACATTTCCAAGAGGTGAAAGAAAAGATCTGTCACCCAGAGTTATATAGATAATCTGTGAAAAATCCTAAAGGAATAAAGGTAAAATCAAGATCTTCTCAGATGAAGGATAACAAAAAAAACAAACAAACCTGTCACCACAAGATCTGTCCTAAAAGAATAACTAAAGTTCTTCAAACACAAAGGAAATCAGAAGTTTTGAAACACCGTGAAGAATGGGAAGTGTAAAAATATGGAAACATATAACACTATTCTCCTCGAGTTTTAAAAATTGTTACACATTTAACACAAAAAATAAAACACTGTCTTATGTGGTTGCTAATGTATGCAGAAAAAGTATTTAAGACAATACTACAGAGAGGGAAGATAAAAGGACCTAAATGGAGCTAAGGTTTTTCTACAGGTTACTCAAACTGGTAAAATGCTGACATCAGTATACTGTGAAAAGCTATGTATGAATAATGTAATGCCTAGTACAACCACCAAAAATCAAATATAAAGAGATACACTCAAAACTCCAGCAGAACAATCAAAATGGAATTCTAAAAATTTTTCAAGAGGTCCACATAAATGCATGAAAATGGACAACAAAAAACAGAGGGAACAACAGAAAGCAAAAGTAAAGTAGCAGACTTATGCCCTTATATACAAATATTACATTAAATATAAAAGGTCCAAGCACAACAATTAGAAGACATTTAGCTGGGTGCGATAGTGTGCACCTGGAATCCCAGCTACTTGGGAGGCTGAGCCAGGAAGATCACTTGAGCCCAGGAGTTCATTTTTTGGATTTCCTTGCATTGGGCTTCACCTTTATCTGGTCCTTCCCTGATTAGCTTAAGAATTAACCTCCTGAACTCTTTTTCAGGTAAATCAGGGATTTCTTCTTGGTTTGGATCCACTGCTGGTAAACTAGTGTGATTTTTGCGGGATGCTGACAGGCCTAGTTTTGTCATATTACCAGGGTTGGTTTTCTGGTTCCTTCTCATTTGGGTAGCCTCGGTCAGAAGAAAGGTCTAGGGCTGAAGGCTGTTGTTCAGATTTTTCTGTCCCACAGGGTGTTCCCTTGATGCAGTACTCTCCCCCTTTTCCCATGGATGTGGCTTCCTGTGAGCCGAACTGCAGTGATTGTTGTCTCTCTTCTGGGTCTAGCCACCCAGCGAGTCTACCCAGCTCCAGGCTTGGTACTGAGGCTTGTCTGAACAAAGTTCTGTGATCAGCCATGGATACCAGTGCCAGTTCTGGTAGAGGTGGCGGAGGGTGCAATGGACTCCGTGAAATTCTTAGCTTTGATGGTTTAACGCTCTATTTTTGTGCTGGTTGGCCTCCTGCCAGGAGTGGTGCTTTCCAGAAAGCATCAGCTGTAGTAGTGTGGAGAGGGACCTGCAGTAGACAGGGCCCTAGAACTCCCAAGATTATACACCTCACCCTTTGTTTTACACTATCAGGGTGGGTAGGGAAGGACCATCAGGTGGAGGCAGGGCTAGGTGGGTCTGAGCTCAGACTCTTCTTGGGTGGGTCTTGCTGTGGCTGCTGTGGGGGACAGGAGTGAGATTCCCAGGTCACTGGAGTTGTGTATCTAGGAGGATTATGGCTGCCTCTGCTGAGTCATCCAGGTTGTCAGCGAAGTGGGGGAAAGCCAGCAGTCACAGGTCTCACCCAGCTCCCATGAAAACTGAAGGGTCAGTCTCACTCCCACCTTGCCCCCTGCAACAGCCCCAAGTCTGTTTCCAGGTGAAGCGCAAAAGGAGCTTGAAAACTTGCCTGAGGCTTTCCGCCTCCCAGCTGTGAAAGAAAAGGACTTTAGTTCTTTCCCTAACTGTGAAGTCTACAAGCCGCAGATGGATTCAAGTCCTCCCCTGAGTTCTGACTAGGAGGCTTCTCATTCAAATTGCTACAAAATTCAGCTAGAGAATTCCTTCTCCCTGTGGAGTTTTACCCCCCTGCTCCTCTAGCCAACCTCCTGATGGATCCCTGTGATGCCAGGCAGGAATGGGCTGCTTGGGGACCCAGCAAGCTCCCAGGGCCTTTCTGCTGCTTCCTCTACCCCTGTATTTCGCTTGGCTCAACTAACTTGACTCAGCTCCAGGTAAAGTCAGAAACTTCTCCCGCAAACAGACCTTCAGCTTCTCCAGCGGGGGTGTGTGTTTGGGAGAGGAGGGTCTCCCTTTCCCACTTCTGCAGTTGGGGCACTCACAGTATTTGGGGGCCAGGGTGGGTGGAAATCTCCCGGGTCCTGCAAAGCAGTCCACTTCCTTCAGAGGGTCTGTGGGTCCTCTCAGGATTGCTGGTTTGTTCTTGCAGTCGATCTGGAGCTAAAACTCACAATGCAAGCCTCCACATGCTGCTCTGTCCGGAGCTGCAATCTAATCTGGCCTCCTGTCCTCCATGATCCCAAAATCTTTGAGCCCAGGAGTTCAAAAGCAGTCGGGGCAACGTAGCAGGACCCCAACTCTATAAAAAAATTTAAAAATTAGCTGGGTGGGCATGGTGGCATGTGCCTGTAGTGTCAGCTACTCAGGAGGCTGAGTCAGGAGGACTCCTTGAGCAAGCTGTGATCACACCACTGCACTCCAACCTAGGTGACAGAGCAAGACCCTGTCTCTTAAGAAAAAGAAAACACACATACCCACACACCTATATGATATAGTAGGATGAAAGTAAACAGATGGAAAAAGATATCAAAAGAAAGCAGGCGTGGCTGTATTAATATCAGATAAAGTAGAACTGAAAACAAAAAATGACCAGAACAAAAGACATTACACAATGATAGAAGGGTCAAATACATCAAGAATACATAGTAATCCTAAATGTGTATATAACAAAGAGCTTCAAAATAACATGAAATTGAAATGGATAGAACTAAAAGGAGAAACAGACAAATCTGCTATTTTAGCTGAAGAAGTAAACATCCCTCTTACAACAATACAACTACTAGACAAAAAAAATCACTAAGGATACAGAACTGAACACCACCATCAATCGGCAGGGTATAAATTTATAGAATACTCCACTCAGTAACAGACACACATTATTTTAAAATGTCCATGGAACATTCACCAAGACAGTCCATATTTTGGGCCATAAAACAAATCTCAACAAAGTTAGAAGAACTGAGATCATACAGAGTGTGTTCTTTTTTTCCGAGTAAAGTGAAAGCAAGTTTATTAAGAAAGTAAGGAATAAAAGAATGGTTACTCCACAGGCAGAGCAGCCCAGAGTGTGTTCTCTACCAAAATGAAATAAAAATAGGAATCATGGAGAAAAACTAATATTTCCAAACACTTGGAAATTAAACAACACACTTCTAAATAATCCATGGGTCAGAGGAAGTCTTAAGGGAAATTTTTAAAAAATACATGGAACTCAATAAAAATAAAAATATAACAAATTTTATGGGATACAGCTAAAATTGTATGGGATACAGCTTAAAGGGAGACTTACAGCACTTAATACTTCATTAGAAAAAAGTCCCAAATCTAAGCTCCCACCTTAAGAAACTAGGAAAAGCAGCACAGAATAAACCCAAAGCAAGCAGAAAAAAAAGGAAAAATAATAAATACAAGAGCAGAAATCAACAAAACTGAAAATAGAAAAATAGGAAAAATCAATTTAAAAAGCTGATTGTTTGATAAGATCAATAAAATTGAAACTCCAACAAGAGGAAAGAAAAAATAAAGCAGGGTATCACTACAAACACCGCAGACATTAAGAGGGACTAGGTGCAAACAATTCTACATACAAAGACCTGAGAACTGAGATGAATAGACCAATTCCTCAAGAAGCACAAGCTACCACAATTCTTCCAATATGAAATAGATCATTTGAATAGTCCTATAACTATTAAAGACATTGAATTCATAGTTTAAAAACTACCAAAAATGAAATATCTTGGACCAGATGGTTTCACCTGAGAATTCTACCACGTTTATAAAAGAATTTATAACAATCCTGTACAATCTCCTCTAGAAAATATTAGGGGATAAAACACATCTCAGTTGCTTTCAAGAGGCCAATATTATCTTGATAACAAAACTGGACTGTTGTATAATTTTTTTTTTTTTCTGAGACGGGGTCCACTCTGTTGCCCAGGCTGGAGTGCAGTGGCGCAATCACAGCTCACTGCAGCCTAAACCTCCCCAGGCTCCATGATCCTCCCACCTCAGCCTCCCAAGTAGCTAGGACACAGGTATGTGCCACCATACCCAGCTAATTTTTGTATTTTTTGTAGAGACAGGGTTTTGCCATGTTGCTCAGGCTGGTCTTGAACTCCTGGGCTCAAGTGATCTGCCCTCCTCGACCTCCCAAAATGCTGCGATTACAGGCATGGGCCACCATCCTCAGCCTGAACTGTTGTATAATTAAGAATCTGGTTGGTCTTTGTCCCTGGTTCAGGGAGGGAGCCTCTAAACCCTTGACACTTCCTGACAGGAGCATCTTTATTATTCATGATGAACCCCTTGGACAGTTTCAGGATAGGGATTAGTGAAAGACCAACTATGTGAGTAAAGTTTGGGCTTTGAACCACATGATCTCAGCCCCACCTCCAAGGAGGGGAGGGGGCTGCAGTTCAGATTCAATCATGTGACCAATGACTCACTCAATAATTCCTGTGTAATAACACCCCAACAAAAACCCTGGACACCCAAAGCTTGGGTAAGCTTTCCTGGTTAGTGATACACATCAATGAGCTGAGAGGGTAAAGCATTCTGACGACACAAAAGCTTTGCGTCTGAGGCCCTTCCAAACTCATCCTATAGTTCTCTTCTTTTGAATCATCCTAATTTGTGTCCTTTATAACAAAACCACAATCCTGAAATAGCACTTTCCTGAGTTCTGTGAGTTGCTCTACGTAACCGGAGGAGATAACAGGAACCCCTGAATTTGTAGCCAGTTGGTCAGAAGTGCTTGTGGTCTGGAAACTCTCAAGCATTAGCTGGTATCTGAAGTGAAAACAGTTTTGCCAAGGACTATGCCTTTAACCTGTGAAATACGACTCAACTCCAGAACCAAATTATGATGTAGTTAGCATCAGAACTGCACTGAACAAAGGCAGTATAGAAAAATGCAGACAAATATCACTCATGAATATAGACGCAAAAATCATCAAATACTAACTAGAATCCAGCAAGGTATAAAAAGAATTAAATACCATGACCCACTGGGGTTTATTCTAAAGACACAGAACTAATATTTAAAAAAAAAAAAAAAAAAAGGTTGGGAGCGGTGGCTTACACCTGTAATCCCAGCACTTTGGGAGGCTGAAGCAGGTGGATCACCTGAGGTCGGGAGTTCGAGACCAGCCCAACATGGTGAAACTATTAAAAATATAAAAATTAGCCAGGCACGGTGGCACTTGCCTGTAGTCCCAGCTACTCGGGAGGCTGAGGCACAAGAATTGCTTGAACCAGGGAAACAGAGCTTGCAGTGAACTGCGATTGTGCCACTGTACTCCAGCCTGGGTGACAGAGCAAGACTCTGTCTCAAAAAAAAAAAAAAAAAAAGTCAACCCCTGTAATCTACCATAGAAATAGGCTAAACAGGCCAGGCGCGGTGGCTCACACCTGTAATTCCAGCACTTTGGGAGGCTGAGGTGGGTGGATCACGAGGTCAGGAGATCGAGACCATCCTGGCTAACACGGTGAAACCCCATCTCTACTAAAAATACAAAAAATTAGCTGGGCGTGGTGGCGGGCGCCTATAGTCCCAGCTACTCGGGAGGCTGATGCAGGAGAATGGCGTGAACCCGGGAGCCGCAGCTTGCAGTGAGCCGAGATGGTGCCACTGCATTCCAGCCTAGGCAGCAGAGCCAGACTCCGTCTCAAGAAAAAAAAAAAAAAAAAAAGGCTAAAGAAGAAAAAAATCACATGATCATTTCAATTGATACAGAAAAATCATTTGACAAAATTCAGCATCCATTCATGATTTTAAAAACTCAGTAACCTAGCAATAGAGGAGAATGATAAACAGTAGCTACACAAAACCAAGAGCTGGTTGGGTGAGGAAACCCTCTCATCATTTCTACTCAACTTTGTACTGAACATCCCAGACAGTGTAAATAAGTAAATAAAGGTATATAGGTTAGAGAGAAATACAACAGTTCTTATTCACAGATTACATGATTATTTAAGTAAAAAATCCCAAGAAATCTTGAAGAAGAAAAAAACTCTAAGAACTCATAAATGAATTTAGCAAGGCTGCAACATGCAAAAATCAATCACATTTCTATATACTAGCAATGAACAACTGGAAACCCAAAATTTTAAAAAAATACTATCTACAGCCAGGTGCAATGGTTCACCTGTAATCCCAGCACTTTGGGAAGCTGAGGCAAAAAGATGGCTTGAGTTCAGGAATTCAAGACCAGCTTGAGCAATACAGTGAGACCGCCATCTCTACAAAAAAGTTTAAAAATTAGGCAGGGTGGTGCATGCATGTAGTCCCAGCTACTTGGGAGGCCAAGGCAGGAGGATCACTTGAGCTCACAAGGTGATAGCTGCAGTGAGCTAGGCTCATGCCACTGCCTGAGCAACAGAACGAGACCCTGTCTCAAAACAGAACAAAAACAAAAAAAAATTCACAATAGCTCACCACAAAATAAAATTCTTAAGTATGAACTTAACAAAACACATATAAAATATATACTGAAAGAAATGCTGATAAAAAGATCAAAGAACTAAAAAACAATAAATATATCAAGTTCATTGACTGAAAGTATAAAAACAATAAAGATTTCCCCAAAATTATCTGCAGATTTAATCCACTGCCAATCAAAATTCTAGCAGGATTTTCTGCACATAAACAGATTCTAACATTTGTTAGGAAAGGCAATGTAACTAGGATAGACAAAACAATTCTAATAAAGAAGAATAACTTGGGAGAAATCCCTATCTCCAATTTTAAGAATTTTAAATTATAATAATCAAAACAATGTAGTGTTAAAGACAGAAACACAGATCAATGGAATAGAGTCCAGACACAGACCCACAGAACTATAGATGATTAATTTTTGACAAAAGTACAAGTGCAATTCAATGGAGAAAGGATAATCTTTTCAACAAATAGTGTTGGAATTAGACACCCATTTGCAAAAAAAAAAAAAAAACTCTTGACCTAAAACTCCCACCTTATACAAAAATTAACTTAAATGGATGACAGATCTAAATGTTAGAACAAAAAACTATCAAACTTTCGGAAAACATAGGAGAAACTCTCTGTGAGTTTGGATTCGGCAGAGTTCTTAGATAAAATACCAAAAGCATGTGACATAAAAGAAAAAATAAAATGGATTTATCAAGATTAAAATGATTGCTCTGTGAAAGACAATGTTAAGAGAATAAAAGGTAAGCTACAGAAAATATTTGCAAATTGTTTATCTGGCAAAGACTTGTATCTAGAATATATACTTTAAAAACTCTTAAAACTCAACAGTAAAAAAACAACGAAATTTTTTAATGGGCAAAAGACTTAGACATTCACCAAAGAGGATATGCACATGGCAAATAAACATAAAAAAAGATGCTCAGACCGGGCACAGTGGCTCACACCTGTAATCCTAGCACTTTGGGAGGCCGAGGCGGGTGGATCACCTGAGGTCAGGATTTCGAGACCAGCCTGGCCAACAGAGCGAAACCCTGTCTCTACTAAAAATACAAAAATTAGCTGGGCCTGGTGTGGCCGGTGCCTATAATCCCAGCTACTTGGGAGGCTGAGGCAAGAGAATCGCTTGAACCTGGGGTGGCGGAGGTTGCAGTGAGCCGAGATCGCACCACTGCACTCCAGACTGGGTGAAAGAGCAAAACGCTATCTCAAAAAAAAAAAAAAAAAAAAAAAAAAAGTGCTCAACATAATTAGCCATTAAGAAAATGCAAATGAAAAACCATAATGATTTAATGCTACACACCTATTAACATGGTTAAATTTTAAAAATACTGACACTCCCAAGAGTCGGTAAGGATATGGAGCAACAAGAACGCAAATACACCGTTGGTAGAAATGCACAATAGCACAGCCACTTTAGAAAACAGTTTGTAAGTTTCTCATGAAGTTAAACATATACTTACCATATGACCCAGCAGTCCCACTCCTGGGTATCTACCCTAGACAAACATGAAAACTTAAGTTTATGTAAAAATCTGTACATGAATATTTATAGCAGCTCTAACCATACTGCCAAAACTGGAAACAACTCAAATGCCCTTCAATGAGTGTTAAACAAACTATACGACATCCATACACTCAGCAGTAAAAAAGAAACAGACAGTCAGGCGTGGTGGCTCACGCCTATAATCCCAGCACTTTGGGAGGCTGAGGCAGGTGGATTACCTGAGGTCAGGAGCTCGAGGCCAGGTCAGCCTGGCCAACATGGTGAAACCCCGTCTCTACTAAAAATACAAAAATTAGCCAGGCGTGGTGGCAGGCGCCTGTAATCCAGCTACTCGGGAGGCTGAGGCAGGAGAATTGCTTGAACCCAGGAAGAGGTTGCAATAAGCAGATCGCACCACCGCACTTCAGCCTGGGCAATAGAGTGAGATTCCATCTCAAAAAAAAAATCAAACAAAAAAAGAAACAAGACTACTAATACATACAACAACTTGGATAAACCCTAAATGCATGCTGAGTGAAAGAAGCCAGTCTCAAAAGCCTCCATTCTGTATCATTCCACATTTATGACATTCTTAAAACGACAGAGAACAGATCAGTGGTTGCCAGGGGTTAGGTATGTGAGAAATGGTGTGACTATAAGTATGGGGGGGGGTTTGGGGGTGCTAAAACTATTCTGTATCCCAACTGTGATAGAAGTTACACAAATCTTCATGTGTGTTAAAATTCATGGAATTGTACAGTAAAAAAGAAAGTCAAATTTACTGTATGTTAACGTAAAAAACAAAAATACAAAGCAAAATAGGTTGCCTACATCCATACTCCAACTTAGTGAAGCAGGATCTCCAGTAATGTGACGTAGTTGGTTGTATTTTTAAGAAGCTCCACGGGTGATCTTGGTGTATTTGTATAGCCAAGGATGAGAACTTCTGTTTTTTTTGTTTGTTTTGTTTTTTGTTTTTGAGATGGAGTCTCGCTCTGTCGCCCAGGCTGGAGTGCAGTGGTGCAATCTCGGCTCACTGAAAGCTCCACCTCCCGGGTTCACGCTATTCTCCTGCCTCAGCCTCCCGAGTAGCTGGGAGTACAGGCACCCGCCACCACGCCCGGCTATTTTTTTTTATTTTTAATAGAGACGGGGTTTCACCGTGTTAGCCAAGATGGTCTCGATCTCCTGACTTCGTGATCCGCCCGCCTCAGCCTCCCAAAGTGCTGGGATTACAGGCATGAGCCACCACACCCGGCCGAGAACTTCTGTTTTAATGCCTTAATTTTAATTTCTCCATCCTTTCTGCCACTTTAACTTTAGGTCAGGGCTTCATCTCTCATCAGGCCTACTGGCTCTAATCCATCTTCTACATAGTGCCAGAGTGATCATGACAAAGATAAAGCTCAAGCTCTTCAGCATGGCACACAAAAGCCTCCATGATTTGGCTCCTGCCTACCACTCTCATCTCTCTGCATGCCCTTCCTTGCATTCCACACTCCAATTGTAAAGGAACATTGTAAATCCCCTGTAAAGATCTGCCATTTCATACCTCTAGGCTTTTGCTCAAATGGTGTCCTCTGCCTGAATTCCATCCCACCACCACTATGTCCAACAGGTACCTTTCAAGGTTGCCTCAGTCATATGTTCTCTGTCACTCCCAACTAAAACCCCTTTCAGTGGTTTTCCAACCATCCTTACCTATAACACTTTCCATGAGCCTCATCTCCTACCATTCCTGCTGTACACTTAAGTCTCTTAAAATGCCAACCTTCTAGGTAACTCTCTCACACTTTGGGTTTATTCGGCTATTCATGCCTTAGCTAATGATGCTCCTTCTTCCCCAGAATACTTTTTCCACCCATCTTTTCCTGGCTAAAATCCATTCATCCTTCTAGAATAAATAGCTGTTATCAGCCAGGCATGTTGGCTCATGCCTATAATCCCAACACTTTGGGAGGCCCAGTGGGGATGGTTGTTTGAGGCCAGGAGTTCAAGACCAGCCTGGGCAATATAGAGAGACCCCATCACTACAAAAAGTTAAAGAAAAAATTAGCCAGGCATGATGGCATGTGACTATAGTCCTAGCTACTAGGGAGGCAGGCTAAGGTAGCAGAATCACTTCAGCCCAGGAGTTCGAGGATGCTGTAAGTTATGACTGCACTGCTGCTCTCTAGCCTGGGCAACAAAGTGAGACCGTCTCTTAAAAACAAAAACAAAAGCCTGTCTTTACCGAAAAGTCTTCTCCTGCACTTCTAGGCTAAGATAATTACACTTCTCTATTCCCATAGCTTCCTCCAGTTATTACTATCACTACTTACCTTAGCATATTGAAATTATTTTATGTATTTATCTCCTTCAATCTGCTCCTTAACAGCAAAGACCACATTTTATACCACATCTTTACATTCATCAGGCTTAGAATAAAATCGGGAACAAATATATACTTAAATGTTTTCCAAAGAAAGCAATAAATGCCAGGCACGGTGGCTCACGCCTGTAATCCCAGATTACTTTGAGAGGGGGTGGATAACCTGAGGTCAAGAGTTTGAGACCAGCCTGGCCAACATGGTGAAACCCCGTCTCTACTAAAAATACAAAAATTAGCCAGGCATGGTGGCAGAAGCCTGTAATCCCAGCTACTCGGGAGGCTGAGGCAGGAGAATTGCTTGAATCCAGGAGGTGGAGGTTGCAGTGAGCAGACATCGCGCCACTGCACTCCAGCCTGAGTGACACAGCAAGACTCCATCTCAACAACAACAACAACAAAAAAGCAATAAATGAGAGAGTAAATTTACCAGGTAACTTAATATACATCTCTTTTTCTCCAAAAGACCTAACTGGGTAACATATGTTGGTAACACCTAAACCTTAAACTTAACCTGATAACTTAAAAGTTGATCTACAACTCAGATCTCTCCCCTAGGCTTGTGTCATGTTATAAACTACTATCAACCAAACATCTTTACTCTGGTGTCCCATATGCACTCAAACTCAATATAACCATAAGTCCATTTTTCCTCAACCCATTTATGTCGAATGTGCTTATTTTCTCATACTGCCATTTTTGGTGAACAGATCCAACTTCTCAAAATCATGTCATTAGAAACCTCAGAATCATCCTAAATGCCTTCCTTTCTCTCATTCCTCACACCCAAACATTTATGAAGTCCTGTTAATTTACTGAGATCTAAGCTTTCCATATTCAGTGCCTCAGGTTCAAACCCTTACTTCTTCAAACCTGTGCTAAGGCAACAGTTTATTAACAGTCTCACTGCCTGCAGTTCTGAATCCCAGAAATCTACTTTTTTTTTTTTTTGAGACAGAGTCTTGCTCTGTTGCCCAGGCTGAAGTGCAGTGGTGCCATCACCGCTTACTGCAAGCTCCGCCCCTTGAGTTCATGCCATTCTCCTGCCTCAGCCTCCCAAGTAGCTGGGACTACAGGCACCTGCCACTACGCCTGGCTGATTTTTTTGTATTTTTACTAGAGACGGGGTTTCACCATGTTAGCCAGGATGGTCTCAATCTCCTGACCTTGTGAACCGCCCGCCTCGGCCTCCCAAAGTGCTGGGATTACAGGCGTGAGCCACCGCAGCCAGCCACAACCTACTTTTCAATATGCCAATCAGAGTAGAATGATTTCTCTGAAATGCAACAACAATTTCACTCCTTTGCTTGGCATTCTACTGTCTACAATAGAAGGTGGGGCGCTTGAACATGGGAGGCAGAGTTTGCAGTGAGGCGGGATCGCGCCACTGCACTCTAGCTTGGCAACTGAGTGAGACTCTGTCTCAAAGAAAACAAAACAAAACAAAAAAAGGTCTTCAATGATCTCATCCTTGCTTTCTTTGCCAAACTGTATTCCCACAGTCATACTGAACTCCCTGCAGTTCCCTAAGTGCAGACATGCTTCCTTATACCTCTCTATGCTCATACAATTAGTTCTGCCACAGCATGTTCCTATAATTCTATGGCAAACTCATCTAGTGATCTTCCAAGCCTGAAGTCCAGAGTGATTCCTCTATAAAGCTGTTCCTGACCCATGACCCTACCCTAGTACTCCTGAAAAGAACTTATCAATTATTCTTCCTTTGGGTTTCCATCAATTTCATATATGTCTACCATAGCGCCTATTTATCAATTCTAACATCTATTTACTGCAAATCTGCCTTCCCCCAAGAGATTACAAGCTGTTGAAGGTAGGAACCACATATGTGTTCCCTAGTTTCCCTAGTGCCTAATACAATTTTAAGACACACTTAAGATGTTCAATAAATGTTTGTTAAATAAAATAGTGAAGACTAAAAAGTATTTACATTAGCTTTTAATCCCATGGTAAAACTGGAGTTCACAGTAACACAATTTAAAATACAAAACATTAGGTTAACCCAAAGAGCCAGAGAGAAAAAAATCCACTTTTTTTTTTTTTTTGAGACAGAGTTTCACTCTTATTGCCCAGGCTGGAATGCAACGGCGCTATCTTGGCTCACTGCAACCTCCGCCTCCTGCATTCAAGCAATTCTCCTGCCTCAGCCTCCCGAACAGCTGGGATTATAGGTATGCACCACCATGCCCGGCTAATTTTGTATTTTTAGTAGATACGGGGTTTCTCCATGATGGTCAGGCTGGTCTTGAACTCCTGACCTCAGGTGATCCACCCACCTCAGCCTCCCAAAGTACTGGGATTTCAGGCGTGAGCCACCACACCAGGCCGAAAAATCCACTTTTTTTTTTTTTTTAACAGAAAATGGCTAATGGGCATACCCCATATACTTAAACTATCATCAACAAATTATAATGAGTGCTTACACCTTTTAAATAATACACATTATTCCTAAGGGCAAAGCAAAGGTTGTTTTTAATGCTTTCTCATCTCATCACTTCAAAGGTTGTTTTTAATACTTTCTCATCTCACCAGTCTGCACCTTCCTATCTATTGTCTCCTTACAACCTCATGCTATGCTTACATTACATAAAGGAGCCTCTATCAGGCCTGTCCCAGTCCTACCATGTCCCATAATGCCCCATGTTCCAAAATTAATCCATTCTCTCCCATCATTTCAGTCAAGTTTCCCATTCTCTCAGTGGGACAAAACTCAGCTAGATGTTGAAGGCAAGAAAGCTCTCTCCAAAAATCTAAGGACAGTACCAACATATGAATAACTAATACGTCTAATATTCCCAAAGGTTATCTGCAAATAAATACTAGTAACAAACATAAATAAATATTGAATTATTATGAAGGAAGACTTTTGAGAAATTTCCCAATGGGCAAAGAAGGGAAGGAAGACAGAAGTGCATCTACTCAGGACTAAAAAAGTTTTAATCAAGTTATAATGGAATAAGCACAAATTTTAGCTAATTTCAGGAAAGCACTTATGAATATGAAATATGAGAAAAAGGCTGGGCGCAGTGGCTCATGCCTGTAATCCCACCACTTTGGAATCCCAAAGGGATTACAGGCCGAGGCGGGCAGATCACTTGAGGTCAGGAGTTCAAGACCAGCTTGGCCAACATGGTAAAACCCCTTCTCTACTAAAAATATAAAAATTAGCCAGGCATGGTGGCATGCACATGTAGTCCCAGCTACTTAGGAGGCTGAGGTAGGAGAATCACTTGAACCTGGAGATGGAGGGTGCAGTGAGCTGAGATTGTGCCACTGCACTCTAGCCTGGTTGACAGAGTGAAACTCCATCTCAAAAAATAAAAAAAGAAATAAAAGAAAAAGAACATCTATGACTCACAGTACTGTTTTGTGACTCAAATATGAAATACAGGAAAATAACTGATAAATGGCAGTTTCCATATAATTGAAAAGAACTTGGTATCCATCTCTAGAAAGGATGTAAACCGAAGTATCTGCAAGAGTAAATCTATACTGGTTAACACCGGGCTTTCTACAAACATTAAAACAACCTATACTCTTGAATTAGCTTTCCATACCTTTTCTGGATGTGTTGAGAAGGCCTAAATGGATACATACATGAAAATGAGATCTGAAACCTTACACACCTTTCTTAACTTAGGTTTCTTTTTTGTGATGAAGCTAAGGCTTGTGTTTTAGAAAATAACAGCAACCAATTAGGTTCTCTCAAAAATACTTTTTATTTCTTATATAATACTTAAGATTACCAAAGACATAAATTACAGTAAGTCCTCACTTAACATTGTTGTTCTTGGAAACTGTGATTTTAAGCAAAATTATGTATAACAAAATCAATTTTTTCTAATCAACCTTATAATGACATGATGTTTAACTAACCAATGTTATTCAAGGACCTGCTGTATGTCATTTCACTTAAAGTCACAGTTTCCAAGAACCTATATCAATGACATTAAGTCAGGATTTACTGTATAAATATTTCCTAGTCAAAATCCTATGTCAGGCCAGTTATTCTTTCATTTTGAGAAATCAAAGTGAGAAAGGTCTTGACTTGAAGAACAAAACAATTTCCTTCCTATTATTAGAAGCTAATTGGGTAATAAAGCCCAAAGTACAATCAACATCTAATACCCTAGTTAGGCATACTCCAAGCAATATCAAAAACATTTAAATTATCCCTGTGTTCACTATGAGGTTGACTTGCTTGTAAATAAATATGACTATTATTCAATTATCTATATTTGATGTCAGCAACCTTCTTCCTTGATTTTATTTTTCTACTTCAATAAGCCCACTACTTATACTTGTGTGTATGTTTTCTTTTTCCTCTTACTCTATATTTAAATACCACATGCTTGAGAAAGAAGATAAATAGGTAATATTTTTGCATTTGTAGAAGTTCTTCAGAAGCATACAGACTCCTCGATGACGTACGTCTTTTTTTTTTTTTTTTTTGAGACAGAGTTTCGCTGTTGCCCAGGCTGGAGTGCAATGGTGCGATCTCGGCTCACTGCAACCTTCGCCTCCCAGGTTCAAGCTATCATCCTGCCTCAGCCACCCAAGTAGCTGGGATTACAGGCACCTGCCACCACAGCTTGGCTAATTTTTTGGATTTTTACTATAGATGGGGTTTCACCACGTTGGCCAGGCTGGTCTCAAACTCCTGACTTCAGGTGATCCACCCACTTCAGCCTCCCAAAGTGCTGGGATTACAGGCGTGAGCCAACGCACCTGGCCCAATGACATACTTCTAACCACACCATGAATATTTTATAGTAGTTCTACCACAAGACAGTAAAACGTGTTACTTGGTATGATTATATTTGTCAAAATTTCCTTGTATTTGCAACACTTTTTCCCTGTATACCTACACATATTTGTTCTAAGAAAAGTACTATATAATCTGCTTTTTCCAATCATTCATCTTCCCATTTCAGTAAGTATATTTCAAGCACATCACTACATAGTACTTTGTAACATTCCCTTGTATTAACACAACATCATTTAATCAATCCTATATTGTTGACTACTTGAGTTATTTTCATTTTATTAATTATAAACAGCAAAATGATGAATACACTTGTACATATATCTTTGTAACACATTTCTCATTGTTTTCTAACAATATTCTAGAAGAATTTGAAATAGAGGGGGTGAAAGAAAGGGGTGGAGAGATGAGGGAGATAAAGAAGGGAACAAGGGAAAAAGATGACAGAGAGGTGAGATAAGACATTTTTTTAAAAAAGATATAAAAGAGAATGCCTATGTTTATTAGCAGAGTTGCTGTTTTATCATTTTCAGCAAATTCCTATTAAATGTACCTAGGCTGAAACTGTTATAATTTTTTTTTCCTTAAATAGCCATGGGTGCTACTAATTCTTTACAGTCTTAACAAACTGAACTATTCTTCTGGAAGCTTATTTTCTCTGCCTGGATATTTACAAGATTAATTTTTTATCTTTAATATTAAAAAATATTGCTAGACTGAGATTTGTAAGTCTTTTTACATCGAGTATTTTTCTTCCTAGAATATAGCAGTTTGCACACACAAGTATTTTTTAGTGCAGAAGTTTTCTCCAGCATCTCTCTGATTATTGTTTTGCCAGCAATTTCTAGTTTTTGTTTTATGCTTCAGAAAATGAGTTATCCATATGTTACACAGCTTTATGTTCCCTGTCCTCCATATCTAGCTCTTCTCTCTCATCCTTTTAGCTTTTCATTCCTCCTGGGATCTAGCAATAAACTTCCACCTATCACTGTTCTACCATGTAGTGAATTTTCCCTCATTTCTGCAACATAGTGGTCATTTGTAAGGATACATCAAGAGTTGTAAACTAAATGTGTATTTGTATTTCAGCTTACCCTCTGATTATTTTTAAACTGTTTGAATTGAGTTAAAATGTCTTTATAAATCAAGAATGTTTTCATAAATCAATGCTGACAGAGATTCTGAGGGTTTGAAAAGAAGGAGAAAGAAGGAGAATCCGGTAGGAAATTAACGTAAATGGGTCAAAAAAAGGAATGGAAATACTGTGGTAATTTTTTAAAATAAAAAATTCAGGGCCAGGCCCAGTAGCCTACACCTGTATAATCCCTGGACTTTGGAAGGTTGAGGCGGGCGGATCACGAGATCAGGAGTTCAAGACCAGCCTGGCCAACATGGTGAAACCCCGTCTCTACTAAAAATACAAAAATTAGCCAGGCATGCTGGCATGTGCCTGTAATCCCAGCTACCTGGGAGGCTGAGGCAGGAGAATCACTTGAACTCGAGAGGCGGAGATGGCCGTGAGCCGACATGGCACCACCGCACTCCAGCCTGGGCATCTTTAAAAACAAAACAAAAAACAAAACAAAAAAACAAACAATTCAGGATAAAAATAAGAATTTAGGCCGGGCACAGTGGCTCACGCCTGTAATCCCAGCACTTTGGGAGGCTGAGGCAGGCGACCATCCTGGCTAACACGGTGAAACCCCGTCTCTATTAAAAATACAAAAAATTAGTCAGGCGTGGTGGCAGGTGCCTGTAGTCCCAGCTACTCGGGAGGCTGAGGCAGGAGAATGGCGTGAACCCAGGAGGCGGAGCTTGCAGTGAGCCGAGATTGTGCCACTGCACTCCAGCCTGGGCGACAGAGTAAGACTCCATCTCAAAATAAATAAATAAATAAATAAATAAATAAATAAATAAATAAATAAAAAGAATTTTTTAAAAAATGGAAAGAGCTAGAAAAAAAGCAAATATTCTTAAGAACATTTAATTTCCAAACTCAAAAAAAAAATTTTTGTTTTCTTATACACTTTCTGAAAAGCCAAATTATTAACAGTGACTATCTTAGACAAAATATTTAGGGACATTAATTTACTAAATCAATAAAACCTTTACATTAAGAAGTTTTAGTCAAGCTAACTAGTGAGATATATCTTACACAGAACAGCATTAGGCATGCATGAGCAGCAAAACCAAACAAAGCTTATTTGCTATTAATGAAAGATTATATTATTTTTACAAATGTTAAGGATAGAAAGCTTCAATGAGACTGAATTGGTAGAAACCATTTAGGGGAGTGCTAAAAATAAAAAAAAACAAAGGCTACTCAATTTAATAACACAAAACTGAAAACTACTTAGTAAAAATAAATATAATTTTAACTTAGTGATAAAACAGAAAAAGATTAGCAAATCTTTCTTAAAGATATTTTTCATTCAAACCAAGAAAAAGCAATCAAACAAAAAGAACTATAATAGTGACAATTTTGAGAACCTAACATTTTCTTAGAGAAACCATAATTTTGCATATTAATTACCTACTAAAGGGTGCTTTTTGAAATGTAAAAGAAAATTAAGAATTGAGAAATATTTAACTATTTCATAAGGAAAACAATTCAATAAAGGTAGCCATATATACAAGTTTAAGAGAGTATATGTTGGCATACTCATTGACTTTTTAAGGAAAGAATGTGTACATATTACAAACAAAAGAACCTTTCCTTCTACTTTACCACTCAAGGAATCTTCTATAACAGTCATAAAAATGGGGATTGAGGGTAGAAACAAAAAGAACAAAATACCTTCACTTCATTTATTCAAACACACAGATTCATCATTGCAGTTAGTAAAAAAAACACATTCTAATAATATAACTTTATTTCTGCCTTTGTATCTTCTAGCAAGATAACTATAGACACAGAGCTGTTATTTACTATAAAAAATTTTTTCTCTAATAATTGTAAAAACTCATTTTTGGACACTGGTGTATACTATAAAATCTTAACTACTGACTATTAACTAGTATCAAACAACCTACACCTTATTTTTACTCTTCATCTTTGCAGAAGATGCACATGGTTCCATTCTTATTTCTAAAGATCAAAGCACATCAGAAATTACACATAAGCTTTGCTTGTCACTGCATTAAACATTGTTGCTTTCTGATACTGCATTAAACAAACACATTCTCAATTATCAGGTAAAAAGTAAAACTTAGGGAATGGAAGCATGGGGACCCAACAAATTGGATGAAACAAAATAATCAACTACTTCCCAACTATAACACTTTTTATCTAATGTATAAGAAGAGAAGGCAAGAAAATCTGATTAAGTAACATGTTAATAAGATGTTAAGAATGAGCATTAGAAAACTTAAAAGAAAATCCTTAAGTTATTTGGAAAAAGAAGTAATATTATTAAAAAAAAATTAAGAAACAACGAAGACTAGTCAATCTTACCAGATACCACATTAAGTACTATACTAATACAAATTGAAAATGACTGATGGAATATGATGTGATGTTTTAAAATTACTTAGTAACTGCTATTAAAACACCCATCGATTCAGAGAAACAAAATGAACTTTTAAAATACATACTTATTATATACCCTGCTATGGTCTGTATGTTTGTGTCCTCCCAAAAAAATCACATGTTGAAACCTGATTCCCAGTGTGATGGAATTAAGAGGTGGGGCCTTCAGGAGGTGACTAGGTCATACGGGTGGAGCGCTCATGAATGGAATTAG
Organism: Homo sapiens; assembly: GCF_000001405.40. Lineage (NCBI taxonomy): Eukaryota > Metazoa > Chordata > Mammalia > Primates > Hominidae > Homo > Homo sapiens. The sequence continues at coordinate 67,331,394 of NC_000008.11, forward strand.
TGCCCTTATAAAAGAGGTGTATTTCACTCTTCTACCATGTGACAACACAACTAGAAGGTGCTGTCTATAAGGAACCAGCCATCACCAGATATGGAATCTGTCAGCACCTTGATCTTTGAATTCCCAGTGAGAAATAAAGAACTGTGAGAAATAAATTTCTGTTGTCCATAAGCCACCCAGTTTACAGTATTCTGTTATAGTAGCTTAAACAGACTAAGATATACTCTAATAACCCTCAAGAAAAAAAGGATGAAAAATATCAAATTCATAGAAAATGAAAGTACAGATATCCTAACTATAAAGAGGAATTTTTATGTCTTTGTTTTTCACTCTTAGAACAGAAAAAAAAAATGCAAAGGAAAGATGAAGTGATAAAACACTGATCAAAACCAATAAATCTAAAGACAGCAAATTCTCTGTCTTGTCCTCCTCAGTGCTCTGTTGTTTATTTGTACCTAGCACAGGTATACTATGTATGGCAACCTTGCCTTAAGGAACAGTCATGAATGACCACACTCTAATCCAACAATCAAAATCTTAAGAGTTTATTTTAAACAGTTCTGCATATATAACAAACACTAAACAAACTCTGCAAGGGATTAATTTAAAAAAAAAATCTGTGCAGCAAAACTTAAATGTAACATGTCCCCAAACTCAAAAATATTTAAACAAATGACACACTGTTAAAATGCTAGGTAGGAAGACAACATAGATATATAGAAAATGCACATGAAATATTGATGAGAGAACAGAAAATCATGACAATTACACAATAAGTACTTTTATATACTTACATATGAAGTCACTGAGATTTACAACTAGTTATTTTAAGATAAAGTCTTATTGGTAATTTCACATAACATAACATTTTAATAAGATTTTGTTCTTGTATCAATTCTTAAAATGATTTGAAATGTTACAAAATATTAATATAAAAAGCAAATGAGAGTAGTTTTAAACGGTTAGGCATAGAAGCACAATAAAAGCTAACCTATCCTGAATCCCTGGGAGGTGTTACAGGGCACATTAAATTTCCAAATGGCTTAAATTACTGACACTTTACTTTAAAATTAAATCTTAGAAGATACATACACACGAATTTGCCTGACTTCTTAAGCAGAAAAGAGAATTAAAATTATATTGTACACGACAGATTTGGGGATCCCATGATGAACACATGAATATTTACCCTGGAGATTCACTGAAATGTACATGGCAATATTTTCCTGTATTGCTGTTATTTCTATGTCTGTTCAGTATATGGCCCTTTTTCTCTTTTTGACAGTGCCTTTCTTTCTACAGTTGCCCTTCTTTTCCTTTTTGTATTGTTACTTACAAACATGTAGTACTGTGATTAAAGGTGCAGCACAGGACTGACACATTAGGCCAAAAAGCAGAGTGCAACACAACTCCCAAGATGACTATGTAGGCTCTAAGGTCATATTCGAATTCTGCCAAACACAAACTCATTTTCTTCATTTGCAAAATGCAGGTAATAACAGAACCTAAGCATATAGGGTTGTTCTGAGGACTAACTGAGATAAAGTCAATGAAGTATTTAATTGGCACGGAAACTGGCATACAGTAAACACTCAATAAATGTTAGCTATTCTTTTTCCTCCTATTATTGCCTTAAAAATTAAATACTTTTTTTTTTTTTTTGACAAGAGTCTCACTCTGTTGCCAGGCAGGAGTGCAGTGGCGCAATCTCAGCTTACTGCAACCTCCACCTCCCGGGATCAAGCGATTCTCCTGCCTCAGCCGCCCGAGCAGCTGGACTACAGGCACGCACCACCACAGCCAGCTAATTTTTGTATTTTTGGTAGAGACAGGGTTTCACCATGTTGGCCAGGATGGTCTCGATCTCCTGACCTTGTGATCCGCCTACCTCGGCCTCCCAAAGTGCTGAGATTACAAGCATGAGCCACCATGCCTGGCCTTTTTTTTTTTTTTTGAGACAGGGTTTCACTCTGTCACCCAGGCTGGAGTCCAGTGGTGGGATCACAGCTCACTGCAGCCTCAACCTTCTGGGCCACCTCATCCTCCCAAGTAGCTTGTGCACACCACCACACCCAGTAATTTTTTTTTTTTAGTATTTTTTGTAGACACACGGTTTAGCCATGTTACCCAGGTTGGTATTGAACTCCTGGGATCAAGGGATCTCCCTGTCTTGGCCTCTTTAAGTGCTGGGATTTCAGGTGTGAGCCGCCACATCTGGCTGTTCAATTTTTTGAAGAATATGCTTGTGCATGTCCATGCTCCCATGTATGTGTGTGTAGAATGAAGTTTTGGAAAAATACAGGTTGAGCATTCCTAAACTGAAATGTTCCAAAATCTGAAACTTTTTGAGAACTGACATGAAGCCAGAAGTGAAAAATTCCGAATCTCATCTCACGTGATGGGTCACAGTCAAAACACAGTCAAAATTTTGTTTCATGCACAAAATTAACAACAGTGCATAAGACCAGGTGCAGTGGCTCATGCCTGTAATCCCAGCACTTTGGGAGGCCAAGGTCAGCGGATCACCTGAGGTCAGAGTTTGAAACCAGCCTGGCCAACATGGCAAAACCCCATCTCTACTAAAAATACAAAATTAGCTGAGCATGGTGGCGCATGCCTGTAATCCCAGCTACTTGGGAGGCTGAGACAGGAGAATCACTTGAACCTGGGAAGCGGAAGTTACAGTGAGCTGAGATCGCACCACTGCACTCCAGCCTGAGCAACAATAGCTAAACTCCGTCTCAAAAAAAAAAAAAAAAAAAAAGAATAGTGCATAAAATTACCTTTGGATTGTGTATAAGGTGGATGTGAAACATTAGTAAATTTTGTGTTTAGACTTCAATCTCATCCCCAAGATATTTCATTATGTATATGCAAATATTCCAAAGTCCAAAAAAAAAAAAAAAAACAAAATTGAAAACATTTCTGATCCCAAGCATTTCTGATAAAGGATATTTAATCTGTACTTCAAAAAGTTAACAGTGTTTCAATGAAGTAACACTTCATCATAACAACTAGGATGGCTAAAAATAAAAAGGCAGTAACAAATATTGGTGAGAATTTGAAGAAACGGGAAGCCTCATACACTGCTGGTGGGTATGTAGGCTGGAAAAGAATTTAGCAGTTTCTTAAAAAGTTAAACATAAATTTATCAAGTGGCCCACCAATTCCCTTCCCAGTTTGTCTACCTAGGACAAATAACAGTTTACGTCCACACAAAGACTTATACACAAATATTCATGGCAGTATTATTCATTCAACCCAAATATCCATCAACTGGTAAATGGATAAACAAAATATAGGATATCTAAACAATGGAATGCTATTCATCAATAAAAGGAAATGAAGTGTGGATACAAACTTCATGAATGAACCTCAAAAACATACTGAAAGAAACCAGACACTAACGACCACCTGTGTATAACTGCATTTCATGAAATGTCCAGAAAAGGCAACTCTAAAGACAGAAAATAGATTAGTGAATGCCAGAAGCTAGGGATGACAACAAGGGCACTACAGATTTTATTGAGGTAATAGAAATGTTCTAAAACTGGATTTATGCTGATGGCTGCATAATTCAGTAAATTTACCAAAAATCATTACACTCAAAAAAAGTAAATACTATAGTATGTAAATCATTTATCAGAAAGTTGTTTTTCAAAAAGTTAACAGTAGTTATTTATCTTCAGCTAAGAGTATCACGGTAAATTTTTTTTTTTTTTTTTTTTTTGAGACAGAGTCTCACTCTGTCACCCAGGCTGGAGTGCAGTGGCGCAATCTCGGCTCACTGCAAGCTCCGCCTCCCGGGCTCACACCATTCTCCTGCCTCAGCCTCCCAAGTAGCTAGGACTACAGGCGCCCGCCACTACGACTGGCTAATTTTTTGTATTTTTAGTAGAGACGGGGTTTCACTGTGTTAGCCAGGATGGTCTCGATCTCCTCACCTCATGATCTGCCCGCCTCAGCCTCCCAAAGTGCTGGGATCACAGGCGCCAGCCACCACGCCGGGCCCCGTATCACAGTAAATTTTATTGTTGTAGTTACACTTTTGAAAATGATTTGAAGGATTCGTTTATAAAAAATATCAAATTACCAAACTTACTGGAATTATAAAAGCATACAGACTGAGTAAAAGCCATAGAGATTCTCTTCTATATAAAGTGCTTGGCCTTCAAAATATGTACTTTGACTGCTTATATTTTTATTATTTCTTAGCAAAGTTCTGACAGATGAGGATTGTTAAACAGCTGATTAAATGAAGTCTCAATGTACACATTTTTGTTAAGAAAAATTAATAGCCTCACATGGCGTTTCCTAAAGACACGCCAGTGGTAATATGAAATATTTTAAAGATTTTCTTTTTTTTTTTTTGAGACGGACTCTCGCACTGTCTCTCGGGCTGGAGTGCAGTAGCACAATCTTGGCTCACTGCAACCTCCGCCTTCCAGGTTCAAGCGATTCTCCTGCCTCAGCCTCCTAAATAGCTGGGATTACAGGCGCCCACTGCCACCACGCCCGGCTAACTTTTTGTATTTTTAGTAGAGACGGAGTTTCACTATGCTGGCCAGGCTGGTCTCGAACGCCTGACCTCATGATCCACCTGCCTCGGCCTCCCGAAGTGCTGGGATTACAGGCGTGAGCCACCGCGCCCGGCCATTTTAAAGATTTTCAAAGACTTTTCTGAATGAAAAGATAACATAGGTTATATAAACAAATTTAGTTACATCAAGTCTAAGTCTAAGCAAAACAAAATATCAAAAGCAGAACACAAAACTTTTTAAATATTCTTAAATACTTGAGCCCAGACCTTTTAAGAAGCTTTTCAAGAGCCTCTACTTATAACACACTAAAGCCTCAGAATAACTGCTTTCTAGATTCATGAAACAATCAGAGATGAGCCAAAGACAGGATCTGATTGTGTAAACATATGTACAGTAGACTCTGTAAGTGGAAACTTGAATAAAGAAATCAAAATGGGTCTGAAAAGTTAGGATAAAAGGGAACTTGCATTCATTTCCTAAGGCTGCCTTAATAAATTACCATAAATTTGGTGGCTTAAAACAACAGAAATTTCCTCTCATAGTTCTGGTGGCCCAAAATCTAAAATCAAGGTCACAGCAGAGCTATGCTACATCCAAAGGGAAGAATCCCTCCTTGCCTCTTCCTACTTCTGGTGGCTTCTGGCATTCCATAGCATGTGGCAGCAGTAACTGATCTCGTCTCCATTTTCACATGGACTTTTTCCTTTGTATGTGACTGTGTCCCTTCCTCTTCCTTAAAAGGACACCATTCACTGGATTTAGGGCCCACCTAAAGGCTCTAAGTTGAGGATCTCAACTTCACCTTGAGATCTTTCACTACATCCACAAAGTTCCTATTCCAGGAAAAGAACCAGACAAGTGAAAGGCTCATTTCTTTGATAAAAAAACCTCCCTGCAAAAAACCTGACAAGGCAGGCCGGGCGCGGTGGCTCACGCCTGTAATCCCAGCACCTTGGGAGGCCAAGGCAGGAGGATCACAAGGTCAGGAGATCGAGACCATCCTGGCTAACACGGTGAAACCCCATCTCTAATAAAAATACAAAAAAAATCAGCCGGGCGCGGTAGCGCTACACGAGATTAGCTACTCGAGAGGCTGAGGCAGGAGAATGGCGTGAACTCGGGAGGCGGAGCTTGCAGTGAGCCAGGATCGCGCCACTGCACTCCAGCCTGTGTGACAGAGCGTGACGCCGTCTCAAAAAAAAAAAAAAAAAAAAAAACAGACAAAACAAATTGAAATTATTTTGTGTTATTCTCAGTAGAAAATATCCTATTATATCATCTGAAAATTCTATCATTAAAACATTCTAAAATACATATAAAAGGCAGGATGAAAATGTTTTACTGTCTAAAAATCTATTTCCCAAAGGCTTTTTCTATCCTAGTGTCCCCCATTGAGGTGAATGCCATCTTCCTCTACCCTGAAGCTCTGGCTACAAGACTGGATGCCATCCCCTCTGTTAACCAACCCATCAGCAAATCCTGTGGATTCCAAAATATATTCCAAATGCACACAATTATCACCCTTTCCACCACCACCAACTTAGCCTAAGTCCCCATGGTCTCTGGCCACAGTGAGCCTTTAAAAACATAAACATGCTGTCACTAAAATCCCAAATCTGCCCACCCCCTCCCATCTTTCTCTCTGTCTCTCTCCCAGCCACACAAGCCTCCTTGCATCCTGAAACACACCAAGCACACATCCATCTTGCTATTTCCTGTTTCTATTTCATCCAAGTATCTGAAAGACTAAATCCCCCACTTATGTCACTTCTTTGCTCAAATGTCATCTCACAGATAGGACTTTCCTGACAACTCTAACTAAATCAGTACTCCCACCCTTTTCCCTTTAACCTTCTGAACTCTTTCTTCTGATGATATAAGGTTGTTACTATCACCCTCACCCCACTAGAATGTGTGTTCTATGAAAGCATGTTTGGTTCACTGCTGTATACCCAGCAATGAAGTAGTATCTGGAACATATGAGGAGTTCAACAAATATCTGATTGAAATATATACCTAGTTCGGAATGGCAACAATAACTTACTCATGTATTTTTCCTTTTCAAATATCTTCCTTCCTCCATTATGTGAGGAATATTATGACAAATATTTCCCCAAATTATTTCCCATTCACAATTTTCTCTCTAAGTTAAACCTTACCAAGAGACACAAATGAGTTACCTGCCCCTAGATGGGGTGGGAAAGAAAGCTAGTCAGCAAACAGTCCTCTGATCTCGATATTTCTACTGCTCCTTATTTCGGACTTTCTTCTCCTTCCCACACTATTAACACATCTACTACTTTCCCCAAACCTGTGTTTAGAGAAACACAGGTTTGTGCACTGATTTCCCCAAACCTCTTCTAGAAGATGGTCTCACCAGTAGTTAGGGTTATTGTACTTGTCTTTCTTTCCCCAGTGTCCCAAAGTAAGTTCCAAGGAACAACATATCCTAGGGGAGTTAACTGAGTTAGCAAACAATGAAAAAGGATCACATAAATTCAGGAAGAACTTCATTAAACAAAATTGAGCAGGTGTCTTTCTTGGAGGACTTTTCAGAATCTTAACTATGTTCATGTGCATTATAAATTTCCCAAATGGAAACAGATTACACACTATAATCCAAACTTATTTTTTCAACCCAAACTTATTTTCTTCAAAGAGCTTCTCTAAGAACTTGTACTCTGCAACATTTATTTCAGTCAACACTATTCTAGAGCAAGTGTCCTAAAAACAAATCTGAAATGTGAAAGAAAAGAACAAATACAAATAGGATCAATCTTTCGGTTATGTCATTAATTATACTCTTTTCTTCTACCCATCTCAAAAATTCAGGTAGCCTGGCTTACTGAAAACACCTTTTACTTTAGATATCAAAGAAGGCTTAAACGGAGATTTGTTAATGGATTTAAATTATAATTAAGGTGTTCACTGATGGCAGGATATTGTTTGGGGATAAATCATTTTTTCATAAATGGTGAAGAGTGATGAAAATTAATAGTTACCAAAAGTAGCATAAAACCAGGGCCCAAAGCATTCAAGTAATTTCCCCTCCACTGACGTATCTTTTTTATAACTCCACCAACAAAAATAAGGGTGGGATTAAAGGGGCAGAAGGAAGCAAGTTCTGAAAAGTTTGAGTCTCAATATTGTATCTCTGGATGAAACTATAATTACAGGTAATAGACTCTTATATAAGAAAACTAAGTCAGCAGGATCACTTTATAATATGATGAACAATATAAATTCATACCCTGTCTGATGCAAAAATTACTTCCCTAACAATTTTGTCTCCATTATTTTCCCATATACCTCCTGGGAACCCACCCTTATCACTGCCAGTATATGCCTCCCTTCCCTTTAAAACCTTCTTCTGGTCAGCTCTTCAACTTTTTCACTCTTATTGTGTATCAGTGACAGTTTCCAACCTTGAACTCTTTCATCCTAACATTTGCAGAGTATCTTCATAGATACTCTTCATTCGATGTCAGAAAGCATAAGCTGAACTAGTCACAACCCTAACATAAAAGAAACTCCTGAAACTTAGAGGCCTTACTGGAATAAGTCCCAACTGCACCCTCCCTAGCAGATAAACAATGCTACCTTCAAGCCCAATCCCACAACAATCCTAAATTCTTTGAAACTAAAAATAGCTCAGCTGTTGTCTCATCTGCCAGCAGATGGCCAGACTATTTTTAAGTCAGGATTCTCGAGAGCAGGAATGGATCAGGCTAAGCTAGGGCAGCCTAGACTCCCTCTCTCTGCAGAGAGCTGTAGTAGGGCAGGTACCAAAAGAGGGCAACCTGGAGCTGTTCCTGGGCCTGTGGGCTTCTTATCAGTTGTAACAGTGTAACAGTGTGGGGCGGGGGGGGGGATTCTTTCTTTTTTAACCATTCTTTACTTCAAAATGAAGTCTGACATAAGAAAATTTGAAAAACGTTTTACATTAACTCTGCATCCCTTTAAAGGTTTATTTTTCTTTCTGTGAAAATAAAAGTTCCTTGAGAAGTCTTTGAGAATGGATTGTTTTAATGAAGTAAAATTTCCCCTAATCTACATGCTGTTTCATAAGTTATACTTTTTGACAAAAAAAAAAGTTTTAAGAATACACAATAAGCTGTAATTTCATGAGTATAGTTTACAGAAAATCCATCTATAATTGGCCATATGTTAAAAGGTAGCTGAATTAATTTTGAATGGCAATACTCAGAAATCTACTCACATGCCAATACAATGATTTTCAAACAAAAAAGGATTAAATGTCTGACATACTATGTATTTTCCTGTTAACTGTCCATCTCCCTTCAGCTGTATGCTCAATAAATATTTGGGGAAAGAATGAAGACAGACAGGTGGGTATTTAGAAGGGTTATAACACCACCCACAAAATGATCTCTGTATCTTCACCATCCAACACCTACCCACTCACAATCTATAGAACCGAGAGGACTAAATCAGGCCTTTTCAGTTTGCTTTCCCATCCTGCTTAATGGCCACATAGATTACCAACAGACCAGAGCGGGCCTGGCCCAGGTCTCAATAGTGAAGTGGAGAAGATAAGTCTCTAACGGTCTTCAAGGACAATACATTTGTGGGAATACCATCTTCCTGCAAAATATACTTTCTGCAAAGACAAAATGAGTTATGCTTATCAATTTATGTTTGGGTGGTGATGTAGATAGACTGCAAGGGAAGAAACAAAGTTCACCAGGGATTAGCTACCATGAGATTACTGAGATTTTGCTTTGTTGGAGGCTAAATGTAACTTTACGAAATGTGGGAAAAAATGCCTCATACATCTCAAGTAAATAAAGTACTGTGGTGCCTAGCCCTTCCCTGGATAGTCACATTCCTCGTAACAAGCTTCTATTGAGTATACAGAAGGGACAAAAAAGTAAAAACTGTCAAAATCTGGAATAGACAACCCTGGTACAGTTGGCACACATATCAAGTAATCCCGACCTCCAGAAATGGCAAGGACCATTTAGAGCGCTATAGGCCCTCTAAAGATGATGCTCATGAGTGGTAGGGAATACCCAATGCACGAGTTAACAGGACAGTGCAATCACATTTATGGCACATTAGAGGAGATGTGACCATACAATCATTAAGTTCAATACCCTAATTTTACAGAGAACTTAAGGCCCAGGGACTTGCCTAATACTACAACGTAACAGAACTGGGATTTAAACCTAGGATCTCAGACTCTCATTCCAGTAGGCTCTCCATTAAAATATGCTTACTTATGTTACTACTTTGGAGAAGGAAAATATATACATACACACAACACACTCCATTTCTTCAGTTTGATACTTACAATTTAATGTATTAAAAATATGTTGTAACATGAAAAATCTGAATTATAAAAAATTAAGGCCAGGAGAGGTAGCTCATGCCTATAAACTCAGCACTTTGGGAGGCCAAGGTGGGAGGCTCTCTTCAGCCCAGATTTGGAGACCAGCCTGGGCGATATAGAGAGACCGCCATCTCCACCAAAAAAAAAAAAAAAAAAAAAAAATTAGCCAGGTGTGGTGGTGTGCCTGAAGTCCCAATTACTTGGGAGGCTGAGGCAGGAGGAATGCCTGATCCTGGGAGTTTGAGGCGGCACTGAGCACTGATTGTGTCACTGCGCTTCAGTCTGGGTGACAGAGCAAGCCCCTGTCTCAAAAAACAAACAAAAATTTAAAACTTTAATTTGAATCTCTCTAAAGTTCTTCAACCTTCAAGTAATTTACAAACCTACATATAACAATTCTTTTAAAAATCCTGAAATCACTTTCTCCCCAGTCTCACTCCAATTTAATATTATTCCTTTCAGGATCTAGATATAAATACAGTTTTTGCCACTAGACAACTGTCTTCTCATACACCGGGAACAGTCTTTTGTTAGCTACAAAAATAACAAAATGCAAACTTCTGGTCGATAAGTAAGGTGAAAAAATAATCTTAAGCCCCTAATACTACACATTCAAATGTTTTAAGATGAAATTTCTTCGACGTTTTTCATATTACCAATTTTAACGATCTAGGAAAAAAAAACTACAGTATATTACAGCAAATTAAATGGTAGTCTTCCATTTAATAATTAAAAGCTAATTTTAAGTTGTCTAGACTCCTTAACTCTAGCATACTTTAAGTTATTGTGGATTTTTCCCCTTTCAAGAATGCTTTTTTGTAAAGCCCATTTAACAAGCTTCCTTTTCTTGCCAATTTGACCTAGTGTATTTCCAGTGCTATAAAGTGTAAACATTAGGAATGTATCTTTGTGTTAAATGTTCTGGTCTCTCAAACGATTTCAACTTTGATGGATGCAATAGATCTAACAATGTTCCCCCTTTAACAACTCCTCATCTGCCTAACCTCATAGGTAGGAGGTATTGTTTGGATTTTCCCTGCTGCGGGCTTCATTACACTAGATCTCTTCCATCTGAACTATAAATCACAATTCAAGCTTGAGAGCAGCTGCCACTGTCCAGACATGTGGCTGGTGGGTGTCATTGTCTTTTTCATTTTCCTCATTTCAAACCCTCCCTTCCCTTGTCACCTAAAGCCATTTTATCTAAAGGTTCTTTGCTTCCCTGCTTTCATGCCGCCACCCCCACCCTCACCCCTTAACCACCGGTCTTGTTCTTCCAGGTCAGCCCAGTCAGATACAATATTACTCTATGTTTTTCCTGTGGCGGAGGCGGAGAGATGTCAGAACGGGCTGCACCTCTTGCAAACCCCTTCTCAAGACTGTCAACAAGGAAACAACTTCAGCAGCCTATCTCCCCAAAGTACCTCGCCAAACGAAAAAGTTATTGTTAATTATGATACGGAACCTTTCCCACACCCAATCTTGACATACCAGCCCCACCTCAATTTCCAAGCTAATAAACAACAGCTCATCTTCTGCTTCATCACAAAGGGTGGTATCCAGTCCGCACCTCACGGACCACCAACAAAATCCTCTCACTCTCAAGTCGATCCCTCGAACCCAGGTGCCCCGCGATCCTAAGCCCTGCCGCGTTTCCCGAGCCCAGCTCACTGCCCTTCCTCCTCTACCCCGCCTCTGCCCCACATCCAGCCGAGTTCCTGTCAACTCCAGACAGGGAACAGAGGGCTCCGCGAGGGCTTCCCGAGGTCAGAGGCGCGGGCCTCGGGCAAGCCCCGGGCGACCCCACCCCCCCACAGGCGCCCCCCTCCCCGCCCCACAACAAGCACCCCATCCCCCGGGCCTCCTCCCCGCTCACCTAACGCCACCTCGCAAGCTTTGCGCAGCTGGGAGTGATGCGCCTTCTTCACTTCCTTGTCGGCCAATATCTTCTCCAGAGCCCGGGTCAGGAACATGTTCTTCGTCTTCTTCCCCTCATACATGGACGCAGAGAAGGAGGCGGCGGCTCGTCCGACCCGCGGCTCCCAGCGGCTGGAGGGGAGGAGGAGGAGAGGAAGGAAGAGAAGAGAGAAAGGAGAGGGGGTGGAGGTGGGGGATTGGAGGCGTGGAGGGCAGCGGCAGGATCAGGAAGGGGCGGGCGAGCGGGACCAGCCGCGGTGTCGGCGAAGGGCGTCGAGGTCCTCGCCGCCCCCAAGAAGCCGTACCTCGAGGGCCGCGCCCGTCGGGCCTCCGCTTCTCCCGGCCCGGGGGTCGCGTCCCGGCCGCCCCTCTCACTCGTCCCTCCGGCCCTGGTGGCGGTGAGGGAGCCCGGCCCGGGCGGCTGTCTGCCGGGAACTGAGGGACGAGGTGGCGGCGGCTCTCAGAGGCACCGCGAGAGAAGGGCTACCCTGGCTACTGTGGGGATTAGCACCCGCCGCGGCCGCGAACTGGCCCCCATCACCGCCGACCTGCCCCGGCCGCCATGTTGGGAGGAAACGACGCGTCACGCAGCGGCCGAACGGCTGCAGACGAGGAAGCGGCGGCGGCGGCGGCGGCGGCGGCGCTCCCTGCCCAGAGCTGCCGCGGCGCCGGGAGGCTGGGGGCGGAGGGCGGCGCGGGAGGAGCGGCCCGAGCCGCAGCGCTACGGCGGCCCGGCGGGGCCTCCAGCGTTCGCCTGCAGGGCGGCGTGGGGCGTGGCGGGCCTCTGGTGGCACCGCGCCCAGCACTTCGGGCTCTTGGTGGCGGCCGAGCTGCGGGACCAGAGATCCCCCCACTCGGCACCCCTGCTCCTGCCGAGTGAACAGGACTCCTGGCTACTCTGCACTGGCTTTCTAACTTTCTGATGGGGGTGCAGTCCTTTGCATTCCAGGGGTCACAGCAACACCCGCATCGCCCGTTCTCAGCCGCAGGGTCTCCGCCTGCATCACTCGACTCTAAAATTTCCTTCCCTAGTGCACGGAACTGCTGTCCAGGACTCTGCTCTCCGACTACCTCAGGGAGGATTCTGTTTTGGGAAAAGTAAGCCAAAACCTATTGATAAGGGTTCAAAAATGTTTCACTTTTTTCTCTCTCTGTCGGATAAATCGGTCAACTCTAGATTTCAGGTCCCTTCTGAATTGACTCAGTTAAGGTGAATGGTTGTGAATGAGGTCCCTTAGAGTTCTGTGTTTCTGTGCCTTTAATACTAAGATTTAGTCCAGGACATGTAAACCAGTTTAGAATGGAAAAGCTTTAAGTACAAACAGATTAACACACGTGACCATGTGTTTGCTTTAGTCTGAGTGTAGAACTCAAATTTCTGCAGTATTTAATTTCTACAGTTTCCTTCTGAGCAGAAAAAGAATACCATAAAAATATTTGCAAACATTATATATGGTGATCTAGGGTCACGTCTCCAAGTTCTAAGCTTCTGTGGCTCCACGCACACAGGTTCCCTAATGTTTACTATGCATCTGTCACTGTTCTGTTCTATTAGATTGCCTTAACTATAGGCTTGTCCTAACGTAACCATCCAAACCTAAGGAAGGAGAAACTTAAGTGACTCTGTGAACTTAGTGAAGTGACCAGATTTAGGAAGGCTAAAACCCAGAGGAAATAAAATGGAAAACTTGAAGGTGACAAATTAAAGTGGAAAAATAGATTAATTTTTTTAAACTTTATTGTCCTGAGAAACAAATCTATAAATTCATTAATTTTATTTTAGAGACTATCTCTAGATTCCTGGAAATGAAGGATTCATTATACTCTTAGATCAGATATAATACTGATTTCTGTGTATACGTTAATAAACTTTTTTAGAACAAGTTCCATTTCTTTTATTTTTTTCTTCCCTTCTTTCACAGGTGTTGATCCATTTCTAATTCATCTTTGTTTCTTCATAATGGAGTGTTGTGCCAGGTACTGTTGAGGGTACTAGCTGATCACCAAACCCATTTACTCTTCTTTCTTAGTATAGAATTGCATTGTCCAGCCTCCCTTGAAGTTAGGTGTAGCCATCCAGGCTTAACCTATTGTTAAAAAACCAACAAGAAATTCCCACAAGCAATCTTTCATGCTGTTTCCCTTTTTTTTTTTTTTCTTTTGGTAGAGATGGCATCTCACCATGTTGAACTCGTGGCCTCAAGCGATCCTCCTGCCTCAGCCTCCCAGTGCTGAGATTACAGGCATAAGCCACCATGCCCAGTCTCTCTTTTCCCTTCTATGGCCACAGCTGAAGATGGCAGAACCACAAGTTAGGAGTCTTAGTTTCTGAATTGGAACTCTTGGAGAAGAACCATCTAGAATAACTATTTTGTACTTTACATGAACGAAGCAGACTCTTCGGTTATGTTTAGCTGTCAGCTTTATCGTAAAACATACTTGGGATTCATTGATGAACAAGACAAGCTGGCACCTGTAGTCCCAGCACTTTGGGAGGCCAAGGCAGGAGAATGGCTTGAGGCCGGGATTTGCAGATGAAACTGGGCAACGTAGCAAGACACTGTCTTTACAAAAAATAAAGAAAAATTAGCCAGGCACGGTGGCATCCACCTGTAGTTGCAGCTGCTCAGGAGACTGAGGAGGAAGGATCGCTTGAGCTCAGGAGTTCGAGGCTGCAGTGAACTATGATATGATAGTGCCACAGCATTCATAATCATCTCATCTGCTTGCCTTGCTTGTTGATTGGTTGCATGTTTCTCTCATAAGTGCAGGGACCTCATATCTCTGTCTATTCACTTCTGTGTGCCCATCATCTATTATATTGCTGGCATAGAGAAGGCCTTTGCTATAAACTTATAGAAACTTGGATAAATGAAAGGCACCAGGCTAAGACAAGCATGATACCTGCCCTTTTGGACCTTACAGTATAGAGTAGGGAAAAGATATTAAGTCAGTAGTGAATATACAATTACAAATCTGTTGAGTATGATTAAAGAATAGAGTGCTGTGAGAGAAGGGAGAAGTAAATTAAATTGAGACCTGAAAGAAGAGTAGACATTAGCCAAACTAAGTCATGAAGAACTTTCCAGGCAAAGTCTCTTGGGGTAGGGGGAAGCTTGGCAAGTTTCAGGAAACAAAACAAGGCAGTGTGGCTGAAAGGATCAAGGAGAATGGTGCCAGTCAGGATGAAGAGGGAGCTAGGAACCAGATCATTCAGACTCTCGTAGGCCATGTTAGGGGGTTGCAATTTCATCGTAATAACAATGGAAATTCATTGAAAGGTTTTAAAAGTGGGGGATAAAGTGATCAAATTGGTGATTTTAAAATAATCCCTCTGTTACATGGAGAATGGATTGGAGGGGGAGAAGTGAGGATGTGGCAAAACATTTTAAGAAATTTATTACAACAGCGCAGGATGGCTTGGTCAGGTCCAGGGCCACCAAGCAAGGTTGTGGAGATCGTGGCACAAGGGAGCAAGTGTGGCTGAAATCCAGCCCCACTGTCTGCCCAAAAGAAGAGGCTTCTTTCACTAATTTGCATAAAGGTTAGCCCAGAAATGACAGTGGTAGCATGGAGATGGAGCAAAGTAGACAGATTTGGGATATACTTTGGTGGCAGAATAAACCGGACTTAATTAACTGGAGTGCAGGTTAGAGAGAGAAAGAGGTCACAAATGAATACCAGGTTTCTGCTGGGAACCAGTGAACAGTTGGAAATGCCATTTGTAGAGATAGGCTAGATGGAAGATTTGAGGGTAAAGAGTGTAGTTGTCAGTTTCAGAAGAATAAACTCCTCTGAGATATGACCTAACCCTCCCAGAAGGAATGATTTGCATCTTCCTTTGGGAGGACAACTCATCCTCTTCCCTTGCTGGGTTTACCCAAAAGGTGGTGGTGCTTGAGGGTGGAGGGGGGTAGGAGTAGTCTTACGAGATGGGCACTCCTATCCACTTGAAACTCAAGATACTAACTCAGACCTGTAGCAAAAATAGAGTAAGACTCTAGAATAAAGCTGATGCTCTTGGATATTTTCAATCTTTTATTGACAGGTACACAGGGAGTGGCAAAGGAGATTTTTACATGAAATTATGAGTACAGACCAGGCACTGTGGCTCATTCCTGTAAACCCAGCACTTTGGGAGGCTGAGGCGGGTGGATCACCTGAGGTCAGGAGTTCAGGACCAGCCTGGCCAACATGGTGAAACCCCGTTTCTACTAAAAATACAAAATTAGGTGGGCGTGGTGGCGGGTGCCTGTAATCCCAGATACTCAGGAGGCTGAGATAGGAGAATCGCTTGAACCCAGGAGGCGGAGGTTGCAGTGAGCCAAGATCATGCTGCTGCACTCCAGCCGGAGCAACAGAGTGAGACTCGATCTCAATTAAAAAAAAAAAGAAAAGAAATTATGAGTACATTCCCCTGTATATATATATTTTTTACTTTTTATTATTAATGTTGTTTGGTGCTAATATACAGCTATGTAAATAAATGCAATCTCAGTATTCACTTGCACTTGGCTCCTTGCAGTTTTCAAAACATCCAAATTCTATTTCTGAATTTCTAAAATATCTATCCTCTAAATTTTGAAATATATTTTTCCTTTTTTTGTTTTGTTTTATTTTTTGTTTTTTGTTATTATTATTTTTTGAGACGGAGTCTCACTTTGTTACCCGGGTTGGAGTGCAGTGGAACGATCTCGGCTCACTGCAACCTCCGCCTCCCGAGTTCAAGCAGTTCTCTTGCCTCAGCCTCCTGAGTAGCTGGGATTACAGGCGCCCACCACTAAGCCCAGCTATATATTTTTCTTATACATAATTGCTTTCCTGAGTCCATTTTGCCTCTCAGTTTGCACTCTCACCTTCCTATCACCTAATTCCCCCTCATCATTTCCCCTTCCATCTGTTAGTTTGCTGCGTACTAGCTGCTTTGGCTTTACTTCTTGGATAATTTTCCCACTTGTTTCCAAAGAGTCAAATAATATCAAGCAATAAAAGACTTTGATCTGGGTTTTAGCATCTTTATTGGTGTGCTTTATCATAGTCCTTTTAAATATAGATATACATTGAGTGTAACACAAAGATTAAAATCTGAATAAAATTTTAATTAATGTGGAGCATATTTGGTTGATGTTGAAAGCCAATATTAGTTAACATAAAAAATAACATCATGTTTACTTGACTAAAAAAAACTATGTGATGCCTCCGGTAGTCTTTCTCACATAATCTCAGAATTTAAACATTCCATAATCTGACTCCTGACATTGGTAGAGGAGGAAAAAAATTATTTTCCCTCTACCCGTGTTGTTAGTTCATTGGCTGGGGCTCTGCAAATTAGATGGACAAAAGACAGATTAATAAAAGCAAAGATGTATTAACCTGTGCGTGGTACAGTTATGGGAGTACTCAGTGATGAGTAACTCAAAAGTGTGGTGGTTAGAACTTGTTCTTCCATAGCATCGTAATAAAATAACAATAAATTTTTAGAAAAATCCTACAAAGGAAAGGACTTTGAGTTTCTAGCGTAGCAAATTTGGGAAGCAAATTTGAGAGAACTAGCAGAAGATGAAAGCTAGGTAATAAAATTTGTTATGTATTATTGAATCCTAAGGGTCCAGAGTTGTCTCCAGTGATTAACTTTTGTCTTTCCTGGTAAAGGGGTGGGGGTGTGGGAGTGGGCGGGGAGGAGACACCTTTACAAAGCCAGGATTACAATTTGGCAAGTCTAGCTCCAGAGCCCATATTCTAAATAACTAAACTATGCCGCCTCTAACAGTTTAGTTTGTCTTTTATGGTAATGCCCCAGTCCCTCTTCCTCAATTGTACACATGTAGGCACTCGTGTTCCAGCTCATTCCCTTCTCCAAATCACCCTCTACCTTTTATCCCCATGCAACGTACTCATATAAACACCAAGTTCATTCACACCTGTGTGCCTTTGTTCGTCTTTCAAATGATCCAGAGTGCTCACTGCCACCTTTCTTTTATTTGTTCTCCCCAAAGGCTTCCCAACCTTCAAAGTCTCTTTGAAATTCCATCCTCTCCTAAAAGTTCTTTCTTCTACCTGCAGTAACACTATTCTCTCCCTTCTGTGTCTACACTTTATGCCTAACTGTCCCCAGTAGTGTTGAATTCTCTACTTTTAAGTTTTTGAAGACTAGGCATACACAAAAAGATGAGGCAGCCAACTTAGCAAAAGATGAGAAACATTGATTAAACAGAAACAATCAGTTTTGCTGAAACCACAATAATGGCATGACTAATAGAAGAAAGGCCATCTCCAAAATAAATGGTCTGCTTTCTTGGCTTTTCATGTAAGCTAATTTGATATTCCACTTTCACTAGTCTGCTTGTTTTTACCTCATTTATTAAGACAGTAAATGGATATAGTGTATCTTTAGCCAAGCGCAGTGGCTCATTCCCATAATCGCAGCACTTTGGGAGGCCGAGGCAAGCAGATCACCTGAGTTCAGGAGTTTGAGAACGACCTGGCCAACATGGTGACACCTGGTCTCTACCAAAAAAAAGAAAAAAAAAAAAATTAGCAGGGTGTGATGGCACATGCCTGTAATCTCAGCCACTTGGAAGGCTGAGGCAGGAGAATCGCTTGAACCTGGGAGGCGAAGGTTCAACGAGCTGAAATTTGCACCACTGCACTCCAGCCTGGGTGACAAGAGTGAAACTCAGTCTCCAAAAAAATAAAAAAGGATATAGTGTATCTTTAAACTGGGTGGTTCTACTTGTTGTCCTGCAGGCAAGGTATCAAGACATTGGACAGGGCAGACAGAGGGAGAGCATTGTGTATTAAAGAATTTGATTTAGAAAGAAAAGAAAGCAAATTTTTATTGAAAAAGAGACTATAAGGTGGTATTTGATAAAGAGAACATTCCAAAAAGTTAGAATGTGGTTGCAAAAAAATAAATAAATAAATACAAATCTAGAGCCATATGGCTTTTCGTGAATTTAAAACCATCCAATGCTAATCTTTTACAGAATAACAAAATTGAAAGCATAAACTCTTAAATTTTCCTACTATGTTTGGTTTCACAATTCTCTAGCATGACGAAAGGTACTTACTTTTAATCTATAGCACTGTACTCTACTTTTCTCTACACAGTTGTAATTTTTCCCGGAAAGTCACACCAATGATAGCTACTACTTATTGGATATTTACTTTGTATGAAGCTCTTGGCAAGCATTAAGTCACTTAATCCTTAATCCACAACTCAGTGATACATATATTATTATTTCTTTTTTATAGTTGAGAAGGAAAAAAGTTCAACAAGTTAATTGCCCAAGGTTACAGTGTAGCACAACCAAATACAAATCTAAGTTTGTCATTTGCCATAATCCATGGATGCTCTTAACCATTGTTTCATCCTATTTCTTTCTTCGTCACATATTTCTAAATATCCGTTTGAGATGACTTCTCACCAGTATTGTGCCATAATTATTTTAAGGCAGGACCACATTGTCTCTTTCTTTTGAAACTACCCTCAACAGTTAGTACACTGAAAATAATTTTAAGTGTTAATGAATAAGTGGACATTAATCTTTCTAATGAGGTCAGGTTTTCCAAAATTTTTTTAATGGGAATTTTTTTATTAAAAGCCTGCCTTTTGAGGGAGGTGGGGGGGTCAGCCCCCCGCCCGGCCAGCCGCCCCGTCCGGGAGGTGAGGGGTGCCTCTGCCCGGCCGCCCCTACTGGGAAGTGAGGAGCCCCTCTGCCAGGCCACCACCCTGTCTGGGAGGTGTACCCAACAGCTCATTGAGAACGGGCCATGATGACAATGGCGGTTTTGTGGAATAGAAAGGGGGGAAAGGTGGGGAAAAGATTGAGAAATCGGATGGTTGCCGTGTCTGTGTAGAAAGAAGTAGACATGGGAGACTTTTCATTTTGTTCTGTACTAAGAATAATTCTTCTGCCTTGGGATCCTGTTGATCTGTGACCTTACCCCCAACCCTGTGCTCTCTGAAACATGTGCTGTGTCCACTCAGGGTTCAATGGATTAAGGGCGGTGCAAGATGTGCTTTGTTAAACAGATGCTTGAAGGCAGCATGCTTGTTAAGAGTCATCACCACTCCCTAATCTCAAGTACCCAGGGACACAAACACTGCGGAAGGCCGCAGGGTCCTCTGCCTAGGAAAACCAGAGACCTTTGTTCACTTGTTTATCTGCTGACCTTCCCTCCACTATTGTCCTATGACCCTGCCAAATCCCCCTCTGCGACTAACACCCAAGAATGATCAATTTAAAAAAAAAAAAAAAAGCTGTATAGTAACACAGTAAACAGCTACTAACACATAAAAAAAAAAAAAAAGCCTGCCTTTTAAAGAAATTGAATTTTTAGTTTACTTTAAAACTTTTGGAAAAAGAAATTTTCAGGCCCAAATGGTTTCATTCCTGAATTCTATCAAACATTTAGAGAAGAAATAACACCATCTCTTTCAGAGAAAAGAGAACACTTTTCAGCTTATTGTATGAGGCCAGCAAAATTAAATAAAAACAGGACAGAACTACAGATTCATATCCTTCCTGAACATAGATGCAAAGGTCCTCAACAAAATATTAGCAAATCAAAATCAGCAAACTGTTAAAAGAATAATACACCACAACCAACAGGAGGTTCATGCTGGGAATGCTAGCTGGGGCACTGTTAGAAAAGCAACTAAGGGGCCTGGAGCGGTGGCTCACGCCTGTAATGCCAGCTGAGGCAGGTGGATCACGAGGTAAAGAGATCGAGACCATCAACATGGTGAAACCCCGTCTCTACTAAAAATACAAAAATTAGCTGGGCGTGGTGGCACGCACCTGTAGTCCCAGCTACTCGGGAGGCTGAGGCAGGAGAATCACTTGAACCCGGGAGGCAGAGGTTGCAGTGAGCCGAGATCACGCCACTGCACTCCAGCCTGGTGACAGAGCAAGTCTCCGTCTCAAAAAAAAAAAAAAAAAAGAAAAGAAAAAGGAAAAGCAAGAAAGGTTATTGACTACACTAGCAGACTAAAAGAAAAACTACCTGGCCCTGGCGCGGTGGCTCAGCCTGTAATCCCAGCCCTTTGGGAAGCCAAGGTGGGCAGATCACAAGGTCAGGAGTTCGAGACCAGCCTGACCAACATGGTGAAACTCCGTCTCTACCAAAAACACCAAAATTAGCTGGGCATGGTGGCACGTGCCTGCAGTCCCAGCTACTCAGGAGGCTGAGGCAGGAGAATCACTTGAATACAGGAAGGGGAGATTGCAGTGAGCTGAGATCACGCCACTGCACTCCAGCCTGGGCGACAGAGTGAGACTCTGTCTCAAAAAAAAAAAAAAAAAAAAAAAGAGAGAAAAAGAAAAACTACCTGATGACGTCATTTGATGCAGAATAAGCATTTGATAAAATTCAGCATCCATTTATGCTGAAAACTCTCAGTAAACATACGCAACCTGATAAAGAATATCTTCAAAAAGACCAACAACAGGCAACATACTTAATGGCAAAAATTTGAATGCCGTGAATGGAAAGAAGGCAAGGATGTTTACTCTCAAGACTCCTATTCAACAGTATACTGAAAGTCCTAACCAGTATAATCAGGCAAGGAAAAGAAAAGGCACACAGGCTGGAATGGAAGAAACAAACTGTCCTTATTCAGTCAGCGTAATTGTATATGTAGGAACCTACAAAAAAACCTCCTAGAACTTACAATTGAGTTTAACAACTTCACAGGATATGAAGTCAGTGAATGAAAATGAATTGTTTTTTTAATTTTTATTTATACTTTAAGTTCTATGGTACATGTACACAACGTGCAGGTTTGATACATAGGTATACATGTGCCATGTTGGTTTGCTGCACCCATCAACTCATCATTTACATTAGGTATTTCTTCTAGTGCTATCCCTCCCCCAGCCCCCACCCCTGACAGGCCCTGGTGTGTGATGTTACCCGCCCTGTATCCAAGTGATCTCATTGTTCAATTCCCACCTGTGAGTGAGAACATACGGTGTTTGGATTTCTGTCCTTGTGATGGTTTGCTCAGAATGATGGTTTCCAGCTTCATCCATGTCCCTGCAAAGGACATGAACTCATCCTTTTTTATGGCTGCATAGTATTCCATGGTACATATGTGCCACATTTGCTTAATCCAGTTTATCATTGATAGACATTTAGGTTGGTTCCAAGTCTTTGCTATTGTGAACAGTGCCGCAATAAACATACATATGCATGTGTCTTTATTGTAGCATGATTTATAATCCTTTGGGTATATACCCAGTAATGGGATGGCTGGGTCAAATGGTATTTCTAGTTCTAGATCCCTGAGGAATTGCCACACTGTCTTCCACAATGGTTGAACTAGTTTACACTCCCACCAACAATGTAAAAGTGTTCCTATTTCTCCACATCCTCTCCAGCATCTGTTGTTTCCTGACTGTTTAATGATTGCGATTCTAACTGACGTGAGATGGTATCTCATTGTGGTTTTGATTTGCATTTCTCTGATGGCCAGTGATGATGAGCATTTTTTCATGTGTCTGTGGGCTGCATAGATGTCTTCTTTTGAGAAGTGTCTATTGTATCCTTTGCCCACTTTTTGATGGGGTTGTTTGTTTTTTTTTCTTGTAAATTTGTTTGAGTTCTTTGTAGATTCTGGATATTAGCCCTTTGGCAGATGGGTAGATTGCAAAAATTTTCTCCCATTCTGTAGGTTGCCTGTTCACTCTGATGGTAGTTTCTTTTGCCGTGCAGAAGCTCTTTAGTTTAATTAGATCCCATTTGTCAATTTTGGCTTTTGTTGCCATTGCTTTTGGTGTTTTAGTCATGAAGTCCTTGCCCATGCCTATGTCCTGAATGGTATTGCCCAGGTTTTCTTCTAGGGTTTTTATGGTTTTAGGTCTAACATTTAAGTCTTTAATCCATCTTGAATTAATTTTTGTATAAGATGTAAGGAAGGGATCCAGTTTCAGCTTTCTGCATATGGCTAGCCAGTTTTCCCAGCACCATTTATTAAATAGGGAATCCTTTCCCCATTTATTGTTTCTGTCAGGTTTGTCAAAGATCAGATGGTTGCAGATGTCTGGTGTTATTTCTGAGGTCTCTGTTCTGTTCCATTGGTCTATATCTCTGTTTTGGTGCCAGTACCATGCTGTTTTGGTTACTGTAGCCTTGTAGTATAGTTTGAAGTCAGGTAGCATGATGCCTCCAGCTTTGTTGTTTTTGCTTAGGATTGTCTTGGCAATGCGGGCTCTTTTTTGGTTTCATATGAACTTTAAAGTAGTTTTTTCCAATTATGTGAAGAAAGTCATTGGTAGCTTGATGGGGATGGCATTGAATCTATAAATTACTTTGGGCAGTTTGGCTGTTTTCATGATATTGATTCTTCCTATCCATGAGCGTGGAATATTCTTCCATTTGTTTGTGTCCTCTTTTATTTCATTGAGCAGTGGTTTGTAGTTCTTCTTGAAGAGGTCCTTCACATCCCTTGTAAGTTAGATTCCTAAGTATTTTATTCTCTTTGTCGCAATTGTGAATGGGAGTCCACTCATGATTTGGCTCTCTGTTTGTCTATTAATGGTGTATAGGAATGCTGGTGATTTTTGCACATTGATTTTGTATCCTGAGACTTTGCTGAAGTTGCTTATCAGCTTAAGGAGATTTTGGGCTGAGACGATGGGGTTTTCTAAATATACAATCATGTCATCTGCAAACAGGGACAATTTGACTTCCTCATTTCCTAATTGAATACCCTTTATTTCTTTCTTTTGTATGATTGCCTGGGACAGAACTTCCAACACTATGTTGAATAGGAGTGGTGAGAGAGGGCATCCTTGTCTTGTGCTGGTTTTTAAAGGGAATGCTTCCAGTTTTTGCCCATTCAGTATGATATTGGCTGTGGGTTTGTCATAAATAGCTCTTATTATTTTGAGATACGTTCCACTGATACCTAATTTATTGAGAGTTTTTAGCATGAAGCGCTGTTTAATTTTGTCGAAGGCCTTTTCTGCATCTATTGAGATAATCGTGTGGTTTTTGTCATTTGTTCTGTTTATGTGATGGATTACGTTTATTGATTTGCGGGTGTTGAACCAGCCTTGCATCCCAGGGATGACACTGATTTGATCATGGTGGATAAGCTTTTTGATGTGCTGCTGGATTCAGTTTGCCAGTATTTTATTGAGGATTTTCGCATCGATGTTCATTAGGGATATTGGTCTAAAATTCTCTTTTTTTGTTGTGTCTTTGCCAGGCTTTGGTATTAGGATGATGTTGGCCTCATAAAATGAGTTAGGGAGGATTCCCTCTTTTTCTATTGATTGGAATAGTTTGAGAAGGAATGGTACTAGCTCCTCTTTGTACCTCTGGTAGAATTTGGCTGTGAATCTGTCTGGTCCTGGATTTTTTTGGTTGCTAGGCTATTAATTATTGCCTCAATTTCAGAGTCTGTTCTTGGTCTATTCAGAGATTAAACTTCTTCCTGGTTTAGTCTTGGGAGGGTGTGTGTGTCCAGGAATTTATCCATTTCTTCTGGATTTTCTAGTTTATTTGCATAGTGGTGTTTATAGTGTTCTCTGATGGTAGTTTGTATTTCTGTTGGATCAGTGGTGATATCCCCTTTATCATTTTTTATTGTGTGTATTTGATTCTTCTCTCTTTTCTTCTTTATTAGTCTTGCTAGCGGTCTATCAATTCTGTTGAGCTTTTCAAAAAACCAGCTCCTGGATTCATTGATTTTTTTGAAGGGTTTTTTGTGTCTCTATCTCTTTCAGTTCTGCTCTGATCTTAGTTATTTCTTGCCTTCTGCTAGCTTTTGAATTTGTTTGCTCTTGCTTCTCTAGTTCTTTTAATTGTGATGTCGGGGTGTCGATTTTAAATCTTTCCTGCTTTCTCTTGTAGGCATTTAGTGCTATAAATTTCCCTCTACACACTGCTTTGAATGTGTCCCAGAGATTCTGGTATGTTGTGTCTTTGTTCTCATTGGTTTCAAAGGACATCTTTATTTCTGCCTTCATTTCGTTATTTACCCAGTAGTCATTCAGGAGCAAGGTGTTCAGTTTCCACGTAGTTGTGCGGTTTTGAGTGAGTTTCTTAATCCTGAGTTCTAATTTGATTGCACTGTGGTCTGAGAGACAGTTTGTTGTGATTTCTGTTCTTTTACATTTGCTGAGGAGTGCTTTACTTCCAATTATGTGATCAATTTTAGAATAAGTGTGATGTGGTGCTGAGAAGAATGTATATTCTGTTGATTTGGGGTGGAGAGTTCTGTAGATGTCTATTAGGTCTGCTTGTTGCAGAGCTGAGTTCACGTCCTGGATATCCTTGTTAACCTTCTGTCCCATTGATCTGTCTAATATTGATGGTGGGGTGTTAAAGTCTCCCATTATTATTGTGTGGGAGTCCAAGTCTCTTTTTAGGTCTCTAAGGACTTGCTTTATGAATCTGGGTGCTCCTGTATTGGGTGCATATATATTTAGGATGGTTAACTCTTCTTGCTGAATTGATCCCTTTACCATTATGTAATGGCCTTCTTTGTATCTTTTGATCTTTGTTGGTTTAAAGTCTGTTTTATCAGAGACTAGGATTGCAACCCCTGCTTTTTTTTTGCTTTCCATTTACTTAGTAGATCTTCCTCTATCCCTTTATTTTGAGCCTGTGTGCATCTTTGCATGTGAGATGGGTCTCCTGAATACAGCACACTGATGTGTCTTGACTCTATCCAATTTGGCAGTCTGTGTCTTTTAATTGGGGGATTTAGCCCATTTACATTTAATGTTAATATTGTTATGTGTGAATTTGATCCTTTCATTATGATGTTTGCTGGTTATTTTGCCTGTTAATTGATGCAGTTTCTTCATAGCATCAATGGTGTTTACAATTTGACATGTTTTTGCAGTGGCTGGTACCGGTTGTTCCTTTCCATGTTTAGTGCTTCCTTTAGGAACTCTTGTAAGGCAGGCCTGGTGGTGACAAAATCTCTCAGCATTTGCTTGTCTGTAAAGGATTTTATTTCTCCTTCACTTATGAAGCTTAGTTTGGCTGGATATGAAATTCTGGGTTGAAAATTCTTTTCTTTAAGAATGTTGAATATTGGCCCCCACTCTCTTCTGGCTTATAGGGTTTCTGCCGAGAGATCCACTGTTAGTCTGCTGGGCTTCCCTTTGTGGGTAACTCGACCTTTCTGTCTGGCTGCACTTTACACTTTTTCCTTCATTTCAACTTTGGTGAATGTGACAATTATGTGTCTTGGGGTTGCTCTTCTGAAGGAGTATCTTTCTGGTGTTGTCTGTATTTCCTGAATTTGAATGTTGGCCTGCCTTGCTAGTTTAGGGAAGTTCTCCTGGATAATACCCTGCAGAGTGTTTTCCAACTTGGTTCCATTCTCCCCATCACTTTCAGGTACACCAATCAGACTTAGATTTGGTCTTTTCACATAGTCCCATATTTCTTGGAGGCTTTGTTAATTTCTTTTTACTCTTTTTTCTCTAACCTTGTCTTCTTGCTTTATTTCATTAATTTGATCTTCAGTCACTGATACCCTTTCTTCCACTTGATCGAATCTGCTACTGAAGCTTGTGCATGCATCATGAAGTTCTCATGACATGGTTTTCAGCTCCATCAGGTCATTTAAGATCTTCTCTACGCTGTTTATTCTAGTTAGCCATTCATCTAATCTTTTTTCAAGGTTTTTAGCTTCCTTGCAGTGGGTTCAAACATCCTCCTTTAGCTCGGAGAAGTTTGTTATTATCAACCTTCTGAAGCCTACTTCTGTCAACTCGTCAAAGTCATTCTCCGTCCAGCTTTGTTCCATTGCTGGCAAGGAGCTATGATCCTTTGGAGGAAAAGAGGCTCTCGGATTTTTAGAATTTTCAGCTTTTCTGCTCTGGTTTCTTCCCATCTTTGTGGTTTTATCTACCTTTGGTCTTTGATGATGGTGACCTACAGATGGGGTTTTGGCGTAGATGACCTTTTTGTTGATGTTGATGCTATTCCTTTCTGTTTGTTAGTTTTCCTTCTAACAGTCAGGTCCCTCAGCTGCAGGTCTGTTGGAGTTTGCTGGAGTTCCACTCCAGACCCTGTTTGCCTGTGTATCAGCAGCGGAGGCTACAGAACAGCAAATATTGCTGCCTGATCCTTCCTCTGGAAGCTTCGCCCCAAAGGGGCAGCTGCCTATATGAGGTGTCTGTCGGCCCCTATTGGGAAGTGTCTCCCAGTTGGGCTACACAGGGGTCAGGGACCCACTTGAGGAGGCAGTCTGTCCATTCTCAGAGCTCAAACGCCGTGCTGGGAGAACTGCTACTCTCTTCAGAGCTGTCGGACAAGGATGTTTAAGTCTGCAGAAGTTGTCTGCTCCCTTTGTTCAGCTATGCCCTGCCCACAGAGGTGGAGTCTAGAGGCAGTAGGCCTTGTTGAGCTGCGGTGGGCTCTGCCCAGTTAGAGCTTCCCGGCTGCTTTCTTTACCTACTCAAGCCTCAGCAATGGCAGATGCCCCTCCCCCAGCCAGGCTGCCATCTCACAGATCGATCTCATACTGCTGTGCTAGCAGTGAGCAAGGCTTCGTGAGTGTGGGACCCACCAAGCCAGGCACGGGAGAGAATCACCTTGTCTGCTGGTTGCTAAGACCTTCGGAAAAGTGCAGTATTTGGGTGGGAGTGCCCCGTTTTTCCAGGTAGTCTGTCCCGGCTTCCCTTGGCTAGGAAAGGGAAATCCCCCAACCCCTTGTGCTTCCCAGGTGAGGCGATGCCCCGCCCTGCTTCAGATCGCCCTCCATGGGCTGCACCCACTGTCCAGCCAGTCCCAGTGAGATGAACCAGGTACCTCAGTTGGAAATGCAGAAATCACCCATCTTCTGTGTTGATCACACTGGGAGCTGCAGACCAGAGCTGTTCCTATTCGGCCATCTTGGTAAAGTCCTATTTTTTGTTTTTTTTTTGAGATAGAATCTTGCTCTGTCACCCAGGCTGGAGTGCAGTGGCGCAATCTTGGCTCACTGCAACCTCCACCTCCAGGGTTCATGTGATTCTCCTGCCTCAGCCTCCCAAGTAGCTGGGATTACAGGCACCCGCCACTACGCCCAGCTAATTTTTTGTATTTTTTTTTTAGTAGAGAAAGAGTTTCACCATGTTGGCCAGGCTGGTCTCAAATTCCTGACCTTGTGATCCGCCCGCCTCGGCCTCCCAAAGTGCTGGGATTACAGGTGTGAGCCACTGCACCTGGCCTCAATTCTGTTTTTATATATTGTCATGTACAACTGGAAACTAAAATTTTTTTTAAAAAACTCTATTTACACTAAAGCCAAAAAATGAAATACTTGGTTATAAATCTAACAAAACATGTATAGAATCCATATGCTGAAAACAAAATGCTACCTAGTATTCGATAATAGGGTGACTATAGTCTAATAATTTAATTGCACATTTAAAAATAACTAAAATAGTATAATTGGATTGTTTGTAACACAAAAGATAAATGCTTGAGGGAATGGATACCCTATTTTACATGATGTGATTATCATGCATTGCATCCCTGTATCAAAACATCTCATGTACCACATAAATATTTACACCTGCTATGTACCCACAAAAATTAAAATAATTATTTTCAAAATATGCTGATGAGGAGAATAAAAGCTAAAATAAACAGGGAGACATATATTCATGGATTGGAAGATGTCAATTGGTCTGTAGGTTTAGCAGAATTCCAATTACGTGGTTATACACAAGCTGATTCTAAAATGTACATGGAAAGGCAGTGTAACTAGAAAAGTCATACGATTTTTTTTTTTTTTTTTGAGATGGAGTCTTGCTCTGTCACCCAGGCTGGAGTGCAGTGGCGCAATCTCGGCTCACTGCAAGCTCTGCCTCCCGGTTTCACGCCATTCTCCTGCCTCAGCCTCCCTAGTAGCTGGGACTACAGGTGCCCGCCACCACGCCTGGCTAATTTTTTGTATTTTTAGTAGAGGCGGGGTTTCACCATGTTAGCTAGGATGGTCTCGATCTCCCGACCTTGTGATCCACCCGCTTCGGCCTCCCAAAGTGCTGGGATTACAGGCGTGAGCCACCGCGTCCGGCCACAATTTTTAAAAAGAACAAAATTGGAGGAATGACAATACCCAATGTTGAGACAACATAAAGTTTCAATAAGACACTAGAGTATTGGCTGGGGGATAGACACATTGATCACAGAATAGAAGTCCAGATACAGACCCACAGAAACATAGCCAGTTGTGGCCAGGTGCAGTGGCTCATGCTGGTAATCCCAGCACTTTGGGAGGCCAAGGCAGTCGGGATCACCTGAGCCCAGGAGTTTGAGACCAGGCTGGGCAACATGGCAAAACCCCCTCTCTATAAAAAATACAAAAAATTAGCCAGGCACAGTGGTGAGTACCTGTAGTCCAGCTACTTGAGAGGCTGAGGTGGGAGGATCACCTGAGCCTGGGAAGTCGAGGCTGCAGTGAGCCATGATTGCACCACTGCACTCCAGCGTGGGCGATGGGAGTGAGACCCTCTCTCAAAAATATATATATGTGTGTGTGTGTGTCTGTGTGTGTGTGTGTCTGTGTGTATAGTCAGTTGATTTTTGACAAAGGTTCAAAGTCAATTCTGTGAAGACAGGATAATCTTCTCAAGAAACGATAATGAAACCATTAGATATCTATATGTGAAAGAAAGGGCCTCAATCTAAATATCACATTTTATACAAAAAAGTAGATCATAGAGCTAAATGTAAAATGTAAAGCTATAAAACTCTGATAAATAAACATAGGAGAAAATCTTCATGAGTTGGTGTTAGGCAAAAAGTTATTGGGGATAACACCAAAGCATGATCTATAAAAGAAAAAAATTGATACACTGGACTTCACAAAAT
Source organism: Homo sapiens (assembly GCF_000001405.40). Lineage (NCBI taxonomy): Eukaryota > Metazoa > Chordata > Mammalia > Primates > Hominidae > Homo > Homo sapiens. The sequence goes on from NC_000008.11 coordinate 67,361,037, forward strand.
TTATAACTTTTGCTCTGTAAAGTATTAAGAGCAAAAAAAGACAGGCTATAAAATGGGAGAAAATTTTGAAAATCTCATATTTGACAAATGGCTTGTATTTAGAGTACATATTTTCAAAAATTCTCAAAAATCAACAATAAAAACATCAAGCAACCCAACTTAAAAATTGGTAGAATAGTTGGACACTTCAGTAAAGAGGATGTAGAATGGTAAACAAGCATAAGAAAAAATGTTCATCATCATTACCTGTTAAGGAAATGCAAAATAAAACCACAATGAGTTACTACTATACACCTATTAAAATGGCTGAAATAAAAAATGCTGCAATATCAAGTGCCAGAGGGGATGTAGATCAATCTGAACTCTCACGCATTGCTGGCAGAAATGCAGAATGGTACAAGTTGGGAAAACAATTTTGGTACTTGCTTATAAAGTTAAACTAACACTTAACCTGTGACTCAGCATTCCTAACGATAGATATTTACGTAATCTAGGGAAATTAAAACTTATGTTCACCCAAAAACATGTACACATATGTGCAACTCTGTTCATACTCACTAAAAACTGGGAACAATTCAAATATTGTCTTTCTTTGGGTAAATGGATAAACAAACACTGGCATATTTATACAATGTTCTAGTACTGAGCAATATAAAAGGACAAATTATTGATACATGCAACAACTTGGATGAATCTCAAAAGCATTTTGCTGAGTGAAAGAAGATAATTTCAAAAGGTTTTATACTATATTATTCATTTCTGTGACATTCTGAAAAAGGCCAAACTATAGAGATGAAAACATCAGTGGTTATCACCTATCATATGTGGAGGTAGGAGGTGTCTATAAAGAGATGTAATGTAATTTAGGGGACTGGGGTAATGAGGATATTCTCTTTTTTTCTTTTTTTTTTTTTTTGAGATGGAGTCTCGCTCTGTCGCCTAGGCTGGAGTACAGTGGCGCAATCTCAGCTCACTGCTACCTCTGCCTCCTGGGTTCAAGCGATTCTTCTGCCTCAACCTCCCCAGTAGCTGGGACTACAGGCGCCCACCACCACGCCTGGCTAATTTTTGTATTTTTAGTAGAGATGGGGTTTCACTATGTTGTCCAGGCTGGTCTCAAACTCCTGACCTTATGATCTGCCCGCCTTGGCCTCCAGAAGTGCTGGGATTACGGGCGTAAAACACCACGCCCGGCCACATATTCTCTATTCTGGTTGTGATGGTGTAGAAATCCATACATCTGTGTGTGTAAATTCATAGACCTGTTCACAAAAATACATCAGTTTTACTCTATGATAATATATTTTTAAACTTTATTTTCAGTACCACTAAATATCACTTTTATTTCTATGGGACTGCTAAATCAGAACCCACTGAATATAAGGCAGAGAGAGATGATTAATTCTAGATGTTTTTATTTTATAATTTAAAAGAAACACAGGTTTGCTATGCCAAGTAGTAGAAAAATGTAAGCAGTATTGAGGGGAGGAGGGTCTGGTTAGTAAAGAGGCTAAATTATCCAGCTACGACATGCACTGAATTTTCTGGATAATTATACACATTTCCACTCACCTATAAGCAAGTAAGGCTCTTGAGGCACATAAATGATTCCACTGCAATAAGTTACATTTTTTGGAACTCTACTAACACATACATTCAAAGCTCTTTTTGGTGATTTATCATTGTTTCAACCTAAAGAGTTTCTGAAATTTCCTAACATACCATTCATAACTCCAACGGAATCCCTTACATACTGAAATAAGTCAGTATTATTTTCTTTTTTAAAATGTCACCACTGATGAGGAGCTAAGTCTTAAGTTTTTGAAATATTTAAGAAAATATTAAATTCATTATAAGAATAATAATTTAGTATTCATCTTGTTTATAAATATGTTTCCTCTGTGGTTGGACAACTGGATTATAATTTGTTTTTAGAGTTCTCGATTGCAATTATATTAATTTAAAACTATATTTTGAGACTAGTGAAATAAATTATGGTACATCCATCTAATGGAATATTATGTAGCTGTAATAAAGAATGAAGATGCTTTTAATGTACTGGTATGGAATGATCTCAGATATCTTAATATATTAGGTGTATAAAGCAAATGAGAATAGTAGGCAAAACATGCTATTATTTATGCAAAATGGGAAAATTTTATACTTATACATACACACATAGATACATACATGTGTATTTACTTATAAGACAGACTATCGGTCAGGCACAGTGGCTCACGCCTGTAATCCCAGCACTTTGGGAGGCCAAGGTTGGTGGATCACCTGAGGTCAAGAGTTCCAGACCAGCATGGTGAAAGCCCGTTTCTACTAAAAATACAAAAAATTAGCCGGGCATGGTGGCGCACGCCTATAATCCCAGCTACTCGGGGGGCTGAGGCAGGAGAATTGCTTGAACCCGGGAGGCAGAGGTTACAGTGAGCCGAGGTCACGCCATTGCAGTCCAGCCTGGGCAACAAGAGCAAAACTCCGTCTCAGAAAAAAAAAAGACTATCATGTGGGCAAGGTGGCTCACACCTGTAATCCCAGCATTTTGGGAGGCTAAGGTGGGAGGATGTCTTGAAGCCTGGAGTTCCAGGCCAGCCTGGGCAACATAGCAAGACCTTGTGTATACAAAAAAAGTGAAAAAATTAACCAGGCATGGTGGCGTGTGCCTGTAGTCCCAGCTACTCTGGAGGCCGAGGTGGGAGGATTGCTTGAGCCAGGAGTTTGAGGCTGCAGTGAGCCATGATTGTGCCACTGCCCTTCAGCACGCCAGCCTGGGCAACAGAGCAAGACTCTGTCTCTCAGGAAAAAAAAAACCCTTAAAGAATACAAAGGAACAGAAGAATGGGTAATTACATGATTCAGGGGTAACAGTTGGGATATATCACTGGTGGCCATTTTATATATTTTACATATTGAACCCTGTGAATGCTTTACCTATTACAAAAACAAATGAAAATTACTTTCTATTTGTTCAACAAAGAGTGTCTACATTTAAAAAAATTAATTGCCTGGGAAAAAAAGAAACAATAAGTCCATTTTCTTCTTGGGGTCCAGCATTCTCAGTAGAAATGCACTGAAGAATAAATTTCTCATTGTACACATTTGTCTGATTTTTTTCTTCACTAAAAGAATGCCTAAAGTGTGTAGGATCCTTCCAGTACTCTGATAACTGCTACTCAAAGTGTTGTCCAAGGATCAATAGCATCAGGAGCTGGCTAGAAATGCAGAATCATTGTGCCCCACCCTACACCTATAGAATCAAGAATCAGCACTTTAACAAGGTTCTGCCAGAGGATTTACATGCACTTTAAAGTACTGCTGCAACAGGCAGGATGGAGTTGGATAAAGACAATGCCAGTAGCCCTAGGATATTAGGCAAATTGATGGTTTTTCAGGATAGAGAGCAAAAGGGCACTGAGCAGACTTCCATGAAGTTGAGAACTGATGGAAATCTTATAAATACCCTAGAACCTAAAGTCAAAGAGAAATCATAGCTCCTGAGTGTGAATAAAAATGTAATATATTTTCTATTTAATTTTTAAATAACCCAGTAATATGAAAAAAATAACCGTTCTAGGCCTGCAAAAAGATAAAACCATTAGCTGTCTCAAAAATCAAACCAAAATAGACTAAAACTCTCGATAGCCATCTATCCACTTTCAGTCAAGTCTCTCTGCTTCTACTTTTCCCCCCATCCCACCACCATTTATCCAACAATAAGAATGTGTCTTCTGAAATGGAAGTCAAATCATATCACTCATGACTTCTACACCCTTCAGTGGTGCTGTGATTTGAATATATCTCTCAAAATTGACGTGTTGGAAGCTTAATCCCCACTGCAGCAGTATTGGGTGTGGGGCCTAATAAGAGATGATTAGGTCAGGAGTGGATTAATGTCGTTATTGCAAGAGTAAATTAGTTATCATGGGAATAGACTTGTTATAAAAGTGAATTCAAGGCCAGGTGCAGTGGCTCATGCCTATAATCCTAGCCCTTTGTGAGGCCAAGGCAAGCAGATCACTTGAGGTCAGGAGTTTGAGACCAGCCTGGCCAACATGGTGAAACCCTGTCTCTACTAAAAATACAAAAATTCCCCGGGGTGGTGACATGTGCCTGTAGTCCCAGCTACTCTGGAGGCTGAGGAGGCACGAGAATCGCTTGAACCCAGGAGGCAGAGGCTGCAGTGAGCCGAGATCACGCCACTGCACTCCAGCCTGGGTGAAAGAATGAGACTTTGTCTCAAAAAGAAAAGAAAAGAAAAGTTCAGGCCCCCTTGCGCTTTTGCTCTCTCTCACACAGGGCTCTCTTGCTGTATGTCTTCTGCCATGGGATGATGCAGCAAGAAGGCCCTCGCTAGGTGCTGGCAACATGCTCTTGGATTTCTCAGCCTCCAGAACTATAAGAAATACATTTATTTTCTTTATAAGTTAGCTAGTCTGTGGTATTCTGTTATGACAACACAAAATGGATTAAGACAAATGGCTTCTCATTTTACTCAGAATTAGAGCCAGAGCCCTAACACAGACCTATAAGGCTCTACACAACACAGCTCCTGCCGTGGTCACTCAACTGCTACTACTCTCCCCCGGCTTGCTCAGGTCCAGATACACTGGCCTCCTTGCTATTCCCTGAACTTAGCATGTTCTGCTTCCAGACCTTTGCACTTGTTCCCTCTGCCCAGGATCCTGTTCCTCCAGATAACCCAAAGCTCATGTCCTTCAGGTCTCTGCTTAAGCATCATCTGATAAGCGAGGCCTTCCTTGACCACTCTACATAAAATAGCTGCTCCCCACCCCTCCATCCTCCTTACCCTGCTTTATTTCTCCCCAATCACTTATCATTTCTCACACAATACTATTTTATTTGTCAACTTGCTTGTTTTTTTTTTCCTAGTAGAATATAAGCTCCTCAAAGGCTGGAGCTTTATTTTGGTCATTGCCACACCTCTAGTGCCTAAAAGAGGGATAGTTAATGAATGAAGTTAATGAATGAAGATAGTTAATGAATGAAGAAATTATCCTGTCTTAATTTGTGAAGGATGCCATGTCAAAGTACCATAGACTGGGTAGCTTAAATGATAGAAATGTATTTCTCACAGATCTGGAGTTTGAGAAGTTCAAGATCAAATGCTGGCTGACTCGGTTTCTGGTGAGGGCTGTCTTGCTGGCTTGCAGATGCCTTCTCACTGTGTCCTCACATGACCTTTTCTCAGTCATGCTCAATGGAGAGAGAGATTTCTTTCCTCTTCCTCTTCTTATAAGGCCACCAATCCCGTTGCATTAGGATCCCACATGTATGACTGTCAGAGGCATTTAAACCAGAGGGACTCCATCTTGAATAGGGGCTGGGTAAAATAAGGCTGAGACCTTCTGGGCTGCATTCTTAGGAGGTTAAGGCATTCTGAGTCACAGGAGGAGATAGGAAGTCAGCACAAGATACAGGTCATAAGGACCTTGCTGATAAAATAGGTTGCAGTAAAGAAGCCGGCCAACGGGTGCAGTGGCTCACCCCTGTAATCCAGCACTTTGTGTGGCCGAGGTGGGCAGATCACTTGAGGTCAGGAGTTTGAGACCAGCCTGGCCAACATGATGAAACCCTGTCTCTACGAAAAATGTAAAAAAAAAAAAAAAGCCGGGTGTGGTGGCACAGACCTGTAGTCCCAGCTACTCGGAAGGCTGAGGCAGGAGAATCGCTTGAACCTGGGAGGCAGAGGTTGCAGTGAGCCAAGATTGCTCCACTGCAGTCCAGCCTGGGTGACAGAGCAAGACACCATCTAAAAAAATAAAAAAAAGAAGCTGGCCAAAACCCACCAAAACCAAGATGGTGACAAAAGTGACCTCCGGTCATCCTCACTGCTCATTATACACTAATTATAATACATTAGCGTGCTAAGAGACACTCCCGCCAGTGCCATGACAGTTTACAAATGCCATGGCAACGTCAGGAAGTTACCCTATATGGTCTAAAAGGGGGAGAAACTCTCAGTTCCAGGAGTTGCCCACCCCTTTCCCAGAAAACTGATGAATAATCCACCCGCTTGTTTAGCATGCAATCAAGAAATAACCATAAAAATGGGCAACCAGCGGCCCATGCTGCTGCTCTGCCTATGGATTAGCCATTCGTTATTCCTTTACTTTCTTAATAAACTTGCTTTCACTTTACTCTATGGACTTGCTTTGAATTCTTTCTTGCAGGAGATCCAGGAGCCCTCTGTTGGGGTCTGGATTGGGACCCCTTTCCAGTAACATGATCACATTCAATCTTAATTATCTCCTAAAAGCTCTGTCTCCAAATACCATCACATTGCAGGGTAGGGTTTCAACATACGAATTTGGGATTGCAGGGGACACAGTTCAGGTCATAGCAGATCTCATAACCAGCTCAGCCCTATCATCGTTAAAGAAATTCTCCCCTCAGGCATTTTCTTTTTTAGTTTTTATCTCTTTCAAGGCTCTATTTGGTGTTTATTTTAATATAATTTCCCCTGAACAAAAATTGCTTAAACCAGGGGTTTATCATTTGATATTATTTGCCCTGGGGATATCTGTGGATTTTTTTTTTTTTGGTGGGGGGTGGTCTGGAGGCTTGCAGTAGGTCTCTCATTGTCAATAGTTAGATGTTCCTGAATATACATTTTTAAATATTGAGGGGAAAAAACCAAATTCAGGGTGTTTGTTGCAATTACTGCTCAGTCCCTTATCTTCCTTGACTTGGAACTTGATTGAAATGCCACTTTATAAAATACAAGGTAACTGTAGCTGCTTTGAAACTCTCCATACATGTCCACACTACATTGTAGTGTAGAAAACCTTCCTGTTTGCTAATTGCATCTACAGTTGTGTAAGTATCAGGAACAACTTATAAAATAAATGCATTTTAGCAAACTTTACCCCTGTACTAGTACTGTATAGGAATTAGTTTTCAACCCTGATCACTATGAAACCGCCTTTGCAAAATTATGACTGAGACAGTGAAAGAGATCTATCCTAACCAACTCTATTTTGCTTCTAACCTCCAACCTGTCCTTGTTCATTACTGGACGTAATGGCTGAACTAACTTTGGGAATAACTTAGTTTATAGTTTATAGTTTAAAACAAAGATGGCTGGGCACAGTGGCTCACACCTACAATCCCAGCACTTTGGGAGGCTGAGGCAGGTACCTCACTTGAGGTCAGGAGTTTGAGACCAGCCTGGCCAACATGGCAAAACCCTGTGTTTACTAAAAATACAAAAATTAGCTGGGCATGATGGTGCCTCCCTGTAATCCCAGCTACTCAGGAGGCTGAGGCACGAGAATCACTCGAACCCAGGAGGTGGAGGTTGCAGTGAGCCGAGATCTCACCACTGCACTCCAGCCTGGGCGACAGGGTGAGACTCTATCTCAAAAACAAACAAACAAACAAAAACAAAGACAATAACAGCCCTTTCCCAAAACAAACCTCCTTGCCTGGGGACTAGGCTGCCTTTGTAGGGCTAAGAAATTAGCTACAAGTAAGCCGGGCGCCGTGGCTCATGCCTGTAATCCCAGCACTTTGGGAGGCTGAGGCAGGCGGATCACGAGGTCAAGAGATCGAGACCATCCTGGCCAATGTGGTGAAACCCCGTCTCTACTAAAAATACAAAAATTAGCTGGTGTGTTGGCACGCGCCTGTAGTCTCAGCTACTTGGGAGCCTGAGGCAGGAGAATCGCTTGAAGTGAGCCAAGATCGTGCCACTGCACTTCAGCCTGGCAACAGAGCGAGACTCCATCTCAAAAAAAAAAAAAAAAAAAAAAAAGAAATTAGCCACAAGATTAGAAATTATGGTTTAGGAGTCATGAAGCTGGAGGCTATAAGATTCTGACCCTCCCTAAACTGCTTCTAAAATCAGTGCTTGAGATATTTGCAGACCCTGCACTTGATGGATTAGCTGGCACCACCTGGATCGCTTAAGTGGCTCATCTGATCTTGCGGCCCCCACTCAGCACAAGAAGACAGCTTTGACTTCCTATGATTTCATCCCTGACCTATCAGCACTCCTGGCTCACTGGCTTCCCCCGACCCACTAAGTTGTTTTTGAAAACTCTGCTCCCCAAATGCCTGGGGAGACTGATTTGAGTAACAATAAACCTCTGGTCTCCCGCACAGCCAGCTCTACATGAATTACTTTCTCTATTGCAATTTCCTTGTCTTGATAAATCAGCTCTCTCTAGGCAATGGGCAAGGTGAACCCATTGGGCAGTTACTACTAGAATCATCCATAGACTTGTTTCAACACACAGGTAACCAGATGGACAAAAACTCTCTCCTTACCTAAACTCTTGCCAGGTTCCTCTGAACCCTCTTCTTAACTGAACCACAAGCTTGGCCTGTAGAAACTGCTGACTCTGTGTACGAATGATTTTGTCCACTCCCTATTCACCCCCCACCCCCACCACACATATACTAAGAGACTGGAACAGACAGTAGCATAGTTTCTAACAGCTCAAGTCCACATCCTTAGCATGACAACTCCAGCCCCCTTAAGTTCCTGCCTAAGAGAAAGCTCCATGCTGCAAGGAGAATTACTAACTGTTCCAGCCAAAACATGGTGACAAGCATATAGGTCCCCCCTCTTAGAGCAGTTACTTTAGAAAGCCTGCAATTATAAATCCTTTCTCTGACCCTTTGAAATGTAAATCTACCACCCAGAACTGTCTTCTCAAGGGCCTGAGAGCCATCTCTTTGAAATGCAAACCTTTAAGGAGATAATTCTTACTCTTATTTTTATTTATTTATTTTTTATTTTTTTGAGATGGAGTCTCACTCTGTCGCCAGGCTGGAGTGCAGTGGTGCGATCTCGGCTCACTGCAACCTCTGCCTCCTGGGTTCAAGTGATTCTCCTGCCTTAGCCTCCCGAGTAGCTGGGACTACAGGCACGCGCCACCACGCCTAGCTAATTTTTGTATTTTTAGCAGAGATGGAGTTTCACCATGTTGGCGAGGATGGTCCGCCCACCTCGGCCTCCCAGAGTTTTGGGATTACAGGTGTGAGCCACTGTGCCCAGCCTCACTCTTGATCTTCTCCCTGTGGTGGGGAAGGGCCTAACCTTGGTAGATGCTGTATTCTAACTTACGCCACTGCCTCTTCTATCATGAAGCTACCAGAGATTTGTTTCTCCTCCAGGTAGTGCCAATTAACAAACCACCAGATGGCTTGGTCACATGCACCAGTGCCCCCTTCGCACCCTTCAGCACTTTGCCTTCGGCACCACCAGCCTTTAAAAAGTCTCCTGCCTGGCCGGACGCAGTGCCTCACACCTGTAATCCCAGCACCCCTGGGAGGCCGAGGTGGGTGGATCACGAGGTCAGGAGATCGAGACCATCCTGGTTAAAATGACGAAACCCCGTCTCTACTAAAAATACAAAAAATTAGCCAGGCATGGTGGTGCACGCCTATAGTCCCAGCTACTGGGGAGGCTGAGGCAGGACAATTGCTTGAACCTGGGAGGCGGAGGTTGCCGTGAACTGAGATCGTACCATTGCACTCCAGCCTGGGTGACAGAGCGACTCCGTCTCAAAAAAAAAAAAAAAATCTGCCTTGTGTCCCAGTGAAGCTTCACACTGCCCCCTCTTTCCTACTGCAGTAGTTACAATGCATAGACTTTACCCACCTTTTAACTCTCTGCTAACTATCCAATTTAACTAGTGACCAGCTTTTTTTTTTTATCTTTGGCAAGACCAACCCCAGAGATTCTGTCTTGGTGGGTCTGGGGTGGTGCCGAGGTATTAAGATTTTATTAAAAACCTCACAAGAAGAGTCTTCTGATGCAGAATCAGAATTGAGAATAACTGCTGTAGGACAGCAGCCCTCAAAGTGGGGATTATAGGCTAACAGCATCGTTATCACCTGGGAACTTCTTAGAAATGCAAATACTTGGCCTGGTGCTGTAGCTCACGCCTGTAATCCCACCATTTTGGGAGGCTGAGGCGGGCGGATTACCTGAAGCCAGGAGTTCAAGACCAGCCTGGCCAACATGGTGAAATCCCATCTCTACTAAAAATACAAAAATTAGTTGGGCATGGTGGCATGTGCCTGTAATCCCAACTAGTCGGGAGGCTGAGGCAGGAGAATGGCTTGAATCTGGGAGGTGAAGGTTGCAGTGAGCCCAGATCATGCCACTGCACTCCAGCCTGGGTGACAGAGCCAGACACCGTCTCAAAAAAAAAAAAAAAAAAAAAGCAAATACTTTCCCCCACACCCCAATTTGTCTACTGAATCTGACGTTTTGTGGGTGGGGCCAGCAATCTGTTTCAGCAAGCCTTTATGGTAATTTGGATGCACTAAACTGAGAACCACTGCTAGAGGAGGTTAGATTTGTTCTGTGTAATATAATTAGGACTTTGATAGTTGTTAACTGTGACTTGAAGCCTGGTTATGTCAATAAACATTAACCTGAAGAATATGTCTGCAAAATTTCCTACTCCTGTTCCACTCCCTTTCCCTGCTTTTTTTTCCCCCACTGTATTTTCTCTGAAAAGAGAACTAGAAAGATCCTGGGTCACTAATAGTCTTGGAAATCACCATTTATCTTTGAAACGGTAACACTATTGCTAAACTTCAGTGACAACATTGGCCATTGGAAAGGGTGAGTAGAATCCAAGACTCTTCCCCCTTTAGAAATTCTTAAATATCCTAAAATATGCCCTTTGGCTAACATTTTTTGTAACCAGATGTATGTTTCAGAGAGAATGTCTGGGTAAGAAAAATGATGGAATTTATAAATTATTGCTTTTCCTTTCTACTTTGATAGTTGAAGATTGTATTTCGTTCCAGAATATGTAACCCAGACTTTTGTCAGTCTCTTCCTTTTTTTTTGTTTTTGACAGAGCCTCACTTTGTTGCCCAGGCTGAGGGCAGTGGCACGATCTCAACTCACTGCAACCTCCAGGGTTCAAGCGATTCTCCTGCCTCAGCCTCCCGAGTAGCTGGTGGCATGTGCCACCACACCCAGCTAATTTTTGTATTTTTAGTAGAGAAGGGGTTTCACCATGTTGGCCAGGCTGGTCTCAAACTCCTGACCTCAAGTGATCCGCCCACCTCAGCCTCCCAAAGTGCTGGCATTACAGGCATGAGCCACTGCGCCTGGCCCAGCCTCTTCTTATTCCCAGAGAATAGGAGGAGGTGTGTTGGGGAAGTGGACTATCATTCACTCCCTGGATGGAGAAGAGAAGGTCATTAGGAGAGAGGGGAGGAAAAACAACTGAAGTGTTCTACTGCTTTCTACTCTAGGCAGTGCCAAAGAGTTATGGCTCTTTTAATTCATCCCTTCATCTCATTTGTAAACGGAAAAACACATTCCACAAAAAGAAGTCTTTGTTTCTGGAAACACTTGTTTTAGAAAAAAAACAAAAAAGGTATGAGGAAAGCTTTATTTTGGGGAAATATACTCTCTTGTTTTTCTTTATTAAATGTTTATGTCATTTTGTAAAACACATGATATAGTGAAATAAACGAAAGAATATTTACACATATGCATACACACAGTATTCTTTCAAAGCATAGAGACATAAAAATAATCCTGAAGTTTGGAAATATGTAGATTTTGGCAAGAGAGGTATATCTTTGTATTTCTCACATTAGGATTATTTTGTAAGCACACACTAGTCTTGTCTCACTTAGGGGCAAACTAACAGTGTATTTTGAAGAGATGCCATTGCTGAAGGGCATCAAACATTTATTTCCTTTAAGAATTATACAGGGCCGTGTGCGGTGGCTCACGCTTGTAATCACAGCACTTTAGGAGGCCCAGGCAGGTGGATCACCTGAGGTCAGGAGTTCAAGACAAGCTTGGCCAACGTATAGTGAAATCCCGTCTTTACTAAAAAATACAAAAATTAGCTGGGTGTGGTGGCGCACGCCTGTAGTCCCAGCTACAAGCTGAGGCAGGAGAAGTGCTTGAAGCTGAAGCTGAGGCAGGAGAATTGCTTGAACGAGGGAGGCAGAGTGCAGTGAGCTGAGATCGTGCCACTGCACTCCAGCCTGGGCGACAGAGCAAGACTCCATCTGTAAGAAAAAAAAAAAAAAAAAAAAAAAAAGATCAGGAGCAGTGGCTCACGCCTGTAATCCCAGCACTTTAGGTGGACGAGGTGGGCAGATCACGAGGTCAGGAGTTCGAGACCAGCCTGACCAACATAGAGAAACCCCGTTTCTACTAAAAGTACAAAAATTAGCCAGGTGTGGTGGCACACGCCTGTAATCCCAGCTACTCAGGAGGCTGAGGCAGGAGAATCGCTTGAACCCGGGAGGCAGAGGCTGCAGTGAGCCAAGAGTGTGCCACTGCATTCCAGCCTGGGTGACAGAGCGAGACTCCGTCTCAAAAAAAAAAAAAAAAAGATTTATTCAAACCCACTTGCTCTTCCAAACATTTCTGTGAAATTTATGTAGTTTTTATTTATATCCATGCTTCTTTTAATGGGTTAGAAACTCTTCAATAACCTCCTGCAAAGAGTCTCAAATCTGGCTTCAACTACCCTTGCCTAATTGGTCAGAACATTAGAACCAACATGTCAAACCAGTCTTCCATAGCCTGTCTCCCCACCTCCCACCTCTACCCAAAAACATGTTTATAAGTCAAAGGTGACTTCAGCTGGGAAGGGAAGGGGTGGTCTCTTGTGTGTTGGAGTTAATTATTGTCTCATACTTCCTTTCCAGTGACATTATCCACCCCATCTTGAAATCCTAGAGCCATTTCTACAAGGTTCATTACTCCACTTCATTAAGCAACAGGTCCTGCCAGCTAAAGTCTTAAAAAAAAAAAATAGCAGTAGCAAGTGACAGTTTTAGCAACACTTCCTAACTCCAGTCTGTGACACGCCCATGAACTTTCCACATTAAGAGGAAGTGGTAGGGTGGAAAATTCTAACCTTTTCGAAACTTTGGGACTCTATAAAAATTCCTGTGTGGGAGAAGAAGCTGGAGAAGAAATCCTTGATCTGTAACTTAATATATGTGTATATTTTATGTGTACATATTGGCCTGCCTACCTGCATGTTATAAAGCACGACATCCTACATGCCACAGAGATGCATCTCACAGAGGCTAAGACAAGGTACCAGTCCTCAAAAAGCTGACAGCAGAGGCAGAAGGAAGAAGCAAACACAAAAAACAGTAACTAATTGTGAAGCAGGATGAAATAAGTGATAACAAAGAGGCAAGAGTGACGTGTGGTGGGTTCTGACTGATGGGAGGTTTTATATAGCAGCACCAAGTACCATACAGATTCCAGGTTCAAACGCACACACAACAGGAAGATGAGAAAGCTTAAGACTCAAAATGGAATGGATTAGATAATATAATATATACGAAAGTCCTGGCAGATGGCTTCACTTATTGTTGTAAGAAGGAGTTAGCATTTGATTTGAGCTCTGAAGGATAAAAGAATTTTAAGTGAGGAGAAGGGTGTTCCAGGCTGAGGAAACAAGGTAGAGACAGAGTTGACAGTTTGAGTCTCGGGAGTAAGGTGGGGAATGAAGAGTTGATGGGGTGCTAGCAAACAGTGCCTGGAGAGAGAAAACAGGAGTCTGAAAGCTATGCTAGACAAAGCACCAAGAGCTTTGTGTAACAGGCTGCGGAGCTGGGAGGAAATGAAGAAAAGAAAAAGGTGGTTATTCAATCTCCGCATTCAGACACATCACCACCACCTTCTCTCTGGTCCACCTGAACTGGTCAGAGATAACCAAAGGAGGATAAGGAAATCAACGTGTTGCAACAACAAGGACATCTTTGTAGCACTGCAGTGTCCTAATTGTGACTAATTGTGAAACAGTTCATCACCTCTGCTCACCCAGACCCCTCTCCTATCAGCACCACCACCTCTTCCACCAATCCCCACAGTATTAACTCCACTTCCACTCTGTCCGACATCACCCCCCTCAACCCTTCTGCTCCGCCTCTTCAATCTGGACCAGCAGCAGCCCCTACTGCCAGAACGACACCACAGCCACCCAGCATGGCAGAGCAAGCTTGCACAGGGAAGGTATGCTAGGAAATGGCTGCACACTGTCCCACTAGGGAATTCCATCCTCTGCCAACTAAGGAATTCCATGGAAAAGATTCACGTCAGTGGACAGATCCAGATGGTGCCTGGTACTCTGCAGGTCCTCAATAACTTTCTGTTAAATTGGGTCTTAATTGTTTGTGAGTTATTGATTATAATAAGTCCAATTTCTCAATAAATGGAGTTAGACATCAAGGAGCAACTGTGGTATTGTCAAATGTGAGCCTAAAAGCTCAATACTTTCTACCGCGGCCCTCACTACCATTTTAGTATTATGTTCAAAAATAAGCATGAGATTTCCCCAGTTATAAAGATAACGCATATACATTATGTAAAATTTGGAACATATCCAACTATCTTGCTTTTAAGTTCCCCAGAAAAACAACAACCAGAATCAGCTATTGCAGTCATTTCCTACTGCTGCTGCCGCAAATTATCACAGATTTAATGGCTTAAAACAAACATAAATTCATCTTACAGTTCTGGAGGTCAGAAGTCTGACCTAGGTCTTACTGGGCTAAAATCAAGGCATCAGTGGGGCTGTGTTCATTCTGGAGACTCTACTGGAGCATGTGTTTCTTTGCCTTTTCCAGCTCATGGGAGCTGCCTCCGCTCTTTTTTTTTTTTTTTTTTTTTTTTTGAGACAGGGTCTTGTTCTGTTGCCCAGGCTGGAGTGCGATTACGTCATTACAGCCTCAACTTCCTGGGCTCAGGTGATCCTTCTGCCTCAGCCTCCTGGGTAGCTGGAACCACAGGTGTCTGTCACCACTCCTGGCTAATTTTTTTTTTTTTTTGGTAGAGACGGGGTTTTGCCATGTTGCCCAGACTGGACTCTAACTCCTAGGCTCAAGCAATCTGCCCACCTTGCCCTCCCAAAGTGTTGGGATTACAGGCGTGAGCCACCGTGCCCAGCCTACCCACATTCTTTAGCTTGCGGCCCCTTCATTCATCTTCAAAGCCAGCAACTTTGTGTCTCTTTGATCATTAGTCACATCTTCCTCTGACTTTCTTCTGCCTCCCTCTTTCACTTTTAAGGACACTTGCGATTACATTGGGCCAACATGAATGATCCAGGATAATCTAGGATTATCAGTTTGCTGATTAGCATGTGTAATCTTAATTCTTCTTTGCCATGTGAAGTAACAAATTCACAGATTCTAGGGATTAGGACACAAACATCTTTGGGGCGTCGTTGGCACTAATAATTCCTGTATTCAGAAATAGTAACCACAAACACTTTATTATGTGACTTTCCGTTCTTTTTAAGGTTCACATATATGCAAATATGTAATGCAGTCATGTGTCTCTTAACCATAGGGTTACATTCTGAAAAATGCACCATTAGGCAGTTTTGTCACTGTGTGAACATCATAGAGTGTACTTACATAAACCTAGATGGTATAGCCTTACACACCTAGGCTAGTTAGTATAGCTACACACCTGCACAACATGTTACTGTACTGAAAACTGTAGGCAATTGTAGCACAATGGTTAGAATTTATGTATCTAAATATATCTAAACATAGAAAAGGTACAGTAAAAATATGATATAAAAGTTTTTTCAAATGATTCTCTTACATAGGGCACATACCATGAATGGAGCCTGCAGGACTGGAAGTTGCTCTGGGTTAGTCAGTGAGTGAGTGGTGAGTGAATGTGAAGGCCTAGGACATTACTGCACACTACTGTAGACTTCATCAACACTGTACACCTAGGCTACACTCAATTTATTAAAAATATATTTGTCTTTCTTCAATAATAAACTATTGGGATACATTCTGAGAAGTGTACTGTTAGGCAACTTTTTACCTACTATAACTTTTTTGCCTTATAAACTTTTAAATTTTGAAAAACTTTTTGACTCATTTGTAATAAAACTTAGCTTAAAACACACATTGTACAGCTATACAAAATATTTTCTTTCTTTACATCTTTAATCTATAATACACCTTTACCTATTTTTAAAATTTTTTATTTTAATTTTTACTTTTTAGGCTTTTTTGTTAAAAACTAAAACACAAGCACACACATTAGCCTAGGACTACACTGGGTCAGGATCATCAATGTCACTGTCTTCCACCTCCACATCTTGTCCTACTGGAAGGTTTTCAGGGGCAATAACACGCATGGAGCTGTCCTCTCCTATGACAACAATGCCTTCTTTCAGCATACCACCTAAAGGATCTGAAATATGTAAACCAGTAACAGTCATTTATTATCACTAGCAAGTATGAAGTACTGTGCATAATAGTATGTGTTATACTTTTATACAATTGGCAGTGCAGTAGGTTTGTTTACACCATCACCACAAGCAGGTGAGTAATGCCTTATGCTACATCACTGGCTGTGATGGCTATGATGGCTATGATGTCACTAGGTGATAGGAATTTTTCAGCTCCATTATAATCTGATGGGATTACTTATGTGCCGTTGACCAGAATGTTGTTATTTGGCACGTGGCTGTACATGTAATAGGCTGTTCCTCCACTTTAAAGTGGGATAATATGCATGTAGGGAATGGAGTTTTCTGTATAACTATAGACCTGTAAGACATGCTCTACTTTTAGATCAGCTAATAATCAACAAGGTTACTTTGAATATAATAATGTCTACTTAAAAGCCAGTGAAGGTTCCTCTTTTTCCCATTCAAATTGCCTGTGGAAGTGGAGTAAATGTATTAGTGTGTGTTGATTCATGAGTTGACCAAATTTGGCCAGAAAGTGAAAGCTTTGTTTATGGGAAGAATCAGAGGGTGTTCCAATGAAAACAGGAGCCACTGGTAGTAATGGAGCCTGGAGGTGTTCACACTTGTATTAATCATGCTTCAGCCTACTGTGTTCTGTGAAAAAGAGAACTTGTTTTATACATATAGTCTAATAATTTGTGTCTGACCTGGCAACTCCTTCGTTCCTTCTTCAGTGTTCTAAGATTACACAAACCTAAAGAATAGTGTCAGGCCTCTGAGCCCAAACTAAGCCATCATATAACCTGTGACCTGCACGTATACATCCAGATGGCCTGAAGCAACTGAAGATCCACAAAAGAAGTGCAAATAGCCTTAACTGATGACATTCCACCATTGTGATTTGTTTCTGCCCCACTCTAACTAATCAATGTACTTTGTAATCTCCCCCACCCTTAAGAAGGTTCTTTGTAATTCTCCCCACCCTTGAGAATGTACTTTGTGAGATCCACCCCCACCCGCAAACCATTGCTCTTAACTCCACTGCCTATCCCAAAACCTGTAAGAACTAATGATAATCCCACCACCCTTTGCTGACTCTCTTTTTGGACTCAGCCTGCCTGCATCCAGGTGAAGTAAACAGCCTCGTTGCTCACACAAAGCCTGTTGGTGGACTCTCTTCACACGGACGCATGTGACAAATAGGACATTTGATATCAGATATTTTTTTCTCCTAGCAGGACACTCATGAGTCATCATCAAATTTTTTTTATAGAATTGTTCTCACAGGCTATTCTCTAGGTAGGGAGTTGCAAATAGTAAAGCAATTCATGCTCAGAAGATATTTCAAAATGGTAAAATCTGTTCGAGTAGGTCAAATAAAAATCAAGAAAACCATTTGCAATTATAATTGCGAAGGGATACGCTATTTATTTATAGAGTACCTTTCCCCAAAATAATTTTTTTTGTTTGAGACAAGGTCTCTCTCTGGCTGGAGTCCAGTGGCATGATTATGGCTCATTGAAGATTTGACCTCCTGGGCTCAGGGGATCCTCCTGCCTCAGCCTCCTGAGTACCTGGGACCAAAGGCACATGCCACCGCACCTGGCTAATTTGTTATTTTTTGTAGAGATGGGTTTTTGCCATGTTGCCCAGGCTGGCCTCGAACTCCTTGGCTCAAGTGATTTGCCTGTCTTGGCCTCCCACAGCCAGGCCATGCCTGGCCTAAAAGACTCCAATTCACTAAATTACTATGTTATCTTAAAAGATAGGTGGGAAGAGGCTGGGCGCGGTGGCTCATGCCTGTAATCCCAGAACTTTGGGAGGCCAAGGTGGGCGGATCACGAGGTCAGGAGATCGAGACCATCCTGGCTAACACGGTGAAACCCCATCTCTAATAAAAATACAAAAAACTGGCCAGGCATGGTGGCAGGTGCCTGTAGTCCCAGCTACTTGGGAGGCTGAGGCAGGAGAATGGCGTGAACCCAGGAGGCAGAGCTTGCAGTGAGCCGAGATCGTGCCACTGCACTCCAGCCTGGGCGACACAGCGAGACTCCATCTCAAAAATAAATAAATAAGTAAATAAAATAAAAAGATAGGTAGGAAGAGACATTTTGGTAAAGTTTATCTTGTCTGGTGATAAGGGAGAAGAGTCTCTCGGTCCAACTTTCCCCCATTTTCCTTCTCCGTTTTTCTCATCTCTTTAGACCCAACATTTTAAACTGGCGAAAGGATGGGCAGCAGTTAAGGCCAGATGGGGCGAGGAGTTAAATGTGTCATTTGCTCCCAAATATAGATTCTTTCAGAGGCAAAAACTCATTGATGTTTTAATCCAGGTTTGATCTGAGGTCTCCCTGTCCCTTGAGGTCTAGATAAAGTGAAATCAATACCCCATTGCCCCCCGCTTCAAGGCTTGTGGCTGATTTCTAGAAATTCCTAAGTAGTTTACATTCTCAAACTCAACTCTGGCTCCAAACTTTTGTTTCCTCAGTTTATGGATTATTTCAGTGTCTTTTCATCTTCTTTCTTCTTTCTTCTTCTCCTCCCCTTCCTCCTTCCCCTCCCCATCCCCCTCTTTCTCTTTCTTCTCCTTCTCCTTCTTCTTCTTCCTTCTTCTCCTTCTTCCTTCTCCTTGTTCTTCCTCTTCTTTTTTTTTTTTTTTTTTTTTAAGACAGAGTCTTGTTCTGTCTCCCAGGCTGGAGGGCGGTGGCGTGATCTCGGTTCCCTGCAACCTGGCTCAAATGATCCTCCCGCCTCAGCTTCCCCAGCAGCTGGGATTACAGGTGGGAGCCACCAATGCCTGGCTGATTTTTGTGTATTTTGTAGAGACGGGGTTTCGCCATGTTGCTGTGGCTGGTCTCGAACTCCTGAGCTCACAAAAGTGATCTGTTTGCCTCGGCCTCCCAAAGTGCTGGGATTCCGCCGTGTCCAGCCTGCTTCTTCTGCTCAGTAATTCATTGACTCAGATATCATAGTCAGGCTCTTTCCCAGTCTGTGTGCATGCACACACACACACACACACACACACACACCTCCCAGGAGGCCTTTTGTGTGGTAAGTGGACTTTACCGACGATTTGAGAGACAGACATGTGTTACAGTAGGTAGTCAGGCAGACATGAGTAGGGCAGGAGAGGGCCCCCTACTCACCAGAAACGTCAGGCGACCATCAGGTGTTAGTCAGGTGGTTGTTAACTGTCTCTCTAAAATAATAATTGGTCATAGCCAGTGCCAGGGAAAGGCAGTCTCCCAATAAATAGAAAACACATGAAACTGGTGATCAGCAGCTTCCCGGTAAGATCTTAGGAGTTAGGTGAGTGGGCTCCAGTATGCACATTAAGAGGCAAAATGGTGGAGTTTAACTGGTATATGACCTTCTAGGAACACTCCACTGGTAAGGGAAGAACGCCTCAAGTGAGCATGTGTACAACTCCAGTAAACACACTGTGCATGCAACCCCTCCCCCATACCGACAGGCCACTGCATGTGGGGTCAGCCCACCCCAAGGGAAGAATGGGGGGAGAAGTAATGCAACCCCGGAAGCATGCCAACATAGAAGACCTCAAGTCAAAGGTCAAACCATGCACTTGAATCTCTCAAGTCACCTGTTTGGCCCTCTTCCAAGTGTACTTTACTTCCTTTCATTCCTGCTCTAATACTTTTTAATAAACTTTCACTCCTGTTCTAAAACTTGCATGGGTCTCTCACTCTGCCTTATGCCCCTTAGTGGAATTTTTCTTCTGAGGAGGCAAGGAATGAGGTTGCTGTAGACCCATATGGATTTGCCATTGCTAACACGTGAAAGTGGCAACTTCACCAAAGGAATTTTCACTCAGTCTCTCTCTACCTTACCTGGTGCCCCTCCTTCCTGTGCAAGGCCAAACACGTTCCTCTTGTTTTGTCATGCAGAACTGACCTGCCTTTTCTTTCTTTGCCACAGTCTTGGGGCAGGGCACGCCTTTCCTCAGATGGCTTATCAAGGTATTACCCCAGGCACTGTTCCCTTCCTAAGAAGAGTTCTTGTGCCAGCTGTTAACATAATAAGAATTTCAACCCTGTAAAATTTATTTTTAAACTCCAGTGTTTTCTGCCCAGAGAAAACTAGTATTTCTTTTATTTGACAAATATTTTTTGGTGTGTTTATTTTATGTCAGACATTATTGCTGGAGCTGAGAACACAGTGGGGAATTAGATGCAATCTTGGCCCTCATGGAGTTTCTGTCTCTTGGAGGAGAAATGTTTAAACAAATAATGATGCAAATTATTTATTTATTTGTTTGTTTGTTTGTTTAGAGACAGAGTCTTGCTTTGTGGCCCAGGCTGGAGTGCAGTGGTGTGATGTCGGCTTACTGCAACCTCCCCCTCCCAGGTTCAAGCTATTCTCATGCCTCAGCCCCTGAGTAGCTGGGACCACAGGGGTGCACCACCACACCTGGCTAATTTTTGTATATTTGGTAGAGTCAGGGTTTTGCCACGTTGGCCATGCTGGTTCCAAACTCCTGGCCTTAAGTGATCCTCCCACCTCGGCCTCCCAAAATGCTGGGATTACAGGCGTGAGCCACTGTGCTCAGAGGCAAATAATTTATTTACAAGTGTGGTACATGCTACAAAGGAAAATTTCTGAATACTATCTGGAAGGGTGTGGAGGGTGGCAGGGTGGGTGGTCAGGGAAGGTCTTGCCAAAGAAGGGGCTCCTGAGTGGAGGAAGGGATGGTGAGGAGCTTGCTAAAGAGGAACATTCCTTTCCAATGGAAAGGTATGTTCAAAAGCCCTGAGACAGAAAAAATGTTGCTGGTTTGTCTGACCACAGAAAGAGGCAAGTGGGGTTTCAGCAAGTAAGTGAAAGAAAGAGGGGTGAGAGGTTCTTGGTGTGGAGCCAGGACCCTTTTTAGGTAGAGTCTTATAGGCCATGGTGAGGAGTTAGGGCACCAATAGGGAAGTGACTTACTTGATTTATGTTTTAAAAGATTATTGTAGGTGCAGAATAGAGAATAGATTGCTTACACATTCCAGTGTTGTATAATAAACAACTTAAACATCTACAGATGCAGAATTGGTTAAGTAAATTATGCTATATTTTCATGCAATGAAATTACCACGAAGCCATTAAAAATGGTGAGATGTAATCTCAGCACTTTGGGAGGCCAAGGCGAGTGGATCACGAGGTCAGAAGATGGAGACTATCCTGGCTAAAACGGTGAAACCCCACCTCTACTAAAAATACAAAAATTAGCTGGGCGTAGTGGCGGGCATCTGTAGTCCCAGCTACTGGGGAGGCTGAGGCAGGAGAATGGTGTGAACCTGGGAGGCAGAGCTTGTAGTGAGACGAGATCGTGCCACTGCACTCCAGTCTGGGTGACAGAGCAAGACTGTCTCAAAAAAAAAAAAAAAAATGGTGAGATGAATATATGTTGGCATGGTCAGATGTCCACATTATAGTAAGAGGAAAAAAAAAACTTTTATCTGAGGAATGCAAGCCCTTTTAATTATCAGGCCCAAAGAGACATTAAAATGAGACATCAATCACATCCTTCTCCCCACTTTGAGCTATGTATTCATCCCATGAAACTGCTTGCTATTGCCACAAGCTATAATAAGTTTACCTAATTATGCCACACTGGGCACTATAACCACACCCTATAGGTTATCAATATATAGCCAATAACTAATCAATGCTATTTCTGTAAACCAATGAGAATTCCTGACAATCAACTTTGTCACTCGACTTGCTGCCCCCCTTTTTTGCCTTTAAAAATCCACTTGTAGGCTGGGCGCGGTGGCTCACGCCTGTAATCCCAGCACTTTAGGAGGCTGAGGTCAGGAGTTCAAGACCAGCCTAGCCAACATGGTGAAACCCTGTCTCTACTAAAAATACAGAAGTTAGCTGGGTGTGGTGGTGGGTGCCTGTAGTCCCAGCTGCTCGGGAGGCTGAGGCAGGAGAATGGCGTGAACCCGGGAGGCGGAGCTTGCAGTGAGCCGAGATTGCACCACTGCACTCCAGCCTGGGCGACAGAGTAAGATTCTGTCTCAAAAAAAAAAAAAAAAAAAATCCACTTGTATTGCTCCAGTGCACTCCAGCCTGGGTGACAGAGGGAGATGCTATCTAAAAAAGAAAAAATAAATGAAATAAATAAATTCACTTGTAACTGCTGCTAATTGGAATGTATATTCAGAGCTACTTGAATTTATGATATTGGGTTGCAATCCTCAAGTTCACCCCAAATAATCGCTTTTTTTTTTTTGATGGAATTTAGCTCTTCTTGCCCAGGCTGGAGTGCAGTGGCACGATCTCAGCTCACTGCAACCTCTGTCTCCTGAGTTCGAGTGATTCTTCTGCCTCAGCCTCCTGAGTAGCTGGGATTGCAGGCGCTCACCGCTACGCCTGGCTAATTTTTTGTATTTTTAGTAGAAATAGGGTTTCACCATGTTGGCCCGGCTGGTCTCAAACCCCTGACCTCAGGTGATCCTCCCACCTCAGCCTCCCAAAGTGTTGGGATTACAGGTGTGAGCCACTGTGCCCAGCCATAATCTTTCTACCTATATTAATTTTGCCTCAGCTTTTTCCTTTTAGGTCAACAAGTAATTTGAGGGAGAGGAGTGAGAGTCAAGTTACAACATAATGTCTGTGTTGTTCTTTTCAAAAAAGGCTTAAAGTATATAAACTAAAATGTTTATATTGTCTATCTCTGGGTGGTAGCAATATAGACTTTTTTCCTCCTTTTTTGCTTACTGACTTTTTTTTAGTTTTTCTAGTTGAATAATAAAAAAGGCATGTAAAAATAAGTTCACCAGACATAAGATTGGAATATGGGCTGACTGAGAAAACATTTAAATACAGAAATGTGGCATTTCATTTACCAAGAGTTATACCTATTGCTTACTTCAAAACATGAATACTTTGCAGCACATTTCAAATGTTATTCCACAAAATTTGTAATGAAAAACCAAAAGTGTGATCACTTAAATAGTATTCCTTAAAACAAAGTTCACAGTATTTCTCTTTTCCCTGAATGTATCAATATCTTTAATCAAACATTTTCTCAGACTCAGTGTGAGATTCTCTCCCTCTTGAGTGCCCACTTGGGGAGTACTTCTGACTGTGTTACCTTGCCTCACTTTATTGAATTAGGATTGGAAAATTCATTTTCTGATCATTTCACTTAAAAGTTCCAATGAAAACAACTTGAAGAATGGGAACTAAGATTCAGTGGAATATATGTGAGCTCCAGATATCTTTTTATGGTCATTGTTCCTCTATTTGTACTCTGAAAGCATTGCACAATTCTAGACTTACAGTTAGTTCAAGGCTTTCACCATTGGGTGAAGCGTTAAGTCCCTCAAATATTAGCTTTTCAATAACAATAGCATATATGATCAAATGCCGATGGACCAGTATTTGTGATTTTCTGACTGTAGCAGTGCGGGTTTTAAGTTCCCCGAAATCTTGATCTTTCTGAACTTCCTTTTTTATTTTTTTTATTTTTATTTTTTATTATTATTTTTTTTTTGAGACGGAGTCTCGCTCTGTCGCCCAGGCTGGAGTGCAGTGGCGCGATCTCGGCTCACTGCAAGCTCCGCCTCCCGGGTTCACGCCATTCTCCTGCCTCAGCCTCCCGAGTAGCTGGGACTACAGGCGCCCGCTACCACGCCCGGCTAATTTTTTGTATTTTTAGTAGAGACGGGGTTTCACCGTGTTAGCCAGGATGGTCTCGATCTCCTGACCTCGTGATCCGCCCGCCTCGGCCTCCCAAAGTGCTGGGATTACAGGCGTGAGCCACCGCGCCCGGCCTCCTTTTTTAATTTAAAGGAATCCTTTGAATTTTAAATTTCATGTCATGTTTTACGACAGTAGATTGCTGTAAATGTAATCAGTCTTTTTACTTGTATGCTTGCAAAAACTGAAGATTTTTTTCCCTTATTACTGTCTTTTTTTCGAAATGATTTTCTGTCACTATTGTATAAAATAGCTTAGATTTCCTAGGTCCTCTGATGATCCATGTTCAAAATAATTTTAAATAAACTGTGTAGAAAATATATACCTTACTAATTATGCTAAAGGAAAAGTGTGAATAAAAAGCCAGCACTTTGGGAGGCCGAGGTGGGCGGATGATAAGGTCAGGAGATCAAGACCATCCTGGCTAACACGGTGAAACCCCATCTCCACTAAAAATACAAAAAATTAGCTGGACATGGTTGTGGGTGCCTGTAGTCCCAGCTACTCGGGAGGCTGAGCTAGGAGAATGGCATGAACCCGGGAGGCAGAGCTTGCAGTAAGCCGAGATCGCACCACTGCACTCCAGCCTGGGTGACAGGGCAAGACTCTGTCTCAAAAAAAAAAAAAAAAGCTATTTTTAGGCCGGGTGCAGTGGCTTACACCTGTAATCCTAGCACTTTGGGAGGCCAAGGTGGGCAGACCACTTGAAGTCAGGAGTTTGAGACTAGCCTTACCAACATGGTGAAACTCTGTCTCTACTAAAAATACAAAAAAATTAGCCAGGCATGGTGGCAGGTGCCTATAATTCCAGCTACTCAGGAGGCTGAGGCAGGAGAATTGCTTAAACCAGGGAGGCGGAGGTTGTAATGAGCTGAGATCGCACCACTGCACTCCAGCCTGGGCCACAGAGCGAGACTCCATCTCAAAAAAAAAAAAAAAGGGGTATTTTTACAACTGGGCAGCTTTAATACTTTCAGATACAGTAGCCATAGAGATACCCCTTTATTGGGCCAAGGTGTTGGCAAGAAATCACTGGCCGGGCGTGGTCCCAGCTACTCTGGAGGCTGAGGCAGGAGAATTGCTTGAACCCGGGAGGTGGAGGTTGCAGTGAGCCGAGATCACACCAATGCACTCCAGCCTAGGTGACAGAGCGAGACTCTGTCTCAAAAAAAAAAAAAAAAAAAAAAATCATTGACACCTACTTTGGGAAAACAGTTTTTTACAACACAGTCATTGCTATGTTATTATTTGTATTTGAAACCTATAAAATTCTTTCAAGACAGCTTGCTTTCTTGTTCTTCTTCCTTTTTTTCTTTATTTCTTTATTTCTTTTTAGCAAAACAATTTTCTATTGGTAGAGCAAGCATACACTTCAGTTCATATAATTTTTTTCTTTTTCTTTTTTTTTGAGACAGGATCTTGTTCTAGCACCCAGGCTGGAATGCAGTGGCACAATCTTGGCTCACTGTAACCTCTGCCTCCCAGGCTCAAGCAAACCTCCCACCTCAGCCTCCCGAGTAATTAGGATCACAGACACATGCCACCATGCCCTGCTAGGTTTTTTTTTCTTTTTTTCTTTTTTTTTTTGTAGAGGCAGGGTTTCACTGTGTTGCCCAGGCTAGTCTTGAACTCCTGGGCGCAAGTGATCTGTCCGCCTCAGCCTACCAAACAGTTAATCCTAACGATGAATTCTGATTTTAGTAGAGGATGTATTAAACATAGCAATAAAGTTTTATTACACTACATTTTATTTTAAATAACCACATTTAACAAAAATACATTTCTAGACTGCATAGCCACAGAAACACTATATCTTCTGTTCATCTCTGACCCTGACAGTAACACTAGCATTTATGTAACATTCTATTGTTTCCAAAGATGTCCTAAAATCTTAGGTGGTAGATGTGTAAAAATAAAAAGCAAGTGGTTATGTATCATGTTTTGAAAGCTTAACTTTTCAGCAAACACAGCTAGTTTTAATGACCATGTGACATAGACTCACAACCCTTGTACTGTAATTGTTAATGGCCAAAATAAACAACTTAGCAGATTTTTAGTCCAATCAACAAGCAGGCATGGAACACCTGATATTTGTAGGCACCAGCACAGAAGTTCAGGTATACAAATATGATTAAAGTTAACTGCCAATTTCCAGAGGCTTATTCTTTAATAGAAGTATAGTTATGGAAGTAAAAAGGAGAGAACAATGAATTTTGATAAGAAAGATCAAGGAAAGCTTTAAAAAGAAGTGGCATTTGATCTAAGTCCTATCAAGAAGAATCTTTTTAAAAAAGAAATTACCAGCGGTGGCTTCACGCCTGTAATCCCAGCACTTTGGGAGGCCGAGGCGGGTGGATCACGAGGTCAGCAGATTGAGACCATCCTGGCTAACGCGGTGAAACCCCGTCTCTACTAAAAATACAAAAATTAGCCAGGTGTGGTGGCGGGTGCCTGTAGTCCCAGCTACTCGGGAGGCTGAGGCAGGAGAATGGCGTAAACCCTGGAGGCAGAGCTTGCAGTGAGCCGAGATCGTGCCACTGCACTCCAGCCTGGGCGACAGAGTGAGACTCTGTCTCTAAAAAAAAAGAAAAAAGAAATTACCAGCATTGTCTTTCAAAGATATCTGCTTAGGAAGTTGTGTTTTCATTCCACTGATGGGGCTGATGTGCAAAATATTTTAGAAATGACGTCTAGATCCTATTTTGCCTCACAGGATAATCAACCCCATTTCACTGCAGTCACACTTTGCTTTTTTAGTAGACTGCTCTCCAGTCAATTCTACCAGAAAGCATTTCTCCTTTCAGAGGAGTAGGGCTTGGAGGATGCCCAGACACTCCGGCCTCACCCCCATTTCTTTGTAGTCTGTGGAGAGATGGAGAAAGGAACAATGTTTCTGGGAATTTGCAGATCTCTGTCTAAGGGAGCTTTTTTGTCTGCCACTGAGCCTAAATGACCTGTAGAAGTGCAGAAACCATTATTGGTTTGAAGACAGCAGGCCTGTCTTAAGTGGAAATATTTTGTTCTGTAACAAATAAGTAGAGATTTCAGCCATTTCCACTAAATGGAAGTAAGGGATTTGGTTTTGTTTCGTATATAATTAAAACAACTCAGTCTTCCCAGATTGGCACTTGTGGAAATTGGGAAACTGGGATCAGAACGTAAGCCACTCACCCTTGATGTTAGATGCTTTGTATCTCATCATGCCACCAGGGATAGGAAAGCATTCTTTTTTTTTTTTTTTCCTATTCATGGATAGTACTCCTTACAGAATCAATCAAAAGTAAAGAGCATGTCTAAAATAATTTGGAAGTATACTTCAATTTTATCTAATGTCCAGTTCAAAGAGAGAAGACAAAAAGAGAAGAAATCAGAAAGGTGGAAGAGAGAAGAATAGATAAACCAGGGGGTAAAGAAAGTAGAAAGGGTGAGTTAAGAAGTGGAAGAGGACAGAAGAGAGAGAAGCAATACACAGTGGAAGAAACACAGGTTCACATCTAGAATGCTGCACTCTTATCACTCCTTTTAAAAGTGTTAAGTGGCCAGATACGGTGGCTCAAACCTGCAATCCCAGCACTTTGGGAGGCCAGATCACTTGAGGTCAGTGTTCAAGACCAGCCTGGCCAACATGGTGAAACCTCGTCTCTAATAAAAATATAAAAATTAGCCAGGCGAGGTGTCAGACGCCTGTAACCCCAGCTACTCGGCAGGCCGAGGCAGGAGAATCGCTTGAACCCAGGAGGCAGAGGTTGCAGTGAGGTGAGATCACACCGCTGGACTCCAGCGTGGGCGACAGAGTGAGACTCCATCTCAAGAAAAAAAAAAGTGTGTGGTACCTCCCCTCCTCCCTCCTCCTCCTGCTCCTGCCATGTAAGACACCTGCTCTTGCTGCCTTTTGCCATGAGTAAAAAGCTCCCTGAAGCCTCCCTAGAAGCAGATGCTGCCATGCTTCCTGTGAAGCTTGTGGAACCATAAGCCAATTAAACCTCTTTTCTTTATAAATTACCCAGTCTCAGGTATTTCTTTATAGCAATGGGAGAATAGAACTAATATATTAAATAACATATTAAATACATGTTTATGTATAAGTATAAATTCAATATAATATCTATACATATATTTACATATGTAAACTAATTACTATAGATCAATCAGTAGGGAGATATATATAGATAGATATATAAGACATGATTCTTAGCCTTCAGAAGTTCAAAATCTAGGAGGGGAGATAAAAGTGAAAACATATAATTACAAAGCAATAGAAATAATTGCCATAATGGATATGTGAACTGAAGCAAAGAGGAGAAACTAACTTTGCCCAGAAGAGAATAAAAGGAATTCACTTATATTAGGAGTTATTATTACTCTATTTTATAAATTAGAATTTTCACATTCCAACGTAAGAGGGAGACATCTATATAAGGTTTTAAAAATTTATCTTGGCTGGGTGCCTTGGCTCACGCCTGTAATCCCAGCACTTTGGGAGGCCAAGGCGGGCAGATCAGGAGGTCAGGAGATGGAGACCATCCTGGCTAACATGGTGAAACCCCGTCTCTACTAAAAATACAAAAAATTAGCTGGGTGTGGTGGCGGGCGCCTGTAGTCCCAGCTACTCAGGAGGCTGAGGCAGGAGAATCGCTTGAACCCGGGAGACAGAGGTTGCAATGAGCAGAGATCACACCACTGCACTCCAGCCTGGGTGACAGAGCGAGACTCTGTCTAAAAATTTATATATGTATATATACACATATACACACTTTAAAAAATTTATCTCATTAAGCAAATAGGCCTGCAATAGCATTGACAGTGTGATACAAGAATTTGCAACATGGAATAACAGTTGCATAATGTACCAAGGAAGTGCTGAAACTACCCTATTAATTAAGCCAGTCTTTAATTTAATTGTATGATAGCGTGTGTAAACAGACTACTGTGAATAAATGATATACTAGACATATGTATCATTTTATTCGTTCATGCATTTGGAAATTTTCATGCACACCATATTGTGTAGGTACCAATGAGGAAACAGATTATTAAAGCA
This sequence comes from Homo sapiens, assembly GCF_000001405.40. Classification (NCBI taxonomy): domain Eukaryota; kingdom Metazoa; phylum Chordata; class Mammalia; order Primates; family Hominidae; genus Homo; species Homo sapiens. Next base: position 67,389,996 of record NC_000008.11, read on the forward strand.
TCATTCCTGCCTCAAGGATATCATAACCATGTAAGGGAAGTAAAATATGCTAAAGTGACTCAGTGTCCTGAGAGCTATATAACTAAAATATGAAAGAGTTTAGAGAAAATGCTTAGCCTCAGTATGAGGGATGACTTTTTAGGAGAACATGAATTTGAACTGGGTCATCAGGAATGGGTAGGTTTATTGCGGGTGGCTATCATGGAGACAGGGTAAATGTTCCAAATAAAAGAATCCTTTGAATCATATGAGCATAGCAACAGCAAATATTCTAACTTGGTTTGAGTACAAGGAACATAAAGCAGAGTTGTGGGAGATCATTTTTGAAGGATTAATTAGCAGTAGGTTATAGGTGGCCCGAACCCTAGAAAAAAAACCCAAACAATTCTACCAACATTTATTGAGGGCTTATAATAGCCCAGGAGTTGAGAATTCACAGATGAATAAAATGAAGCCTTTGCCCTTGGCAACTCAGATATACTCTTCCTGATGTCTTAGAGATAAGTGTAGAACAATGATTACAAAATCTGAGGGTACGTGCTATAATGAAGATATGTACAAAGGACTGTGGGAGCAATTACCTCTCGCTGGAAGAGTTAGAAAAGACATCAGAGGAAATGCTATTGCAATTGGGTCTTGATAAATAAGTGCAGAAAAAAAAGGACATAATGTTTCTTCTGCATACAAAGTCCCAGAGACATGGAAGAGCTGGCTTAATCAAAGAACAATCTGTGATCCAATGTGACTCAAGGGGGAAAGTATTGGGAATTAAGGCTGTAAAGAGAGGTCGGGGTCAAAATGAGAAGGGCCTCATGCATTGTGCTAAGGAATGTTGTGTTGGACTTAAGTCTTTTCAGCTTGTGATTTTCAATATTTTAAATGCTAGAATTTTTGGCAGGATAGTGGAAAGGATTAAAAGTCCAGAAACTTTAGCCAGGCTTGGTGGCATGTGCGTGTAGTCCCAGCTACCAGGGAGGCTGAGGCAGGAGGATTGCTTGAGCCCAGGAGTTCAAGGCTGCAGTGACTTATGATTGTGCCACTGCACCCCAGCCTGGGTGACAGAGCAAAACCCTCTCTTAAAAAAAAAAAAAATTCTGGATACACTAAACAAGCCAGCAGTAATTACAGCACAAACCATAGTATAGTGTAGCTATGGTCTCACAGTGTCTATAAAAGCATCCATAGTTACTGTACTATTCACTTGGTTGACCTTCAGCACTATGTTTCTTTTGGAGCAGAGCTGTTTATTCCCAGACAGTGTGCACTTTTGAATACTTGGAGGCGATGTTCTCACAAGTTCCAGTAAGCACCAGATCATTCCCTTGGCATAAACTTGATGTTACTCTAAGCCTCTTTCCTCTTACTTATAGCAAGTTGTACTCTGTTTAATACTCCACAAGTTTCTCAGATCATCGTTGTTTGACAGAAATTGCTCTTAAAAGTTTGAATGATGGCCGGGTGCGGTGGCTCACGCCTGTAATCCCTGTACTTTGGAGGCAGGTGGATCAACTGAGGTCAGGAGTTCAAGACCAGCCTGGCCAACATGGCAAAACCCTATCTCTAGTAAAAATACTAGTTGGACATGGTGATAGGTACCTGTAATCCCAGCTATTCGGGAGGCTGAGGCAGGGGAATCGCTTGAACCCTGGAGGTGGAGGTTGCAGTGAGCCGAGACTGTGCCATTGTGATCCAGCCTGGGCAACAAGAGCAAAACTCCATCTCAAAAAAAAAAAAAAAAAACTTTGAATGCATTCTACCTATTGATCAAAAGGTGGTAGGATGTTTGCAAAGTATGCAAGGTATGACACAAGGTAAGACACAAAGTGCTATGTCTTACCAGATGAAAACCATTGCTGTAAGCAAGAGTCCTGAAAGATGTTTTAATGGGTGGATCCTAAAACCAAAGCGATGATATGAGCAGATTAATCAAAATGCCATGTGCAAAATGGGTTGAAGAATGGAGATGCTGGGAGCTGATGTGGCCATTTAAAGCCAGAATGAGGACCAGAACTAGGGTTTCAGTAGAAAGGGAGATTAGGGGCCACTTTGTTAAGGAAATATGGGATTTGGCAATTGATCATATGGGGAAGGGGTGTCATGAAAAGGAGTGAAAGATGGATCTGACATTTTATGCCTGGTTGAATGGAAGAATACTGGTGCCATTACAAGAAACAGGATAATCAGGAATAACAGCTATTTGGGATTATATGAGAAATGTGGCTCAGGGTAATTGAGTTTTAAATGGTAGCTATAAATTAGCCAAGATTAATGACATCTTTTAGAATATTCTTACGGTTCTAATAAAATGCTGGGGAAAGAGGATATTGCCCAATATAGCAGTTGGGTGTATTTTGACTTTTTGTTTATAGTGTTCCATATATAATTGCCTTTATTTAATTAATTTATTTTTTTGAGACGGAGTTTCACTCGTCTTGCCCAGGTTGGAGTACAGTGGCACGATCTTGGCTCACTGTAACCTCCACCTCCCAGGTTCAAGTGATCCTCATGCTTCAACCTCCCAAGTAGCTGGGATTACAGGCACGTGCCACCACGCCTGGCTAATTTTTTCTATTTTTAGTAGAGATGGGGTTTTACCATGTTGATCAGGTTGTTCTTGAACTCCTGACCTCAGGTGATCCACCCTCCTCAGCCTCCCAAAGTGCTGGAATTACAGGTGTGAGCCACACCCAGCCTATAATTGCCTTTAAATGCAATTTTTTTTTTTGAAAAACTGATTTACTTACCATTTTTGTGGAATCCATTAATATAAGAACATTCCCAACAGATATAGGCCTTAAGAAGAAGGAGTATTCTGGGGGCTACACTTCTGGGAACTGAGATGTTGCTGATAGGTTACTGGCTCTAAACTACTTGCCAGTCCAGGGATTCCAGTAAGCTCATTTCTCTGGAGAAACATGTCTGTAGGCTGTTTCTGCGGGCCCCACCTTTCCACCCTGGGGTTGGGGCATGTGCAGATCCCTGCAGTACAAAACGCAGAAAAGTACTAGCCTCTAGCAGGTTGTAGGCAACGTTTAAGTAGAGTTGTAACTAGGCGACTCTAATTTTGAGCTCTATTATTTCTCTTACTACAAATGAGGAAGTGAAAAACAACTTTTACTTGTTAGTTACTTCCCCAGTTTGAAAAAACGGAAACAAAACCACCAGAGTAACCCAAACCCACAATTTAGTGCACCCAAGCACAAATTTGAGTGATTGGGTCAAAAAGGCTTTTCTCATGATTTGTAAACCAGAACCAGGAGCTCCAGATTTCCTTGGGGTGCCCCTGATGATGTCTTTGTCAGTGGTGCTCATCTTATTACCCAGGTACCCAAAATGGTACAGGAGATGGTTTCATTGGCATTCATATTACTAGATCAGTTTGCAACACAGAACATATAGAAACACACGTCCTTCAGCCAGGTGCGGTGGCTCATGCCTGTAATTCCAGCGTTTTGGAAGCCTGAGGCGGGAGGGTTGCTTGAGGTCAGGAGTTTGAGACTAGCCTGGGAAACATAGCAAGATCTTGCCTCTAAAAAAACAGATAATAAAAAGAAAAAAAAAATAGCTGGGCATGGTAGCATTAGCCTGTCGTCCTAGCTAGTAGGAAGGCTGAGGTGGGAGGATCACCTGAGCCCAGGAAGTCAACGCTTCAGTGAACTATGATTGCACCACTGCACTGCAGTCTGAGTGACAGAGTGAGACCCTGTCTCTAAAAACAAAAGCAACAACAAAAATCCACATCCTTGGTAGTCTGGAACCTTAGTTGCATTCCCTGCAGGAGCTGCCAGTGGGAATCTACAGGGTGAGAGGAGTTTGGAGTCTGAGATAAAGGACTCTCCCTCGCAGGAGAGGGAAGGCAAATGGGGGAGAAGGGGTGTTGAGACTAGCAAATTTTCTTTCCTTTTCCCAAGCTGTTTTGTTTTCCACAGCGTTTCCCCCTACTTCATCCACTACTGAACCCAGAGTTCTCCAAATGAACTATTTAATTATCAAAGAATAATGGTGAAACACAATTTCACTTTTCCCAGCCCCTGATCGATAATGAAGGTGTTGCTGAAGAGAGAAATAGCTGGCACATGGAACTTTAAAGTAGAAGGCACTGTGGTTTTCTGGCTTTGCAGTGAAAAGGCGGGTGAGGGCCATTGGTGTGCATTGGCAATGGCTGAAGTAAGGACTGGGTCTTGATCATTTCTGCTTTTCCCCCTCTTCTGTGTCAGTTGTATTCATAGAAGTATTGAATGCCTGGGTAAAGCTAGTGGGAATTATCTAACCTCCTCTTAGAGCCCCAAGATACAGCCTAAGCATTCTGACTTGAGCCACAATAAGGGCAGTTCGGCACAGCTGACAAAACTATGAGGCTATGTAGAATCCTTTTCTCTGAATGTTAGGAGACTCATCTCTCCTCTACCCATGTTGCTTTGATTAATGATGTTTCCATAGGGTCAGTTTTGCACCTTCAAATGTAGGATAAAATTAAGGAAAGTAGATTAAGATTGAATGAAATGTGCAGTGTTCTCTCAAGCCATTCCAAATATTGGAAGGTTTTGGCAAAACAGCTAACTGGCTTTTTAACTTTCTGCACAGATCAAACCCTGGAGCCAGGATGTGCAGTCTATGGCACTGCTTGGAGCATAAGCCTCAGTTACCATAACCTTGGTGTGTCCTTGCAGGTAACTGTGCCAGCAGGGATGGAGAGGCTGGATCAGCCTCCTCCATTTAGCCAGGGTCCATTTTCAGCAGTAACTCAGTCCCTCCCATAAGATATCTGAAAAACAAAATACACATTTCATCAATATAAATCTGATTTCAATTATCAGAGGCTTGGAGTTCAGTTCTTAATTTAAATACAGCTGTTTTACTAATTTTGAATTGAGTAAAATGTTATTCCTTCTTTCCCTACCACTTGGGCAAGAGGAAGTATGAGTTTTTTGTATAGCTCATTAGTGGGGTAACTCTGGCTTCCATCTTTTAAGCCAAACTGTTGCCCTTGGCTAGAGAGATGTTTGTTATTTTATAATATCCTCATTTCTGGGGTTTTCTAACAGCTGCTTCTGTTTGTTATTTTGCATTTTCCCAATTTCTCTTCACAATCTCATAACCAAGTGAGATTCTATTTATTCTTTTTTTTCAGCTTATTAATATACTGCCATGCCTCCTGGCTGCAAAAATATGATAAAATCACTGGGAAAAGAATTCAATAATTAATAAGAGTTTTTCTCCCTCAGTTTACAACATTCAGAAAAAAAATCTCATTAAAAAATCTCAGAATGTAGATATAACCTTCAACTCTTAAGGACAGGAAACATAGCGTTCTCTGGACTACAGAAAGAATGCTTTAAAAATGGGTTTTTTTCACAAGTCTAGGAATTGTTAAGAGGATCAGGCCAGCCAAATTTAATTGACATGAAGAGAGACTGTAAGAGCCTAATACTGTCACTTTTAGATTCTCCAAGGTCTTCAGAGCATTAGTCATTTTTGGATCTCTTCTGACAATAAAAGGGTATTCTCATCTTGTCTGTTCCATTTAAATGGGTTGAGTTTTAATTAGGGACAAATGACGCAGCTAACAGAGCAGAGACCTTTATTGAACTGGAAATATTTTCTTTATTTCTTTGACAAACATTTTTCCATACATCTCTTGTGGGCCATATCTTATGCCCTATTATAATAACATAACTTACTTTATTTGAGCAAATATTGTGGGATCACAGATAGAAAAGGCCACAAACCCTGTATGGAGAGATAGAGAACTGTCAAGGACTGTGAAGAATCTGGGATTTTACCCTACTTGCAAGCTAACCAGCTAGCCTGGTGATATGGTCAGGCTTTGTGTCCCTACCCAAATCTCATCTTAAATTGTAATCCCCATAATCCCCACATGTCTAGGGAGAGACCTGGTGGGAGGTGATTGGATCATTGGGGTGGTTTCACCCTTGCTGTCCTCATGATGATGAGTGAATTCTCACAAGATCTGATGGTTTTATAAGGGGCTCTTCCCCCTTTGTGTGCCACTCTCTCTGGCCTGCATCCATATAAGATGTGTCTCTTCCCCTTCCGCCATGATTGTAAGTTTCCTGAGGTCACCCCAGCCATGCAGAACTGTGAATCAATTAAACTTCTTTCCTTTATAAATTAGCTGGTCTTGGGTATTTTCTTTTATTTTTTGAGACGGAGTCTCACTCTGTCACCCAGGCTGGAGTGCAGTGGTGTGGTCTCGGCTCACTGCAACCTCCGCTTCCCGGGTTCAAGTGATTCTCCTGCCTCACCTCCCCAGTAGGTGGGACTACAGGCGTGTGCCACCACACCTGGCTAATTTTTGTAGTTTTGGTAGAGATGAGGTTTTGCCATGTTGGCCAGGCTGGCCTCGAACTCCTGACCTCAGGGGATCCACCTGCTTCAGCCTCCCAAAGTGCATTACAGGCATGAGCCACTGGGCCCGACTTGGGTATTTCTTTATAGCAGTGTGAGAACAGACTAATACACCTGGTAATGTTTAATGGATGCTGGCAGAAGACATAAGAACGCTAGGTCAGGGACAAATGACTTTATGACTGATAGCACCGTGAGCAGCATGAGCATGACACTGGTGCCAGGTCCCCATTCCCCACCCCCATCCCCCTAGTCCCATGGAGCTGAAAAACAGCCCTGGTAAAGAGCAGTCAGGGCCTTGTTTTCTTGGCATACCTGGCAAGAACCTGCAGGGATGGATGCTCAAAGCTCACAAGGGATTGCTTCTTCCAGCAAACACAACACTGAGAAGACACATAGGATGGGATGAATAGATACTTGATGAGAGCAAGGAGGACTCATTCCAGTCAGAGGAAATAGGATTTGCAAAGGCCCTGAGGCATGAAGGACACTGAGCTGTCTCAGGGAACAATGGACTGTCTGGCATGATTGGGATGATAATCATAAGGTTAAAGAAGGAGGCTGGCAACCATTCATCAAGGGCTTTGCATGCCATTGAGATTATGGTGTATGGCTTTTTGTTTTATTTTGACCCAACAAATTTCAGAACATTTTAAGCAGAGGAATGACATGATTGAATTTTATTTTATTTTTATCATTTTTATTTATCTTTTTGAGACGGAGTTTTGTTCTTGTTGCCCAGGCTGGAGGGCCAGTGGTGTGATCTCAGCTCACTGCAACCTCTGCCTCCTGGGTTCAAGGGATTCTCCTGCCTCAGCCTCACGAGTAGCTGGATTACAGGTGCCCACCACCAAGCCTAGCTAATTTTTGTATTTTTAGGAGAGAGGGGGGTTTCATCGTGTTGGCCAGGCTGCTCTTGAACTCCTGGCCTCAAATGATCTGCCTGCTTCGGCCTCCCAAAGTGCTTGGATTATAGGTGTGAGCCACCGTGCCCGGCCTGAATTTTATTTGCTATTATCTGGTGATATAGTGTAGAGAAGAGACTGGATAATAGCTAATCAGAGATAAGCTCTATGGGCCTTTCACCGAGTGTCCTTGGAACACCTTGCTTTTTAAGTGTTTTTTAAACCCTTTGCATTTTTTTTCTATTTTTCTAAGACTTCACTACCTTATCCTACCCTGTGTCTCATTTTCACCTTCAAGGACCTCACACACTCACCTTCATGTCTGGCAGCCCTCTCCCTTCAACCCACATTGAATATGCTGATATGAACTGATATAGAGTAGGAATATTTCTATTTAATTTACTGAATTTCTCAGTATTTTTAGAGTTGTAAACATGTTATTTTCTGAGAATTTATCTACTTTTTTTTTTCCTTATGCCAATATTCTAGTAAGAATTTTTACTTGGCATAATATAATTTATAAATTCAAGTCTAAGAGGTAAATTTTAACATTCAATTTATTAAAATAAACACACACACACTCTATTCCAAATAGTATTTGTTTATTCTAAAAAGGAATTGTATGAAGACAAGTATGAGTATGATATTTTAAGAGATTAAAAGATAGAAATTGACTACATTGAACATAACAAAGTCAAAATACAAAATATTTATTTTCTTTATGATTTCAAGACCCTTCCAAATTTTGCAATGTATCGGGGACAGAAGCGATGATTTTTAAAGCCCATTTAGTGGTTTAAAACAATACAATCTTTTTTTTTTTTTTTTTTTTGAGACTGAGTCTTGCTCTGTCACCGGGCTGCAGTGCAGTGGTGCGATCTTGGTTGACTGCAACCTCTGCCTCCCTGGTTCAAGCAATTCTCCTGCCTCAGCCTCCCGAGTAGCTGGGATTACAGGCGCGTGCCCCCATGCCCAGCTAATTTTTGTATTTTTAGTAGAGACGGGGTTTTACCATGTTGGCCAGGATGGTCTCCATCTCTTGACCTCGTGATCCACCTGCCTCAGCCTCCCAAAGTGCTGGGATTACAGGCGTGAGCCACCACGCCTGGCCTTTTTTTTTTTTTTTTTTTTTGAGGCAGAGTTTCATGCTTGTAGCCCAGGCTGGAGTGCAGTAGCGCCATCTCGGCTCACTGCAATCTCTGCCTCCCAGGTTCAAGCAATTCTCCTGCCTCATCCTCCTGAGTAGCTGGGATTACAGGTGTGTGCCACCATGCCCAGCTAATTTTTGTGTTTTAGTAGAGATATAGTTTCACCATGTTGGCCAGGCTGGTCTTGAACTCCTGACCTCATGTGATCTGCCCGCCTCAGCCTCCAAAAGTGCTGAGATTACAGGCGTGAGCCACTGTGCCTGGCAGAAAACAACACACATTTCTTTTACATTTTGGAGGGCAGAAGTCTGCAATCATTTTCACTGGGCAAAATTCAAAATGTTGGCAGGACTGTTTCCTTTTGGAAGCCCTGAGGGGAAGGATCTGTGTCCTTGCCTTTTTTAGCTGCTAGTGGCTGCCTGTATTCCTTAGCCTGTGGCCTCTTTCTCAATCTTTTTTTCTTTTTTTTTTTTGAGATGGAGTCTTGCTCTGTCACCCAGGCAGGAGTGCAGTGGTGCAATCTCAGCTCACTGCAACCTCTGCCTCCTGGGTTCAAGTGATTCTCCTGCCTCAGCCTCCTGAGTAGCAGGGATTACAGGCACTGCCACCACTCCCAGCTAATTTTTGTAATTTTAGAGGGAGGCGGTTTCCCTGTGTTGGCCAGGCTGTTCTCGAACTCCTGATTTCAAGTGATCATCTGCTTTGGCCTCCCAAAGTGTTGAGATTACAGGTGTGAGCCACCGCACCCAGCTCTTTCTCAATCTTCAAAGAGCGTCATTCCAGCCTCTTTCCTTCATTGCATCTCTTTCTCTGACTCTGGCTCTTTCTTCACTCCTCTTCTAAAGATCCTATTATTACAACAGGCCCACCTAGATAATCCTGAACAATCTCCCAACTTCAAGACCCTTAACTAATCACACCTGCAAATTCTCTTTTGCTTAGAGGGGGAACATTCACAGGTTCTGAGGATTAGAAGAAAGACATATGCAGTGGGGCTTCATTATCCAGCCTACCACAATTCCTCCTACTACTTAAATTAGTGCTTTTTTTTCTTTCTACAGCGTTACTTGATTTGGGGTTACAGCTGAGATAATTGGGCTCCCTAGACATGTCATCCATGTATTGATCTGTTTTAGAATAAGTTTAGAATAATAAGTTCTTGGAGCTGTAGGCTTCTGAGGGAATCCTTCTTCCCCACAGAATGACTCATCCTTGAATACGCCAGGCAGGTTCACTATCTCCATCTCTCACTTGCAACCCCTGTCTCTGCCCTACCTGGACGCCTCAGCCTTCTCACTTTAGTGCATCACGCCTTCACACTGCAAACGGCTGGTATCTGCATCTTTTTGCTCAAGGTTTACCCTAGTCTCTGGAGCCTGTTCCATCTGAGCTTAGAAAAGACTGGAAATTCTATCGGAATTAATACCCATATCCCCCAGTAGCCTTCAATCATGAATGAAATAGTGTATAAATATCCCAGCCCCCCTCATTTCGTTTTTGCCACTTGTTTTATTGAGATATAATTCACATAACATAAAACTCATCATGTTAGGCTGGGCGTGGTGGCTCACGCCTGTAATCCCAGCACTTTGGGAGGCCGAGGTAGGCAGATCATGAGGTCAGGAGTTCAAGACCAGCCTGGCCAACAAAAGTGAAACCCTGTCCCTACTGAAAATACAAAAAAAAATTATCCGGGCATGATGGCGGGTGCCTGTAGTCCCAGCTACTTGGGAGGCTAAGGCAGGAGAATCACTTGAACCCAGGAGGCAGAGGTTGCAGTGAGCTGAGATTGTGCCTCTGCACTCCAGCCTGGGTAACAGAGTGAGACTCCGTCTCAAAAAAAAAAAACAAACACAAAAACACATCATATTAAAGGATACTGTTCAGTGGTTTTTAATATATTCACAATGTTGTACAACCTTCACTACTACCTACTTCCAGAATGTTTCTATCCCTCCAAAGAAGCCCGCACCAGTTAGTACCATCCTTTGTCCTTACTTTCTGTCTCTACGAATTGGCCTATCCTGGACGCTTCATAGAAATGTGATATAGTTTTGATGCTTGTCCCCTCCAGACCTCATGTTGAAATACGATTCCCAGTGTTGGAGGTGGCACCTGGTAGGAGGTGAATAGAGCATGGCCAGAGGCCTCATGAATGGCTTAGCACCATCCCCTTAATGATAAGTGAGTTCTTGCTTAGTTCATGTGAAATCCAGTTGTTTAAAAGTCTGGTTCCCAGCCAGGCATGGTGGCTCACGCCTGTAATCCCAGCACTTTGGGAGGCTGAGGTGGGCAGATCACTGGAGGTCAGGAGTTCAGCCTGGCCAACACGGTGAAACCCCACCTCTACTAAAAATACAAAAATTAGCCAGGTGTGGTCCAGCTTACAGGTGGGCACCTGTAATCCCAGCTACTCCGGAGGCTGAGGCATGAGAACCTCTTGAATCTGGGAGGTGGAGGTTGCAGTGAGTCGAGATCGCATGACTGCACTCCAGCCTGGGTGACAGAGTGAGACCCTGTCTCCAAAAAATAACAAAACAAAACAAAACAAAACCAGTCTGTTTCCCGACTCCCCACCCCACCTATCTTTCTTGCTCCTGCTGTTGCCATGTGATGCACCTGCTCCCCCTTCACTTTTCACCACTGAACACTTCAGTTTCCGCAATTGAAAACTTCTGAGGCCCTCACCAGAAGCAGATGCCAGCACCACGTTTCCTGTACACCCTGCAGAACAGTGATCCAATCAAACCTCTTTTCTTTATAAACTACCCAGTCTCAGGTGTTCCTTCATAGTACTGCAAACGGACTAACACAAAAAATGGAATCATACAACATGTGGTTCCTCATTTCTTAGATGGATGTCATCAAGACACAAGTTCAAGCTGATTCTCTGATTTCCCCAGCATGATTAAGCTCCAGTTGCCCACAGTGGCACTGGGCAATGAATTGGCTGCCCTTCCTTTCCTGCCTCACTTCCCTGCTTTTCCGCTGGTGTTTCTGGGATCACCTCTCAAAGAAAGTGCTTGTACTAGAATCCTTGCTTTGGAATCTGCTTCTGGGGGAACCCAAACTAAAACACTAAGCATATCTAGCTAATTAATCCATTCATCAAATATACACTGAATATTTACTCTGTTGTTGGCACATTGTTCAATGCTGAAGATTCAGCACAAACAAGTTAGGCATCCTTCCCGTTCTCATGGAGGGCGTTGAAGCAGGTAATAAAGGCATTAAGCAAATTACAAGAGAGATGAGTGTTACAAAGAAGTGGGTGAGAGAAGGCCTTCTTAAGAATGAGACCTGAAGAATGGGAAGTAGTTATCCTGGAGAAGAGGGTGGAGAAAATTTTCCAGGCATACAAACCCACTCCAAGATAAGGGTGAATGTGGTGCTTTGGGGGATCGTGAGAAAACCATATGGCTCTTGCAGAAAGAGTTGGAGGAAAATAGCTGAGGTAGGTACTTTACCTTCAAGGAAAGACTTGATGTCCAGCTGTGGAGCACATGGTCAGCAGACAGTCTACAGCTGTCAGCTCTTTCAGGTCAGCCTCAGCTCCTGAGAGATGCCTTGACCAAGGTCACACCCTTTCTGGAGCAGCCTGCATCTGGTGACAGAGCAAGATTGGGATATAGAGGCCCAGCTGTCTGGCCTTGTGGGGGACATTCTTTTTAAAAAAAATTTTTTTTTTTTTTGAGACGGAGTCTCGCTCTGTCGCCCAGGCTGGAGTGCAGTGGCGTGATCTCGGCTCATTGCAAGCTCCGCCTCCCAGGTTCACGCCATTCTCCTGCCTCAGCCTCCCGAGTAGCTGGGACTACAGGCGCCCGCCACCACGCCCGGCTAATTTTTTGTATTTTTAGTAGAGACGGGGTTTCACCGTGTTAGCCAGGATGGTCTCGATCTCCTGACCTTGTGATCCGCCTGCCTCGGCCTCCCAAAGTGCTGGGATTACAGGCGTGAGCCACTGCGCCCGGCTCTTTTTAAAGAATTTTAAGCGTTAATATATTTAATAGTATACTAAAATTTAAGAAGAAAAATTGGTTAACATACTGTATTTCCATTTTTTTCTTTCAGTAGTTTTTGGGCAACAGGTGGTTTTTGGTTACATGGATAAGTTCTTTAGTGGTAATTTCTTTTTTTCTTTCTTTTTTTTTTTTTTTTTGAGACGAAGTTTTGCTCTTGTCTCCCAGGCTGGAGTGCAATGGCACGATCTCGGCTCACTGCAACCTCTGCCTCCTGGGTTCAAGCGATTCTCCTGTCTCAGCCTCACCAGTAGCTAGGATTACAGGTGTGCGTCACTGGCTAATTTTTGTATTTTTAGTAGAGACGGGGGTTTCACCATGTTGGTCAGGCTGGTCTCGAACTCCTGACCTCAGGTGATCTGCCTGTCTCAACCTCCCAAAGTGCTGGGATTATAGGTGTGAGCCACTGCGTCTGGCCTTTAGTGGTAATTTCTGAGATTTTGTGCACCTGTCACTTGAGCAGTGTACACTGTACCCAATATATAGTCTTTTATCCCTCACCCCATTCCCAGCCCTTTCCCCGAGTCCCAAAAGTCCATTATATCATTCTTATGCCTTTGCAACCTCATAGCTTAGCTCCCACTTTTAAGTGAGGATCTATGATATTTGGTTTTCCATTCCTGAGTTACTTCACTTAGAGTAATGGTCTCCAATTCCATCCAGGTTGTTGTGAATGCCATTATTTTGTTCCTTTTTATGGTTGAGTAATATTCCATGGTGTATATATATTATGTACATATAAATTATATATAATATATATTATGTACGTATATATTATATATTATGTACGTATATAATATATTATATATTATGTATATATAATATATATTACATATTATGTACATATATAATATATATTATGTACATATATAATATATATTACATATTATGTACATATATAATATATATTATGTACATATATAATATATATTATGTACATATATAATATATATTTACATATATAATATTATGTACACATATATTATATATATTATGTACATATATAATATATTATATATGTACATATATTATATATTATATATGTACATATATTATATATTATATATGTACATATATTACATATTATATATTTGTACATATATTATATATAATATATATTTGTACATATATTATATATAATATATATTATATACACCATGGAATATTACTCAATATATAATATATTATATTATATAATATATATTATATATATTACATATAATATATATTATATATATTACATATAATATATATTATATATATTACATATAATATATATTATATATATTACATATAATATATATTATATATATTACATATAATATATATTATATATTACATGTAATATATATATTATATATATTACATGTAATATATATTATATATATTACATATAATATATATTATATATATTACATGTAATATATATATATACCACATTTTCTTTATCCACTCATTGGTTGATGGTCATTTAGGCTGGTTCTATATTTTGCAATTGCGAATGTGCTGCAATAAACATGTGTGTGCAAGTGTTCTTCTCATATAATGACTTCTTTTCCTCTGGGTAGTTACCTAGTAGTGAGATTGCTGGATCAAATGGTAAATCTACTTTTAGTTCTTTAAGGAATCTCCATACTGTTTTCCATTGTGGTTGTATTTGTTTACATTCCCACCAGCAGTGTAAAAGTGTTTCCTTTTCACCACATCCATGCCAACATCTATTATTTTTTGATTTTTCAATTGTGACCATTCTTGCAGGAGTAAGGTGGTATTGCATTGTGGTTTTGATTTGTATTTCCCTGATAATTAGTGATGTTGAGCATTTTTTCATGTTTGTTGGCCATTTGTATATCTTGTTTTGAGAATTGCCTATTCATGTCCTTTGCCCACTTTTTGATGGGATTGTTTGTTTCTTGCTGATTTCTTTGAGTTCCTTGTAGATTCTGGTTATTAGTCCTTTGTTGGATGCATAGTTTGTGAATACTCTCCTTGTGGGGGACATTCTGATGGGCAATAGTCAACCCAGAGCTCCCGGCTGAGTTTGCTGGGTCTGCAACACAGTTCAATTACTTCCTCAGTCCAGTCCTGCTTTGGCCTCCTCCCCTTTGCAGGTATTGATTCTTGATAAACATCTTGCCTCAAACTGTTGGAACCTACTCCCAGAGAACCCTACGTCCCATAGCAATGAAACAAGAAGGCTTTGTATCATGGGTGATAATATTACCAAGTATCTCCTAAAACACAAAGAAGGTGAGGGCTCTTGTGGCCTGAGAGGGATGGACTATACTTTTGGGGAGCAAGAGCAACTTTGGAGTCCTCACTGAAGGATTTACACATAAGTTTGCAATATGTAAGTTGAGAGATTTTGGAATTCAGAGAACTCGGGGGGAGTGAGGATTTTTGAAGAGGATAAACATTTTGGGGGTATATTTAAAATGCTTTTTATTAAATTAGCTGGGTGTGGTGGCACGCTCCTATAATCTCAGCTACTTGGGAGGCTGAGGCAGGATAATTGCTTGAATCTGGGAGACAAATGTTGCAGTGAGCCGAGATCGCACCATTGCACTCCAGGCTGGGTGACAGAGTGAGACTCCATCTCGGAAAAAAAAAAAAAAAGGTTTTATTTTTTGTATGTATTTTTCTAAATTTGTCTCAAGTGATAACATTTGTATATGGTTATATAAATTATATTAGTAATATGGCTGTTTGGATTTATGTGCTCTTTTATCCATGGGATCTCCCAGGAATGTGAGCAAAAGGGAACATCACAGAAATACTTTTTCCATTGAGGATAATATCAGATTCCATACTGCGGGCATTTAAAATTTTATGTTCTCTCTGGGCAGTAGACTTTAAAAAATATAATTAGATGCTACTCCAGTGGGTACTTTATAAAGCATTAAAATATTAAATAACCTGATGAATGTTTAACTTAGCTGGAATGAGGGTAACTATATTCCTCTGTCCTTACTATAAGGTGTACTACTATGATCCAGTCTGCCCACAAAATACAGATACAGAAGCTCCTTCCCCCTGCTAATGGTCCTGAGATGCTATAGATACCTGTCCTTACTACAGATATCTTGGAGGACATGGTGGATGGTGTGATTCCAGTTTCTGAAAACCAGAGGCTTAGTGATGGGTGTTGCTACCCAGGCAACTGAGCAGTTGCTCTGCAGACCCTGCTGAGGTGCTGGAAGTATCCCCATCTGGTGCAGCTCCTCACAGACATACTTTCCTGGGTCCCCTGGCTCAAGTGCACCCTGACTTGGGGACTCCTCTTTGAAGGCAGTCCAGTGATCCCTGACCCAAAACTCTCTTTTCCCCTTCCTCTAGTCACTTCCTCAGGTTTTGATGCCTCCCCTCAGGCCAGATTATAGTCAAATACCCTCCTTTCTCCTTGAGATTGAAAGGACGATCACTCTCTTTAGCACTTTATAGGTGATTTCAGAGGAAAACAATATGTGGTTTAAATTTCCTGCCATATAGCAATATATGGTTTGAATATGTAAAAAATGAAAGCGATTCCATTTACATGAAGTTCTAGACCGAACAAAATTTCTCTGTGATGATAACTGTCAGAATAGTGGTTGCCTCTGGAGGGAGTATTGACTGGAAAGAGGCATGAGCATCTTTTCTAGAATGAAGGAAATGTTCTTGATGGGAGTGGGGGTATATGTTTGTCAAAATTTATTGAACTATATATTTAAACTATGCATTTATTTTATGTACATTTAAACAGATAAAGCAGGATGACAAATAGTTCAAAAACGAAAGAGAAAAGTCCATGTGAGAATAATTCAGCAAACATTTACATTTCAAAATGGTTTGGTTTTAATTTTCTGACTTTATTAGGGCCATTTATAGGAAAGGACCCACCATCAGCATGTAGCTCTGCTGAGGGATATAACAACACTTTTATCCATAGGCAATTATTTCTTATTGGAAATACAGAACTTTGCATGAAGTAAAGCTCTTTAAATAGAGTAAAAATGTTTGCATATTTCATAAGTTTAGAAGTTAGCTAGAAGTCACCGCTCTTCCTCTTCCCCTAAGTGGCCTAAGGTGATCTGTGAAAATGGTTTGCTATTCACTTGACCCAGAAAACCCCGCGAAATCATGAAAATCAAGAGGTTCAAATCTTCATGTTCACTTTAAGAACACTTGTGAAACTGCCAGGGCCATGAAGGGTATGCCTATACGGAAAGCCACCAAGTATGTGACAGATGTCACTTTACAGAAACTGTGTACCATTCTGATTTTACAATTGTGGAGTTGGTAGGTACTCTCAGGCCAAACAGTGCGGCTGGACACACAGTTGGTGGCCCAAAAAGAGTCTTGAATTTTTGCTGCACATGCTTAAAAATGCAGAGAGTAATGCTGAACTTAAGGTTTTATCCGATGTAGATTCTCTGCTCATTAAGCATAGCCAGGTGAACAAAGCACCTAAGATGTGCCATCGGACTTACAGAGCTCACGGTCAGATCAACCCATACATGAGCTCTCCCTGCCACATTGAGATGATCCTTGCTGAAAAGGAACACACTGTTCCTAAACCAGAAGAGGATGTTGCACAGAAAAAAAAAGATATCCCAGTATAAACTGAAGAGGCAAAAACTTAACGGCACGGGAATAAATTCAGCACAAATAAAGACAAAGTTAAAAAAAAAAAAGTTAGCTAAATGAGATTCAGTACACATTTCTGTAGCTTTTGTCAGTAGCTGACCCCCAATGTTTCTACCTACAGAGTGGCCACTAAGTTTAGAAATACAGGTGGCTCTTTGCCCTGTCTCACTATGTTAAGTGACCACCAATTACTGTCTGCACTTAACACAGGAGGCAAGGTAACCTGGAGAGCACCACCACATGACCCCAGGGTGGTGAGGAACTGGTAGGATGATCATTCCTAAAATTGGATTGGATGACATAGCCCTGTGGAGTATGCTGCGTGATGGCCAGAATACCCTTGGGTATGGGGTAAGCCAGAAAAAATTAGGACATGGAATGAAAAGTTGTATTTGAATACTGGATAAGCAACAAATAATTTTTTTGTATAAGTATGCAAGGGATACTTATATATCCCTTGCATATATAGGATGTATATGCATGGACATACTTGCAAGGGACATAATTATACTAAAAATATATCTGGTTTTTATCTGAAATTTAAATTTAATTGAGACTGGGTACAGTGGCTCATGCATGTAATCCCAGCACTTTGGGAGGCTGAGGCGGGTGGATCACCCGAGGCTAGAGTTTGAGACCAGCCTGGCCAACATGGCAAAACCCTGTCTCTACTAAAAATATCAAAAATTAGCTGGGCTGGGCATGGTGGCGGGTGCTTGTAATCCCAGCTACTTGGGAGACTGAGGCAGGAGCTTTTCTTGGATCTGGGAGGTGGAGGCTGCAGTGAGCTCAGATCACACCACCGCACTCCAGCCTGGGCAACAAGAGCGAAACTCTATTTCAAAAAAAAAAAAAAAAAAAAGAAATAAATAAAAAAATAAATAAGTGTAATTGAGTGTCCCCCTGTATTTTTATGTGCGAAGTCTGATAAGCATGAGGTACACTAAAAAGACAGGTTCCTCCTCACCACCCACCATGAAAATCAGAGACAAAATCTGACTCAGTGGGTTTCAAACTTTAGCTTGCATCAGAATCACATGCAGAGCTTGTTAAAACCCACATTATTAGTCAGAGTTTCTGATTCAGTAGGTCTGGGGTGAGGCCCTGAAAATTTGCATTTCTTAACATTCCCAGGCATTGCTGATCCTGCTGATTCCAGGAGTCATATCTGAGAACTACTGATCTAAGGTGATGCATTACAGATGCATGTGCAGGGATTGCTAGAAATGCCATGTTAATGTATCCTGTTCATTGTGATTCGGCCTAGCACATTAAACTATGCATCGCTAATGAGGGACAACACATCAAACATATAATATATTGTAATGTAATATCAATAAACCATTTATTATGCATAGTTGCCTATGTTTCCAGACTTTATGGCCACTCTGTAGGGAAGCTATTTGCCTCTGTAGTGAATGGATTTCCTTTTAATGAGTGTGAAATTAAAATTCCATGTTAAAATTAGAATAGAACCCAAACTTCAATAAATCCATAAAATAGTAATATCAGAGAACCTTCGTTAACTTATATACCAAATAAATATTTAACAAGGTGTGACACTCAGGAATTTTATTTATATTTTATTAAACACCACAATTTCCACAACATATTATTTATACACAGAGAGATTATACAACCTCAGGATTTTTGGAGTACCCAGGATGGAGTTTCTACACCATGACTTCTCCAGGGACCTAGTCTTCTAGGAGAAAGATATAAGAGGCATTTGTTTGTGCTATCCATAGAACTGAAAAATACTGAAATGTTCTAAATAACTTTGAAGCTGACATTTCCTATTTCCACCATCAAAACTTTTGCACTTATTTTTTCTTGTTTTTGGAGACGGGATCTCACTCTGTCACCAGGCTGGAGTACAGTGGCGTGATCTCGGCTCACTGCAACCTCCGCCTCCTGGGTTCAAGCAATTCTCCTGCCTCAGCCTCCCGAGTAGCTGGGACTACAGGCGCCCGCCACCACGCCCAGCTAATTTTTTGTATTTTTAGTAGAGACGGGTTTCACTGTGTTAGCCAGTATGGTCTCGATCTCCTGACCTCGTGATCCGCCTGCCTCAGCCTCCCAAAGTGCTGGGATTACAGGCGTGAGCTACCGCGCCTGGACATTTTTTCTTTGTTTTAACTTTTCTATTTCTTGGCCTACTGATTTGGATTTTCTCTTTTGAGGGAGAAGGATACACAGGAGAGACATATATTGGAAAAGAATAAAATAAAGTACTAGAAATTTTGCTGAGTGTCTGAGTCCTTTGGCCACTGTTTGGAGATCATTGGCCACAAATACACACAGGACTACTTTAAGAGATATATGTATACTGAATAATTTATGGATGAAATGAGACATCTGTGATTTGCTTTAAAATACTGCAACATGCAGCTGGGCACAGTGGCTCATGCCTGTAATCCCAGGGCTTTGGGAGGCCAGGTGGGAGGATTACTTTAAGCCCAGGAATTTGAGACTAGCTGGGGCAACACAGCGAGACTCTGTCTCTAAAATTTTTTTTTTTTTTTAATTAGCTGGACATGGTAGTGCGTGCCTGTAATCCTGGCTACTCAGGAGGCTGAGGCGGGAGAATCCCTTGAGCCCAGGAGTTGGAGGTTACAGTGAGCTATGATCATGTCACTGAAGACTAGCCTGAGTAACAGAGCAAGACCCTATACCAAAAAATGAACAAGCCAGCCTGGGCAACATGGCAAAACCCTGTTCCTACAAAAAATAAAAAATTAGCCAGGTGTGGTACCACAGGCCTCTGGTCCCAGCTAGTAGGGAGGTTGGGGAAAAAAAAAAAAAAGAAAAGAGAAAAATAAAATAAAAAGTAAAATATTGAAACAAGCAAAAAGTTGAAAGAGGAAAGATGAAATAAGTTTGGCAAAACAAAATGTTAATAATTGTTGAAACTGGGTGGTGGGGTTTATTATGATATACTACTTTTGTATATGTTTGAAAATTTCAGTAAGTTAAAAAAAGTATAAGGCTCGGCATGTATTCTTACCGCTGTCACTAATGGGACAAGAAACCATACTCGAATCACATAGATATACTGTGCGTCAATTTTTATAAATGACTGTATAGCAATTATTCAATCAGCACAGTTATTGAGCTTGGCTTACTGTGTAGGGAGCATTCTGATATTACTACCTAAATTCCCAGGCATGTTGTTAGATAACTGAAAAGTTAATGTACTTAAAAAAATTTAAACTTATTAATAAATTAAATTTATGTATTATTATCACGAGATCCATTGTTGAAATTCTTTGAGTACAAATGCTTGGAGCACAGATCATCAGTAAATGAAGGTTCCTGAAAGCTTCTTTTTTTTCATGTTTAAAAGTAGTTATTTAGGTTAGGTATTTGTTGAGATAGCAGCTGCTCAGACTCCTACGTTGAGAATAGGACAGAAAAAAAAATAGTATGTTACACATCTTGGCTCCTTTTATGCTTCCGAGGAAAAAGCAAAGCAACCTTTAAGATTTCTAAACACCATCTGTATCTACTACATGGTTATATTACTGTGTAAATAACATTATATTATTTAATTTGGACTTTTTTTGTGGTCAGTTCCCCCAAAGACAGGTAAATATCAAAGGAAAAACTTAAAGGGTAAAAATATGCAAGCTTGCATGTCTGTTGCTCTATGTGCGCACAAGCATAAATGATTTAAAAATTTTGGACTACAGTCCAGGCATGGCTGTGTGGCACACTGCCAGAATAGGAAACATGACATCCCCTTTCCTATTTATAGGCTTGAAGCTATGGGTATGGTTTAGGTCTGGAAATGACCTGCTGCCTGAGGGCCTGGAAAATAAGTGCATGATCACATGCCTGGCCTTCAGTGGACAGGTAGACTGCATGTCTCTGACTGGTGCTGAAGAAGCAGGAAAAGCAAAACGACTGCAAACAAGGATGAGATGTACCTTGCACATCAGTAGAGAAGGGGTAGACACAGGTATGAAATGATAAATGTAGGGTGTACTAATCCTCCTGAATAGTTAGAAATTGTTTCCTGTGGTTGTTAAGCAATTATCCCCTGCTCGAAGGTGCCTTCGGTGCAGAGGGTTAAAATTCTACTTTTTTTTTTTTTTTTTTGAGACGGAGTCTCGCTCTGTCGCCCAGGCTGGAGTGCAGTGGCGCGATCTCTGATCTCTGCTCACTGTAAGTTCTGCCTCCCGGGTTCACACTATTCTCCTGCCTCAGCTCCCAAGTAGCTGGGACTACAGGCGCCCGCCACCACACCCGGCTAATTTTTTGTATTTTTAGTAGAGACGAGGTTTCACCGTGTTAGCCAGGATGGTCTCGATCTCCTGACCTCGTGATCTGCCTGCCTCGGCCTCCCAAAGTGCGGGGATTACAGGTGTGAGCCACTGCGCCTGGCCTTAAAATTCTTTTATGATGTGGCATGTCTGAGCTACCTGTCCCTTTCCACAGATGACAGCATGCTAGAAGGGTTAGTTTTAGAAGGAAGAGTGGAAACAAATCCAGAGTTTGAGACCTACCTGGAATGGCAGGCAGGATGGGAGGGCTTCAGCTGGGGATGGTGATGGAGGTGGGGGAGTTTTCTGAGCAGTGGGAGGCAAGAGAGGGTGCTGGTTATCCAGAGGTGACAGAGAAGTTGCTAAGAGAGAAGTTGCTAAATATTGATGCAAAACTTACCTTCTTTACAATTTTGCCTGTAGATTACCTTGACAGGAGGCAGTATCAATCACACTGTAGTTACTCAATAAACATTTATTGAATAAATACACAAATTCCCTTGGGACATGAATTTTTCTCTGGCAGATTGTTACATACTCAGACTGGTAAGTATATCCATAAACTATTTTAGTTTTGTTACTTTATTTATATTTGAGACAGGGTCTTGCTCTGTTGCCCAGTGCAGTGGTGTGATCATAGCTAACTGCAGCCTCTACCTCCCGGGCTCAAGTGATCCTCTTGCCTCAGCCTCCCAAAGTGCTGAGATTACAGGCATAAGCCACCACACCGAGCCCTAGTTTTGATATTTTAGACTTATAAGAATAAAACTTTTATTATTCCAGAGTGCCAAATAGGGATATTTCTTCCCATGAAAGCCTGTATTTAGATGACTTTCTCCTCCTTTTAGAGGAGATATTTATTGAAACAGTTTTTCTCCAAGTTGACAAATTTGTCAACAGTGGGCTATAGAAAAAAAATGAACTTCCTAATTAGCCAAGTAGCTTGTGTGTCTGGTAGTTTGAGTGTTAGAAAAGTAGATCAAGTTGGAAACCTAATGATTTCCCCATCGTCAATAAAGATCGTAATCACTGAAGATCTCTGCATATTAGAAAAACATTTTCTAACTCAGTGGGGTCTCATCTGATCTGCATACTTTTACTAGACTAATATTTTTTCCTCCAGTGACAGGGCTTACTTGCATTCTCTACCTTATATTCTTACGTATTTGTAAAATTTAGAAAACCTTGCATAGTATGGACAATGTGAGCTCAGGTTCTTTGCTGCTGTTTTCCATGTTACCTCCTTTAATCCTTATAATACATCTGTGATATAGGTTTTGTTATCCCCATTTTGCCGATCAAAACCAAAGGAGGCCTCCTCTGGAGTGCAAGTTAGAGACCCAGGCCTGATAATCAGAACCTTTTCTTTTTTCTACATGAAAAGCCAAACATACACTTGTCTTATTCTGCTCTACTTTTACACGAGGAGTTACATTTGGAATTTTGAAAACGTCTATTCCATGGTTTACTCTAGCCATTTTCATTGATCTTTTGGAAACAAAATCTTACTTTTTTTTCCACTTAGTGTTCTAGAACTAAAGGGGCCGATGAAAATCTATGTGATCCTGCAAAGAATGACTGGGCTAAAATTAGATAGTATGGAAAACTGAGCCATTATGTTCATATTCAACCGCTAACTGTTTTAGTAAAATATATTGAATGGGCCTGGTGTGGTGGCTCACACCTGTAATCCCAGCACTTTGGGAGGCTGAGGTGGGCAGATCACAAAGTCAGGAGTTCGATGCCAGCCTGGCCAACATGGTGAAACCCCGTCTCTACTAAAAATACAAAAATTAGCTGGGCATGGTGGCAGGTGCCTGTAATCCCAGCTACTCGGGAGGCTGAGGCAGGAGAATCACTGGAACCTGGGAGGCGGAGGTTGCAGGGAGCCGAGATCATGCCATTGCACTGCAGCCTGGGCAACAAGAGCAAAACTCTGTCTCAAAAAAAAAAAAAAAAAAAAAAATATATATATATATATATATATACACACACACACGCATATACACACACACACATACACATACAGGGGCCGGACAAGGTGGCTCATGACTGTAATTTCAGCACTTTGAAAGACTGAGGCGGATGGATGGCTTGAGGTCAGGACTTTGAGACCAACCTGGCCAACATGGTGAAAACCCATCTCTACTAAAAATACAAAAATTAAAAATTAGCTGGGTGTAGTGGTGCATGCCTGTAATCCCAGCTACTCAGGTGGCTAAGGCAGGAGAATTGCTCGAACCTGGAGGTGGAGATTGCAGTGAGCCGAGATGGCACCACTACACTCTAGCCTGGGTGACAGAGTGAGACTCCATCTAAAAAAAATATATATATATATGTGTGTGTGTGTGTGTGTGTGTGTGTGTGTGTGTGTATATTTATATATATAAAATGATACAGGTTGAGTATCCCTTATCCAAAATGCTGGGGATGCAGAAGTGTTCCAGATTTTGGATTTTCTTGGATTTTGAGATGTTTGTATATATATAATAAGATATCTTGGAGGATGAGACCAAAGTCTAAATGGAAAATTTACATGTATTTCTTATATACCTTATGTATCGATCCTGAAGGTAATCCTATACAATATTTTAAATACTTTTATGCATGAAACAAAGTTTTGACTGTGTTTTGACTGCAACTTGTCACATGAGGTCAGATGTGGAATTTTCCACTTGTGGTGTCATGTCAGTGCTCACAAAGTTTCAAATTTTGGGGCATTTTGGATTTTGAATTTTCAGATGAGGGATGCTCAACCTGTACCAAAAGTTGGTGCTAGCCGATTAGGCAGAAAAGGAGTTTATTATGTGGATATTTAGGAGAGAACCAGCTCAAGCCTTAGAGTTTAGGAATAACATCCAACTACAGGCTGCAGAACTGGCCTGATGTGTTCAACCATGGCCCCCACAACTGTCCTACAAGCACTGAGGGACACTGCTGGTGTCCCCACCCAACACTGCCATTTCCGCAGCAGCAACTTGGCCGCCATTTTTGCCATCACAGAGATTCTGTATGTCATTTCCTTCCTCAAGTTGCTCCACTTTGTTTCCCTGAAATTTCCTATACTAATTTTTTTTAAATCCTATATTGATTTCTTTTTATTGTGGTAAGAACATTTAACATGAGATCTACTCTCTTAAGTATTTTTAAGTGCACAATCCAGTATGATTAACTATAGGCACGATATTGTACAGTGGAGCTCTAGAACTTATTCGTCTTGCATAATTGAAAATTTGACCCATTGAGTAGCAACCATCACTCTAGAACAGATTCTTACTGGGAGAGCCTAAGTCATATGCCTGTATTTTGTAAAAGAGATTGCAGAACTACATTTTTTGGGTTCTATCTTAGCAAGGCAGGATTCTTAAAGCTTCACATTCTTATACATGACAAAAGCATTCAAAGGTGCTAGCCACACAGAAATTACTGCAAATGTCCACTATAGTTTTAATGTTGACAAGACTAGAATCCAAATGGTTCATCCCAAAATAACAATGCCTAGTAATTTCAAAATTTCAAATTATTGGTTTGAACACTGTAAAAGCAAAATATAATCTTCAGCAATGATTCCTAAAAATTCCCTTTTCTTTACACTCCTATGCAAAATCCTACAAACTGCAGCTGCCTGTGCCTCCTCCCCTCAAAGCCCCTGGGAAAGCTCCCATTCCTTGTCTAAAGACCCTCTTCCTTCCCTCCTGCTTTCCTCAGCCCTCCTTTCAATTTCCCATTGCAAAAGCTCAAGAACTGGTCTAGTAAGACAGAAGCTGCCTTGGAGGGAGGCAGAGGAAACAGATTAAGGCCAGCAAAACTAGAATTCTCTTTAAGGGAAGGGATGGGAAAGGGAGAGACACTGGTACACTAAAAGCTTGTAACTAGTCACAGGATGGACACTTTTATTAGTGATACTTAAGCACTACTTGGAATAATTGACTGGTCTTAAAAGATGCAGAATGCTGTCAGATCTGGGGTTGAAATGTTGATTGTAGTTCCAAGTGTCTTCTATAGGAAAGCAGCTTGACTAAAGATAATAAATAAAAAGGAGCAGACTCACAGGTATTTTAAAGGAAAGATAAAGACTAGTGTTCACATTTATGAGTCTAAAAAGAACATTAATTTGATTTCAGGTTCCCAGTATAGGATTAATTCTTTAGCAGTAAATTCTACTAAGAGTTACTATAAATTATTGTCACAGATAGTTAGGTGATTCTCGGATGCTCCTAGTGAGCTCAGTGCTTTAGGATATTCTTTAGGATATTCTCATGTGTCTTCCTTGATAGTTTGTGACAAGCGCAATGACACTTCAAATATTCATTCTTTTATGAAATTTTGTTGACCCTGACACAAAGCTATTAAACTGTCTACTCACGTTTACTGTTCCACCAAATGAAAACTTTATACAATATTTCTGATCAGCATTGCTTGAGATAGACAGCTGGATCTAAACACATCCAGCAACACCATTTCTGCTTAGCAGATATCAGATTGTTTCCCTTAGAATACTGAATACAGCTCCAAATTACTGAAGAATTCCATCTAGGACAGCAGGGATTTTGTCTCTGCCAAAAGGATAGCTATCATAGAAATGCAAGAACTGAACCTAACACCAGTAATTTGGTTATTGCAAATTATTTCTTCCACTGGACTGCTGGCTCACATTCATGGAAGGGCTAGGTATTGCTGCTATCTTTCAATTCTTCCCAAATGGGGAAGCATTTACTATTGAGTCAGTTTGAAACTTAGAACTTACTGTTTCAGTGTCATATGGATAGATCATGAAGCTAGCCTCTTAGTTTAACTCATAACTAAATTATAAGGTTAATAATACTCAGTGTATACGCTATAACATCCTAAGTTGTAATTGGATGTGCTTGCCTTGCCTAGCCTGGGCTGGTAAAACAAGGATGGATGCCCTGGGCAGAGACTCCCATTGGGCATCCACTGGGGAAAGAGGAAATAGTCCTAGAAGTCATAACTGCAGAAACAGAGTCAGGGGGCGGAAAATGAGGACTTAATTAGGGTCTGCCTTAGAAGATCTTCAAGCTGCCTTATTTTCATGTGCATTATTCAGACGTCTGAGAAGTTCCTGGTGCAATGTGTCTTGTGAAATATATTAGGCATTCAGTGCAGCTGTTTCCAGGTTTATTATGCAATATTCTGATTCTGATTCATGAAAATATTGCATTAAATACAATCGCTCATGTAATTACTGTGCTTAATCTACAGCATACTTTAATTAACACTGCACAGAATTCTGATTTAATCAATTAGATTTGATCTAGCGCAACTTAGCTGTAAATACTTTTTATGATGCAGCAGCCCAAAATAATTATTGAGACCTAGGGTAATATACAACTCTAAAACTAACACATTTCCTATGTTGAAAAGAGCACATCATAATTTGAACTATAATTTTATTATTTACAAAAGTAAACTATAAAGAGTAGATCATTCCGTTTCCACTAATAGCCTATTAAAAAAAATCTCATTGGGAGTGTTAGAACTTAAAAAATTTGTTTTATTTTTTAAAGATTAAACTCAAGCAAAAGTCACTGCTTTCTGGCTGTGTAAATAGTCTTATTAACATCAATATCTCATGATGTTTCTCAATGTTGTAGGTTAAATTTTATCTCCCCCTTCCCCACAAAGAGATACGTTGAAGTTTTAACTTCCACTACCTCTGAATGTAGGGTCATTGCAGATGTAGTTAGGAATGAGGTCATACTGGAATAAGGTGGGACCATGATCCCATAAGGTGGGACAACAATATGACTGTTGTCTTTCTAAGATGAATGTTAAGGCAGAAACACACAAAGAGAAGGACATGTAAGTCCAAGGCAGAGATTAGTATTTTGTAGCTGCAAGCCAAGGAACGCTAAGGACTTCTGGTAACCAACCAGAAGCTAGGAAGAGGCAAGGGAGGAGTTCTCCTACAGGTTTCACAGCAAACATGGCCCCACTGACATCTTGATTTTGGACTTCCAGACTCCAGAACTGTGAGAGACAAAATGTGTATTTGTTTGGTTTGGTTTGGTTTTAGAGACAGGGTCTCACTCTGTCACCCAGGCTGGAGTATAGTGTCATAATAATAGCTCACTGCAGCCTCGAATTCCTCGTGTCAAGCAATCCTTCTGCTTCAGCCTCCTGAGTAGCTAGGACTACAGGTGCATGCCACCACACCTGGCTAATTTTTTTATTTTTATTTTTTGTAGACACAGGGTCTCACTATGTTGCCCAGGCTAGTCTCACACTCCTGGCCTCAAGCAATCCTCATGCCTCAGCCCCTCAAAGTGCTGGAATTATAGGTGTGAGCCACCACGCTTAGCCAAATTTGTGTTGTTTTAAGCAATCCAATTTGTGGTCCTTGGTTACAGTGGCCCTAAGAAACTAAAATACTTGCTAAAACTGAAGAAGTTGAGAATTGAAACTCAATGTAACCAGAATTTATGAAATTACTTTTTTATACTAGTGAGGAAAAAAGTATCTTGCTGAACTATTTTTAAAAGTGCATGTGCTGTTTTTAGTTGAAGTAAACTTTTTTATTCTTAAGTATTGACATAAATATAACACTTTTGTTCCTCAGACACAGCAGCTAGCAGAGTGCCTTAAACATAAATCATTCCACAGTATATTTTGTGGCTTCATTTAAAAAGATTAAAAATGAAAATAGCCCATAAATATTAAAATACTCTTATAGAATATAAGCCATAAAAGATATACAGAACTACTGAAACACGAGAGTAATCATTGAAAAGAATTTGCATGAGGTTCATCAAGGCAAAATTTCATCTTGAATGTATATATGAATAATAAAGAAACTATATACCCTGCAGTTTTTGGATTATTCAGATTCTATATTTTCTGTTGCCTTATTTTGGCTTTGAAAAAAATACTCTTAGGACAAATACTATGTGATGTGCAGGGCCAAATAAAAGAATATACATTTTAGTTCTTGGCATTAACTTGCTAACAGACCTTACTACACAGATTTGGTAAGGATGAAAATTAAAAATATAATGAAAAAGAAATTTGGGGCTGGGCCCAGTGGCTCATGCCTGTAATCCCAGCACTTTGGGAGGCTGAGGCAGGTGGATCACTTGAGGCCAGGAGTTTGAGACCAGCCTGGCTGCAAAACCCTGTCTCTACTAAAAAAAAAAATACAAAAATTAGCCAGGCATGGTGACGCATGCCTGTAGTCACAGCTACTTGGGAGGCTGAGGCAGGAGAATAGCTTGAACCCGGGAGGTGGAGGTCGCAGTGAGCCAAGATCGTGCCACTGCATTCCAGCCTGGGCAACAGAGCAAGACTGTCTCAAAAACAAAACAAAACAAAACAAAACAAACAAACAAACAAAAAAACAAAAACAAGAAAAATGAATTTGGGGGGGTCATTTGTAAATTCTTTGATTTTTGTTTCCCCTGAATATCCAAGTTGACTACTGTTTTGTTGTCACAAGAGTGATGACATTTGATGGAAAGACATTAGTGGATACCTGCAAAGGATCTGGATGCAGGCAGCTCTCAGAGCAGAGACTATGGCAGCACGCTCCCAACCAGAGGGGAAAGTCTCCTGGCATCAAGTGTCCTGGAAAGCCACCGGGCACTAGCTGATTGCTGTGCATCTTGTCAGTTCCATTGAGAAGCAGCACCTTTCCATTCTTCAAGGTCTTCACAAGCCTCCAGCCCTTGGGATTTTCTGGACATTTTGGTTTTTGCCTATTACACTCGTAGAAATAACTAGTATAATACAACCCCCCACCCCAGATCATTTGAGATGGATGGATGAATTCCACAGATGGAATGAATGGAAGTTTAAATTCCCAGGTGTGGTACTCCTTAGCAGGACCAAGCCTTAAAACTGCCTGAGATCCATTCCTGCAGGTATATAACTGGGACTACAAAATAAAAAGATGACTAAGATTGATAAAACATAGACAAACTAAGATATACTGACTATAATATTCTAGTTTCTGTGCTAAGCACCCCACATATAATATCACTTAATATTTCTTTTAAATTTAATTTTGATATATTTTATAAACATCAGAAAGATTGAGTGGTGAGTAGTTGGGAGCTGGTTTTTAAAAATTATTTTCCTTTAAAAGGAATATACTCTTTGGTATGTATATTTCAATATTAAAAAATAAAACCAGTTAAATAATATGGTAAGGCTAATACTAAAAACAAGTATTTTGTTTCACCTCATCTTACTAATTACAATTATTTACTCCTTACTTATTCCCTCTCATTGTCTGGTAATTTTTAATCTTTTTAGTTATTTCCTCTAGTATTTTCTTTCTTATTTCTAAATAACATACATATATAGATACTTCCTGATTTTTTAGTCTTTTTGTCCATTGACTTCCTTCTTTTTTTTTTTTTTTTTTTGTCCATTGACTTCCTTCTATGGAAGATGAGGATTTACTTTCCTATACCTCCTCTTCTTGCATTCTTGCATACATTTCCCTTCCTCCTATCCTTCTGATATATTTATATCATAATTTTTGGTTAAATCAGTATCTAGGGCTAATATGATTTTGATTATATAAGTATTATTTATAGCTAAGTCACAGAGTATATCATGATTCTATTTCTTCTCTTGTATAACTGTTTCCACTAGTTAATAAATCCATTTTTTTATTTGCTTGGTTTTGTGTGCTTTTATTACTAATTCATACCATGGTTCTCTAATGTAAGTAAAAATAGCTTTTGAACATGTGTAAGTGTTCTATCTGTTGCATATTTATCTTGGGGA
Organism: Homo sapiens; assembly: GCF_000001405.40. Classification (NCBI taxonomy): domain Eukaryota; kingdom Metazoa; phylum Chordata; class Mammalia; order Primates; family Hominidae; genus Homo; species Homo sapiens. The sequence goes on from NC_000008.11 coordinate 67,420,079, forward strand.
ATTTCATCTGAAGTCTTCAGTTCTCCTCCTCCTACCCCAAGTTAGTTGTTCTGTAAGTTTGACATATAGCTACTACCTGGGACTTTTCCGTTCACCACGATCTTCAGATGTTTTTATTGGTTTCCCTGTGTTCCTAAATCCTTTGTCTTTCTCTTGCTATACTCCCTTATTTTGGTAGAGCACATTCTCCAGGGTTTTCCTGAGAAAGGTAAGTAATTTAGGGCCTCACTTCTATGAAAATGTTGAGATTCTACCCTTACATTTCAATGACAATTTTTCTAGGTTTAGATTTTTTTTTTTTGTATAATTTTTCCTCAAAAACTCTGACGGCATTTCTCCATTGCCTTTTGGCTGTAATGGTGTTGTTGAGCAGCTACAGGCTACTCTAGTCCTCATTCTGTTGTCAGTGTCCCCCACCCTCCAACACCCCAGAAGTTTTTAGGCTCATCTCTTTATCCTGGTGTTCATGATATGCTCTGGTCAGGCAAATCCTCTAAGAGGATTTGTATTTGCTTGTACCAAATGCTTAGGGGGTATAGCCAGTCTGGGATTAAACTGAATTAAACTCTTGGCTAGAGGGTTATCAGACCATTTAGATAGTCTGATTTTGGACCACAAACTTGTGTGAGGCTGCCTCATGGTTCCAAATTCTCAGTGGCAATTTCTCTCTTCTCCACTCTTGCCAAAATTTGAAATGGTCAGTTTTTCTTGTGGCCCATTATGAGTACTATGGAGGCTTATTTCTAATTTACCCTTACACTGAAGGTATCATTCTTTGGAATCCCAGAATTCTGGTAGAAGTAGAATCTATTAGACTTCCCAACTTGCAGTAGCCCTGGGCTTGGCTCTCTGGCCCCATTCCTCAAAATGCCCACACTCAGCTGGTTAGACAAACACTGTCAGTATAACAGTGGTCCATTTGCCTTTCTAGATTTCTTCAATCAATACCTGGCTGGCCTGGATTTCCTTTTTTTGTCTGATAACTTTAAGATGATTTTCTAAAAATTATATATATTTTTTCTTCCTGTTTTTTTTTTTTTTTTTTTTTTTTTTTTTTGAGACAGGGTCTCACTCTGTTGCCCAGGCTGGAGTGCAGTGGTGCAGTCATGGCTCACTGGAGCCTCAAACTCTCCAGGCTCAAGTGATCCTCCCACCTCAGCCTCCCAGGTAGCTGGGACTGCAGGAATGTGCATACCTGACTAATTTTTTTTTTCTTCTATATCGTGTAGTGATGGGGTTTCACCATGTTGCCCAGGCTGATCTTGAACTCCTGGGCTCAAGTGATCTTCCCACCTTGGCCTCCCAAAATATTGGGATCACAGGTATAATTGTGATTGGGATCACTGTGCCTGGCCTAAGATATGATATTTTATCTAGAAGTTTTAGTTATTTCCAGCAGTCCAGATACCTATCTTGTCATTGCCTTAGAAATGGAAGTCTATGATTTTAAATATATTTCTAAGCCTCAACTTCCTCATTTGAAAAATGAGGATAGTTTATACCTCATAGTATTGTAGTATTGTGGGGAATAAGTGAGATGATTAGTGTAAAGCTCTTAATTCTGTGCCTGTACTTCAATTAATGTTTACTTATTTTTTTAAAAAATGGCATTCTCAGAGTCTAAACATATGTTGCTCTATCTTGCTGTATTTTTATTCATACATGGCACACCTAATACCAGGAAGTGAAGATGTGAATAATCTAATGTTCTAATAAATTTTATATTATATATATATGAGACGGAGTATTGCTCTGTCATGCGATCTCAGCTCACTGCAACCTCTGCCTCCTGGGTTCAAGCGATTCTCCTGCCTCAGTTTCCTGAGTAGCTGGGACTACAGGTGTGCGCCACCACGCCCAGCTAATTTTTGTATTTTTAGTAGAGACAGGGTTTCACCATGTTGGCCAGGATGGTCTTGAACTCTTGACCTCATCATCTGCCCGCCTCAGCCCAAATTGCTGGAATTACAGGTGTGAGCCACCGCGCCCGGCCTATGTTTATTACATTAAGAAGCATAGTTGTTTTTTTCCATTTCATAATTTTCCATTTCCAATGAGAACCAAGTAATTAAACATCATTACTAGCCTAGATCCTAATTGAGGACATGAGATTTATTGAAGGGAAATCCTCAATTAATATGAACATTTCTTGAGAAATGGGAAATTTGAAAACATTCCCTCCCACCATAATCAAATAAGACTCTAAAAGGATAGAAAATGGATGCTTTTTCTTATAACAAACTAGGCTATGCCCTGTTTTTTACTGTTTTCTATTGCCACAAAGTCAAATTGCGTGGGGTCTTTTTAAAGTCCATAGACATGTTCACTCTAAGCAGCTGCCCTTCTCTTTGAAAACAATTTCTATCCAGGGCCAAGTAGGCCTTGCTCAGAATCCTATGGCAGTTGACCTGAGCCTTGGGCTGTCTCAGGGACATTTCTTTAGCAGGTGCATTGTGATATTTTTCACAGCCAGCATAGTTTCTGTACAGGTGGGTTTGATGAGCATCTCTGGGAGTAAAAATCCAAAATATCCAGTGTCACGTAGTTCGAAAGCAAATGCATAAGGTATTCCATTTTTGTAGGCCCAATCCATTGAGCTACCAGAGCTCACATCTAAAAGTTAAAACAAAAAAAAAAAGATCAGCCTCACTAAAGAGTCAGTATAATTTTCTAAATGTATATACTATAAAGTATCCGCTTATTAAGCTTTACTAAATCCTTCCAATTAAATGCTGTTTCAATAAGAATGATTTAACAGGAGTTCCTTGGCATCTGGTGCATGGAACTTATAAATCATCCCTTCAACCATCTTTAAGGATCCAGTCTACGTGTGAATGCCTTACCAGCACGAAGACTAAAATTTCTCAACCTCAATTCCAAAAACGTTTATGTTCATCCCCACTTCATTCACCTATAAACAACCTATACTGAGAACTCTTTTTGTTTTTAGTTATCACTCAGTTCTTCTCCACTTCAGTGTCTAGAATATTGAAATTGTGTTCCCAGAAATGTCTTTTTTTTTTTGAGACGGAGTCTCACTCTGTCACCCAGGCTGGAGTGCAGTGTCACAATCTTGGCTCACTGCAACCTCCGCCTCCTGGGTTCAAGTGATTCTCCTGCCTCAGCCTCCTGAGTAACTGGGATTACAGGCCCGCGCCACCATGCCCAGCTAATTTTTGTATTTGTAGTAGAGACAGGGTTTTACCATGTTGACCACGTTGGCCTTGAACTCCTGGGCTCAACTGATCCTCCCGCCTTGGCCTCCCAAAGTGCTGGGATTACAGGCGTGAGCCACTGTGCCTGGCCCCAGAAAACCTCCTTATTTCTTCCACCTCCCTGTGTTTCCACTCCGGCTTAACCTATTCTGTGCCTTTACTTAGATTGGTATTTTCCAGATTCCTCCGTTTTCTGGTAGTTTCATTTGATTCTCTAGTTGGCCATGGCCAATTATTTCACTGAATTTTTCTCCAGACCCTCAACATGCCTCATTCCTGTCCTTTTCCTGCTTTTGTTTGGCTCATCCTCAACCCCTGGCCCAGTTTCTCTGCTTCCACTAGGTGAGGGAGCTAGAGAAAGTCTTTGCTGAGTAGAGATACTATAAAGTCACACTACCTCATTACTGAAGTCTTTTTCTGCCCCCATGTTGCTGTAGGTTCCTTTTCTAGTTCTCTACTTACTGAAACTTTCCCATTCTCTTCTCATCTTCATGTTACACTGTCCCCACTACTCTAGATCAGGGGTCCCCAACCCCCAGGCCACAGACTGGTACTGGTATGATTTACAAGTTCCATGCACTGGTACTGGTCCGAGGCCTGTTAGGACTTGGGCTGCACAGTGGGAAGTGAGTGGTGGGTGAGCCAGTGAAGCTTCACCTGTATTTACAGTCACTCGCTATCGCTTGCATTACTGCCTGAGCTCTGCCTCCTGTCAGATCAGTGGCAGCATTAGATTCTCATAGGAACATGAACCCTATCATGGACAGCACATGCGAGGGATCTAGGTTGTGCATTCCTTCTAAGAATCTTATGCCTGATGATCTGTCACTGTCTCCCATCACCCCTAGATGGGACTGTCTAATTGCAGGAAAACAAACTCAGGGCTCCCAGTGATTCTACATTATGGTGAATTACATAATTATTTCATTATATATTACAGTGTAATAATAATGGAAATAAAGTGCGCAATGAATGTAATGCATTTGAATCATCCTAAAACCATTCCTCCCCCACCCCACCCCTGTCCGTGGAATAACTGTCTTCCATGAAACCGGTCCCTGGTGCCAAAAAGGTTGGGGACTGCTGCTGTAGATGATTGCCCCATTGCCTCCTCTACTGACATTAGAGCCCTCTGACTTTCCCCCGTTGAGCTCAGAGGAAGAAATGCTCCCTGTCTTTTACATGCGTCACCTCTTGATACTGTTGGTTATTGTCGTCTCTGGTAGTGAAAGGCCCTTCTCCATGACTTTGTGTTATTAATTATGCATCTGCATTGGCCAAAGTACTCAAGGACCCCTTTCCTATAGCACTTCCTTCACATTATCCTACCATATGCCCTTGGTTACCCTCTTCTTTTTCCTCTTTCTTTTGCTTTAGAACCCGAGGGAGAACCTATATATACTGTGTCTACATCCTCAACCACTTTCAATCTGGCTATTGCCTCTACCCGTGTATTAAACCTTCTTTTTGAAGATTACCAATGACCTCAGGCCTAGCCTCTTTTTCTGTTTTTTGTTTTCCCCTCAGATCCCGCTTTCAAGGTCTCCACAGCCTTTAACACAGCTGACAAGCCCTCTGGCTACTCTCTCCTTCTGGCTCCTGTGACCTCACACTCTCTAGCTTTTCAGCAGAGTTGAAAGCTGGGAACTAGAGGTAGCCTGCAGCCTGGGCTGTATCTGATCCTACCACATAGTGGGTAACTTCTCTGTGCCTCAGTCTCCCTTTTTGAAAAAGAGACTGATAATACAGTACCTGCATAACATAGGGTTGTTGGGAAAATTAAATAAAGTAATAAATCACTGGAAAGTACTCAAGATATATTAACTTATTATTTTGCCTCTTTATATCCTCAAGTGCATATGTAGTTTTTAGTCTAACAGGCTTTTAATAATCATTCATTAAATGAATAAATGTTTCATGGAAAAATCTTTGTATACATTTTTCCTGAAATTTATATAATCCAGCTTGAGATAATCCTATTATTATTATTATTATTAAATTTTCAAAGCATGGTCATTTACTCAAAAAATAACGCTTTTATGCTATTTTTCCTAGGACAAGTTAGGATGGAATTATTATTATTATTGTTATTTTTTCTTGAGATGGAGTCTCCCTCTGGCACCCAGGCTGGAGTGCAGTGGTGCAATCTTGACTCACTGCAACCTCTGTCCCCCTGGTTCAAGAGATTCTCCTGCCTCAGTCAACTGAGTAGCTGGGATTACAGGCGCACACCGCCATGCCCAGCTAATTTTTTGTATTTTTAGTAGAGATGGGGTTTCACCATGTTAGCCAGGCTGGTCTCAAACTCCTGCTCAGGTGATCCACCCACCTCGGCCTTCCAAAGTGCTGGGATTATAGGCGTGAGCCACTGTGCCAGGCCAGAGATGGAATAATTATGTAAAGATGACAATTAAAATGACTCTTCTGCTTCTCAGATTCCCTTTGCTTCAGTTAAGGACAGAAAATAGGCTGTGGCTTCAGTGTCCCTCTGGTTAGGGTACATTGGAACTACAAATAGTAGTCATAGTAGCCAAGTCAGAGACAATATGTGCCAACAGTTACATCACGGTGATGTGACAGCCTCATTTCTTTTTCTTTTTCTTTTCTTTTTTTTTTTTTTTGAAACAGAATCTCGCTCTGTCACCCAGGCTGGAGTGCAATGGCACCATCTTGGCTCACTGCAATCTCTGCTCCTGGGGTTCAAGAGATTCTCCTGCCTCAGCCTCCTGATTAGCTGTGATTACAGGCACCCGCTACCTCTGCCTCCCTGATTCAAGCGATTCTCCTGCCTCAGCCAACTGGGTAGCTGGGATTACAGGTGCATGCCACTATGCCCAGCTAATTTTTGTCTTTTTAGTAGATAAGGGGTTTTGCCATGTTGGCCCGGCTGGTCTAGAACTCCTGACCTCAGATGATCCACCCGCTTTGGCCTTGCAAAGTGCTAGGATTGCAGGCGTGAGCCGCCGCATCCGGCCAACAGCCTCATTTCTATGGTAATAGACTGTTCTCAGTAAATATAATACTCTGACTGTGACTCTATATGAAGTTGAAAAGGTAAATGGTTAGTAAGATTAAAAAACGTTAATGTTTAAAAATGTTTATATATATTATGTTGGCATTAATTGGTAATATGATTGTTTAAATACAGTTTTTTTTTTTCCCTTTCAAGGTGGCCACTGAAAAACAGTTCTAAAAAGGTCAACATGAGACCAATGATCATGGACTTTGAAAAAATAAACAAAACTATTGATACTCCTGACATTCTCATTATTAGAATAAACTTATTTGTCAATGTTAATTGACAAACCAAGTGTTTGTTCTGAAGGCTGAAGAAAGTGAGTGGTAAAACATTAGGAATACAATGATAGGTAGATTAAAGAAGTCAAGGAGAACTTTGCTACCTTAATCAGAAGCATAATCAGATGTCACTACCTACACATATACATACAACATGTGTGTGTTTACCTTCATTTGCACACACCGACATTCACACATACATGATTTCTCACTAGATTTTCCAAGTCATATAGTGAATAAATTTTAGAGTTTAAAAGGCCCTGAATCCAATTCTTGTTACAGTTGTGGAAACTGAGGCCCAGGATTAATAAATATTTTGGCCTGGTTGACAGACCTGGCAGAATTAGGACTACAATGCCCATACTATGATTCTTTGTCGAAGTTCTTGCCATATACCCACTTGGAAGGACATGCCATCCCAAAATAAGCCAGATTGATATGTTAATTGTTGAAAACATTGGAGATTGTAGTTTCAGAAAGGGTGAGCTGACTTGTTTCTTCCTGCATGCAGCAAACAGTAAAGATTCCTCGAGGAGGGTTATTCTCACTATAAGAAGGGTGAGAAAATAGCCCTTTATCACCACAGACTTGAATTCAAGGCTGCAGTGGACCTAACAACAAAGCAACCCTTATCTTCCATTGGTTTTACATACCCCCTATTTATTTCCTAGTGACTCCCCTAGAAAATTTGCTGCCCTTAGCCAGATTTTTTTGTCCTGTTATTTATTCTCAAATTTATCGTTCCTTGTCCAAAAAGTATAAAATCATCTTGCTTTGGCCACTTCTTTGGACTTCACTCTGTTATGAAGATCCTGTACACATAGAATTAATAAAATTTGTATACTTTTCTCTTGTTTAACCTGCCTGGTGTCAATTTGGTTTCCAGATCCAGCTGAAGAACCTACGTGGAGTGAAAGATGGGAGATGAGGGGGGGTTGGAAGTGATCTCTGGCTCTGCTATACATTTTTCTCCATGTAAAAAAAAGAAATACTTTTACATCATCTTTTAAGGGATAATTCAATGGACGGTGCTACATAAGAAACAGCATTTCATAACAAGAACGGTGGCAGAAAGGAGTAAAAGGGAAGCAGTTGTAGGGCTGAAACATTTACCTCATTATCTTCCCAAGGCCCGTTTCCACCCTTGTAGTAGTTAGAATTGCTTAAGGAGCCCATTTTGGTATGTTCTACTCTCATAAGCTCTCAAATGAGCTTGTAGTCGTTACTGCACACTTAGCATATTCTCTGCTTTGAATTTATTTAAATGGGTACAGTGATTTCTGTCAAGCTGTGTAAAACGAATCAGATATAAACTCCTTCTATTTTCCTCAGCTAATTTGATAGTCAAAATTTTCACTTTAGGGAGAACACACTTTCTCCCTTCTAAAAGGAAGTCATGATACAGGATATTGGTTCAAGAGAGAGGATTCTAACACAATGTACGCAGGAAACTTACACAACGTTGTGGAGGCTGGTCCATATCTGTATCGTACCCCGTATACTGACTGAAGTGCATTCACAGCTTTATAAGCTGCAGATTCCTATGAGGGAAAATGGGGAAATTTTATATATTGTTGCATTGAAACTTTTAGATACACTGCTATGTTGTTTGAGCCTCATCGATCATCACCAGATGGCTTCATTGGTTAAGATCTATATTCATTAATAATATTATATTACTCTTATGTCACACGCTACATTTTGCAACATGTTTTAGAACACATCATTTCATTGATCTCACAACAAACCAGTGATCAATAATATTTTCATTTTATAGATGAGAGAAGGAAGGCTCAGCAAGGTTAAATGGGTACGCAGAATGGTTGAGCTAAGTACTCATATTTTCTGAGGCTGACTTAGTGTTCCGTTCCTTGACTTTAGTTCAAGGCAACAATTTCTTTCTTTTTTTTTTGGAAGGAGTCTCGCTCTGTCGCCCAGGCTGGAGTGCAATGGCGCGATCTCTGCTCACTGCAACCTCCACCTCCTGGGTTCAAGCGATTCCCCTGCCTCAGCCTCCTGAGTAGCTGGGACTACAAGCGCGTGCCACCACGCCTTGCTATTTTTTTGTATTCTTAGTATACATGGGGTTTCACCGTGTTAGCCAGGATGGTCTCGATCTCCTGGCCTTGTGATCGGCCCACCTCGGCCTCCCAAAGTGCTGGTACTACAGACATGAGTCACCGCACCCGGCCAGGGATACCTATTTCTATAAGTTACAAAATACTTGGCCGGGCAGGGACCATGTCGGTCTCAGTCATAGCTCACAACCAGTACTTAGCAATGTGCCTGTATACAACAGATGCTTGATCAATATTTCTTACATGAATGTTGAATAAGCATAAATCTGAAAGAGTATTAAGATAATTACATTGATTCTTAAGTATATATTTCACTGGGTATGTACAAGGTATTTAGAACACATCTGAATCAATTAAGAAACCCCTTAATTCAGTAGGAATGACTTCTCTTAATGCTATGTGCTTATCCTCACTAGGAATGGAAACAACTTCAGAATGCTCATGACTTCTCAGGTTACATATGCCTCCCACAGATCTTACACAGGTACTGCGAAGAGGTAGAAAGTCTAAGGTGGAACTTTTCCTAAGAATGGCAAAAATTAGGAAAAATATTCAACACAATCGAAATACTAAAAGATGGATATTCTAACATGAACTAGAATGATACTCACTATCCTTTAAATATGGTATAAAAACACTGGTTTCAACAAGGAGTTAGAGAAGTATTACATGACAAATGAGAGGAAAAGAAGTATGTTGAAACCAGAATACAACTCTCCGATTTCAGCTTGCTTATGAATAATTTAATACTTAAATTGGAGCACTCCGGACAACGTGGTGGTGTGTGCTGGACTGAGTTTCAGGTTGCTGTCCTCATTCAGCTCAGAAATGCATGAGGCAGTATTTGCAGCAAATGCCACCATTTGTGGATATTCAGGGACCAGGCTCCAGAAACTGGCAGACTGTTTACTATTGATCTCACTGACGATGACATTCTTCTCATGGGAGCCAACAGAAAAGGAATATAAACACCACAATTAAATACCTTTATGGAGATTGTTCTAAGATTTTAACATCTTCTCCAACGGTCTCAGCAATATTCCATGGCAAGGGCAGATATTTCTACATTCAGAAGATTATTTCATTCTGCTAGTAAGGGAACTTTGCTTCTCATTATTTAGGCTGACTAAACCCAAGGGCAAAAAAAATCTAAGAAAAAAAAAGATAATCACTTTGCCTATTTACACAAAGGAGATGCACAGTTTTAGCCTTTTGAGCTCACTGCACCTCTGCCACTTGGGTACTGGTGCGTGTTGACTAGGGTTTAGATGTGATCTCTCCACAAAAATAAAAACTTCATCATTTTTTCCAAGAATTATTTTCCAGGGGGCCACAGCTAGACACCTATTTGAAAGGACTGATTTCAGTGATCCCTCTTTTTTCTACTGTATCCTGTTTCCAATTGTCAAAAAGTACCTAGGCATCAGTTATTGGTGTTCAGCTAAGTAAATGGTATATATATATGTGTGTGTGTGTGTGTGTGTGTGTGTGTGTGTGTGTGTGTATATATTTTGTTTTTTTTTTTTTTTAGACAGAGTTTTGCTCTTGTCGCCCAGGCTGGAGTGCAATGGCGTGATCTCGGCTTACTGCAACCTCTGCCTACCAGGTTCAAGTCATTCTCCTGCCTTAGCCTCCCAAGTAGCTGGGATTACAGGCACCCGCGACCACGCCTGGCTAATTTTTGTATTTTTAGTAGAGATGGGGTTTCACCATGTTGGTCAGGCTGGTCTCAAACTCCTGACCTCAGGTGATCTGATCTGCCTGCCTTGGCCTCCCAAAATAGTATATATTTTTATTTAAATATTTCCATATTTAAAGCAACTTAATGACTAAAAAACATTGCCAGAAATACCGAATCTTACATATTGATGGAATGTTTTTAAACAATTTTCATCAAATTTAATGGTTTCTGCTTAACATTCAGGGATTGTCTAGTTCCTGAGAATTATAACCATGATTTTAGTGACCAAGCTTATGATTAACACTCTCCAGGATTTCTCAACAATGGCATTGTTGACATCTTAGACGGAATAATTCTTTGCTGTGGGTTCTGTCCTGTGCACTGCAGGGTGTTTAGCACCATCCTTGGCCTATACCTGCTAGATGCCAGTAGCATCCCCCCACCCTGTTGTGCCAATCAAAAATGTCTCTAGACATTGCCAGATGTCCATGGGGAAGCAAATTCATCTTTTTTTTTTCTTTCCTTTCTTTGAGACAGGGTCTCACTCTGTCACCCAGGTCAGAGTGCAGTAGCATAACCTTAGCTTACTGTAACCTCTGCCTCCTGGACTCAAGCAATCCTCTCACCTCTGCCTCCTGAGTTGCTGGGACTACAGGTATGCACCACTATGCCTGGCTAATTTTTAAAAATATTTTGTAGAGATGAGGTCCCACTATATTACCTAGGCTGGTCTTGAACTCCTGGGCCCAAGCAATCCTCCAGCCTGGGCCTCCCAAAGTGCTGGGATTATAGGCACTAATGATCCATTTTATGCCACATGTTCCAATCCAAGACAAAGGAAAATAGGCTTAACTTAAGGTGGGAAGATAAAATACGAAGAACATTCTCATATGATAATTTTTTTTTTTCAGATGGAGTCTCACTCTGTTGCCCAGGCTGGAATGCAGTGATGCCATCTTGGCTCACTGCAAACCTCCACCTCCCAGGTTCAAGTGATTCTCCTGCCTCAGCCTCCCAAGTAGCTGGGACTACAGGTGTCTGCCACCAGGCCCGGCTAATTTTTGTATTTTTTATTTTAGAGATGGGGTTAAACCATGTTGCCCAGGCTGCTCTCGAACTCCTGTCAGCTTGGCCTCCCAAAGTGCTGGGATTACAGGCATCAGCCACTGTGCCCAGCCCTCATACAATAATTTTTATATATTATATAGTCCACATCATCTGTTGTATGAATATAAACAGACACAGTGCCCACGTAAAAAAAAGTCTGAACATTTGCCTAAAGGAATACTGTGATACAAATTGTTAGGGTGCCGGGTCAACAAAAACAACAGCTATAGCAGCAGCAGCAACAAAAACAAAGTATATTTGACCTGCAGAGCAGCTAAAGAATAGCAGTATAGAATATAATTATCACTTTTACAATAGTTCTAAAGAGGTGGAATTTGCTCAGAATTCTTGGAATGCCAAGAACAAAATTCTCTTTTTTGGACAGAATAAAAGTCTTCCCCAGGCCCTCCACAAGTCTTAGACATCTAGATCAGAAATTCCTAAAGCCCCAAGCAATTGGTGCAGGATTTGGAGTTTAAGGTGTAGGGAGAAAGGGAATGATTCTCTTTAATAAAATTTTAAATTCAGGTATAACATTGTGGTATAATAAAAAATAAATACTTGGTCCTTGTCCTGGTTCTTGGCACACAGTTTCTAAAAACTCCTGGCATCTCCAGAGTGCTAAGGGTGTCTTTTGGATGGTAATGAGATGACTTGGGGCTGGAGGCCGCTAAGTAGCTTCAGGATGCAGGGTGCTGCCAGAAAGACCAAACTTTGTGATTAGAGAGTTGGAACTTTTAGCTCCATCCTTCACCCTCTGAGGAGGAGAGAGAGGCCAGAGATTGAGTCCAAACTCCAATGGCTAATGATTTAATCAATTAGACCTATGTAATGAAATCGTCATGAATACCCCTAAACAGCAGGGTTTGGAGAGCGTTTGGATTAATGAGCACTGGATGTGCTGGGAGGTTGATGCACCCAGAGAACGCACGGAAGCCCTGAGCCCCTTCCCCCATACATTGCCGTATGCTTCTCTTCCATTTGGCGATTCCTGAGTTGTGTGATTGATTGATTGATTGTTAAGACAGGGTCTCACTCTGTCTCCCTGGCTGCAGGGCAGTGGCATGAACATGTCTCACTGCAGCCCTGACCTCATGAGCTCAAGTGATCCTCCTGTTCCAGCCTCCTGAGTAGCTGGGATCACAGGTGTGTGCCACCACCACACCTGGCTAATTTTTAATTTTTTTGTAGAGATGGGCATCTCACCATGTTGTGCAGGCTGGTCTCAAATGTCTGGACTCAAATGATCCACCTGTCTGGGCCTCCCAAAGTACTTGGATTATAGGAGCGAGCCACTGTATCCAGCCAATTGTGTATCTTAAATGAACAGGTGATAGTATGCAAAGCTCTTTCCTGAGCTCTGTGAGTCATTCTAGTGAATTATCAAACCAGAGGTGGGCTGGTAGGAACCTGCGACTCTGCAGCCAAGTCAGACAGGAATGTGGTTAACTTGGGAACCCCCTACTTGCTACTGGTGTCTGAAGTGAGGGCAGTCATGTGGGACTGAGTCCTTAAACCTGTGGAGTCTGATGCTAACTCTGGGTAGTCAGTGACCAAATGGAATTGAATTGTTGGACACCCAAGTGGTGTTGGAGAGGTGGTACTGGAAAAAGACATCACACATTTGGTGTCAAGAGGCCAAAAAAGCCCTAAAATATACACGTAGAAGAGTACACTGTTTTTGAGTTGATTGCTCAACAAACGATCACAAATTGAATACATTCATGTAACCACCATCCAGGTCAAGGAATAGAACTTCAGCAGCAACCCAATTTCCTCCCAATCACTGCACCCCCTCCTTTTCCCCAGAGGTAAGTACCACCTGACTTCTAGCACTGTATATTAGTTTTTCTTGGTTTTTGAACTTTATAGGCTTTTAGATGCTATAGGCTCTGAAACGACTCACTTCATGATGACTGATGCCCTATAGTGAATAGCTTGTTGGGTTTCTGATATAAGGAGAGAAAGAAACTCTGCTTTTTCATTTTTAAGTAATCTTATGCCTGAACGTCTGTTCATTCTTAGTACTAACTTGTCAGATACATACCCAAAGACTTAGTAGCATTAAGCAAATAGCACTTATAAATTAAAACCTGCTTTTAATTAATGAGAATCAATCTATAATTTATGAATAATCATTTACTCAATAAAATTAATTACAGCCTTGCATACATGACCAAAACTATGATACTAATCAAATCCACCCTGACTTTTTCTGTGTAACCTGTGGTAAGAATGTAAATAGGTTTGAAATGATTGTATTTGAGAAGCAGCACTACGGTTAAAAGCAACAGCTAGGGAACTAGACTTGGGGCTGAATCCTGGCTATGAGACTTAGTAGTTGTGTGTTCTCTATCTAATTACTTAATCTCTCAGCTTCTAGCTTCTTTACCTGTAAAGTGGGGATAATAAAAGCTGCCTCATATGATTGTTAATGAAGAATAAATGAATTAATACATGTAAAATATTTATTAGGATAAACACAAACATGTGTTTGCCATTATCATTAGTACTTAGAACCATCTTAGCTTCAGAAAAGCAGCATGAAGCCTGATGTACATGCACAGGGTCAAATACTTACCACACATCTAAAATTGGGAATTGTTGCATATTTGTAAGAATAGGGATACAGTAACATCTGAGCATATGCATGAAAGGAGAGATAAGCCCTAATGTGCTTTCTGTGTTTTCGAAGGAAGTTAGCTACAGCCTTCACTTCCGGCTCAGATTCTGGAAAAGGGCCACAGTATGTGTCATCACAAGGGTGCATAGAAGCTCCTTCATCTGCAAGTCAGAAAAGAAAATGGGGTAAGGAAGTGGGCAGGGAAGAAACAAGAAACACAAATCAGCACTGTTAAGCTGTGATTTTTCTTTTATTTCTCCAAACATATGGTATTATTAAGCAATTCATCTAACTTCTCATTTATGGAAATCAGTACAAAAGTTCTAAGGTGATTGAAGTTCCCATGCACAACAGGAGGGCCTGAATAGAAACCAGGTAGTGATTTTTCAACTGAACATGCACAAACCACTCTAAAGAAATTGCTCTATCAGCTGTCACTTCTAGCTGCACCTAGCAGCTAGAACAATAGTACAGCAAGTGTTCAACAGGTATTTGTTGAATAAGTTAATGTCAGATAGAAAGAAAAGGCTATGCTGCCTACAGCGTCTGCTCCACCCCTGCTGCCCGCTGGAGCCCTAGTGGCTCCCTCGCTTGGCAACAACACAAGTCTCATGGCCGCAGCAGCTGCAGCTGCAGCAGTGGCAGCAGCAGGCGGACCTCCAGTCCTCACTGCCCAGACCAACCCCTTCCTCAGCCTGTCGGGAGCAGACGGCAGTGGCGGTGGCCCCAAAGGAGGGACCGCTGACAAAGGAGCCTCAGCCAACCAGGAAAAAGGCTAAATCCACCCTTACCCCTCCTGACCCCCCAAGTGGAGGGAACAGATCCTGGCCTGAGGGGTCCTAGCCTGGAGCAGGCGCCTGCGCCCAGACCCTGGAGAGCCTTGACCCAGAGCCTGTGCTGAGGTCCAGGGAGTGTGGAGAGCTCCTGGTGTCAAGGACTGAGACTGAGAGGGGAGCCCCCTCCATCTGGCCCCCTTCCCTTTCTGTACTGTCCGCTTTGTGAGGCTCAGAGGAAGGACAGTCTGCAAGCCCACCTAGGAGGTCCATCCCCAGCAAATGTTTTGGAGGTCCCCCCAGAGAGCACAGTGGGCCATGGAAGAAGTAGGGGGTTGGTTGGACCTGTCACATGAAATGGATCAGCACTTGAATGGGGAGAAGTGGAGGGAGAGGCCCTGGGCCTGTCCCTGCGGGGAAATCTTTTATGGAAGAAGGGCTGGACCCACTTTACCTGCAGTTTCTTCCCAGCTCAGGCAGATGGCAGAAGGGACCCCTTGGACTTTTTCTCGCCATCCCTCCCCCCAGCGCAGGGGCACAAGCTGAGCTTGTAAAAGCCCACAGATGTTGGGGGCTGGAGAAGGGGCAGGAGAGCATCACACTCAGCCCCAGCCTCCTCAACCTCTTGGGGCCCTGTGATGGGGAGGAGACGGCAGGTGCGGGGAGGCTCCGGCCTTCCTTGGTGCCCCGCCCTTTGTTTGCACTATTGGACTTAGGAGTGCCGAGGGTGGGGAGATGGAGCTGCCTGACTCAGTGTGTGAGTGTGTGTGCGTGCATGTGTGTGTGTGTGTGTGTGTATGTGTCTGTCTGCCTGTCTCTCTCCTCCTGGACCCAGGGCAGCCAAGGGCAGGGATAGGTGCAGTGGTCAGATGAAGCAGTGCCAGAGAGGGGACCTCCCAGCTCTTATTTGCACCCTCCCCACCTCACCAACTTTGGTCCCTCTCTGGGGGCATGAATGGTTAACAAACACCAGAGCAGTACTCCAATATTGGAGAGTCACTGGGGGCACAGGGCTTTGAATCAGGGTAGTATCCTGCCTTCCCTCCCCTGACCCCACATGGTCTCAGGGCCCCCTTAGGGCCCCCTACCCCACTGATAGCTTCCTCCTTCTCTGGCACAAGGGGAGCCCCAGGGCTTGGGGGAGGGCGTAAGGTGGGGGGAAATGCCACAGCTTTTAGCAAAAGCCTCCCTCCCAGAATTAGCCAGCTTGCCTCCTGCACCCCACCCCCACCAACCAGGGGAGCCACTAAGCTGACTAACAACTGTCCCCTCACCCACCAGCTATTTCCCCAGTGTAGAGTGGGCAATTCTCACCTTCAAAGAGTCCCCACCTGCCCAGGCCTTTGGCACAGAGGCTGAGTGGACAGTCAGGAGAGAGGCGAGAGGCAAGGCGAAGCCGATGTCCCTGTTTCAGTTGCACTGGGGTTGGAGCCCAGGGTAGGGGTTTCCAGCTTCCCCAGGCTCCGGCCTTGTCAGTCTCTTTGCATGTGTGGATTTTTCTGTGTGTTTCTGTTTGGGTTTTTGTTGTTGGGTATTTTTTTTTTTTTTAATAAAGAAAAGAAGATGTGTATATTTTTGGCAACGACCAAAAAAAAAGAAAGAAAAGGCTAGACATATGTAAAGGTATCTGATAAGATACAAATATTGATATAGCAAGAACATAAAGGCAGGCCAGAAATAATTTCACCAATTTCTATTATGCTTTTAGAACAGCGCTATCCAAACTAGTTGTGTAAAACCAGGAGGCTTTTCTAGTTATCTTGGGGATTGGTTAGAGTTTAGTTATGAAATCTTCAAAACAAAATTTTAATAACTTTTGAATTAAAAATCAAACTATATATGGTATATTTAAGAGGTCTAAGGAAGGAAGGAAGGAAAATAAGAATCACTGTAACAATCACAAAGTATTATGGTTCTAAGAAAATGTGGAAATAATTAGATTTTCCATAGTTATTTGCCATATGAGGCCACTAATGTCTCTTCCCTAACTCTAGAAAATGATAATTCTCTCCATAAACTAGTAGAAAATATTTGGTGGTTCTGTGATGTAGCCTAATTCTACTGAACATGAAAAGACAGCCCAGTCAAATTGGGCTAAATCTTGAGGACCGTAAGTGTAGTTCATGCTGTAGGGAAGTCAAGAGTCGAGTGGGGAACTTACAGCAATTGGGGTTTCCCTTCTTTGAATCTCATCCTGGAGATGCCTCAGAAGCAAGTGGGCTATAGATGGAACTCAGAATGTAATATAAAAACTATAGCTGGGCCAGGCGTGGTGGCTTATGCTTGTAATCCCAGCACTTTGGGAGGACGAGGCGGGCGGATCACGAGGTCAGGAGATCGAGACCATCCTGGCTAACACAGTGAAACCCCGTGTCTGCTAAAAATACAAAAAATTAGCCGGGTGTGGTGGCGGGGGCCTGTAGTCCCAGCTACTCGGTAAGCTGAGGCAGGAGAATGGCACGAACCCGGGAGGCGGAGCTTGTAGCGAGCGGAGCTTGCGCCACCGCACTCCAGCCTGGGCGACAGAGCGAGACTCTGTCTCAAAACAAAACAAAATAAAACAAAACAAAAAAAACTATAGCTGATACTCTGGAGGGAATGGAAAAAATAAAGAGAGATCTGTGGAATACAGACCTAAAGCACTGAAAAGGCAGGATCACAAACTAAACAACTAATTCTGGAGGGAGCAGAACTGATGAGCCAGAGAAAACAAGAATTTACAATAATCCTAACAAATATTCTCAAGGGCATGTAGGAGGGCACTGGAAACAAATAGGGACAAGGAGTTATAAAAAAGGACCAACCAGATATAGTAGAAACAAACAATTTAATTCAGGGTTGAATGAATACAGTTGATGAATGAATTAATAAGATGGAGAGTGGTTTGAAACATTCCTAGAAGGCATGGGGAAGAGTAAAGAATAGGAAAAATGACAGAAAAATGAAAGGGCATGAAAAATAAAATAAATATCAATATGTGATAAATGGGAGCCCTAGAAGGAAAGAAAAAGCTAAAGTTAAATATTTGAAGAACTGCTAATTAAAATTTCTCCACAATTCTTTTTTTCTGGGGGGTGGGGGGTGATGGAGTCTTGCTCAGTCGCTCAGGCTGGAGTGCAGTGGTGCAATCTCAGCTCACTGCAACCTCTGCCTCCTTGAGTTCAAGTGATTCTCCTGCCTCAGCCTCCCGAGTACCTGAGATTACAGGCACCCTGCCACCACACCTGGCTAGTTTTTGTATTTTTAGTAGAGACGGGGTTTCACCATGTTTGCCAGGCTTGTCTTGAACTCCTGACCTCAAGTGATCTGCCCGCCTTGGCCTCCGAAAGTGCTGGGATTACAGGCATGGGCCACCATGCCCGGCTAAAAATGTCTCCACAATTAAGGAAAGATTGAATAGACTTATTGTGCACCAAACAAAAGAGATAAAGAGGAAAATATCAACACTTTGACAAATTATAGTGAAATTTAAGAAAAGAAAACAATTCTAGAGAGAAAAAGCAGGTCATTTAGAAAGGAACAAGAATTCCATTCACATTTGACTTTTCAACAGCAACATGAGTACTATATCCAATGTTTTTATTAAAAAGGAATTTTGAATCTAGGCTTCTATATCTAGCTGAATTCCCATTGCAATGTGAGTGAAATAACAATGTTCTCTAGCATCTAAAAGGCTTCAAAAGAATATACCATACACTGACATACTTTGCAAACACCCCTGAAGAAAGTATTCCCACAAAATAATGAGTAACTCCAGAGAGCCTACTCTACATATCTCATATCTACAGCGATATGAGAATCGCAGGTTAGTAAGCAACTTAGTAACATCTGCTATCTAAATAAGCAATATCCAAAGTGGGGGGGCGAAGTATAATGATCCAGGTATCAAATCCTAGGAGACAACAAATTGATGGAAAATAAAGAGGGAGGTGGGCAGGGAAGGCAAAAGCATGCTAAATTGTTGGTCTATTTTGAAAAGGAGATATAGATATTGATTAAATTTAGAAATTGATGGAAAAAAAAACTTAAGTATGAGTCTTAAGTTAGGAATAACCACCAGAATAAGAAAAATAGAACACAAAATTCACAACTAATGGAAGTAATTTTGAACCATTTAATAGAAAGTAGTAAAGAAGGAAAAAAGAAAAAAGAAGAAACAGGGCCAGCTGCAATGGCTTACACCTATAATCCCAGCACTTTGGGAGGCTGAGCATGGAGGATTGCTTGAGGCCAGGAGTTTGAGACCAGCCTGGCCAACATAGTGAGATCCCATCTCTACAAAAATTTAAAAAAATTAGCCAGGTATGGTGGCACACACCTGTAGTCCTAGCTACTTGAAAGGCAGAGGCAGGATTGCCTGAGCCTGGGAGTTTGAGGTTACAGTGAGTTGTGATGGTGCCATTGCACTCTAGTCTGGGTGACAGAGCAATACCCTCTTTCTTAAAAGAAAAGAGGCTGGGCATGGTGGCTCATGCCTGTAATCCCAGCACTTTGGGAGCCAAGGCAGGTGGATCACTTGAGGTAAGGAGTTTGAGACCTGCCTGGCCAACATGGTGAAACCCTGTTTCTACTAAAAATACAAAAAAATTAGCCAGGTATGGTGGTGCATGCGTTTAATCCCAGCTACTTGGGAGGCTGAGGCAGGAGAATCACTTGAACCCAGGAGGCAGAGGTTGAAGTGAGCTGAGATCACGCCATTGCACTCCAGCCTGGGTGACAAGAGCAAGACTCGGTCTCAAAAAAAAAAAAGAAAGAAAAAGAAAAAGAAAGAAAAGAAACACTGGAAAACAGAGAACAGGAATACAGGAATTAAGACGGCAGAAATAAGTCTTAAAGTAACAGTGATCATGAAGAATGCTAATAGGTGAAACTAATTGATCAAATGACTGATTTTATTTTATTTATTTATTTTTTATCTTGAATCCTGCAGGAAATGATTAAAAAATTATTTTTAATAGAGATGAGGTCTTGCTATGTTGCCCAGGCTGGTGTTGAATTCCTGAGCTCAAGCAATCCTTCCACCTTAGATTCCCAAAATATTGAGATTACGGGCATAAGCCATAGTGCCTGGCCTGATGTTTTCATATAGAAAAATAAAGAAGATCCATAGAAAAAAGTGTGGTGTAAGTAGATATTCCAGATGTCTACTTTTAGTATTGTGGCAGCCTTGGTATTTGTATTAGTTTCCTAAGGCTGCCGTAACACATTACTACAAACTAAGCCACTTAAAATAACAGAAATTTATTCTCGTACAGTTCTTGAGGCTAAAAGTCTGGAATCAAGGTGTCAGCAGGGCCATCCACCTTCTGAATTCTCTAGGGAAGAATCCTTCCTTGCCTCTTCCTAGCTTTGGGTGGTTCTTTGCAATCCTTGGCATTTCTTGGTTTGTGGATGCATTCCAGCCATGTATCACTTAAAGAAAGACATATGTTCTGAGGCCAGGTATGGTGACTCACACCTGTAATCCCAACACTTTGGGAGGCTGAAGCGGGCGGATCACTTGAGGTCAGGAGTTTGAGACCAGCCTGGCCAACGTGGTAAAACTCTGTCTCTACTAAAAATACAAAAATTGGCAGGGCGTGGTGACACACACCTGTAATCCCAGCTACTCAGGAGGCTGAGGTGTGAGAATCGCTTGAACCCAGGGGGTGGAGTTTGAAGTGAGCCAAGATCGTGCCACTGTACTCCAGCCTGGGTGGCAGAGAAAGACCCTATCTCAAAAAAAATAATAAAAAATAACATGTTCTGAGAAATACATCATTAGACAATTTCGTCAGTGAGCAAACATCATAGAATGTACTTATGCAAATGTAGATGGTGTAGCCCATTGCTCTAGGCTATAAACCTATACAGTATATCATTCTACTAGATACTATAGGCAATTATAACAAGATGATAAATATTTGTGTATCTAAACATGGAAAAGGTAGAGTAAAAATACAGTATTATAATCTTATGGGACCTCTGACATACATACAATCACTGTTGACAAAAACATTGTCATGTGGTGCATGACTGTACTCCATTCTCTTCTTGTATGTTCACATGGCTTTCTTCCCTGTGTGTTTCTCTGTGTGTCCTCTCTTCTTATTGTAAGGACAACTCACTGAATTTAACTAATTACTTCCACAAATAACCTTTTTCCAAATAAGGTCATATTCCAAGGTTTCAGTGGATATGAATTTGGGGGGAACAAAATCCCACCACAGTTTTGAGGAATTATCCTATTGTGGAAAAACTAGATCCTGTATAGGATACTTTCTCTGAGACACTGTTTATCTTGCAAGAAGTAGAGGAGTCTCCAAGACACCTGGATAAAAGATCAGCTTAAAAAATTCAATAGTGTAATTCTACTCTTGGCAATATTACTTATAAGGATGTGCAGTAGAAAATAAGATATTATTCACAATATCTAAGAATTAAGCTATTAAAGAATGCCTGACTATTAGAAAGAAAATGTTAAAACTCTACTAAAAGATCTATAATTTCAGAATTGAATTAGAGAACTATACCATGTGCATGAATATGATGACTTGGTAGTGTAAAGATATTCATTCTTCCCTATTTATTTAGTTATTTTGTTCAATTCAATTTTGACAAAAATACCAGCCCCAGGATTTTGGGAGAAAACTCAACTAAAGAACTCTGAAAGTTCTGCGAAAGCATAAATAGCTAAGAAAATCTTGGAAAAGAAGAGCAGAGAAGGGCTTATCCTACCAGGTATTAAAACATACATAGGTATAATCATAGAAACAATATGATATAAAGTCAGAAATAAACTAGTAGACCAATGGAACAGAATCACCAAGAAAATTATTGTTTAGTAAATGATGTTGAGAAACTAGTACATAATATGGAGAAACCAGAGTTGGATCCTTAGTACATAAATATACAAAAGTGAATTCTAAATGGTTTAATGATTTAAATAACAAAAACAAGACATGGTAAGGAAGAAAAAAATATAAAGGTTTGGTTGTTTTTAGGGGCTTTCTCTGACCCTTTTCCTTCACATCATCCTTCTAGATGGACTTACAGAGCATGGGGATGGGTATATAAAAGAGGTGCTCTTTAATAACTAAATTTTTTCACAAGAATACATGCAGGGTGAACAGTGGGGGAAAAGGACTTTATGTATGTTTGGTCATATATAATGAATGTAGAATGAATTAAGAAGTTTTTAGTATTATAATCACAATTTCACCAAAAAGAGCAAGGAAATATAAAGAAACACAAATATATATGACAACATAAGTCAGACTATGTGTAATAATGTAATAATATAAAGGGCTTATATTTTAAAATTACAAGTTGATGTTGAATTCAACTTAACAAAAATTTTTGAATACTTCTGTTCTAGATGCTATGTTATGCATTGGGGATCAAATATGAAGAAGCCACAGACCCTGAGTTGAGGAACATAAAGATTATGCTGGAAGACATAAAGGTAACAGAAAAAATCAATATAATGTGATATTGTAATATGATGTAATATAATATAATATAATGTAATATGTAATATAGTGTAATGTAATATAATGTAATATGATATATTTAGAAGACAGGGCAAAGAGGCAATCATCCTGTGTGAGTGTTCAGGAAAATCTTCTTAGAGGAGATAATGTCCCCTGGAAGAGACAAATCTAGAGGGATAGATATGAGTTAGAAGATAATTTCAGATAGTAAGAACAATATCAACAAAAGTATAAAGGCAAGAGACATTTGGTAGTAAGGTTCAACATAAAACGTGAGTCAGAGAATTTTGGTGGATGCGCCTAGAGTGGTAATTAGGAACTAGTTCATGGAACATCTTATTTATGACGCAAAGGAGCTTGTAGTGTTCTCTAGGCAGTGAAGAACCTCTGTGGTGCCCATAAAATACACTACTGAGACCTCTTGGTACAGTGAGCATAGTTGACTGACAGCTCCACTTGCTACCCTCTGGATCCATCACTGCATTCTCATCAAGCCCACATTTCCCCACAGCTGCGCCTCGCCAATGACTGATCATAGTAGAGGCACTAGTGCAGGCCCATTCTTGCCAGATGCAGGTATCCTTTACAAGGCAACTTTGGCTTGATGCATCCCCACAGACCTGCCAAAGCCTTTCTTAGAGCTGCATATTAGTCTGAGACTCTTCCAGCCCCATCCTTCTTTTCCCTCTCTTTTCATAGGTTTCTGACCTGCATCATGGCAAAAAAGCTGTCCTAGCCTATTCTTTTTTTTTTTTTGAGACAGAGTCTTGCTCTGTCACCCAGGCTGGAGTGTGGTGGCATGATCTTGGCTCACTGCAACCTCCACCTCCTGTGTTCAAGTGATTCTCCTGCCTCAGCCTCCCAAGTAGCTGAGATTAGGTGCGCACCACCATGCCTGGCTAATTTTGTATTTTTAGTAGAGACGGGGTTTCACCATGCTGGCCAGGCTGGTCTCCAACTCCTGACATCAAGTGATCCACCCGCCTCAGCCTCCCAAAGTTCTGGGATTACAGGCATGAGCCACTGCTCCCGGGCCCTGTCCTGCCTATTCTTGCTTCCTCTTCTTTATTCTTCAAAGGTGTTTCCTTCGAATACATCTCTTGTCATCTAATCCTAAGTTGATGCCTGCTTCCTGGAGATCTTGAGCTACCATAACTGTGAAGTTTTTTTTTAATCACCACTTTATTGAGATATAATTTACATACGACTTTAAAGTGGATAATTCAGTAGTTTTTAGTATATTTATCGAGCTGTGCAACCATCACCATTATCTAATTTTATAACATTCATTTCCAGAAAGAAACCCCATACTTTTTAGCAGTCAATTCACATTTCTCTTCCCCTCAGTCTCTTAACCATGAAGGATTTTAACGCATGGTCAAATTTTTATGTTAGACTGATCTTGTAAAAGTTTATAGGATAGATTTGTAAGAGGCAAGTCTATAATCAGGGAGACCAAATCAAGACACAATTACAACAATCTGGGCCAGAGATATTGACAGCTGGAGGTAGGACAGTGGTATTACGAACGGTACCAACGGGGTGCATCAAAGAAATATTTGGAAGATTAACTAATTGGACTTGGTGACTGGTTGAATATGTAAGGCAATGAGGTGGGGTTTGATAACATCTTACCTCTCTGGCTTGGCCAACTTAGACATCCGTAGTTTTTTTTTTTTTTTTCTGAGACGGAGTCTCGCTCTGTCGCCCAGGCTGGAGTGCAGTGGTGCAATCTCGGCTCACTGCAAGCTCCGCCTCCCGGGTTCACGCCATTCTCCTGCCTCAGCCTCCGGAGTAGCTGGGATTACAGGCACCCGCCACCACACCTGGCTTTTTGTATTTTTTAGTAGAGACAGGGTTTCACCGTGTTAGCCAGCTTGGTCTCGATCTCCCGACCTCGTGATCTGCCCGCCTCGGCCTCCCAAAGTGCTGGGATTACAGGCGTGAGCCACCGCGCCGGGACGACAGTAGTTGTTTTGAATGAAACATTGAATAGATGAGAAGGGATGTGGACATATAGGGAGAAAAGGAAGATGTCTATTTCATTTTGGACATGTTAAGTTTGGCTGCCAATAGAGATTTCTAATGGGGTACTAAAGATAAATATGAAGCTCCAAGGAAATACTAGGCTAGAGAAAAAGATGTGGGGGTCATTATCATTTTGTGAAAGTAAAATCGGCTGAGTGCAGTGGCTCATGCCTGTAATCCCAGCACTGTGGGAGGCCAAGGTGGGCGGATCACTTGAGATCGGGAGTTCGAGATCAGTCTGAACAACATGGTAAAACCCTGTCTCTAGTAAAAATACAAAAATTAGCTGGGTGTTGTGGCGGGTCCTGCAATCCCAGCTACTCGGGAGGCTGAGGCAGAAGAATCACTTGAACCCGGGAGACGGAGGTTGCAGTGAGCCACTGCACCCCACTCTGGGCAACAGAGCGAGACTCTGTCTCAAAAAAAAAAAAAAAAGTAAAATCACTCAAAATGAATAAAAAGCTTCAAACTGTGGGGAATATCAGTATTTAAAAGAGGCAAGGAGTATAACAGGACTCTGTCATTCACACTAGGAAGGAATTGTCAGGAAAGTAGGAGGACCACAAGATACTGATGTCAGAGAATCCAGGGACTTGATGTTTCAAGGAGAGTGTGGTTAGCCTGTAAAATGCAGAAAAGAATTTCATTTAATTTTATAGTAACAAAGTAACTGGGGACTTTTGCTTTAGAAAAGTTAGTGGAGTGGTAGGGTCAAAAGCCAGATGTTATATGTGCTTAGAGGAATGAATGGGAAGAAAGGAGAAGGAGATAGTAAGTATAGACTATCTGTTTTGGGAAGCTTGGTCTACAAGTGAAGAAAATATATAAAATGATGGCTAGAGGTAACCTTGGGGATAAGAGGCAGATTTAAGATTTTTTTTTGGGAGGACAAGCATATCTAAAGAAAGAATAGGGGAAAAGTATAGATGAAAAAAGAAAAAGAGGGATTTGATACGAGAAAGTTCTAGAAAAGATGTGAATGGGTGGAATCAGCAACCAGGTGGAGTGACAGGCCTTGAATAGTAGATGGGACTTCTGATTTCCTGTTTTCTTCAAATGTCTTTGATTCCTCATCCCATCAGTAAGAAACTTTTTGCATATCCCTGATATATATTTTTAGTTTATATATGTGTCTCTTGTTTGTAGGCTAATATTATATAAAACATACCAAAATAATATTTAAAATGTTTAGAGATGAATTAAACTATAATTAAAATATTTTTAGTTTTTAAATTAATTGTGTAGAAAGGCATTAATTCTCTTAAAATAAGGATGAGAAAGATAGATGAAATCTAACTTAAATAACTTAGTGTCTACATGTTGTTTTTCTTCAATGAATTTATGATATAAATGATGATATAAAAGAATGTGAGAACATAAAGTTCTTGGTTGATCTCCTAACTGGCATTTGTATGGAAAAGTATGTGTATTGCAATCTGTTGTCTCTCTGGACATTCAAAACACCTTTTTATTTCTCTAAAAATAAACACTGGAGAGTGAATTCAAAAAATACATGGAAAAATGATTATACTTAAATATTTAATGGAAAAAAGAACATGCAATTGTATAAATGAGATGGTTAAAAACAAAGGAAAAAGATAAAATGAAGTAAAGATTAATAGTCATTTACGGCCGGGGGCGGTGGCTCACGCCTGTAATCCCAGCACTTTGGGAGGCCGGGGCGGGCGGATCACGAGGTCAGGAGATCGAGACCATCCTGGCTAACACCGTGAAACCCTGTCTCTACTAAAAAAATACAAAAAATTAGCCGGGCGTGGTGGCAGGCTCCTGTAGTCCCAGCTACTCTGGAGGCTGAGGCAGGAGAATGGCTTGAACCCGGGAGGCAGAGCTTGCAGTGAGTGGAGATGCGCCACTGCACTCCAGCCTGGGAGACAGAGCGAGACTCCATCTAAAAAAAAAAAAAAAAGTAGTCATTTGCTAGGCTGGCAATATGGTATTATTTATTTCTTTTTCTTTTTTTTAAATAGAGATAGAGTCTCGATATCTCGTCCAGGCTGGTCCTCGGCCTTCCAAAGAACTGGGGTTACAGGTATGAGTCATCATGCCTAGCCTAATTATTTTTTTCAATGTTTTATTTCTGTCATATTATCTCAATTTTAAGTAAAAAAAATTAGAAAAGAACAATCGAGATCTGAAATATATTTTTTAAAAATTTAAAAGATTTTAAAGGAAAATAAGTAAAAACAGAAAAGCAGCAGAAATATTTGGTTTTATTTTATGTTTGACAGCAACTGGTCCCTGTGGAAATTGACTTGACAGTTGCAGTTGAATCCTCTAGTAAGCAGTATTGGGAGATCATGGTTATTGTGACGTGTTTTCATTGTTATATTATCACTTTCAATGTTTTTCATTTATAGCTTTTAAATTTCTCATAAATGGAATCACAATGCTAATTTAAAAATTGTCATCTTTTAAAAGATTTCTTTTTTACTTGCATCTCCCACTGTCAAATTATCCTGGAATGACCCATGTTAAAAACTGAGCGTAGTTAACATAGTTTACAAATACACATACTGGTGTGCAGTGTGTGTGTAAACAAATACACATAGTTTACAAGTACACATATGTACTCACACACCATGCATATATGTATCTTGATATAGCTATATAGGTATAAATTACACATTCATATATATATATACACACACACATATATATACACACATATATATATACACACACATATATATACACACATATATACACATATATATACACACATATATATACACATATATATACACACACACACATATATATATACACAAAAGAGCTATTTTTACTCACAAAACAAGATCATAATCGTACAATTTTTTTTGCCTCTTGCTTTTTTCTTCAATGATATTTTGTGGAACTCCTTCCATTCAGATTTGAATTCATTCTTTTAAATTCATTCTATTGTAACATAATTTAGTCTCCTGCCTGCCTATTGTTGGGAATTATGCTTATTTCTCTCTCTTTACCATGATGAAACAATACTACAATAAAGAAAGTGGGGACATGACTACTGACCTGAAAGAAACAATAATGCAATAAGCATCAAAGTATATGTATCCTTACATCTGAGTGCTTTTATTTCTATGGGACAGACTTATAGGAATAGGGCCCTGGGCTGAAGGAGATATGTGTGTATACACACACACACACACACACACACACACACACACACACACATACACATTTTAAATAGGTGATAAATTCACATGATTCAAAAATTTAAAGTTATAAAAGGATATTTTTAATTTTCATAGATTTTTTGCCAGATTGCTTGCTAAGATTGTTACTATTTATATTTCCACAAGTAGTGTGTAAGAGTACCATCTCTCCTTCATCCCTACTAGCAATACTCTACAAGTGTATCACCTTTTGATTTTTGCCAGTTTGATGGCAAACATTTAATTTTACTTCCTTTTTTTTCTTTTTTCTTTTGAGACAGAGTCTTGCTCTGTCACCCAGGCTGGAGTGCAGTGGCACCATCTCAGCTCACTGCAACCACTACCTCCCAGGTTCAAGCAATTCTCCTGCTTCAGCCTCCTGAGTAGCTGGGATTATAGACGTGTGCCACCACGCCAGGCTAATTTTGGTATTTTTAGTAGAGACAGGGTTTCACCCTGTTGGCCAGGCTGGTCTCGAACTCCCAAGCTCAGGTGATCCACCCGCCTCAGCCTCCCAAAGTGCTGGGATTACAGGTGTGAGCCACTGTGCCTGGCCAATTGGCCTTCCTTACTGGAAGTGTGCTTGTGTTCATACTTTAGACCGGACTCTTTGAATTGCTTAATCATGTTCTTAGCTCATTTTGTTTTCTGTTGAGCTATTAATCTTTTCCTTACCCAAGTAGAAAGTGCTTTGTAAAGACTGTCATTTGCATTGCATTTTATCCTCAAATCTATAATTTGTTTATTCAATCATTTATGGCAACTTTATCATTTTAGACATTTTAAATTTCATATAATCACTATGTCTTTGTAAAAAATGGCTTTTGTTTTTTTGGTCTTGGTTAAGAAAGTTTTCCCTTGGGAGGCTGAGGTGGGCAGATCACTTCCATTTAGGAGTTTGAGACCAGCCTGGGCAACATGGTAAAACCAAGTCTCTGCTAAAAATACAAAAAATTAGCTGGTTGTGGTGGTGTGCGCCTGTGGTCCCAGCTACTTGGTAGGCTGGGGTGGAAGTATCACCTCACCCCAGAAAGTCGAGGTTGCTGTGAGCTATGATTGTGCCACTGCATTCCAGCCTGGGTGACAGAGTGAGACCCTATCTCAAAAAAGGAAAAAAAAAAAAAAAGGAAAGAACGAAAAAGAAAAAAAAAGAAAGAAAAAGAAAAAAAAGAAAGAAAGAAAAAGAAAAAAAGAAAGTTTTCCCTATCCTTAAAGATTATAGGTACTTTCTAGATTTTCTTCTAAGAATTTTATCACTTTATTTTTTTCCATGGAAGTCTTTAATCCTTCTGGATTTATTTTTGTACATATATAATGTTATCAATCATCCCTTCAGTTTTTCTAGAGGAATAGCCAACTCTGTCAGCATAATTTATTAAATATCCTGTAATTTTCCTACCAAATTAAAACATTACTTTGGTTATATATTAAAGTGTAATGCAGCCAGGGATGGTGGCTTATGCCTGTAATCCCAGCACTTTGGGAGGCTGAAGAGGGAGGATCACTTGAGGCCAGGAATTCGAGACCAGCCTGGCCAACAAGGTAAAACTCCATCTCTACCACAAATACAAAAATTAGCCAGGTGTGGCGGTGCATGCTTGTAATACCAGCTACTCAAGAGGCTGAGGCATGAGAATTGCTTGAAACAGGGAGGCAGAGGTTGCAATGAGCCAAGATCATGCCACTGCACTCCAGCCTGGGTGACACAGCGAGACTGTCTCAAAAAAGCAAAACAAAAGTGTAATGCATGTGTGGATCAATTATTGGACTCTCTGTTCTGTTCTGCTGTTCTATGTGTCTATTCTCACGTTGTTACCCTAACAATCTACAGCAGCATTAAAGTATGCTCTGATACAGGCAAGAGACAGTTCCCTTGCTACTCTTTTTACAGTTTTATCAGCTTTTTTGTCTACTTATTTTTCCATATAAACTTTATGATCATTTTATCCAATTCCTAAAAGCAGAATACAAAATCAAAAAAACCTTCATTGAGATTCTAACTGGAATTGCATTCAATTTGTACTGATTTGGGGAGGATTTTATTATATTGAGTCGTCCTATCCAAGGACAGTTTTATGCCGTTCCATTTGTTCAGATTCTTGATTGCTGTTGCTGTTGTCATTATTGTGGATAGACAGCCGTTTTTCAGATGGTCTTCTCAGAACGGTGAGGTAGAAGCTACTTCACGATGCCATCAATGTTCCTCTCATGTTCTCCCTTCCTGTCCTCCACCTCCACCTCCATCAAATGCAATCTGGGGAATCAGTCACCCAAGCCATCTCTTTTTTTTTTTTTTTTTTGGAGACAGAGTCTTGCTCTATCCCCCAGGCTGGATGGAGTGCAGTGGCGCCATCTGAGCTCACTGCAACCTCCACCTCCCGGGTTCAAGCGATTCTCATGCCTCAGTCTCCCTAGTAGTTGGGATTACAGGTGCACACCACCACGCCCGGATAATTTTTGTATTTTTAGTAGAGACGGGGTTTTGCCACATTGGCCAGGCTGGTCTCGAACTCCTGACCTCAGGTGATCCAACCACCTCAGCCTCCCAAAGTGCTGGGATTACAGGCATGAGCCACCGCGCCTGGCCACCCAAGCCATCTCTTTAAATTTCATTTTGGAGGCTTATGTGATATCAAAATAAAAATATAACCCATTCAATAAATTTTTATGGTCAATGTACTACATAAACATAGTGTTTTGAGAGTTACAAAAATTCCTGATAACTTTACTTATAGGTAATATGCTTACTTCATATTTGGAATAACAAGTAATGGCTCTCTATTGACGTTTCCTTAGAAAATCAGACCCTCTTATAGATAACTAAACATTCTAAGTTACTAAAGATAAATTACTTGCTTTGTTCAAAGTTCAAGGAAGAAGACAAAGATGGAGTAATCTAATTTCCATCCTCTCTGTAGATTTTTAACTATTTCTAAGCCACTCCTGAAGTCTAGAGACTTATGTCAATGAACGAAGGGTAGGAATTGCTATCTTTTATCCTTTTTAAGGAGAGAAAAACCAAACATTGATTTTCTCCTTCAAGATTGAGTAAGAAAAAGGGTAACTATTTTGTACTGAAAACAGGACCAGTGCTATTGTTCCTTTCTGGAGTGGAAGGCAATCAGGCTACGGGTGAAGACGTGAGTGGTGACAATCTTGCCTTGTATCTATTGGCTGTATAGCCACAGTGGAGCACTCCTCTTGACCTGAGGCTACTTGCTTTATCCATAGAATCCTCGCTAGATCCAACCAACACCAACTTTCTTTAGGTAAGCTTGGGGTCTTTATAACATCCCATACTAGCTCAGGTGGTGCGGTACAGACCCAACATGATGTGCGAAGAGTGGCAGAGTAGAGAATATAGACTAATCTTAGAAGTAGCTGTGTTTGGCGGCAGAAGGCTGTAAAAGTGATAGCACTTATGTTGCACTGAAGCTATTTATTTATATAGACTCTCCTCTCCTTTAGAGGGTGAGCTCCTTGAGGACAGAGGTCCTGGACTACAGTTTCCCGTGACTTAGCAAAACAGACACCCTCACTACCCTTTAAATGTTAGTTAAATGAATAAGTGGAGCTGACCCTGCTCAGGGAAGGTGCTTGTACCTTAGACCAGGGGTCCCTAACCCCTGGGCCATGAACCGGTACCAGTCCATGGCTTACTAGGAACTGGGCCACACAGCAGAAGGTGAGTGGCATGTGAGCAAGCAAAGCTTCATCTGTATTTATAGCTGCTTCCCGTTGCCCACATTACTAGGTGAGCTCTGCCTCCTGTCAGATCAGTGGCAACATTAGATTCTCATAGGAGTGCGAACCTTATTGTGAACTGCGCATGCAGGGGATCTAGGTTGTGTGCTCCTTATGAGAATCTAATGCCTGATGATCTGTCACTGTCTCCCATCACCCCTAGATGGGACTGTCTAGTTTCAGGAAACAAGCTCAGGGATCCCACTGACTCTACATTATGGTGAGTTTTATAATTCTTTCATTATATATCACAATGTAGTAATAATATAAATAAAGTGCACAATAAATGTAATGTGCTTGAATCATCCTGAAACCATCCCCTCCCCACTCTCCAGTCTGTGGAAAAATTGTCTTCCATGAAACTGGTCCCTGGTGCCACAAAGGTTGGGGACTGTTGCCTTAGACTGTTTAATTAACATTTAGGCTTTGATTAGACAACTAAACTCCAGTTCATCTTTATGGAAGGCTGAGGACACACCATGGATATCACCACCACCACCACCACAAAATATTTTCAGATAAGCCTGTTGGTCCATGAGAATATTATCATCACCTAAATATTTCTTGAATAACTTAAAATCTGAAACGCTGAGTTTTTCCTAAGTTGTAGGTACTTTAAAAAATGTTTCCAAAAGAAAATGAGATACTTAAACAATCTTTGTATATGGGCAATAAGTCCCAAGTTGTTTGTGTACATAGGTACAAATCAATGCTTATTATCAAGAAAATACGGAGTGATAACTTCATGACTAAGCATTTTCATAGAGAAAAATAGGACCATTAAATTTCCTCCCAGACTGTATAAAAAACTGTAATTGTGTGCTGATGAGCTTTCCTCCAAAGAATCAATGGAGGGAGATGTGCAATTGGAGAGGTTCATTTACAACAGGAAGGTTTTAAGGAACATGCAGAGGGAGTAGAAGTGTGTGAAAGATGGGCAGGGCCACAAAAAGGACAGGCTGGGATATGGAGCAGGGAAATAGGGCAATGACTTCAAGAGGGCCAGAGGACCTATTTTACCTGGCTTTTCATAGGACTTGACCTCCTAGTTGAAATATTCTCCTCCCTTGGCTTTTAACACACTGTTCCCTCAAACTTTTCTTCCAGTCTCTCTGTTCTTTCCTTCTCAACCCCCTTTATGGGGTTTTCTTCTTCTATTAGTCCCTTAAATGAAGGCGAATCCAATTGTTCTGCTCTTAGCCATGTTCTTCAGTGGTCACTCTCTTCATTGAACATGGCAGCCTCAACTATTACTTACATGTAGATACTTTCATGTATTCAACACGTCTTTACTATGCACACACCATGCCTCACGCACTGGGATACATCATGAACCAAAGGTTTTTGCCTTGTAGAGAGCTTCCATTCCAGTGGTGGTGGCGAGACAATAGACACTAGACACAGTGAAAGCGAGAATTCTACTGTGTAGGAGAAAAGTGCCATGGAAACAAGAAAAAGGACAGTGTGAGAAAGATTAGGAGTACTGGGGAGTTGGGTTGCAATGATAGAGATGGTGACGACGTTGTTCCCAGATGCTGGCTTTTGAGCAGACTTGTAGAACTCAAGGAGTTGGCTATGGCATCCAGGGAAGAGTTTTAAGCAGAGGAAACAGCCAGTGCAAAGACCCTAAGCCAATGTGGCTGGAGCCAAGTGGGGAATGAGGATAGAAATAGATGAGATCAATCGATGGGGGACCAGATTATGTGAAGTTTATAGGCTATATTAAGTCCCTTAGGCAAGTAAAATGGGGAGCCACTGCAGCATTTTCAGCAGTTAACATCATCTGACTTATATTTTAAAAGGTTCATGGTGGCTGAGGATGGAGAGTGTGTG
This sequence comes from Homo sapiens, assembly GCF_000001405.40. NCBI lineage: Eukaryota > Metazoa > Chordata > Mammalia > Primates > Hominidae > Homo > Homo sapiens. The sequence goes on from NC_000008.11 coordinate 67,453,106, forward strand.
TTTGTATGTCTGTGTGGGTGGCAGGGGGGCAAGGGTAGCAGCTGTGAGAGTAGTTAGAAGGCTCCTGCAGTAACCCACATGAGAGATGATGGTAACTTAGACTGGGATGGTAGTAACAGAAGTGGTCAGAAAGGGTTGGAATCTGGAGCGATTCTTAAGGTAAAATCAAAGGGATTTCATAAATGGTTGGATGTATGGTGTAAGAGAAAGAGCAATGTTAAAGATTGATCCATGGGTTTAAGGCCTGAGTAACTGGAAGGATGGAGTTGCCATCAACTGAGCTGAGAATGGCTATAGGAAGAGCCGATTTGGCAGAGTGAAGGTCAGGAGTTCATTTCTGGATATTTTGAGTTGAGATGTCTATTAGATACCCCCAGTGAAGATGCTAATAGATATGATATATGGAGCTTGGGAGAGAGTTTAACATCTGGAGATTTGGGGGTCATAGGCACACAGTAGAGAATGATGACATGTCTAAGGGAATGAATGTAGATAGAGAAGAGAAAAAGACAAAGGCTGAACCCTGGGCAGTCCAACATTAAGAGTGTAGGGAAAAAAGAGGACCAACAAAATAGATTTGGCGTCTTCTCTAACACCCTGAGGCTGGGTTAGGTGCTTCTCCGATATGTGCTTATAATGCCCTTTAACTGCATTTGTCAAAAACTTAGTATCCTGCATTAAAATTGTGTATATACCCATTTCTCTACTTGATTGGGTCTAGCATTTGACTAATATTAGAGACATAATAAAATGAGAAAGCATTTTATTTCATTATTATCATACATGAGCTAAACTTGTAATACTCAGAAGTACTGTGCCTTGAGTCGATGCTGTTTGCCTGAGAAGCACATTAGACACTGGAATATTCTACAGCATTTTATGGTTGATTTTATGGATTGGCATCCTGCCAGTGTTATTTACTGCAGATTAAGTATTGATTCAGCAGCAGAATGGGCTATCACATCCAGAGTTCTTTTTGCCAGTGTTTATTTCTGAAATGTTGCCTTACTCATCTTCTATACCAACCCTGTCTTTACAAAATAAAATCAGAATCCTGAATGGCTGTGTCTCTAACATGGAAATAAATTAATTTGGGTGGAAAGAAGATCACTAAAACCATCTATCTTTATTTATAGCCTTTTTGGGGCACTATCTAGGTTTTACTAAAATGCAAAGAAACAGCTCACAAATACTGTTGAATACCAAATCCCTTCTGGATTTTATGTAGCTGTGTTGGATGGATACATTATTTTAAGAGTCCTGTCCAGATCTGGCCTTAGTTATGTAGATTCTGATGAGAAAATGTCTGCAGTACTATGAAAGATCAAGAGAGCAGAAGGCTACAGCATTAGGACATAGCATTTCAAGGGAACAAGCAAAAAACAACAACAAAAAATGTGATAAAATAGACTTCTTCTAGGAGAAAGGAGCAAGCAGCATCAAACTCATCATTCTTAATGTTTTAGGAGTATAAGAATGTAAAAGTTATTAGTTTTCCCTTAGTTTATGGGAACCAATATATTGTTTCTGAAAGAGACAAAATTCTCTTTCTCATCTTCACATGCAGAACAACTGCGGAATATATAACAGATCTCTGCAGTGCAGAGTGGAGAGGAAATTTAGTCTTGTCTAATGAAACAGCATACATCTCTGTTCTGAACACTTCAGCGATTTAACTTCCATACCATACATCACCTTTTTAGTTTTTAAGTATTGAGATGTAAAACTCTACAAGGACCTCATAAATCTAGAAAGGAGACAAGACATGCACACATGAGAAAATTAGAGAACAAGACAATGCCGGATATAATCGTAAAGTGTGCAGTGCAGACTCTAAGAGCATGGAGCACAGAGGAGGGGAGAGAGCAGGGAAGATTAGGAGCCCTGGGGTAACTACAATGGCAAAGAAGAGACTCAATGGAGCTCAAGATGGAGGGAGCTCAAAAAAATACGATTTTAATTAAAAAATAAAGGACAACAAAGAAAAGGTTTTGTTGATTCTGTGAACCCTAGCTTTTCTGGATGATATAATAAGATGTAAACTAGGCTTTACAGGAGAAATGAAGAATGGAGGGGTACCAGAAGCCGCAATGGGCTAAAAATCATGAGGCTGTGCTCCAGTTACAACTGCATCACGAAGCAGCGCAGTGACAGGCATTCCACTGCTCTGGTTGCATTTGTCCTGGGTGGACTTGAGAACCAAATCCGTGGTTCTCATTGTGGTGTTGGGAAAACGTGTTGCTATCAGTAGTGGGGGATGTCTCACAGTAGTTTGTTACATGTTATAAAATTACTTAACTAAAAAAAATGGGTTTGGTTATCCTGATAAATAACTCTTACTTTACTCTAATATACTTTTGTAAAGAAGAAGATAAAAAAGGTGAAATTAGTATGGGTGTGCTTGGAATTGACCACAGGACTATGCTTTCATCATCAATAGGGTGTGTAGCATAGAAAAAAAAAGGTTGAAAATTGTTGGATTAGAAAATGAGTGCTAAGGAGGCCAGGAGTTTGAGACCAGCCTGGAAAACATAGTGAAGCCCCTTCTCTACAAAAGCAAAAAAAAAAAAAAAAAAAAAAAAAAAAAAGAAAATGATTGCCAAGACTGTTTTTTTTGTTTGTTTTTTGTTTTTTAAAAGATAAGGTCTCATTTTGTTACCCAGGCTGGAGTGCAGTGGTGTAATCTGCAGACACCAACTCCTGGGCTTAGGTGATCCTCCCACCTCAGTCTCTTGAGTAGCTGGGACTATAGGCATGCACTAGAATGCTCAGCTAATTTTGGAATTTTTTGTAAAGATGGGGTCTTGCCATATTATCTGAGTTGATCTTGACCTCCTGGCCTCAGGTGATCCTCTTGCCTCAGCTTCCCAAAGTGCTAGGATTACAAGCATGAGCCATTATGACTGTGCTCAGCCCTAAGATTCTTTACAGCATTGATAGTTTATGGTTCCAGTGCAGGTGAAACAAAAATTTTAATGTAATTACATATTTATTTTCCTCAGTATGCTTAGATTCTGTCCTAAAGATCTGAGGACAAAATTTAGTAATAACCGTTGTGTAACTTAATTGATTTCTGGTTTTGTTGTTAGAGGCAGTCTCTGAAGACGGATTGCATTCTAAAATGTAGTTAGCAAACGTTTAATTCTCAGAATGCAGTTTTCCTTGGATAAAACTTTCTTCCCTGCTCAAGGTCTCCCAAATCCCTCTCAAATTGGCTTCTCTTTTGTTACAAATTGTCGTGTATGGCACCTGATTGCCCAAACCAGAAATCATCTACTGAGTCCAACAATTTGCAAAGAGCAGTTGGTACATTGTCTCAATTTCCTTTCAATACACTCAACCTAACTCCTATAAGCAGTCAAACCTTTTCTGAATTATTGTAGGGGTCCCGTGACCCCAGGCTCTTCTTCAGTCTATATCTTCAGAAGTCCCAAGTTAATTTTGCTAAAATGCAAATCTTACCATGTAATTCCTTTGCTTAAACTTTATAATGGCTCACCACAGCCTTCAAGATAAAGGGGCTAGATGAAGGGTCTTTGCTCTATATCCCTTGTGGTAGGTGAAATAATGGCCCCCCAAAATCACCAGGTCCTAATCCATGGAAACTGTGACTGTTAAATGGAAAAGGGCCTCTGTAGATGTGATACATTAAGGTTCTTGAGATGAGGAGATTATTCCGGATTATCTGAATAGGTCCTATATGTAATTACAGGTGCCCTTATAAGAGGGAGATTTGAATACCGGCAGAAGAGAAGGCTATGAGACAGCAGAAGAGTGGACAGATTCAGAGAGACAAGATGGTACGCCATAGGCTTTGACTGTGGAGGAAGAGCTCTCAGGGCAAGGAATATAGCGGCCTCTAGGAGCTGGAAAAGGGAAGGAAACAGATTCTCCCAAGAGCTGCCTGAGGGAGTGTGGCCTTGCCACGCCTTCAGCCTGGCAAAACCCACTTTGGACTCTGGCCTCCAGAACTGTAAAAGAACACATTTGACATGTTTTAGGTCACCAAGTTTGTAATTTGTTACAGCAGCAATGGGGCACAAATAAGCTTTCACAAGCACCGTTTATTTACCCCTACACAGCATTTAGCACAGCGTAACATTTTTACTAAGCTGTCAATCTTGAGGGCAGGAATTATGTGCTTTTCATGTTTGTATCTCCTGTGCCTAGCATACTGCTCTTAAAAATTTATTAAGTAAATGAATGAATTTATTAATGTGATTCAGACTAGAGGATGCCCTCCAAAATTCTCATTTTTTTCCTGTCTATTAAGATTCTTTGGTTTTTGGTCAAAGCCCTTTAACTGGATATATGGGGGACTTATTTTTTTGGCTGAAGATCTTGGAGTCTTCAGCTCCACAGCAATCTGATCCCTTCCTCTTTCCTCCAGTCAGTCACTGGGTTCCATCATTCTACCTTTCCAGTGCCTTCTTCTTTCCATCCTCTCTGCCTCTATCCTGGTTTCATCACCTCTCACCTGGATAGCACCGTGGCCTCTAAACTGGTTCCCCTCACACTGTAATCCATCCTTCATCTTGCTGTCAGAGCACTTTTCTATAACCAAAATAGATCATGTTATTCCCCCAACCCCAGAAAAAAAAAATGCTCATTGGCTCCTTGTGGGCAACATCAGTGTCAGTTCCTCAGCATGGTGTCCAAGCCCCTACTGATCGAACATTTCTAGGCTCATGTTCTCTTCTGTAGACCCCACAAACAGCCACAGCCCCATCCCTCACTTGCCAATTCCTGCTCTGTCATTCCCTCCCCATCTCTTTGCCTTTGTTCCCGTTCTTCCTTCAGCTCAGGCTGTTCATTTCCTCTCTTGAAACCTATTGAAATCTTTCCATGCTGGGACGGGTCAGCTCAAAAGCTACTTGTCAGGCAATACAATGGAGCAAAGGTAGTCTTTTTTACAAATGGTGCTGGAACAACTGAACATCCACATACAAAAAAGTGAATCTAGACACAGAGCCTACACCCTTCGCAAAAATAACTCAAAATGGATCATAGACCTAAATGTAAAAAGAAAAACTCTAAAACTCATAGAAAATAACATAGCAGAAAATCTAGACAGTGTTAGCTATGGCGATCACTTTATTTATTTTTTTTGAGATGGAGGCTCACTCTGTTGCCCAGGTTGGAGTGCAGTGGTGCAATCTCGGCTCACTGCAACCTCCACCTCCCAGGTTCAAGTGATTCTCGTGCCTCACCCTCCCTGAGTAGCTGGAATTACAGGCGCTCACCACCACCCCCGGCTATTTTTTGTATTTTTAGTAGAGATGGGGTTTCACCATGTTGGCCAGGCTGGTCTTGAACTCCTCAGCTCAGGTGATCCACCGGCCTTGGCCTCCCAAAGTGCTGGGATTACAGGAGTGAGCCATCGTGCCTGGCCAGCAATCACTTTTAAAATACAACACCAAAGGCACAATCCATGAAAGAAATAATTGATAAGTGGGACTTTAAAATTAAAAACTTCTGTTCTGCGAAAGACAATGTCAAGAGAATGAGAAGACAGGCCACAGAATGGGAGAGAACATTTGCAAAAGACACATCTTTTAAAGCGTTAGTATCAAAAATATATAAAGAGCTCTTAAAACTCAGTAATAAGAAAACAATTTAAAAATGGGTTAAAGACCTTAACAGACAGATCACCAAAGAAAGCACACAGATGCAAATAAGCAAATGAAAAGATGCCCCACATCATATGTCATCAGGGAAATTCCAATTAAAACAAGATGCCACTACACACCAATTTGAGTGGTCAAAATCTAGAACACTGACAACAGCAAATGATGGTGAAGACGTGGAGCAACAGGAACTTTCATTCATTGATTGTAGTAATACAAAATTGTGCAGCCACTTTGAAAGAGAGTTTGGCAATTGTATACAAAACTAAATATACTCTTGCCATATGATCCAGCAATTATGCTCCTTGCAATTTATTTAAAGGAGTTGAAAACATACCCACACAAGCATGCACATGGACACATGGATGTTTACAACAGCTTTCCTTTTTTAAAAAAATTATTTAAAAATTTTTATCTATTTATTTATTTACTTTGAGACCCAGTTATAAGACTGGGTAATTTTTGTATTTTTAGTAGAGATGGGGTTTTGCCACATTGTTCAGGCTGGTCTGAAACTCCTGGCTCCAGCTATTTGCCTGCTTTGGCCTCCCAAAGTGCTGGGATTATAGGTGTGTGCCACCATGCCCAGCCAACAGCTTTCTTTATAATTGACAAAATTTGGAAGCAACCAAGATGTCCTTTAGTAGATGAACAGATGAATGAACTGTGGTACATGCAGGGAATGGAGTATTATTCAGCACTAAAAAGGAATGAGCTATCGAGCAATAAAGAGACATGGAGGAAATGTAAACGTGTGTTACTAAGTGAAAGAAGCCAATCCAAAAAGGTTACCTGCTGTGGTTCCAACTAGATGACATTCTGGAAAAGGCAAAACCGTGAGGGAAGTAAAAGGATTCATGGTTGTCATGGGGTTGGGTGGAGAGAGGGATGAGTAGGCAGAGCACAGAAGGTTTTTAGGGCAATGAAGATACTCTGTAAGATACTATATTGAGGGATACATGTCATTACACATTTTACCAAACCCATAGAATGAATTCCAGTGTAAACTATGTTTACATATGTTCCAACATTTCAGTGTAATGCAGTCCAATTCCAAAGTATTCATTGCATGCATGAATTCCAATGTAAACTATGAACTTTGGGTAATGATGTGTTAGTATAGGTTTTTATCCATTGTAATACATGTACCATCCTGCTGGGGGCTGTTGACAATGCGGGAGGCTATGCATGTGTAGGGGCAGTAGGTACATGGAAAATCTCCATAACTTCCTCTTAATTTTGCTGTGAACCAAAAACTGCTCTAAAGAAGTAAAGTCTTGGGGGGAAAAAAAGGCACTTGTCTACAGCTTTCCCACTCTCACCCAGTCAGAATTTCTCCTTCCTCTGGGAGCGTGACCTGGGTGCCTCTATTTCTTGGCTTTTATTAATACTCAGCCTTGAAATGTAGCTGGCTTGTCAACCTCACTAGACTATTAGTTCCTAAGAACAAGAACCAAGTATTATTCGTACTGGCCCAGCATTGTGCTTTGCTCATAGCAGAGGATCAATAGATGTTTATTGAATGAATCAATCTGCCCCACAGCAAGGTCCCTCTTAGTCTATCACATAAAAATTCCATTTGTGTTTTACATTTTAAGGTCAGTTATTATAATATAAGGTTATAATAAGAGTTAAGAGATTGCATAAGAGCCTGAACAATGATGCTGTTTTCTACCATTATGGCATAACCTGAAAATATGTGCAAATAAAGGTAGAGATACCAGCAAATATGAATGAATAATAAGGAAAGGAAATCAATAGTTTTGAATCATATTATTACTTTGTCTTTTGTTGTTACCAGTCTACATTCCCAATCTATGAGTAGTGAATGAGATGAATTAGCGCTAGCTTATTTCTTAATTGTGGAATTTGCTGGAAGGCCATAGTGGAATCTTTCTCTCAGAATTATGCAGGCTAGAATGAGATGCCAAAACCTCATTTTAAATAGATTCCAGTAAAATAAAACAAATTTATTGCATTATAATAAAATATATCACATTAAAGAAATTGTTTTTGCTGATATACTTGTTCTATTTATCTATATAATAAAAGAATATATTTTTGTGAAATGTTTTGAATCAGTGTAAAACTGTTCACTTTCCCTCAATCTGTTTCACAGTCAGCATCTCTAGCGAAGTACCAGGAGAGAAGATGGGAGAGGCCACAGCCACAGGAAGCAGTGACTTGGTGTTGATTAGACTAGATTAAATATAACTCAGTGGAACTCTGCTTTGCTCTTCCCCACCCCTTTTCCATTTGGTGGGGCTAGTGAGCGGAGGCGTGAGGAATGGTGGTGGAAGGAGCATAATTCGATTTCTTTTTTTTTTTTTTTAATTTTAATTTTTTTTATTGATCATTCTTGGGTGTTTCTCGCAGAGGGGGATTTGGCAGGGTCGTAGGACAATAGTGGAGGGAAGGTCGGCAGATAAACAAGTGAACAAAGGTCTCTGGTTTTCCTAGGCAGAGGACCCTGCGGCCTTCCGCAGTGTTTGTGTCCCTGGGTACTTGAGATTAGGGAGTGGTGATGATTCTTAACGAGCATGCTGCCTTCAAGCATCTGTTTAACAAAGCACATCTTGCACCGCCCTTAATCCATTTAACCCTGAGTGGATACAGCACACGTTTCAGAGAGCACAGGGTTGGGGGTAAGGTCACCGATCAACAGGATCCCAAGGCAGAAGAATTTATCTTAGTACAGAACAAAATGAAAAGTCTCCCATGTCTACTACTTTCTACACAGACACGGCAACCATCCGATTTCTCAATCTTTTCCCCACCTTTCCCCGCTTTCTATTCCACAAAACCGCCATTGTCATCCCGGCCCGTTCTCAATGAGCTGTTGGGTACACCTCCCAGACGGGGTGGTGGCCAGGCAGAGGGTCTCCTCACTTCCCAGTAGGGGCGGCCGGGCAGAGGTGCCCCTCACCTCCCGGACGGGGCGGCTGGCCGGGCAGGGGGCTGACCCCCCCACTTCCCTCCCGGATGGAGCGGCTGGCCGGGCAGAGGGGCGCCTCACTTCCTAGTAGGGGCGGCCGGGCAGAGGCGCCCCTCACCTCCCGGACGGGGCGGCTGGCCGGGCGGGGGGCTGACCCCCCCACCTCCCTCCCGGATGGGGCGCCTTTCTTTATGGGCCCATGAGGCCTCTTTTTGCTTCTTCCCTGTTTTACTAACACAAACAAATTAAGCTGAATAACAAAAGCTAATAAGCAAGGAGAAGGGTTTTGAATAGTGGTTGTGCATTCTAGAGGCTTTAGTTAAAATTTTTAGGTTTTTTTTTTTTAAAGAACACTGACTTATTTTTACTGTTTAAAATATTTTTTTGAATGGCCAATGGACATACATGGGATGCCACACAGATTGCTTTCTCCTTCGTCTGTCTAGCCATCTATTTTTTTTTCCCCAGAAGCAACCATGTTCACTGCTTTTTTGGGTGTAAATCCAGGGATATTCTGTGTTTTTAAGCAAAAAGCCAGTTTTATTATATCCATCTGTGAAAAAAAATCTTTTCTACACAAATAGCAGTATTTTTTTACATCTATTGATCTTACCTTGCTTTGTTCAACTGTGTGTGTGTATGTGATCCTGGAGATTTTCCATGTCAGTGCATAAAATAGCAGCCTCATTCTGGCTAAATATAGTATTTTACTATATAATTGGAGCCTAATTTACTTAACTAGTCCTCTGTTGAGCATTTGGAATGCTTCTAATCTCTTGCTATTATGCAGAGGATTGCAATGAATATCCTTGTACCTATATTATTTCCCACATATGTGAGTATAGTAGTAGGATATATTCCTAAAAGAATCACTTAATTAGTCAAAAGGCACATGTATTTCTTTTTGGATGGACATTGCCAAAGACCCATTCACACTCAAAAGCAATGTGTAATATTGCCTGTTTTCCACATCTTTCCAATTCTCTTGTCTCTCTCTTTCTCTTTTAACACGTAGAGCTGTGCTGTATCAGAAAATTATAAGAGTATCAATACGTCCAAGTTAGCTTGTAAGAAAAGGTGTTTTTAAGTATCATTTGCATATAGATAGGTAGAGAAAAATACAGTGAAGAAAATTAGAATCTGTTTCCTTGATCTCAATACTGCCTGAAGAAACATTCCAAAGTAGCATTCAAGCAGAGTGCCTGCATATAGATGGTGCTCAGTAAATATTTGTAGAATGACTCCTGTGGCTCTATTGACTTTTGATAAATTCTTGGAGAGGTATAGTCAAATGACCTAACTTAAAGCCTCATAGTGGTAACAAGATTTTACATTTAAATTATATTTATCTCTGGGATTCATTTTAATATATGCATCTTTTAAGAATTATTCAGCTTAATTGGTTATTTGGCTAACCACTTGTAGGTTGTATGGGAAAAATAAATGCAGAAAACATACTATTAAAAGCAAATTTGTTCTTTAAAGAAGAATTCTGGCCAGGCACCATGGCTCATGCCTGTAATCCCAGCACTTTGGGAGGTCGAGGCGGGCGGATCACTTGAGGTCAGGAGTTCGAGACCAGCCTGGCCAACATGGTGAAACTCTGTCTCCACTAAAAATAAAAACATTAGCCAGGTGTGGTGGTGCACACTTGTAATCCTAGCTTCTTGGGAGGCTAAGGCAGGAGGATTTCTTGAACCCAGAAGGCAGAGGTTGCAGTGAGCTGAGATTGCGCCACTGCACTCCAGTCTGTGTGACAGACTGAAACTCACTCTCTCTCTCAAAAATAAATAAATAAATAAATAAATAGATAAATAAAAGAAGAATTCTAAAACTAAGTTTAGAAAATTTTCCTTCCCCAACATTTATTTTAAATTTGGAGATATATGTGCATGTTTGCTACCTGAGTATGTTGCATCATTCTGAGGTTTGGGGTATGAATGATACCGTCCCCCACATACTGAGCAAAGGACCCAACAGTTAGTTTTTCAACTCTTGTCCCTCTCCTTCCCTCCCACCTCTAGTTGTTTCAATTTCTATTGTTGCAATCTTTATGTCTCTGAGTAGGCAATATTTAGCTCCCACTTATAAGTGAGAACATGTGGTATTTGGGTTTCTGTTCCTGCATTAATTTGCTTAGGATAATGGCCTCCAACCTAATCCATGTTGCTGCAAAGGACATGATTTCATTCTTTTTTATGACTGCATAATATTCCATGGTATATATGTATCACATTTTTAAAATCCAGTTCACTGTTGATGGGCATCTAGGTTGACTCCTTGGTATTGTGAATAGTGCTTCAATGAACACGCGAGCGCATGTGTCTTTTGGGTAAAACCATTTGTTTTCTTTTGGCTCTATATCCAATAATGGGATTGCTGGGTCAAATGCTAGTTCTAAGTTCTTTGAGAAATCTCAGAACTGCTTTCCACAGTGGCTGAACTAATTTACATTCCCACCACCAGTGTATTAGCATTCCTTTTACACTGCAGCCTTGCCAGCATCTGTTATTTTTATTATTATTTTTTAATAGCCATTTTGATTGGTGTGAGATCGTATCTCATTGTAGTTTTGATTTACATTACTCTGATGATTAGTGATATGGAGCATTTTTTCATATGTTTGTTGGCTGCTTATATATTTTCTTTTGAGAAATGTAGAAATGTCTGTTCATATCTTTTGCCCATTTTTAAATGAGGTTATTTGGTTTTTGCTTGTCGAGTTAAGTTCCTTATAGATTCTAGATATTAGACCTTTGTCAGATACATAGTTTATGAATATTTTCTCTCACTTTGTAGATTGTCTGTTTACTGTATTGATAGTTTCTTTTGCTGTGCAAAAGCTCTTTAATCAGGTCCCAATTGTCAATTTTTGTTTTTGTTGCAATTGCTTTTGAGGACTTAGTCACAAATTCTATCCCACAGCCCATGTCCAGAATGGTGTTTCCTAGGTTTTCTTCTAGAATTTTTATAGTTTGAGGCCTTACATTTAAATACTTAATCCAACTTAATTTTTGTATATGGTGACAGGTAGAGGTCCAGTTTCATTCTTCTGCATATGGCTAGCCAGCTATCTCAGCATCATTTATTGAATACGGAGTCCTATCCCCATTGCTTATTTCTGTCGACTTTGTTGAAGATCAGATGGCTGTAGGTGTGTGGCTTTATTCTGGGTTCTCTATTTTGTTCCATTGGTTGATACATCTGTTTTTGTACCAGTACCATGCTGTTTTGGTTACTGTAGCCTCATAGTATAGTTTGAAGTCAGGTAATGTGAAGGCTCCAGCTTTGTTCTTTTTGCTTAGGATTGCTGTGGCTAATCAGGCTCCTTTTGGGTTCCATATGAATTTTAGAATAGTTTTTTCTAAATCTGTGAAAAATGATGTTGGTATTTTGATAGGAATAGCATGGAATCTGTAGACAGCTTTGGGCAGTATGGCCATTTTAATATTATTAATTTTTCTAATCCATGAGCATGGAATATTTTTCCATTTGTTTGTGTCATGTAAGATTTCTTTTAGCAGTGTTTTGTAGTTCTCCTTGCAGAGATCTTTCACTTTCTTGATGTATTCTGGTAGTTTTATTTTATTTTGTCTATTGTAAATGGAATTGCTTGATTTGGCTCTCAGCTTGAATGTTATTGGTGTATAGAAATGCTACTGATTTTTGTGCATCAATTTTCTATCTTGAAACTTAACTGAAGTCGTTTATCAGTTCCAGGATGCTTTTGGTAGAGTCTTTAGAGTTTTCTAGGTATAGAATCACATTATTTGTAAAGAGAGCTAGTTTAACTTCTTTTTCTATTTGGATGCCTTTTATTTCTTTCTCTTGCCTGCTTGCTCTGGCTAGCACTTCCAGTACTATGTTGAATAGGAGTGGTGAGATGGGCATTCCTGTTTTGTTCCAGTTCACAAGGGGAATGCTTCTAGTTTTTCCCGTTCAGTATGATGTTGGCCCTGGGTTTGTCATAGATGGCTAGTTTCTGGAGGATTTTTATCATGAGGGGATGCTGGATTTTATTAAAAGCTTTTCCCATGTCTATTGAGATACACAGATGGTTTTAATTCTGTTTATGTGGTGAATCACATTTATTGATTTGTATATGTTAAACCAAACTTGCATCCCACGAATGAAGCCTACTTGATGATGATGAATTAACTTTTTAATGTGCTGCTGGGTTTTGTTTGCTAGTATTTTGTTAAGGATTTTTGCATCTATGTTCATCAGGGATATTGGCCTGTAGTTTTCTTTTTTCATTGTGTCTCTGCCAGAATTTGGTATCAGGGTGATGCTGGCTTCATAGAGTAAGTTAGGGAGGAATCCTACCTCCTTAATTTTTTGGAATAGTTTCAGTAGAATTGGTACCAGCTCTTCTTCTGGCAGAATGTAGCTGTGGATTCATCTGGTCTGAGGCTTGTTTTTTTTTTTTTTTTTTTGGTAGGTTTTTAATTACTGCTTCAAGTTTGGAATTCCGTATTGGTCTGTTCAGGGTTTCAGTTTCTTACTGATTCAATCTTGGGAGAGTGTGTATTTCTAGGACTTTATCCACTTCCTCTAGATTTTCTAGTTTGTGTGCATAGAGGTGCTCATTATAGTCTCTGAGGATCTTTTGTATTTCTGTGAGATCACTTGTAATGTCACTTCTGTTGTTTCTGATTGTACTTATTTGGATCATCTTTTGTTTGTTTGTTTGTTAATCTAGCTAGCAGTCTATCAATATGGTTTATCCTATCAAGGAATCAATTTTTTGTTTTGCTTGTTGTTTGTATGAATTTTTGGGTCTCAATTTCATTGAGTTCTGCTCTAATTTTAGATTTTTAATTTCGTCTGATAGCTTTGAAGTTAGTTTTGTCTTGTTTTTCTAGTTGCTGTAGGTGTTATGTTAGATCATTAATTTGGGCTTTCTAACTTTTTAAGGTAGGCATTTAGCACTATAAACTTTCCTCTTAACACTGCCTTTGCTGCATCCCAGAGATTTTGTATGTTCTATTCCTGTTTTCATTTATTTTTAAGAATTTTGTGATTTCTGTGTTAATTTTGTTGTTTACCCAAAAATCATTCAAGAACAAGTTGGTTAATTTCCATGTGACTGTGTGGTTGAGAAAACATTTGAAAGAAGGAAAAACAACACTAGTCCTCGAATTCTGGCATTTTAGTATATGTTTCCTCAGTCTTTTCACTCCCTATGTTTATAGTAATGTGTATGTATCATACACACATATCTGTCACGTATAAATATAGATTCATCATTACGTATTTTACAGAATTAAAACCAGTGAAAAAATAATTACATTGCCAGCATTAGGCTCAATAATATACATTCTTTTATTATTTTAAAACAAACTTTTTATCAAGTTTTGTGGCTTCCTAAAACTTTACCAGCTGAATATATATTAATTTATTTAAACATTGCCTTGTTCAACATTTGGGTCACTCTTCTCACTATAAATGACATTATGGTCAGCATCTTTTTCTGTTTCTTTATAATGTATTTTCAAAACAGAATGTTTAGAACGAAGGGTACAAACAGGCTCAAGGTTCTGCCTCGAGTCTCTTCTCTGTTCACTGTTGACGTGTACCTGGGCAATCCAATCTTCCTGCAAAGCTTCAATCACTCCCTTTGTGCTGAGGACCCACAAGTCTATATGTTTAGGCTAGACCTTTTATAATACTCCAGATCTATATATATTTACCATTGTCTATCTTCCCCTCCATTCCCACAAGCACCTCAAATCCACTGCTCACAACTGGACTCATGTTTTTCACCGGATTCTGACCTCCTACTAGCTGCCAAATCTTGGTAAGTAGTGCTTGTATCCACCAGGTACTCTAACCAGAAACAGAGTCATCCTGGATACCTCCCTTTCCCTCTGCTTCTCTGTCTTGCTGGTGTCTTAATAAGTGCTGCTTCCACATTCCTTGCGGTTTCTCTTCATCTGCTTTATTGCATCATGGCTTATGGTCCTGCTGTAGTTTCCTAACCAGTCCTTTGGTTGACACTGTTGATACTCAAGGATCAGTTGTTTTCTTCCAGCTTTAAAACCTGTAAGGGCGACCGGGCACGGCGGCTTATGCCTGTAATACCAGGACTTCTGGAGGCCGAGGGGGGCAAATCACTTGAGGTCAAGAATTCGAGACCAGCCTGGCCAACAGGGTGAAAACCCATCTCTATTAAAAATACAAAAATTAAGCCTGGGCGACAAGAGCGAAACCCCGTCTAAAAAAAAAAAAAAAAAAAAAATTAGCCAGGTGTGGTGGCAGGCTCCTGTAATCCCAGCTACTTGGGAGGCTGAGGCAGGAGAATCGCTTGAACCCGGGAGGTGGAGGTTGCAGTGAGCCAAGATCATGCCACTGCACTCCAGCCTGGGCGACAGAACGGGACACCATCTCAAACAAACAAACAAATAACCCCAAAAAACAATCTGTAAGGGCTCCCAATTATCTTGTGTTTGTCAAACATTTCCACTAAAATACCCCTAACAGGCAATGCCAACATAGACTGTTAGTTAAGAACACCTTTGAAATCCTTGTTTTATCTTAAAAATTCACATGAACTCTAAGGTTTATTTGATTATATGTTTGGGTTTATCCTCACATAAAATAATTCAGCTTCCAAAATCTTTCAGTGAAATTGATGTGCCCTGGCTGGGCACACCTGTAATCCCAGCACTTTGGGAGGCTGAAGTGGGCAGATCACCTGAGGTCAGGAGTTCGAGACCAGCCTGGCCAACATGGAGAAACCCTGTCTCTACTAAAAATACTAAAAAATACCAGTGGGTGTGGTGGCAGGGGCCTGTAATCCCAGCTACTCGGGAGGCTGAGGCAGGAGAATCGCTTGAACCTGGGAGGTGAAAGTTGCAGTGATCCGAGATCGCGTCATTGCACCTGGGCGACAAGAGCGAGACTCTGTCTCAAAAATAAAATAAAATAAAATAAAATAAAATAAAATAAAATAAAATAATAATAATAAGAAAAAGAAATTCATGTGCCCTGTAAGTGGGCAATAACCTTTTATGACTTTCTCTGTGACATAACCCCACTTGCAAACACACCAGTTTGAATAACATGGCTTCTAGAATAAAATCTGCACAGCTCAGCGTGGCATGGAACCTCAGCATGTACTGTATCTCTGGGTCCTCACTTCTCACTACTGCTTCCTGTCATCCTTCATCAGAGCCATACAGGGCCTCTTGCTGTCCTCACCACATTCCATCCTGTTGACATGCCACATATTTTCTTCAGGTCTCCACCTGTGTCCCTTACCTAGAATGCCCTCTTGACCCTGCATCCTTTGCTTTATTCACCTTCTGCCCTACAGTTTAGTCTACCCTGGTGTCAAATACATTCTTAATTTTCAAATCTGCCCTTCTCTCCTCTATGAAGACTTTTCTGACTTTACCAAGTGTGAATACATGTGTGCGTATTTATATCTATCTATTTCTATTATAGTTTCTGTGATGGTTAATTTTATGTGTCAATTTGGCTAGGCCACAGCACCTATATAATATTTGGTCAAACATTACTCTTAATGTTTTGTGAGGGTATTTCTGGATGAGATTAACATTTAAATCAGTGGGCTTTGGGTAAGGCAGATTACCCTCCATAAAGTGGGTGGGCCTCATCCAATCAGTTAAAGCCCTGAATAGAACAAAAAGAGGCTGGGCATGGTTGCTCACACCTGTAATCCCAGCACTGTGGGAAGCTGAAGCAGGGAGATCACCTGAGGTCAGGAGTTTGAGACCAGCCTGGTCAACATGGTGAAACCCTGTCTCTACTAAAAATACGAAAATTAGCTGGACGTGGTGGTGCATGCCTGTAATTCTAGCTACTTGGGATGCTGAGGCAGGAGAAGCACTTGAACCCAGGAGGCAGAGGTTGCAATGAGGTGAGATTGCACCACTGCACTCCAGCCTGGGTGACAGAGTGAGACTGTCTCAAAAAAAAGAAAAGAAAGAAATGACCAGCCCCACCCCTCCTGCTCTTCTCTTTAGCAAGAGTGAATTCTGCCTTCAGACTTGAACTGCAACGTGGGCACATCCCTGGGTTTCCAGCCTGCTGGCCTACCCTGTAGATTTTGGACTTGCCAACCTCTGTAATTGTGTGAACCAATGCCTTAAACACGCTGTCTCTCTCTATACATCCAATTGGTTCTGTTTATCTCTTTTCCCTTCTCCACTCCCTCTTTCTCTCTCTTTTTTTCCCCTTCCCTTCACTCATTCTAATCTCAGTGATTTGAAACTCCATGAAGACAGGGAATCTGTGGCATCTGTCTCTGCTTCCCAAGTACCTAGCTCACAATGTGGCAGATAGAAGGCATTCATTTCATATTTTTGAATAAATGGAGGAATGGATCATGTTTCCTTTTTTTTTTTTCTTTTTTTTTTCTGAGGCAGAGTCTCACTCTATCACCCAGGCTGGAGCATGATCTTGGCTCACTGCAACGTCCACTCCCAACAGGTTCAAGCAATTCTCCCACCTCAGCCTCCCAAGTAGCTGGGATTACGGGCATGCACCACCATGCCCAGCTAATTTTTGTACTTTTAGTAGAGACGGGGTTTCCCCATATTGGTCAGGCTGGTTTCAAACTCCTGACCTCATGTGATCCACCCACCTCAGCCTCCCGAAGTGCTGGGATTACAAGTGTGAGCCACCACGCCCGGCCTTGGATCATGTTTCTGATGTGCCTCACCAAATTGCTTTCTTACGCCCCGAGAGATATATGCCATCCCAGTTACAGCGCCCAGCTTAGATGATCACATTAAACATTTTGGGCAATAACCTAATAGATAAATGTTACACTGTTTTATTTTAATATTATTTTTGATTATGAGGAGGCTGCTCATTCTCTCATGTTTGTTTATTTTCATGAATTGAGACTCTATGCTTTTTAAATTTCTTTAACCTACCAGAGTCTTGGAGATTTTCTTCACATTTTGTGTGGACTATTAACATTATTTTTATGTAATGTTTGATTCTGAAGTGTTTATATAAAAACGATAATAAACCATTCTCTGCTGTATTTGCTGCAAATACTTTTTTTTCACATGGTTGCTTATCTCCATTTTGGTACCTTTTAAAATAACAATTCTTCACATAATAAAGGTATATTTATATATACAATTCAATGTGGTATATGCCATGGTTCTCTAAAGATGCAGATAATAATATTCTTAGATTAGGCTTTTATTATATTTTGAAAGCAATGCATTCAAATGGGAAGGTATAATTAGAATCTAAATATCTGCCCTTGATGATCCATTTAGTATGCAGTAGCCAGAAGGAGTCTCTTAAAAAGCAAGGTCATGTTGTTCCTTGGTTCAAAACTCTCCAGCGCTTTCCCAACCTATGCAGAATAAAATCCAAAGTCCTTCCTTCGACACAGAACCTCCATTATCTTGCCTCTGACCACTTCTGCCTCTTCTTCTACTCCTCTCTCTCTTCCTCCCTCAGCTCTAGCCAGACACTCTCCTGGCTCTTCCTGAAACCCACCAAAGATTCTCCCAATGCGGGCCTTTACATGACTGTTCCTTCTGTGTGCACTGTCTTTCCCTAGACTTCCTCCCCTCCCAAGCGTCATCAGGGTGGGCTTCCCCAGGCCACCTAAAATAGCTCACCAACCCTCACTGCTGCACTGTCTAGCATGTGTAACAACCTGACTTTCTTTGTTTTCTTCATTGCTGTTTTCCCCAATAATCAGCTAGTTGAATACATGAATGACTAAATTCAAGGATGCATCTGATAACCTCTGAGGTGACAACTATATAAAATGCATTTGGTATTTTTTTAATTGTAAAAAAAAAATCCCTTTCTCTTACATATTAAAAATACTCCTAACATTAGTGTTGTTTTTTTTTGTTTGTTTGTTTTGTTTTTTGGCACCTTCTGTGTTCTATAGTTCACTAGGGTTTTGTGGAGTTTGGGAAATGCTGTTCTGCAAGACAGAATAAAGGCAAGGTGACTGCCCATCTGTCTCTTGTCATTATTCAGCATACCTCAGCGTTTCAAACAAATATAAAAGGTGGTAGATAAAAAGAATATCATCATTTACCTACATCTGTGTTTGAGAATAGCATTCAAAAGAGATGGTTTTAATAACAGAAAAGTTACTTCATAAGGAGTTTGGATTAAAAACAAGAATATAAATTGAAAGAGAATTGGGAATCTGAAAATAAGGAAAATATTTAATAACATTAGTGACCCAGGAGGAATATAATGCAATAATGCTTATGAGATGATAAAAATGGTAACAAGGACCCAAAAAATCAAAGCACTTATATAGGCATGAAATTTACGAAAATAAAAAATAGCATGACTTCTCAAATGCAAATGATACAGCTGGAGGAAAATTATCAGAGAGATGTATTTTGTTATCAGTGAAATCAGAAATGCAAAAAACACTGAAAAGTGGCCAGTATAGTGGAAAAGGTATTAGTAGGTAAGAGCTTTTTAAAAACCTTACTCATATGCTGACAGAAAGACTGGAGGCCTCCTAAAGACTGAGCAGCATGGGAGTGTTACCTGCTGAAACAGGGACAATAAAATTATTGGGCTTCAAAATCAGTACCAAATAAAAAATCAGTAGCTTAGTGTCCCAAGAGCCAAGGGAGTAATTCTGCCACCTCCCCCATGTCTCACTTCAAAAATAGCATTTTTATGTGCTGCTTACTCATTGACTTTGAAAACTAAGTTATTTGTAAAAGATTTATTTTTTTATTTTATTTTATTTTATTTTATTTTATCTTATCTTATTTTATTTTATTTTATTTTATTTTATTGAGACAGGGTCTGGCTCTGTCACCCAGGCCGGAGTGCAGTGGCACAGCCTGGGCTCAGTGCAACCTCCGCCTCCTGGGCTCAAGCAATCCTAACCACCTCAGCCTTCCGAGTAGCTGGGACTACAGGCATACGTCACCATGCCCAACTAATTTTTGTATTTTTTTGGTACAGACAGGGTTTTGTCATGTTGCCCAGGCTGGTCTCAAACTCCTGAGCTCAAGTGATCCACTTGCCTTGGCCTCCCCAAATGCTGGGAGTACAGGCATGAACCATTGCGCCTGGCTTGTAAAAGGTTTTTAAACTTTGTTTGTAATGTCATTATCAAAAACTTCAGCAAATATATTTATTCATGATGTTGCAATAGATGTTATAAATAAACTAGATATTGTCCTTCAAATGCAAATTCTTACACATTTACTCACAAGAATAATCAGAGAAATAAAACAACAATATAGTGTTTTGTGTATACACACAAAATGAGTCTCAAGCATTATTTATAATCTGTTGTTACAAAAAAGTCATTTTAAAAAGCTTCTGGGCATGTTCTGCCTAAGGATCATGAAATATAAAACAGGGAGAGGAAATGATTTTTGCATATAATCAGTGTCTAGATTAGGAAAAGAACAACTTAAGAGCAACTTAACAAAAGATAGAATAGCTCTTTTTAGCAGTGTATTAGCTAGAAAATAGCTCTGAATAGGAAGAGAAGAAAAGGAAAGCTTTTTGTATTTTCTTTAAATCTTAGAAACAAAAGATTTCCAGTTAGCCTGTGATCTTCTACCCTAGAAAGAATGAAGTTTGCAAAAATATGTTTAAGGTTGATGAGACAGAGGAGTGCTGAAAGGGATTAATATATTCCCCAGTTGAGTAGTGCTAAGGAGGGAGATAATAGCTGACTAATATTTCTAGTAGATACATTATTTTAAAAGGACAAATTAGCATGGTAGATGGCAATGAAATATGAAAAGGTAAGATAGTAGCAGTAATGAATACAAGGAAAAAGAAAAATTGAGCTGAATGTTAGACAAAGCTTATGAAAGAATTCTTGGTCAAAGTAATAGATACAAAGTAGGAAATGAAATGTTTATAAAAGACTCTGTACTGGTCAGAGTTTCATGAAAAGGCACAGAATCCCCTATGGCTAGTTTTAAGGGGATTTTATTTTTATTTTTATTTTTTGAGACAAGGTCTCACTCTGTCACCCAGGCTGGAGTATAGTAGTTTGATCTTGGCTGACTGCAACCTCCGCCTCCCAGGCTCAGGCAATCCTTCTGCCTCATCCTCCTGAATAACTGGGATTACAGGCACGTGCCACCACGCCTGGCTAATTTTTGTATTTTTTTGTAGAGATGGGGTTTCACCATTGTTGCCCAGGCTGGTCTCGAAATCCCGGGCTCAGGTGATCTGCCTGCCTAGGCCTCCCAAAGTGCTGGGATTACGGGCTTGAGCCACCATGACTGGTAGCAGAGGAGATTAAAAAAAAAAAGTATAAAACATTTTTCAGAGCCTTCTTGGAAGACTTGACCAGGAAGGCTACTGTCTCTTCCAAGACGAGGAAGGAGCACATTCAGAGGACAGCCAAGAAGGTGAGCTGCTTTGAATGAACCACACACTTCCATAATGGTAGCAGGCAGTAGGACCATGGAAGCCATAGAAAAGCAACTTCCATCTTTCTTCCATGCTTTAAAAGCCGAGGTGAGCGCACCAAAGAGGTAGAACCTAAGTCACACCCAGATCCCTAGCTTAAGGAGTTCTAGAAATGCAGCTTTTATTTATTTTTATTTTTTATTTTTTTTGAGACGGAGTCTTGCTCTGTCGCCCAGACTTGAGTGCAGTGGTGCGATCTTGGCTCACTGCCACCTCCACCTCCCGGATTCAAGCGATTCTCCTGCCTTAGCCTCCTGAATAGCTGCGACTACAGGAATGGGCCACCAAGCCCGGCTAATTTTTTGTATTTTTAGTAGAGATGGGGTTTCACCATATTGGCCAGGCTGGTCTCAAATTCCTGACCTCGTGATCCACCCACCTCGGCTTCCCAAAGTTCTGGGATTACAGACGTGAGCCACAGCCGCCGGCCGCAGCTTTTATCTTTTTGGCCTCAGCAGTACAGGAAGGCACTTAGAAAGAGTTTGGAATGGATGGAGAGTGCCTATGCCCATAATGCACACTACTGACTTCATTCTTAGAGAAACTGAAAGGAGAACACCTAAAACAACAAAATCAGAAACATAATTAAGAACCAGTTCTTCTGGTCGGACATGGTGGCTCACATCTGTAATCCCAGCACTTTGGGAGGCTGAGTTGGAAGGATCGTTTAAGCCCAGGAACTTGAGACCAGCCTGGGCAATATAGTGAGACTCTATCTCTATGAAAAATAAAAAATAAATTAGTCAGGTATGATGGCTCACACTGGTAATCCCAGCTACACTCAGAAGGCTGAGGTGGAAGGATTGATTGAACCGAAGATGTTGAGGCTTTTAGTAGAGACTGCAGTGAGCCATGATTACACCACTGCACTCCAACCTGGGCAACAGAGCTAGATCCTATCTTAAAAACAAAAACAAAAAAACCCAAAAAACCAGTTCTTCCTAAGTCTCAGCATTCATTGTTAGCTCTCCCTAAGTATCAAAAGGACTGTTATAAAGGATTTGAAAGACAACATTTAAAATAAGAGTGAGAAATACCTTCAAGTTACACTTTTATTTGGAAACTGTGATACTATTGTTGTGACATTGTTACTTGTAGGAGGCAGCAAAGAAGAAAGTAAGTTGTCTGGCATTGGTAAGTTCCGGAGAATCAAGTGCAGATAAGATTGTTTTAGATACACTATGATGAGGATAAAAGGCCCTAAAACCATCATCAAGAAGTCAGGCCAGCACTAATTCTAAGTGTGTTAATGTCTAAAATGATAGCTGGGTTTTCTAGCAATATGATGGAATTGTGGCACATACTGTGATAAAAGCTCCTGCTACAAACACATCTAAAATGATCAAGAAAACAATGTAAATACACGGCACAGTTCTCAAAAATGTTCCTGAGGGTACAAGAGTGAAGAGGGAGCTGGAATAATGGCTGAAGCTGAAGCAAAAGCTGCAGGCTTGCTTGGGATGTTTGCTGGTCTCTGACCTGGAGGCTTGTTTCAATGGCCACATGTGGTGGAGGCAGGGGATCAGTATTTGGGTTCTCAGTTTGCAGGAAAAGGGAGCAAGACCCAGACACACACCTGGCAGTCTCAGAGCAGGACTCTTTCTTTTCTTTCCTTTCCTTCCCTTCCTTCCCTTCTCTTTTTTTCTTTCTTTCCTTCTTTCTTTTTTTCTTTCTTTCTCTTTCTTTCTTTCTTTCTTTCTTTCTTTCTTTCTTTCTTTCTTTCTTTCCTTTCTTTTCTTTCTTTCTTTCTTTCTTTCTTTCTTTCTTTCTTTCTTTCTTTCTTTCTTTCTCCTTTCTTTCTTTCTTTCTTTCTTTCTTTCTTTCTTTCTTTCTTTCTTTCTTTCTCTTTCTTTCTCTGTCTTTCTTTCTCTTTCTCTCTCTCTCTTTCTTTCTCTCCCCTTCCTTCCTTCCTTCCTTCTTTCCTTCCTTTCTTCCTTTCTTTGATACAGAGTCTTGCTCTGTTGCTGAGGTTGGAGTGCAGTGGTGCGATCTTGGCTCACGGCAACCGTTCAAGCCATTCCTGTGCCTCAGCCTCCCAAGTAGCTGGGATTATAGACATGTGTCATCACACCTGGCTAATTTTCATATTTTTAGTAGAGGTGGGGTTTCACCATGTTGGCCAGGCTGGTCTCAAACTCCTGGCCTCAAGTGATCTGCCCACCTCAGCCTCCCAAAGTGCTGGGATTACAGGTGTGAGCCAACATGCCCGCCCCAAAGTAGGACACTTTCCATGAAAATGTGGGCTACAAAAATCTGCCTTCACGGGAAGATGCCAAACTCTGGCTGGGAAAGAAAAAGGTCTTCCTGGAGAATTCATAACCATATGCCTGACATCTCATGGGTTTGTAAATTCAAACTATTAGCATGGTATGTGGTGGTCCAAGATCAGAAATAGAAATAGTACCTGGGGGATCTTCCGCTACTTCCTTCTTACCATACATTCCCAATCTCTCTCTCTCTCTCTTTTTTTTTTTTTGTCTATTTCATTTTGGATAAAACAGTTCAATTCATATGGTTATTCTGATACCTAAACTGCTCTTCTGCAGTTACACATTGTTTAACTCTTCAACCAAATGAGTAAAAGTAATCATTCATGGCAACTTGATCCCTAAGGAGTCAGATTATGGTTAGAAACAGACACTGAAGTCAGTCAGATTTGACTTTTCATTTGAGCTCAATTCGTAATCTTGAGCAAGTTCCCTCACTTCTCTCTTAGTTTCTTCATCAGCCAAACAGGGATAATAGTAGCATCTACCAATGAGAAGTTCGTGTTGAGCATTTAGCACTTACTTGGCACATAATGAATCCTTAAGAAGTGCCAGCCATGTATCAACAATGGTGAGCAAATCCTTATGATCTAAATTTCTACATATCCAGGATTCTAGGTCCTTAACTTCCTTTATAAAAAGCATAACTAAGGCCAGTTGCGGTGGCTCACGTCTGTAATCCCAGCACTTTGAGAGGCCGAGGCAGGTGGATCATGAGGTCAGGAGATAGAGACCATCCTGGCTAACACGGTGAAACCCCATCTCTACTAAAAATACAAAAAAATTAGTTGGGAGTGGTGGCGGGCACCTGTAGTCCCAGCTACTTGGGAGGCTGAGGCAGGAGAATGGCTGAACCTGGGAGGCGGAGCTTGCAGTGAGCTGAGATTGCACCACTGCACTCCAGCCTGGGTGACAGAGGGAGACTCCATCTCAAAAAAAAAAAAAAAAAAAAGGAAAAAAAAAAAAGCATAACTAAGCATTACAGTTTAGCTCATTCATCTTCTAGTTTTAAAATTTTCTACCAACTTTGTTAGATATTAGGTAATTTATATCTTTTCATATTAAATTGGTTGTTAAGCAAAGAATACTATAAGCCAACAGATCTTTTCACTTTGTATTTCTCCAGGATCCCAGATAATTTCTTAGGAGTGGGATGTGAACTCATTAAATCTTTCAAGACTTTCTTATATAATTTCTAGCTCTTTGCAATATAGAAGGGGCTCAATACACTCATTTGGATATAAAAGTGGATTAATGTATGTTAGAGTCATCACTAACAGAGCTGGCAGGAGTCTTAAGGGCCTAGTTTGACCAGTTAGTTGATGTTTAGTACGCATCAACACGTCATTCTCAGCCAGAAGTTACCTGGATCAGAGCTTGTCTATTAATCTCCAGTGACAGAAATTCACTCTTCTAAGGCAGTGCATTCTTGCTGTGAGTTCCATGCCTCTGAAATTTAATGTGGATTAGTTCTTTCCCTGAGCTTACCTTGAAGCCAGACTCAGCACTTCATCACATCCCCAGGGTGATATTGTGAAATATGTATTTGGTCTTCATCCTGTTTCCTGGAATACATACAGCTCCTAAAATCTTTAGACTCTCTGGAGTGATAAGTGTCTTTGTATGCTAATAGGATGACTGGTGGCTGGGGGTCCCTAGGGAGCTTCAGAATGGGGACAGGTCACTGAAAGACCAAGGCATGATGAGAGGGTTGGGACTTTCAGTGCCACCTCCCCAACCTCTTGGGAAGGCTTAAGGTTAAGCCAATCACCAATGGCCAGTGATTTAATCAAGCATGCCCACATGATCAAGCCTCTGTAAAAACCCAAAAGAACTGGATTCCGAGAGCTCCGGATAGCTGGACACATGGAGGTTCATGGAGGGTGGTGCCCATGGAAAGGGCACGGAGCTTTCATGCCCTTCCCACATACCTTGCTATATGCATCTCTTTCATCTGGCTGTTTATCTGTATCCTTTATAATAAACTGATAAACATATATAAAGTGTTTCTGTGAATCATTGTAGCAGATCGAATTGAAAGAGGGGGTCTTGGGAACCCTGATTTATAGCCAGTCAGTCAGAAGTACAGGTCACAAGCTGGCATTTGTAACTGACATTTGAGGTTGGGGGCAATCTTGTGGGACTGAGCCTTTAACCTGAGGAATCAGACACTCACTTTAGGTAGATAGAGTCAGAATTGAATTGAATTATAAGACACCCAGCTGGTGTCCACTGCAGAGTTGCTTGGGGTTTAGCAAGAAAACCTCAAACATCTGGTGTCAGAAGTGTTGTACTAAGAAAAGTAAAAACACTTTGGGTTTTTCTGATCATTCCTTACCCAGAGGGCAGATCCAATTCCACAAATCCTTATGTTGGGGCTTAGAAATTGACACCCCTGGCTGGGCATGGTGGCTTATGCCTGTAATCCCAGCACTTTGGGAGGCCGAGGCAGGTGGATCACTTGAGCTTAGGAGTTCGAGACCAGCCTGGCCAACATCTCTACTAAAAATACAAAAATTAGCCCGGCGTGGTGGTGGGTGCCTGTAATCCCAGTTTGGGAGGCTGAGGCAGGACAATCGCTTGAACCCGG
This sequence comes from Homo sapiens, assembly GCF_000001405.40. Classification (NCBI taxonomy): domain Eukaryota; kingdom Metazoa; phylum Chordata; class Mammalia; order Primates; family Hominidae; genus Homo; species Homo sapiens. The sequence goes on from NC_000008.11 coordinate 67,478,948, forward strand.
GAGGCAGAGTTTGCAGTAAATTGAGATCACGTCACTGCACTCTAGCCTGGGCGACAGAGCAAGACTCTGTCTAAAAGAAAAGAAAAGAAAGAAAGAAATCGACACCCCCAATATAGCACCCTAGCATGCTAATTATTTTCAATTAATGGCCTTTGAAGAACAGCAGATCCTGGAAGAAGCTTTATGCTGATATTTCCTTATCTAGCTCAAGTCCAGACCCACCAAAGAAGAAAACAGTTACCTGTAGTCCTTTCTCTGAATTTTCATTAATTTAACTCATATTGCAGGTAGAGACTGAGGTTTGTCAACACACCTGGACAGGCATTTGTCATCAACTATTGTCTGCTGTATATTCTTCAAGTCCATTGAATTCCCCTAAAAATCTTTCACCTTGCCTCAAATTGCCACATTTCTCCCTACCCCTATAAAGAAGGGTTTATAAACCTCTGTACCCCATTGTATTATTGGGTAATCATCCTTCTGTGATTCCCTCATGCTATGCATGTTAAAATTTGTATGCCTTTCATCCTATGAATCTGCCTTTTGTCAGTTGATTTTCAGCAAAACTTCAGAGGGCAAAGGGAGAGTTTTCCCTTGGGCCTACACTTAGTGAAGTAGATTGTACTGAATATTACCTGTGGTGGTGGTTGTGAAATGCTGGAGAATTTGCATACTTCACAGCAAAGTTTAATTGCAATCCGCTATAGGCATTTTTGAGTACTAAAGTCTCTTTCCATACAGTCTAGCAACATTACCTCTTTTTATTGCTCTCTTTGCCCCAAATTTAGGCTCTGAAATTCTCTATATTTTCAGAACAATTCAGTTTAGGTCCTCAGCTAGTATAGCTCTCTCCAAACAAAAGCCACTCAGCTGGAGGAACTCATCGTTTTAGAAAGCAGGCCAGTGGCCATCTATTGTTATTTCATAGGGATTGGCTGAAAACCCCCAATTTGTAATGGTTTCTCTCTTCACTCCAGATGATCTACCCAAATGATTGGTCAAGCAGAACAGCCCCCGGCTCCACTTTTTTTTTTTTGGATAGAGTGGGAGGGTGGTGGTCGGAAAAGGGCATATATAGAGAGGGGCACATGTGGTTGGGCTGCTAAAAAAATCGTATAGTTTTCTCCGTGTTATATCTAATTTATAATATTAGGTAACTGAGTGTTCTAAAGAGTTATTATGTTTCAATAAGTGCCTAACTTGCTCCTAAATAGAAACAAAAATATTTTTATAATAGCTGTATTGCTTTATAATCAGCTATAATTCACATATTATGAAATTCACCCTTTTAAAATGTACAATTCAATGGCTTTCAGTATATTCACAATTGTCACATCTCATTCTAGAATGTTTTCATCACCCCCAAAAGAAACCCCTTACCCCTCAAAAGTTACTCCCTAATTTTCCCCTCTCCTCAGCCCCTGGCAACCACGAATCTACTCTCTATCTCTATAGATTTGCCTATTCTGGACATTTCATTTGCTCTTTTGTGACTGACTTTTTTCACTTAGCATAATATTTTTAAGTATCTATGCTGCAGAATGTATCAGTACTTCATTCTTGTTATGCCCAAATAATATTCCATTCTATAAATATACCACATTCTGTTTATCTATTCATCAGTTGATAGACATTTGGGTTGTTTCCACTTTTTGGCTATTATGAATAATACTACTATGAACATTCATGTACAAGTCATTATGGGAATAAATGTTTTCATTTCTCTTGGGTATATATATATATATCTAAGAGTGGAGTTGCTGGGTCATATGTTTTTAACTTTTTAGGGAAATGCCAAACTGTTTTCCAAAGTGGCTGCAGCATTTTACATTCTCACCAGCAAGTATGAATGTCCCAGTTTTTTTACACCCTCACCAACACATGTTATTGTCTTTTTATTATAGCCGTCTTAGTAGATGTGAAGTGGTACCTATTCCTATTGTGGTTTTGATGTACATTTCTCTGTTGGCTAATGACGTTGAGCGTATTTTCATGTGCTTATTCTCTTTTATATATCTTTTTTGGAGAGTATCTGTTGAAATCATTTGTGCACTTTTAAATTGGGTTACTTGTGTTTTTATTGTTGAGAGAATTCTATGTTTTGAATAGAAGTCTCTTAGTAGATATATGATTTGCAAAATTGTTTTATGTTCCATAGGTTTTTCTAAATAGTAATTTGTATTTAGGCAACACTTGAATTATTCAGAAGTTAAAGATTAAGTATGGATATTATCCAAACCCTTTACCTTTCTCCTCGATTTGTTCCAATTTGGAAAATCAGTGCTTACAGCATATTTTAAAAAGAGTGCACAGAGGAAAGAAAAAAGCACAGTGCTTCACAGAGAGAATGTGCTTGATTAACTTTGGCAAATGAATGAAAGAAATTTATGCATTTATTCCTAGTTCCTACCACTACTCTGACTTGTCGAGTCCTTCTGGGGGACTTTCAGACCAGTGATATTCATCTTATGGGTGAAACACCCTCAGGGGAGCTATGAAGTATTCAAAAAGTATGCCTGTCTGTACTTGCATGCTGGACTATTCCACATGCACGCACTAAAGCATAACCACTACCACACGGGGATCCACAGATTCTTCATGGTAAAAAGCAGTTTCATGTTCTGCTCTTTAATTTCAAGAATCACTGACTTAAGAGAAAGAAACAGCTGTTTTTGTCACTTCCATGCTGACCCTACAGTGTTTTCAATGGTCTGGGCATTTCTACGTCATTTATGCTATGGATGTTTATTTGGAGGTTCACTTTAGGGAATTTCATACTTACCTCAATACCCCTGACCTCAGAGTGATTCCCACATTGTAGTTCCCTGTCCCCTTCATGCAGCACATAACTGCGGGGGGATGGACCTGACCCTGGGAGGGAGGCAGGTCACACTTGGCTGCCTGCCTATCGGATCAGCTGAATCCACTCTGGAGACCTTGCAGCTGACACAGTACCAGCCAGGCTGCCTGCACTTCCCCATCACTTCCAACAGTCTATCAAGATCATTTTGCAACTGCATTTGACATAATCCCTTGTATATCTTGAGTGTTGGCTCACAGAAAAAATCAGAACGATTCAAAACTGGGAAGAGTCAAAGGAATTCTAGTTGGGTCTGCAGCTGAAACTGAAAAACCAAAGAAGGCATGTGTATGAAGGAAGCAAGCTGGGTAAAGGAAGAACAACAAAGGGAAGCAAGACCTTACTTGCACCTGATATAAACAGGAGTCTAAGTTTACATAGGCAGAGCTGGCTGCTGCTAGAGTTACTCAGCTCAATTACCCATCCAGAGCACTCATGCAGATGCCTGTAGGCATGTATATGACATATATGTGGATGCGAGTCTCCACTAACAAGCGAAACATCCCTGTGTTTATGAGTATGGAAAATGGCCCCATCAGAGAGAAGGGAAAGTGAAAAGTTTTTTTTAAGTTAGTGGATTTCAGGAGTTAATGTGCTTGTTGTTTCAGTATAGGTTGGAGAAAACAATTTCTAAATAGAAATAGTCATCTATAATACCACATCATAGTATTTATACAATGGTGTTTTTCCCTTCATAAATGCAAGTGCTTTTAAGTATACATTATTGCTCATCATCACAACATTCCCGTGAAGAAAAGAGGCTGTTTCACCAACTGATCTGAGGCTTAGAGGTGAACTGACTGTTCTGGGGGTCAGGGAACAAGGGATAGGTTACTGATACTTAGATCCCAGTTTGGAGCTAGGAACTAAATTAGACATTTCACATATATAAATTCCTTTAGTCCCTATAAGAACCTCATGAGGTGGTTGGCATTATACTTTCATAGATTGAATAAAATTGCCCAAATTACTGAGCTAGTAATGGTAGAATCAGACTACATTTGTCTTATTTTAGAGCCATATTCTTTTAGCTATGTCATGTTCTTATTTGCCAATTCTAATTGACTGAAGCCTCTTGCTTGGAGGGATGTGTGGAAGGAATCAAAGCCCACGCCCAGTTATTCTAGCTGATGCTAGTGGGATGGGAGGATTGGCATCTCACATAGAACCTAACCCTCATTGTAGAATGAGTGAATGTGGACTAGGCCTCATTTCTAAGGGACTAAAGGAAGGATTTCCATTACACAAGGGTCTATATTTTGAGGGACCTACAGAAAGACTCAATACAAAGGCAGCTCCTAACGACTGCATTTTGATAATAATTTTCCATCCTTTCCTTTTTCTGCTGCAAGTAAACTAGCCATGACTAATTTTCTCATTTCTCCCTGACACTTCCCTCCTTCTTTCTTCAGTAGAAGGGTTTCCTTCCTTAAAATGACATCTTCCTTTTATTTTAAAGGTGATTATTAATGAAACATGGAATGCAGCAGAAATACATTCCCAATGTGCATGGTCAATCCACGTATGACCAGCAGAGTGGTAGAATATAGACAAGGTCATGACAGCTCTGACCACGACAGACAGCCGAATGCAGCATCAGTGGTGCTTGTATGAAAAGGATAAAAAGATTTAACCAGAATTATACTACACCACGGTTCATGTTTTAATTTGGGGAATGACAAATATTCCTCAGTTTGCTGCTTTTACATATGTATTTAAATTTTCAGTTTTCAGGACCGAATTGACATATTTAAAATCCTTGATTTTTATATATTAAAAAAGAATCCTTTCATTTTCTTTTGCCAATTACAGCTATCATGTACGTATCTGTACCTTTCTCTACCAGGTTTTCACATACAGAAAAACATGAGTCTCCCATGAGAGTCCTCTGGACTCATATTTTGCAGAGTAAAACCTGCAGAAACCTTTGGATCTGGATCCCAGTTGGTCCCAAACTTACCACACCACTTCACTTTCCAGTTTCTATTGGCATCCACTCCACGGCAGCGAAACCTTGAGTTCCTTGACCTTGTTTTTCTCCAAAATCGATCCTAGACATAATTAAGAAAACAGGTGCTGAGAAAAATACTTAAAAGGTTATTCGCATGCATTTTAATAGCTCAATCAATGAAAGAGTCATACCACTGAGGGGAGAGTTCTCCTGTGAATAGACAAGCCCAGGGAGTGAAAAAGAGCACTGGATTAGTAGTGGAGACCCAGGTTCATGCTCCAATTTCTGCTACAAACTTCCTGTATTTTGCCTTCTCTTTTTTTTTTTTTGAGACAGAGTCTCGCTCTATCGCCCTGGCTGGAGTGCAGTGGCACGATCTCGGCTCACTGCAAGTTCCGCCTCCCGGGTTCACACCATTCTCCTGCCTCAACCTCCCGAGTAGCTGGGACTACAGGCGCCCGCCACCGCGCCCGGCTAATTTTTTTTTGTATTTTTAGTAGAGACGGGGTTTCACGGTGTTAGCCAGGATGGTCTCGATCTCCTGACCTTGTAATCTGCCTGTCTCGGCTTCCCAAAGTGCTGGGATTACAGGCTTGAGCCACCGCGCCCGGCCTTTTTGCCTTCTCTTGGCCCCATTTCTTTATAGGCAAAATTGAATGGGCTGGACTAGACTAGTGATTTTTCACAATTTATTTGGAAGAAGGAATCTTTATTTATGTGAAATCTCTACAAAATCTAGATGTGAAAATGAAATCTAATTGTTGGTGCTCTGATTGGGGAAAGAGTGAAGGCCTCTTTTGCATCTCTGGAATCACTCAGCTGATTGCCTGTCCAGCTTCTTTCCTGTCCTGGAAGTTTGTGACTCTGTTTTCTATGATTTATTTAGTCCTCTTTTCAACTGGGTAGGCAAAGTGACTTACATTGGTCCAACTAAAATGGTATCCATCGACGTTAAACACAGGCATGATATAGAAATATAGATGATTCAACATTTTTCTCATGGCTGGGTCACTCTTATATGTTAGAAGAGCCTAAAAGACAAAGGTGAGATTTTTCTTTTAAATTGGTCCCCAAAAGAGGAAAAAAGAGTGTGAGATATCCTTTCTATCCATGAGAACTACCAAATACGGTGGTTTAAAAAGTCATAAACTAACATGAAGTTTAGTCTTCGACATTGTAAATTCTGTTAAGACTTCTGTCTGAATTAAACTCTTTATTATCAATAATCTTTTAGCAGAGCTGTTAAAAGAGATCAGTTGGGCAGCCTCTTAATCGTAATTAAGATCTGGCTACAGTTTTAGGCTGATTAAGAAAGCAGCAACATAGATAGGATTTGTATAACCACCTGTTTTTAGATTCCATTCAATTGTGGACAAAATAACTGCCTAAATCTATTTGATAGCTTTACACAATAGATCATAGCACAGACCAGCTGCATGTCACTTAATTGTCTAATTAGTAGCAGCCTCAAACCTTGGAACCTACTGCATTGAGACTCTATTCTTTTCTCCTTACTTTTCTGTAAAAAGTTTATGATATTATGATATTATGAACAAAAACTCCCTTTTTATTACTTCCTGATCCCATTTTCTTTCCCTCCACCAAGGTAATCCCTATCCTAAGTTTGACATTATCTTTTCCATGCATGATTGTATGTATTGCTACATATATATGTAGCATGAGAACAATGTATGATATTGTGTGTATGCGTTAACATTATATGTAAGTGAGATATGTTAATTTGTGATCTGCTTTCCTCCCAATATATTTTTGATGTTTATTAAGTTGAGGATTTATTCATCTTGACTGCTAAATGGTATTCCATTATAGGTAAATACACAAGTTATTTTGTTGATGGACAGTTAGATCGAGTTTGGTATTTCACTGTTACAATATTGCAATAAATATGCTTGCACATTTCTCCTAGACATATGAGAATTTGTTTATAACATATAGCCAGGAATGGATTTGTTGGGTCATGGATTTACATGTTTTTAATTATGCTAAATGTTGCCATATTTTATTAAATCAGTAAACACTCCTATCTGCAGTGAGTGCACAGGTTACCTATGCCAAAGAACAAGTTTCCATTTGTGGATGGAATTGCATTAATGCACTCTGGTCTATAACAATTCACCAAACTCACACCATGGTTTATATAGAATCTGATGAGTCTGGTAGGATGTGTCTCCCCATGTTTTTTGAGTTTAAAATTATCGTGACTATTTTTGACCCTTCCCTGTTCACATAAATTTTGAAATCAAGGTTGAACACATTAAGGAGGTTCTGTTTTATACTTAGGTTGTTTTTGTCACTAATGTTTGTTGAATTTTAGCAAATGATTTTTCTTCCTGTATTGTCATAATCATTTGGTGGTTATGATGTGTCAAATAATTTTCTGTTGTTAAACCATCCTTGTATTCCTGGGATAAGCCCATTTGGTTATGATGTGTATTTTTAATATGTTGGTTGGATTCAGGTTGCTAACGCAGTCATACACTATATAACTATGTTTTGGTCAACAATGGATTGCATATGCCACTGTGGTTCCACAAGATTATAATGGAACATGTAGAGAAATCTGCTATGTGACACTTGATATTTGCATTGCAGATCAATAGGGAAAATGGCTGAAATTCAGCAGTGATGCTGGGGCATTTAGTTTTCCACATGAAAAAATATACATAAATAAAATACCATCTAGGTCTGCCTAAATACACTCTATGATGTTCACACAATGATGAAATCGCTTAATGACACATTTCCCAGAACATATCCTCGTTTTCAAGCAATGCATGACTGTATTAATATCCACATTTCCACATGAGCTAAGTGTATGATTTTCTTTCGTATTTTGTCCTTGTCTGGTTTTGCTACAAGGGTTATATTACCCTATTGTGATTTGGGGGTATCTAAAAATTATATTTGTAGAATATTTTTTAATATATTTGAATTATTAGTTCCCTGAATGGTAGAACTCAGCTCTGAGATCATTTAGGCCTAGAGCAGAAGTTAATGAAATATAAAACAAAGATACACTAAGAAAGATATATCCTTGTTTTCTATTTTATTGACTTCTGCTCTTTAACATTTTGTTGTTGTTGACTTAACAATTTTTTTTTTTTTTGGAGACGTCTTGCTTTGTCACCCAGGCTGGAGTGCAGTGGTGCAATCATAGCTCTCTGCAGCCTCAAACTCCTGGGCTCAAGTGATCCTCCTGCCTCAGCCTCCCAAGTAGCTGGGACTTCAGGCAGGAGCCACTTGGCTAAATATTAAATTTTTTTTTCTGAATATATATGTATATTTTTAATTATACTTTAAATTCTAGGGTACATGGGCACAACGTGCAGGTTTGTTACATAGGTATACATGTGCCATGTTGGTTTGCTGCACCCATTAACTCGTCATTTACATTAGGTGTTTCTCCTAATGTTATCCCTTCCCCTGACCCCCACCTCAAGAAAGGTCCCAGTGTGTGATGTTCCCCACCCTGTGTCCAAGTGCTCTCATTATTCAATTCCCACCTGAGTGAGAACATGTGGTGTTTGGCTTTCTGTCCTTGTGATAGTTTGCTCAGAATGATGGTTTCCAGCTTCATCCATGTCCCTGCAAAGGACATGAACTCATCCTTTTTTATGGCTGCATAGTATTCCATGGTGCATATGTGCCATGTTTTCTTAATCCAGTATATCATTGATGGACATTTGGGTTGGTTCCAAGTCTTTGCTATTGTGAATAGTGCCGCAATAAACATAACGTGTGCATGTGTCTTTATAGTAGCATGATTTATAATCCTTTGGTTATATACCCAGTAATGGGACCACTGGGTCAAATGGTATTTCTAGTTCTAGATCCTTGAGGAATCGCCACATTGTCTTCCACAATCGTTGAACTAGTTTACAGTCCCACCAACAGTGTAAATAAAAGTGTTCCTATTTCTCCACATCCTCTCCAGCATCTGTTGTTTCCTGACTTTTTAATGATCACCATTCTAACTGGTGTGAGATGATATCTCACTGTGGTTTTGATTTGCGTTTCTCTGATGACCAGTGATGATGAGCATTTTTTCATGTGTCTTTTGGATGCATAAATGTCTTCTTTTGAGAAGTGTCTGTTCATATCCTTTGCCCACTTTTTGATGGGATTGTTTTTTTCTTGTAAATCTGTTTAAGTTCTTTGTAGATTGGCAATTAGCCCTTTGTCAGATGGGTAGATTGCAAAATTTTTCTCCCATTTTGTAGGTTGCCTGTTCACTCTGATGGTAGTTTCTTTTGCTGTGCAGAAGCCCTTTAGTTTAATTAGATCCCATTTGTCTATTTTGGCTTCTGTTGCCTTTGCTTTTGGTGTTTTAGTCATGAAGTCCTTGCCCATGCCTATGTCCTGAATGGTATTGCCTAGGTTTTCTTCTAGGGTTTTTATGGTTTTAGGTCTAACATTTAAGTCTTTAATCCATCTTGAATTAATTTTTGCATAAGGTGTAAGGAGGGGATCCAGTTTCAGCTTTCTACATATGGCTAGCCAGTTTTCCCAGCACCATTTATTAAACAGGGAATCCTTTCCCCATTGCTTGTTTTTGTCAGGTTTGTCAAAGATCAGATGGTTGTAGATGTGTGGTGTTATTTCTGAGGCCCCTGTTCTGTTCCATTGGTCTCTATCTCTGTTTTGGTACCAGTCCCATGCTGTTGTGGTTACTGTAGCCTTGTAGTACAGTTTGAAGTCAGGTAGCCTGATGCCTCCAGCTTTGTTCTTTTGGCTTAGGATTGTCTTGGCAACGTGGGCTCTTTTTTGGTTCCATATGAACTTCAAAGTAGTTTTTTCCAATTCTGTGAAGAAAGTCATTGGTAGCTTGATGGGGATGGCATTGAATCTATAAATTACTTTGGGCAGTATGGCCATTTTCATGATATTGATTCTTCCTATCCATGAGCATGGAATGTTCTTCCATTTGTTTGTGTCCTCTTTTATTTCGTTGAGCGGTGGTTTGTAGTTCTCCTTGAAGAGGTCCTTCACATCCCTTGTGAGTTGTATTCCTAGGTATTTTATTCTCTTTGTAGCAATTGTGAATGGGAGTTCACTCATGATTTGGCTCTCTGTTTGTCTGTTATTGGTGTAAGAATGCTTGTGATTTTTTCACATTGATTTTGTATCCTGAGACTTCACAGAAATTGCTTATCAGCTTAAGGAGATTTTGGGCTGAGACGATGGGGTTTTCTAAATATACAATCATGTCATCTGCAAATAGGGACAATTCGACTTCCTCATTTCCTAATTGAATACCATTTATTTCTTTCTCTTGCATGATTGCCCTGGCCAGAACTTCCAACACTATGTTGAATAGGAGTGTTTTTTTTCTTTTTTTCTTTTTTTTGTAGAGACAGGGTCTCCCTATGTTGCCCAGGCTGGTCTCAGACTCCAGGGCTCAAGCAATCCTCCTTCTTAGCTTCCTAAAATGCTGGGATTACAGGCATGAGCTACCAGATCTGACCTGTCATTTACATTTCTGTTCCTTTTCTAATTTCTTGTGAGTGGAAAGATTGGCTCACTAACTTGGAGACTTTATTCGTTTCTCATATATTGATTTAAAATTATAAATTTCCCTTTAATACTACCTTAGTTGCATTCTATATGTCTATCAAGATGAAATCACCTACGATACATAGTAGTTTTGTTATCATTCAGTTCTAAATACTGAATTTCCTTGATTTAAATTTTACGTATAAATGTTTTTTTCTAAATATGTGTTAATCATTTTTTTTTAAAATAAATGATTTCTGACACTGTATTACAGTTAGAGAATGTGATATTTTTAACAGATTATTTGGTATTTGTTGATACTTGCTTTGTGGACTAGAATATAATCAATTGTTGTGAATGTTCCAATTGTGCTTAAAAAATATACATTCTCTAATTATTGGGTAAAGATACTATATGTGTTCATTGGATTATGTTATTATTGTTTGTATTACCTATATTCTTACTAAAAATTTGTCTGCTATTTTAACCACTGAGAATTGTGTTAAAACCTCATATTGTTATTTTGGCCTTATTGGTTTCTCTTACATGCTGTCAATTTTTGTTTTATATATTTTGAGGCCATTAACATCATTTAAAATTTTTTCATTTCTAAATAATATATTAATCAAAGAAGCTGTTCTCTAGTATTCTATTCTGGAAACAGTTTAATTTCCAAGACTTGTCAGAACGTGTTCTTCCTCTGACAAACAAGCAGGGTGTCATTGTATTGCATATGCTGTATTTGTGATTTTTGTAACTTTCTAAGAATTTCAGCTATTCTCCATCTGGTCACACAAAGCAAGAATCATCACGACGTGATGACTGTTAAATACTGAACAGGACATTTAGGAGAATTCCTTGCTTGAGTGCCTTAAATAATAGGACACAGATCATTTGTCTTTTATGGTTTAGGTAGGGGTTTCTAAAAGAAACGTAACCATGTGTCTTTCTATTTCCTGTTATTCTAACATATGATAAACATGAAGAACACAGGGGTGTGCTTTTCTTCTAATGTGTAGAACTATTTTTAGCAATCGATACATACCCTCCATACACACTGAAAAGGAGATGCCCAATAATCAAGTTGCATCTGGACCTACAAAGTTTAATTTCTTTATTACTATTGTTGCTTATGAGGAAGACTTAAGTAGTCGGGATCTGAAAGCCAGTTGCAAAACAATGCACCACACGCCTCAGTGTGGCGGTCCCTAGGTACTGCATCACCTCACTTAAATTTATTTTAAAGAGGCTTCACCAAAGCAATTTTTTCAATTAAAAGATACTAAGGAAAGTTTTTAGTATTATCTTCTCCCAGGCAAATGATAAGTTTGGAACTGATTGGGGCATTTCTGAAGTTAATTAAGAAAGACATAGAATGAATCTATTTGGTATTCACCATCTGCCAAGACTATTTTGGCCTCTACATACTTATGTACATGTTATAGATCAGAATTCACCAAATAAACTTTGGTTAAAATCAAAGACAAATTTTGCCATGACTAATGCCTTTGTGTGGCATGACAAAGTGAGGTAAAGGGTTTCCCTCCTTTTCAATGCTTTCGGATTTACGTGGTTGGATGTTGCTTTCTTAGAGTTCATGACAGCATGGAATATGGAGATCACTTTTTTGAGGATTGGTGTTAATGGCTTTTAAAAAGGTAGCTTTAAAACTTTCTTCTATTTTTACTTTAGAATCACTGCAGAGGACCTAAAAATAACCACACATCCAATGCAGGACACACTGGCAGAACGAAGCCTGTTACAGCTAAGGCCAAAGAAAGGGGCACAGTCACCATCAAGCTGAAGACCAGCCTCAACTGGACGGGACAGGAATATCACTTAGGACTGGTAAACACTGCGGCACCAAAATGGGTGCATCTCAACACAAAGGAGGTATTTTAAATTCAATACCAGAAGAATCAATTGGAGTCGGGGAGAGTTTACAGGGAAGTTTTTTTTTTTTTTTTTTTCAAAGGGGAGCTTAATCTATAAAGATAGCTGACATCACACTACAAGATGCTCATTAAATACAAAATGGTCAATCAAATAACAGTTTGAAAGTAACGAGAAGAAAAGGCTTCATAAATGAAGGGTGAAAAACTGAAAATGATCTCCTCATCTTGTATATTCTAGTTATTTTTATACTTAGTTATACTTAGAACCACCCAGAGTGACTAATCTAACAGGGCAGGTGAAGACTAGAAAATGTTGCCAATTAATCTACATTTTCTAATAAGAAACATAAATATTTGAAATGTTTTGTGTCACCAGGAAGAATATACTACTAGATACATGTCTATTCTTTTTCCTAAGTAATGCCATTTCACATTTCACACAGAGATAGCCTAACAACAGTGATTCATTGGTTGTATTTGCTCATGAGAAGAAGCCAGGACAACTTTGGTATTGTGAAGATCTAATCTGTAAGGATATTTTACCTACCAAAAAAGAAAGTACAGATGTCTTCACTTTGCATGGCTCTTATATACACAAATTTGTTACTGCACTTTAGTTAAATAACACCAGTCCTCCCACAGAAGTGTGAATTTTGGTTACCACTGCTACAAATCACTATATAAATAAAAATGAGCATCAAGACCTGTGATCGATTCTACTATTTCTTTAAAAGTCTGTCAGTGGTTGGTTGGTTACTACTGTGCATCTCATAATCAGTTTACACACAGACAGCAAAGTGTGTAGTTGTGTTGTGTCCTTGTTTCCCGGTGATAAATCTACAAGGTAATTTACAATAATGGATGGTGGAAAGAGGAAATTGTCCAACTAAGGTGAAAGTGTGGCAAAGAAATGAAAAGTGCTAATGCTGGAGGTGAGATCTGAACCCAAATATAAATGGAGCTTAGAACAAATAGCTGACTAGGAATGTTGACACTGCAGCATTCAGCTCTAAATATGCAGCCACAGGAATACAGTGAGGACCAACTTACCAATACAGATGAGGCAAGTGGTTGGGATGAAAAGGATGATGATATTCCAGAAGAAGTGACCTGGCAACACTTCACATTAAAGTAAGATATTTAGTGACATTGAAAGTACAAAGGAAAAAAAAATATTGGAAGCTGATTCAGTGAAGAGACAAGTATGGCAATCTGCCAAGGCAAATTTTTTATGAAAGATGCTTATTTCATATTGTAAGCTATACAGAGAGAAGATAATGAGCACAATCCAAACTACCCTTTATAAGGTTTTTTTTTTACAAAGAAATAAGACATTTTAATTCACAGTATTTCTCATGATTTAAAATGTAGCATACTAAATATTAGTTTTACTACTTAAAATCATTTCCCAATACATGTATAACAAAGTAAGAGAGTTTTTAATATTATGACAAAAGCTCTTAGGATCACGGAACAAACAATTTCTCTCATTGATTATGAAGATTGCTCTGTCCTGCTTCAGCTTGCGTCGCCACTTTTATAGTCTGGTGCTACTGGTGGAAAGCAAGCATTGTCTGTCTACACAATGGCCAGAACACTCACTATTATTAGGTAGCGGAGTACAACTAATGCAATGGATTTCAGTTTAGTCAAACTGAAACTAAACAAATATTGAATCAAAACTCTGCTATGTTCAAGGCATTATAAATTGGATAGAAGGGAGAAAGAGATAGGCTGGAAGATGTGAAGAATGAAGGAGATTGGGGAGAGTGAGCATGGGAGAACATAGGGAACTAACGGTACTGAAGGCCAGGAAAAAGCAAACCAAAATATCATAATTACTCAGAATGGCAGTGAACCAAAGTCAGACAATTTAAAAAATGAAGATCATTTTCATATGATGAGCTGTTTTCCATTAGGTAATTAAGAACAAAGACGTGTTTGCTTACTCAGCTGAACTCATTAGATACTTGATCTGGGCTTAGTAGCTGTCTCAATTATTTATTCCCTGTTTTTTGGCACATACATGCAATTTAAGTTCTCTTCTTAAAAATGTTTATTTTTAGTGATCTATTTCTTAACCAAGACCTTGGTGTTTCATGCCAATATCTGAGGGCTTATATTTTACCTTTAATGAGCAGCAAGACATAATGAGACTGAAAGAAATGATTATCTAAAAGGACTATTCCCTGGAGAGCTTTTGGATCCTGGGAGAAGAGCCTTCCCCTTCTGGAAAGACTTCCCAGTTGGAGGACTTCTCCTACAACCACAGCTCTAAGTCATTCTTAGAGCTCTGTCCTAAACAGAAAACCCACCATAGCCCTCACATATTACTACTTGCTCTGCCTGGAAAATAACCTGCTTCCCTGAAAGTCTCCTATTCTTATTTTTATTTGAATCATCTACATAGTACATCTGAATCACATGCCAGATGTTGGCACTAGGACTAGCCATCACTGCAGTGCTGAGTGTAGATGGGTGGGAATGTGCAATAGAGATGGTTTTCCAATAATCAAACTGGGCCTGGAAGGGTGAGGTTTCACATTACATAGACAGCAGACGAATATTGTGGCTCACTTGGAGAACTAAGGATGTTTTATTGCTTTTCTTTTCTTTCTTTCTTTCTTTTTTTTTGTACTGCTGCCTTTCTGTAACAGGATCAGATTAGATCCACCTGTATATTATACATCTTCAATGTCTAGGAGAACTTTCCATTTCAGGCCATTTTAGTCCCAAACATTTTTTTCACAAGCCCTTGCTTTATCTTTGGTCTGCCACTGAATTAAATAGAATTCAACTGCTGATTCTAAAAACCTGTAGAAATATATGACTCAAGTGTAACTGAGTTTAGTTTTAAAAACATAGTCATTTTTGACATGTTTTATGTAGAAAATTTTGGGAAATTCAGAAAAGCATAAAGAAGAAAATAAAAATTACCCATGATCCTATCCTCTTAACATTTGGCATTTTTTCAGGTATATATCTATATAACTCTCAGACACAGATTTTGCAAAATTGAATTATATTGTCCATGCTGGTTTTTTTTTTAAACATAGCAACATGTCATGAAGGGTTTTCTTCATCATTAAATACTATACTAAAATATTTTTATGTAGTCAGGGCTATCAGTCATTCCTTTACGCCTCTTTCTTTGCTTTTATGCTTGGAAATGTCTTCTTTACTTGGAAATCAAACAAATATTTCCCTGAGTTACTTTCTTAATATTATACAAATAATGACTCTGGTCAAATTCATCCCAGCGATGTAGAATTATTTGAGGAAAAAAACTGGAGTGCTATGCGTAACTCTGGGCCAGCAAGCACCAGCCATGGCTTGAGATACTCAATCTGGGAGGTCAACAATCTCAAACTAGCAAAAGCGAACAAAGCCCAAATTGCCTCATTCAGTTGGAGGTTATTCTGAAAAATGAAGCAAATGCTATTCCATCTGCATTGGCAACAAAGAATTAAAGTGGCCTTTCCACAATTAAAAAAACAAAAAGATGTAAAAATGAGCTGCCACTGAAAATTACTAGGCGATCCTAAATATAGCTATTACTTGCCCTAAATTTGTACCAGGACCTCAATGGTGTACTTCTACGATCTTCCATCCCTTTGCTTGTCTCTTCTTATCAGCTTATGTAATACAGACAAGAAAAGTACTTACACACAACTTTGTTACAGCAGACAAAATCACTGGAATTTATTCTTGGTTGTCTGCTGCCCAAATTAGGCCTGTGAATCAGGTATTCATTCATTTTGGCAGCTTGCTTGATCTTTCACCTCTTATCAAACAGCATTCATTCTTTTGGTCCATGAGAATCCATGAGTTGGATAACAGCAGAGTTTTTGATTTTCCCTCCCCATTATCCAGTATCCACGGTGTCTTAACAGGGCCTGGCCTAGTGCATAGTAGTAAACACTTGATAATTACTTGCTGAATAAATTAATCATTTCACCAGCTTAGTGTAGTGTAGTGTTGGGTACTTTCCTTCAGACTAATGGTCCTGCCAATGCTTCAAATGATGCTCCCCCAACTTCAATGACACCACAAATCTCTTGGGCATCTTATCTTTGATCCATCCTCCTCTTCCATTCCCATATCAAGCCAATCATCCATTCCTAAAGACTTTCTTTATCACTGCCTTCTTTTGTGTCTGTCTCTTCTCCCAAGTAGAACTGCAAATGCATTGAGGAAAGGGTTAATGTTTTGTGCACTGTAGGACAGTACTTGTGCCATTACAGGACTTAGCATGCTGCCTTCATATAAAAAGAAGTGCTCAATAAGCATTTGATAGTATGAATGAATATCTGCTTTGAAATTTTTTTATATGTTTTTTTCACTTTCCATTCCTACATCCACTCTTCCTGTCTATGTGTAGATTCCTGCCCTATAAATTTCTAGTTAGTAGCCCTCACTCTGGGTTCTTTCTCCTTCCTTTCATCCATATATCATTGCCTTTCATCTTTAAGCTCTCTGACAATGGGATGTGTTTTTTGCTCCTTATCAGTGTTTTCTTTTTCTTTTTCTCTTTTTTTGAGACAAGATCTCACTCTGTCACCCAGGCTGGAGTGCAGAGGTGTGATCACAGCTCATTGCAGCCTTGACCTCCTGGGCTCAAGCGATCCTTCCACCTTGGCCTCCCAAAATGCTGGAATTATAGGTGTCAGCCACTGCACCTGGCAAGTGTCTTCTCATTTTACTTCATTGGACCAAACTCTGCCTGGCTTCCAAGGCTTACTATAATTTTTCAAGCAGCATTATATGGCATTAGAGTTTACTCACATAGACTGTACGTTGCTGCCTCACTAAATCTACAACGCCCACATATCATGCTCATTCTCAACATTAATCTTTTCTCTTTCTTGGAATACTTTCATTTCCCTGATCAAATTCCAACTTCTCAGTCAAGGCTGGAGAATCATTTTCTCCACAAAGCTTCCCCAAACCTTGTCTTTTTAAAGTCTTAATGGATTTTTCTAATTCCTTAATTCCTTCAGGTACTATAATCAGTACACTTAGGCCTCCAAAGACACACTATTTTATGTTGTTTCCCGCACATAAATATTCCTCCTCAAATAGAATGCAGACCCCTTAGTGCAGTTACCATGATTTACACTTCTGTTGATGCCCATAATATAAGCAGAATGCTAAAAATGTGGTGATCAACATAATTTGTTGAACTGATTAATATAAATATCTTCTGAGGGAATGCTATTTAACCCTAATTTAAAAAATAACAGCTTTTTTGGGATATAATTCACACACCTTACAATTCATCCTTTTATAGTGTGCAATTTACTGTGTTTTAGTATATTTACAGAGTTGTGCAACCATCACCACTATATAGTTTATATATATATATATATATATATATATATATATATATATTTATTTTATTTTTTTTTTTTGAGATGGAGTGTCTCTCTGTTGCCCAGGCTAGAGTGCAGTGGCACAATCTTGGCAGATTGCAACCTCCGCCTCCCCGGTTCAAGCGATTCTCCTGCCTCAGCCTCCACAGTAGCTGGGATTACAGGCATGTGCCACCACACCCGGCTAATTTTTGTATTTTTAGTAGAAATGGGGTTTCACCATGTTGGCCAGGTTGGTCTTGAACTCCTGACCTCATGATCTGCCCACCTTGGCCTCCCAAAGTGCTGGGATTACAGGCGTGAGCCACGGTGCCTGGCCTTATACTTTCATTATCCAAAAAAGAAGCCCTTACTCTTTAGGTATCCACCCCCTAATCCTATCCTCTTCCCTCACTATAGGCAACCACTAATCTACTTTCTTTTTCCAGAAATTCGCTGATTTGGGGCATTGCATATGTATGGAATCAGGTAATACGTAATATTTTGTGATCAACTTCTTTCATTTAGCATGTTTTCAAGATTCATGTATGTTGTAGCATGTATCAGCACTTCATTGACTTCTTATTGAGATACGATTCACAGAATATAAAATTCACCATTTTACAGTGTACAATTCAGTGGTTTTTAGTATATTTGCAGTGCTGTACAATCATCATCATTATTGAATTCTAGGACATTTCCACCACTCCAAAAAGAACCTGGTAGTTGTTAGTTCCAATTCCCGCTTACTCCATCCCCTTGCAACTACTAATGTGCTTCCTGTTTTTATGGATTTGCCTATTCTCTGAACATTTCATATAAACGGAGTGATACAATATATGAGTCTTTGTGTCTGCCTCATTTCATTTAGCATAATGTCTTCAAGGTCCATCACTGCTGTATCTTAATACCTTCCTTCCTTTTATGGCTGAATAATGCCCTGTTGTATGGTTATACCAATAAAAAAACTATTCATCAGTTGATGGCCACTTTTTGGCTATGATGAATAATGCTGCTATGAGCATTCATGCACAAGTTTCTGTGTGGATATGCTTTCAGTTCTCTTGGGTACACACATAGGAGTGGAATTTTGGGGTCACATAGTAACTCTATGTTTAACTTTTGGAAGAACTGCCATACTGTTTTCAACCCTATTTTAACTTGGTAGTTTCCTCTACTTTTTTTTTTTTTGAAATGGGGTCTTGCTCTGTTGCCCACGCTGGAGTGCAGTGGTGTGATCTCGGCTCACTGCAACCTCTGCCTCCTGGGTTCAAGCAATGCTCCTGCCTCAGCCTCCCGAATAGCTGGGATTACAGGCATGCACCACCATGGCCAGCTAATTTTTGTATTTTTAGTAGAGAAGGGGTTTTGCCATGTTGTCCAGGCTGGTCTTGAACTCCTGGCCTCAAGTGATTCATTCCGCCTCAGGTGTGAGCCATCCTCTATTTTTAAATTTAATTTTCAAGTCCATTACTTTTAAGTTTTGTAAGTGTCCCTCTTTACAAGTATCTCCTTGCTGTCTATTCTCTTTGTTCCCTGGCCTTTGCCCATTCTCAGGTTTAAGTCTCTTTGCTCTTCTGTAGATATCTGTTCACGTTTGCAGAAAGATAACTTCCAAGTTCTGTATGTGTATCTCTGCTTATTTCTCCTTATGTATTTATTCTAGTTTTCTTTCTTTGATGAATTTAGTGTCTGTGTCATCCCTCTTGGCCCATGACAAATTTAAGAAACTTTAGGTTGGACATGGTGGCTCACATCTGTAATCCCAGCACTTTGAGAGGCTGAGGCGGGTGGATCACTTGAGGGCAGGAGTTTGGGACCAGCCTGGCCAACATGGTGAAACCCTATCTCTACTGAAAATAGAAAAATTAGCAGTGTGTGGTGGTGCGCACCTGTAATCCCAGCTACTCAGGAGGCTGAGGCAGGAGTATTGCTTGAACCTGGAAGGCAGAGGTTGCAGTGAGCCAAGATCACACCACTACACTCCAACCTGGGTGACAGAGCGAGACTCCATCTCAAAAAAAAAAAAAAAAAAAAAAAAAAAATTAACGCCAAAAGGGAATATTTCTTAAAACTCCTTTTTAATTTTGTGATGAAGGGAGCATCTGTAGTATACATTTCAACAGTAAGTCCAGCATGTCTGTGTTCATCTTTTTCCTCTCCCCTCAAAGTCCCATGGCACCATAAATATCATATGATATTGGTAATGGTTTTGCTAACCTGGTATAAGCAAGCATTCAACAAGAGAAAGATTTTGCAATCTAAGCGTACCAACCATTTGTCTTCTTAATTCTACTTACATGATTAAAAAAATTTGTGCTATGTGAATATTAGGAAAGAAAGAGAGGTAGCATGTACTGCAAACAGAAAGGTGATGGCTCTACGTTTTCCAAGAGAATTAAATGACTATCAACTTAAAAGACTAAAACCCATAAGTTTTGTGGTATATCTGGCATTTAAAAAATGTCAACTAGGAACTATCAATTATTTGTTGAGATAATGAATTCATTTTTGCAATTTTCAAAATAATAAAATAATGAAGCCCAATTTACCAGTCATTTAATTCTGGTAGTTTGCTTCTGTATCACTGTTTTCTGAGCTTTGTGTTTTCAAAATAGACATCCACAGATCACTCTACTAAATTGGAATGGAGGCAGAAGTGGAAGTGGCTCTCCGGGCATGGCATGGGACGGTAATGCTGGCCAAAGAAGAGATGAACTTACAGAGCCAGAGCCCCCCTTGATACTTCTGGTTTCTGTGGCAGAGAGAGTCAGGGCCAGCTGATGAGGATTACACAGTAGGGAAGAGAGAGCAGAGATGAAATTGACTGTTTCTCTAGGCAAGAGAAGCACCTGGTTCCAAAGAATGGAAACCAGGGATATGCAGCCTGGCTATTATTTTTATAATAAACTTCTGATTTGGAGATAAATTAGGGTCCACATGTAATTATAGGAATACAGACAGATACCATATACCACTTACCTATTTTTCCCCATTGGTAATATCTTGCCAAACTGTAGTATAATATTACCATTAGGGTATTGGCATCGATATGGGCAAGATACAGAACATTTCCATCCTCACACACATTCCTCATGTTGCCCTTTTACAGCCACATCCACTTTCCTTCCAACTCCACCCCTTCCCTAACCCTGAGCAGTCACTAATCTGTTCTCCATTTCCATAATTTTGTCATTTAGAGAACAATATATAAATGAAATAATACAATAGGCATTTGTTTAAGATTGGCTTTTTCATTCAGCATAATTCTCTGGAGATTCATCCAGGTTGCTGCATTTATCAATAATCTGTTCCTTTTAATTGTTGAATAGTTTTCCATGGTATGGATGTACTACAGTTTGTTTAACCATTTGCCTGTTGATGGATACCTGGGTTGTTTCCAGTTTTGGGCTACTAAAAATAAAGATGCTATAAACATTTGTGCACGGGTTTTTGAGCAAACATAAGTCTTAATTTCTCTGGGATAAATGCCAGGAGTGCAATTACTGGGTCATACAGTAGTTCCATGCCTAGTTTGAAAAGAGACTGCCAACTGTTTTCAAGAATAGCTCTACCGTTTTACATTTGCACCTGCAACATATGAGTGTTCTAGTTTCCTGCATCCTCCCTGGCATTTGTTGATATTTGTGATATATATCTGTAGATGTATAGATCTACCTATACATCTATAGATATAAATCTATCTATCTGATTATTTTTAGCCACTCAGATAGGTGTGCAGTGATAGCTCACTGTGGCTTTAATTTTCCCAACGACATCTTTTTTGCGTGTGCTTATTTGCCATCTGTATATATACACTTTGGTTCAATGTCTCTTCATGTCTTTTGCCCATTTTCTCATTGGATTGCTTGCTTTTTACTGTCAAGTTTTGAGTTTATATATTCCAAATGAGTCTTTTATTAGATCTGTGATTTGCATATGTTTTCTCAGTCTGCAGCTTATCATTTTCATCCTCTTAACAGTTTTTCATAGGCAAAAGTTTAAAATTTTGATTGTTTGATAATGTACAATGTATCTATTTTTCCTTTTATGGAGCATGTTTTTGGTGTCAAATCAAAGAACGCTTTGTCTTGGTTTTAGATCCTGAAGATTTTCTTCTATGCTTTTTTCCCCTAAAAGTTTTATCGTTTTACATTTTACATTTAAATTCATGATCAATTTTGAGTTAATTTTTTTGTATATGGTATGAGACTTAGACTCATACCATATACAAAAAAAGATTCATTTTTTTTTTTTTGCAATGAATATCCAATTGCTCCAGCACCATTTGTTGAAAAGGCTGTCTTTCCTCCTTTGAATTGGTTTTGCATTTTTGTCAAAAGTCAGTTGGGAATATTTGTGTGGATCTATTTTTGGGTTTCTATTCTGGTCCATTTATCTATGTCTATTCTTTCACCAATACCACACACTCTTAATTATTGTAGGTATATAGTATGTCTTGAAATTAGATAGAATGAATCCTCCCTCCCTTTTCATTCTTCTTTTTCAAAATAGTTTTAGCTCTCCTACTTCCTTTGCCATTCCATATACTTTTAAGAATAATCTTATCTATGGCTACAAAAAAGTCTTGCTGAAATTTTGATAGGAATTGTGTTAAATCTCTATATCAATTTGAGTAGAATTGCCATCTTTACTATTTTGAAATCTCCCAATCCATGAATGTGGTATGTCTCTCCACTTCAATTTTCTTTATTTCACCAGCATTTTGTAGTTTTCAGCATGTAAGTCCTGTACATGTTTTGCTGGATTTACACCTAAAAGTATTTCACTTTTTTGAGTAATTGTATATAATCTTGTATTTTAAAAATTCCAGTGTCCACGTGTTCATTGCTATTATGTATATGGAAATAAAATTGATTTTGTATGTTTATCTTGTATCCTGTTGAAAAATTTCCCCTCTCTTTCTTTAAGAGTTTTATCATGGATGTATGTTAAATTTTGTCAAAGGCTTTCTCTGCATCAATTGATAAAATTATATAATTTTTCTTCTTTAGCTTTTAATACAGTGGATTACAATGATTAACTTTTGAGTATTAAACTGGGATTGCATCCCTGAAATAAATCTCACTTAGCTATGGTATATAATTATTTTTCTTGATTGCTAAATTCTATCCATTAATACTTTATTCAGGATTTCTGTATCTATTTTCAAGAAGGATATTGGTCTGAGTTTCTTTTTCATGTGCTGCCTCTAGTTTTGGTATCAGGCTTCATAAAAAGAATTGGAAGTGTTCCAACCTCGTCTATTTTCTGAAAAGACTGTGTTGAATTGGTGTTAATTCTTCTTTAAACATTTGGTAGAATTCTCCAGTGAAAGCTTCTGGGCCTTGAAATTTCCTTTTTGGGGAATTTAAAAATCATAAGTTAATATTTGTAATAGTTATAGGGATATTCAAATTCTCTACTTTCTAATAGGTAAGTTGTAGTAGTTGGTGTTGTTCAACTAATTGGTTCATTTTGTCTACGTTGTCAAATTTACATGGGTAGAATTATTCCCAGTATTCCCTTATTAACCTTTTTTATATCTTCAGAGTTTGTAGTGATATTCCATTTCATTTCTGATATTGGTAATTTGCATCTTCTTATTTTCTTTGTCTCTCATGCTAGAGCTTTGTCAATTTTATCTATCTTTTAAAATAACCAGGCCAGGTGCATGGCTCATGCCTATAATCCCAGCACTTTGGGAGGCTGAGGTGGTAGTTGAGCCTAGGAGTTTGAGATAAGCTTGGGCAACACAGGGAGACGCTGCCTCTACAAAAAATAATTTAAAAAAATTAGCCTGAATTGGTGGCACACACCTGTGGTCCCAACTACTCTGGAGGCTGACGTGAAAGATTTGCATGGGCCTGGGAAATCAAGGCTGCAGTGAGCCATAATCATGCTACTGCACTCCAGTCAGCTTATTGTTTTATTGATTTTCTCTAATAACTTTGTTTTCAATTTCATTTATTTTTGCTCTTATTTCTATTATTTCCTTCCTTCTGCATGCTTTGGGTTTATTTTCTATTTTTCTAGGTCATTGAAGGAAGAGCTTATTGTTTTGAGACTTTTCGTCTTTTCTAACATATACCTTTAGTGCTATACATTTCCCTCTCAGCACTGCTTTAGCTATGCCCCACACATTTTGATATGTTGTATTTTCACTTTTAACCAGTTCAAGGCATTATCAAAACTTCCCTTGAGATTTTATCTTTGACCCATGGATCATTTAGAAATGTGTTTAATTTCCAAGTGTTTGGAGATTTTCCTGTTATTCTTCTGCTATCAATTACTAGTTTGATTTCATTGTGGTTACAGAACACACCTTATGATTTCAATTATTTTATACTTGTTGAGGTCTATGTTTTGGAAGAGGATATGGTATATTTTAGAATATGTTCTATAGGCACTTGAAAAGAAAGTGTATTCTGCTCTTGTTGGGTACAGTCTATTAGATCCTGTTGGTTGATAGTGCTGTTGAGTTCCTTTATATCCTTGATTTTTTAATTTCTATTTATTTATTTATTTGTTTATTTTTGAGATGGAGTCTCGCTCTGTTGCCCAGGCTGGAGTGTAGTGGCATGATCCTGGCTCACTGCAACCTCTGCCCCCTTGGTTCAAGGAATTCTCCTGCTTCAGCCTCCTGAGTAGCTGGGACTACAGTTATGTGCCACCACATCCAGCTAATTTTTGTAATTTTAGTAGAGACAGGGTTTTACCATGTTGGCCAGGCTGGTCTTGAACTCCTGATCTCAAGTGGCCCACCTGCCTAGGCCTCCCAGAGTCTTATTTATTTATTGAGACAGGGTCTTGTTCTGCCCAGGCTGGAGTGCAGTAGCATCATCACAGCTCACTGCAGCTTTGACCTCCTGAGTTCAACAGGTCCTCCCTCCTCAGCCTCTGGAGTAGCTGGGACTACAGGCATGCACCACTATGCCCAGCTAATTAAATTTTTTTTTTTTTTTTTTTTGTAGAGACAGGGTCTCACTATGTTGCCCAGGCTGATCTCGAATTCCTGGGCTCAAGTGATCCTCCTGCCTCGGCCTCCCGAAGTGCTGGGATTACAGGTGTGAGCCACCATGCCCAGCTTGATTTTCTTTTTAATTGTTCCTTTCCATTAGTTATTTAAAAATACCAAATTGCTGATATAATAGTAATAATAATTGATTTTATTGTTTATTATATGCCAAACATTCTGTTAAGTCTTTTGCATGCATTATATTATTATTATTATTTTTTTAAGTTCTGGGATACATGTCCTGAATGTGCAGGTTTGTTACATAGGTTTACATGTGCCACGGTGGTTTGCTGTGCCTATCAACAGATCATCTAGGTTTTAAGCTGCGCATGCATTAGGTATTTCTTTTAATGCTCTCGCTCCCATTTTCCCCCATCCCCTGACAGGCCCCAGTGTGTGATGTTCCCCTCCCTGTGTCCATGTGTTCTCATTGTTCAACTCCCACTTATGAGAGAACACATGCGTTGTATTATTTAATCCTCCCAATAAGCCAATGTGTTACATACTATCATTATCCTCATTTTGCTGAGGCTTAGAAAGGTTAAGTGACTTGACATTAAGATAACACAGACAGTAAGTGGCAGAGCTGACATTACCCTGACATCAGTGTGGGGTTGCCTGACTTCCAACTGTGTGCACATAACACCTATGCAATCTGAGGCTCTATCAGGATCCTAGAAAGGCTGATAAGTTTTCTTCCAGTTCACATTTGCATAAGGATGTAAGTGGTTATGGGGAAATCTCATCAAGGAATGGTAGGCAGACTTTAATGTGATCCAACAATTCCTGCTCTTAGTATTTGTGCCCTGCATAATTCCTTCCTCTTGAGTATGGGCTGGACCAAGTGACTCACTTCTAATGAAGAAAATATGGCAAAAGTGATATGAGGTCACTTCCAAGCCTAAGTTACAAAAGAACCGTGGTTTCCATCTGGGGCCTGTTTTCTCTTGCTTTCTCTCTCACCTGCTTTGAGTGAAGCCAGGTGCCACGTTTTCAGCTGGCCTAGGAAGAAGCTTATGTGGCAAGGAGTTGATATCTCTGGCCCACAGCCAGTGAGGACTTATGGCTTACCAACAGCCATGTGAGTGAGCTTGGAAGCACATCATCCCCCAGTGAAGCCACACATCCTCATGCCCAGGGCTCCAGCTGACACCTTGACTGTGACACTGGGGTGAATGACCTCTAGGCCTCCTTTGTTCCATTTCTGGTTGCTTCCATGGCTCAGACAGAAAATGGAGTGGTAAAGTGGAGGAGGAAATGGCAGCCATAATCCAGAGGAGTGAAAGAGGTGTGGGGAGGGTAGCAGAGGCACAGGAATGGCCTCACTCATCTGCACACATGATGGCCCTGTGCAGGAGGGAGGAGGATGGAGAGGAAAGCCTCTCCTCCCAATGATGTATCGGTGGAAATGGAGCCTAATCTCAATTGTTGCTTCTTGCTCTTGTTCCAAAATCAACTGCCCTCAGTTGACAGTCATTGCATATGCCTCTTCCTTTTCCTGAGTACCTGTGGGTACACTGTCCTTCTCTTCCTTGGAAATTTAGCCCAGGTTACAGTGCTGCTGTATATGGCTCTACAGATTGTGTACTATAAAAATCCAGATGGAACCATTCATATCCTATGAGATGATTTGACAAGTCATCATCCAGAAATCTTTCCACATCATTACCACTGAATTCTCATCATTTCAGTGC
Organism: Homo sapiens; assembly: GCF_000001405.40. Lineage (NCBI taxonomy): Eukaryota > Metazoa > Chordata > Mammalia > Primates > Hominidae > Homo > Homo sapiens. The sequence continues at coordinate 67,505,231 of NC_000008.11, forward strand.
ATTAACAAATATTTGAACACCTATTAAGTGCCAAGTGTTGTTCTACATGTTGGGATTTAACAGTGAACAAGATGGATAGAGTTTCTCTTGTTGGAGTTGATACAGGAATAAGATGATAACAATATAATAGACAAAGTAAATTTAGATGTTGTAAAGAAAAGATTGCGTATGTTGGGGGTGAGGGAAAACTTTAGCTGGAATGCTGGGGAGATACATTCTCATGTTCTTCAATAATATACATGACTATATCCTATCAACAACAGATGTTCTGTACTTAACTATTTCTTTTTTTTTAACCTGAAATAGCAGACAATGTGTTGATATGTATACATTGGGTATTTGATGCAACATAATAGAGTTAATTTCTTATTAGCTTTTGCATTTGTCCTAGCAGGATGAAATAGTGTTTCAAGAGAATGCAAATTACTCAATAAACTGAGTAGGAATGTTTAGAAAATTTTATTACTCAATACTTACAAGATTAAGCATACTTTTGTGGTTTTGGTAGTGGCAGAGATATTTTGTAAATTTAGTACATTCTTGACATTTGTGAGCTGTGTTTTCTAGGACCTAGGAGAGTTTTCAAAGTTACAAATTCCACTGCAGCACATAATTTCCCCATAAAACACAGTAAAATATAACCGATATACTTAAATATCCTTTGTGTCTTTAATGGTTTTCTATAAGTACAGGGCTAACAAATTTGTAGAGTTATTTTGTGGCTAAGACCCTTCATATCCTTCGACTTTCACTTTCATTATCAGTATTAGTGGTTGGTTTTCTTTGATGTTTCCCACCCCTCAACTGCCAAAACTAAAAGTCAAGGTTAAAAAAAAAAAACCATGAAAGATATTACATTCTTGACAATGAATAGAAAAGTATCAGAACATACGAAAGTGTTGGCACAAAAGGCTGGCCCACTCTTGGGATAGGGACCCACTCAACACACTAGCTCAGAGGGCTTGTGACTCAAATGAAGCATTAAGAAAATGAGAAATCACCATGAGTCATCAACGATTAGGGTTACTGAAAAATAACTGAAACTAAGAATGTTAAATCCACAGATGCTAAAGGTCTTCTGGTATCTAAATTACAGACCTATAGCAGGAGGGCACAAGCAATCCCTTGTTCATCTCTTTATTGTTAGAGCATATGTGAAATGATTTTGAGGAGGAAGTCAAGTGATGTAGAACTTTCTGAGCTGGATATCTTGTAAGAAATTATTTTGGAACACCACAGATTGGGTTTTTAGCTGTGCCATATATGCATTGCTAGGTTAGTTCCTAATTTGTCACAAATTTAAAAAGGTTCTGAACTTCAGGTTCTTTCTCTGTAATGAGAGCTGCCAATTCCCACTTCCAAGGGCACAGGTGAGGATAAGCTGAGCCAGGGTTACAAGAGAACTTCATAAACATGAAAGCAGCCCATGGAATCAAGGTGTTACTGTTATTCAATCAGGTATCATTGGTTTCAAATTCCCACTTTGTTAAGCAGAATAAAAACACAGGGAAGCACTGACTAGCTGAAATGGACATTGTGTAAAGGGTTTAACTTACTTCTTTTACAAACCACTGACAAAAGGCAGGACCAATCCATTCTCTTGCATGAATACCACAGTCTATCCAAACAGCTCTTTTGAGTCGTGATCGTCTGCCCAGCTGAAAACAAGAGCATTCACAGTAACCAACTCAGGCTTTTAGATTCACTGACCAGCATAATTTAATAAGGTTTCAGCATAATTCTTCACTGTAGTGTGGTTCATTAGGTAATGCATAAAAAGGACAAAGGGAGTTCCTATCTATCTCGAAAGTCCAGGCTTCTTTATGCAGAAACAATATATTTATTGTCCTAATTATAATAAAAGAACTAGAAAGTACAAAAGGAAAAGGAAAATCCCTAAATAGGTTGCTTCTTTATTTTTAAAATTTTTTAATTTTAATTAATTAATTAATTTTTAAGAGCTGAGTTCTTGCTATGTTGCCAAGGCTGGTCTTGAACTCCTGGTCTCTTGCAATCCTGCTGGCTCAGCCTGCTTCTTCATTGTAATATAGTATGTGACTGTTAAGTAAAAAGCTAAGTCCTCCCTCATCCCCTTTCTCTTTCCATCCCAAGGAATATTTCTTAAATAATAGCTATATTTTATAGGTGGATAAAGTCAAATTTTATTATACCACGAAATGAAAACATAAAACAACTTGATTTCTAGAATCAAGTGGTAGATTTTTCTTTACAATCCTACCATATCAATATTACTTTTAACCTGGTTGCTAACCGAGAAATCAATAGGAGATCCTGACATTATAATTACAGGGGATCTAATTTTCATTCATTCATTAATTCACTTCACAAATATTTCAGGAAATCCTTTTTAATGTCAGACATCGTGCTCAGTACTGGAGATTCAAACATGAAAATACAAGGAATTTATACACTAGTGGAGAGGGCAAACATGTAAGCAATCAATCAACCATTATGATGCGAATATCAATAAGTTACCATGGGAACATAAGAGTGTTATGTTGAATTTTCCTAAGTAATAAAATGTGGCTTCTCAGAAGAGGAGCACTTGAGTACTTCAGCAAGACATAAAGCTTGTTTGGCAGACAAGTTGGAGGAAGGCCTCTCAATCCTGGAAGAGAATCTGAGCGCACCATATTGGAGGAACTGTGCCTGCAGTTTGAGGAAGGAACAGCAGATAAAGCTCAAAGTGGATTCCCTGGATACTAAATAAAAGAGATGAGGCTTCCTCCTGTATTCTATGGGGTGCTTTGTGTGTGTGTGTGTGTGTGTGTGTGTGTGTGTGTGTGTGTGTGTGTGTCTGTTTGCTTGCTCATGTTTGAGGGCTCATATTGGCAGCAGTGTGGAGGATGGATTAGAGCATGAGAGGGTCAAGAATGGGGGCTCGAAGGAAGCTCAGTACTGAGGCCACTACTGCAATAGTCCAGGGAGAACAGGCACAGAGAGAAGTTAGGGTAATAGCTATGAGGACAAGAGAAGCAACTGGGGCAGATATAAAATATTCAGAAGAAAAAATGGTCAGCTTTTGGTGGTAATTTAAAGTGAATGGTTAAAGGAGAGGAATTTAGGATGATGTCCATGTTTCTGAATTGGGAGGAGAGGGATGCCATTCTGAATCTGAGGTGCTTTTCTGAATATCCAGGGAAGAGTGTCAAGCAGGCAATGGTGGGTGAATTTAAGGTTCCAGAGGGTGGACTGCAATGGATACAGAGGTCTGGGATGACTATTGAAATTATGGGCTAGATGTGCCTGTCTAGAGAGTGTCTGTGGTATGAAAGTAAGGCTGAGGATAGATTCTCAGGGATTACCTGAACCTAAGGAAAGGATAAGGGGAAAGGAGGCAGTGAGTGAGACCCAGATGGTCAGAGAGACAGGAGGAGAATCAATTAGGAGTGGTTGCTGGCCTTGGAAAGAAGTTTTAGAAGAGTTGTAGGGGCAAAGGCTGGTGAGTCAAAGTCTGAATGATAGGAGAGGAAGTAGAGATGATGATTAGAGGTAAGTCTTTTTAGAAGTTTGGCTGAGAAAGAATAGAGAGCTATAGGTCAGTAGACAGAAGAGAATGCAGGGTCAAGGGATGAATGAGAATAATACATAGCTTCTGCATTAGTTAGTTCTCATGTCGCTATAAAGAACTACCTGAAACTGGGTAGTTATAAATAAAAGAGGTTTAATTGGCTCACAGTTCCGTAGGCTGTACAGGAAGCATGGCTGGGGAGGCCTCAGGAAACTTAGAGTCATGGCAGAAGGAGGAGAGGAAGGAGGCACAGCTTACATGGTGGAGCAGGAGGAAGAGAGCGAAGGGGGAAGTGCTACACACTTTTAAACAACCAGATCTCATGAGAACTCACTATCACAAGAACAGCAAGGGGGAAATCTGCCTTCATGATTCAATCACCTCCCACCAGGTTCCTCCCACAACTTTGGAAATTACAATTTGAAGTGAGATTTGGGTGGGGACACAGACCCAAACCATAGCAGCTTCTTATACATTTAAATAGTTTTGCATTGGTTCACCTCAGGCAGCACCAACTCACAAATACTTCGCATCAATAACTGAAAATGTTGGCAAAAGTATTCTCTGAAATATCCAATGGCAAAAATGAAATATGGTTCAGAAACCTAAGGGAAAGTATTTCTGAGATTATCAGATGATGTTAAATATGAGACTCTATAAAAGATCATTTCATTTCTTTTCCCATAGGTTAAAGTTGAAAAAGATGGATATTTGGTAAACATTATGTATTTACACAGCAATTGCTTATTTTTACCTTTAAAATAAAAAGAGATCTTCCCTCATATGATCTTCCAATAGAGAACATGTGAATGAGGCCTGAGTGAGTTTTATTCAGATGATGCATCCAATTTTGAATCTAAGAGCAAATAAATAAAAACTATGTTAGACTCTCTCAAAATAATGGAGCTTTTAGAGAACAAAAGGAAACAAAAAGACAACAGTAGTTCTCCGAATTCAAGGAGTGCACATGGAATATAAAATTGAACAAAAAACCTACTTCTTATTTTTAATTTTCTTTGGGATACTTAAAATTACATTTAATTTTCTGCCTTTACAGATAGTAGCTTATGTCTTTATATAGTTCTTCCATTAAAGCATACCTTCTACTACCATATATCATTAATATACGGGTAACAGATTTTTATAAAAAATTGATGTGTTCTAGTTTTTTTGAAAATCAGAATTTATTTCTATTTTCCACAAGTATTTAAGAGGTAAAGAAATAAATCAACTTTAGGAAAACTGTCCAAACTACTTGAAAGTGTTTCTTAAAGTCCCATATATTACAATTTGCCACTGAAAGAAAATGCTAAGAAAAAGGCATTATCTTTTTCCATTTAAAGGTTCTTTTACTGAGCTACATATCAGAGGGCAAACTCTGAATAATTTCTCCAGTGATAGTGATACATTTGCATTGATCCATTCATATACACTTATCTGTCATCAGGAAAAGATACATTTGAATGAATAAGGTACTTCATTCCTGACTTAAAAGCCTTATAAGGTGTAAAAAAACAACACAAAAGTGTCCTACCATTTTATGGTATAAAAGGATCAGTGCTGAAAAAATAGCTAAATATATTCAGGAAAGTACCCATATATTCTTTTCTTTCTATTCTTATTTAATCTAATGAGCAGGATATATGTGTGTGTGTGTGTGTGTGTGTATACACATACATTATGCATATCTATATTATATTTGTAAAATTTGACTGTTTTCTAGTGCATGTTAACAGTACTTCTGTGTGCAAAGTTATCTAAAACCTTTCTATTGCTTCTAATTTTAAGCTTCCAAAACATGTTTAGACATGAAATATGTGGAGATAATTTTGAAAGGAGAGTTGTTATCAAGAGAACCAAAAACCGTCTTAAGAATAGAGCAGCATCTCATTTATTTTATGTCTGGCATTCCTTTGTTCAATTCAGAGGAAGCATGGAAAATGTATGATTCATTCATTTATTCCTCTGTCAACAACTATGTATTTGGAGGTCACTGTTTGCCTGCCACTGGAGTTACAGCGGTGAATAAGAAAGAAGTGGCCTGCGCTCATGGAACTTGTAGCTTATTAGAGGTGAAAGGCATTAATCAAATACTCACATAATTACATAATTAAAAACTGTGATAGGTATCACATCCTTGTGCTATGGGGGCATGTAATTCACTAGGTGTTGGTGGAGGAGGGGTTTAATCCAATCTGGGAGAATAGGAACAGCTACCTTTTTGCTTAAGCTGAGATTTGCAGAACAACAACCTGTCCAGGTGAATAGTAAAGGATGTGACAGTGTGGATGAGGTGGCTGTCAGTTCTCCAGGTAGGATAAAAAAGCATGCTCAAAGGTGCAGAGATGCCCCAAATGAAGCTTTGCCTTTGAGAGGTCTCAACTTTGCAGAGGGTACAAGTAAGGTCCACTTTATTCATCATTTCCTCAAACTCTGGTTAGCTTTATGTTTCTTGGCTTGTTAGTGAAGGCCATTATAGCGATAATTATAGCAACATTTCCTCACTCTTCCATTGTGCTTCCTATGTCCTATGTAAAAGTGGTATGGGTAAAGCAAATGAAATTAAAATTATTTTGATACTTCTTATATACCATCAAAGACTTAATAGAAGAGATAAGGTGCCTGGGCCATGTAAAAGCTACATATATTCTTCACATAGTACCTTCTCTGTCTTTATGCTTCTCCCCTAGAAGCATAAAACACATAATTTTCTCCCTTAGACCTAAATGATAAAGATGACTCTGTGAAAAACCAGAAAAAGCTCTTTTGATTACATACTTCTTCTAAGGAGTGATAAACTTCATAATTATATCCAGAGAGGGATCTTCGGTTTCTCTGGGTGTGCAAGCTGCTTCCCTTCTCCAGTGTTTTCTGAAGATCTTCTATGAGGACCCTGAATTTGGAATGACAGACATGATGAAAAGTAAATTGAGATATTGCAAAAATCAGGCAACACCCAGAAAAAATCATATGCATCTATGTAAAGAAAGACTGTGGTGATCAATATTCCTAAAAATACCAAATGTTGGGAAAATGTTATTTTTCAGGAAATGAAAACTGTTAAATAAGTGGTATAATGAATTTAACATGTAAAATTATAGGCAGATATCCTCAAGTGATAGTAGTAGTAACAATAGCTACTGCTGATTTGCAGCTGCAACAACCGAATGATGACTACGAGCACTTAGATTTACTGAGTACTACTTACCTACCAGCAGCCAGGCACTGTGCTGTGTCTTTTATGTACATAATCTTAGCTAATAGCCCTATAGTCTATGTGGTAGATTCTCTTGTTATTGGTATTTATAAAATGGGGAAACTGAGTCTCAAAAGGGTTAAGAACTCACCAATATCCCTCTACTGGTCAGTGCCAAGCCAGAATTTGAACTTGGAAGGTGAACCCAAATTCCAATCTTGAGATTCTAAGTCCAGGGTCACTTCATGAAAACTGAGCCTAGGCTTCTCTTCCATGCCCTTACCACTTTCTTTTTCCTGCTGCTTCTTCCTGCACACATCCCTTCCATCACCAAGAGACTATGCTCATGTCACTACCCAGCACCCCTGACCCAAGACAGAGAGAAAAGGGAAAGGGGAAAAGAAGCTACAGTCCTCAAGAGGAAACTGAAGAAATACCCAGAGTTGGAAAAAGCGATTTCACTGCCTGCCAGCATCAAGAATGCCAAGAGAAGAGAAGCTCAGCCAATTATAGTGAATGCATTTGGAAATTAAAGGCTGAGGCCAGGGCGGGGATTCCAGGCTTTGTGGAACCAGCTCCAGGCAGAGTCATTAGTGTTCTTGATGTGACATGTGAGTTAGATAAATACAGGCCTGTCTTCTCAATGCTCACCAGCCTCCACTAACTAGAGTTTCACACAGTAGCAAAGCACTTCAGTCATTTGCATTACTTAAAGATGTTAGAAAGCCCCCCAGTGATTTTCCTGGGCCTGGCAGGTAGCTAAAAAGCTTTGCTTTCATATTTTATTTTCCAAAAGAACCTGTTGTTTAATGGTTTAAGTGCTATTAAAAGAACATATAATGGCATCTTTAAATAATTTCAAGGCTGAAAGTTATTTAAAGCCTTTAATATTAATGTTTAAAAATTATTTTAAAAAATTATATTGAATCACCTAAAGAAATATTTTCCATTCTATGAAGAAAGTAAATTAACTTAGGGTCATACTGGGTATAGGACATTCTTTTTCATTTACTCATTTGTTATTTATTGAGCACCTACTATGGACAAAACACTTAATCAGGAATTGATCATTGACTTACTGCTTTTTTTGTTTCAATTTTTGATTTTAAAACTGAAAACATTTTAGAAATCGAGGTAAGGTGAGGTGGCTCAAAGCTTGGTTAAGTCCCTGATGGCTGCTTGCAGTGGCTCAAAATGTGAGTGGGAGGTTGTTGTTAGTCTGAACACCATCTGTATTAGTGCTTTCTTTTTTACCCTCAAAGTAGGAAGTTACAGATGATTAGGCTTGTATGGGCTAAAGAATTTTACAATATTGCTAAAGTAAGTCTTGAGCCAAATGAACCTCCATGTCAATTTTCTAACTTCCTTGTGTTAGGAGAGAATCTGGGATGGTCAAGAGGGATACGAGTTTGACTAGGGCTGGGGTAATTATAAATTGTCAACGTATTCCAATACTGCAGGGAACCTTCAGTTATATTACCGTCACCAAAATCATCTATTATTTCTCCTGGCTACTTTTTTCGATCCCCAGAAACTAAGGAAAAAAAAATGTAGACAGATTTGCCAAAGGCGGAAATCTATACCAGAATCTCCTTCTGAATTTCCAGTTGTTAAAGTCTGTGGTACTTTGTTATGGCGGCCCCAGCAAACTAACCCAGGTCTCTGTTCAGTAACTTACATTGCACCCAAACGCAGGCCCTAGGAGATCAACCTTAAATTAAAAAATAATTGTGACACTGGAGGTCAAGTCCCATCTTCCTTGTTAAGTGATTGACTAGAAACTGGCGTATCGATGACAAGGCTGTGAAATGGAGTCTCAGAACGGTCTTTGTAAACTGTTGTAGTTTCTTACTTCTTCACAGCCTGTGATGATTCCTACCCCAGTTGTGTATATTCCTGTAATGGTGACTAGAACTATTCTAAACTTTCTGAGTGATGCCATTACTCAGTACAAAACCACCTCCCCAAAGTTTCCAGGTTGGGGAGGGACCCTCAAAACATAGAAAATTTTTTTTTTTTTTGAGGAGTCTTGCTCTGTCACCCAGGCTGGAGTGCAGTGGCGTGAACTCGGCTCACTGCAACTCCATCTTCCAAGTTCAAGCGATTCTCATGTCTCAGCCTCCCGAGTAGCTGGGATTACAGCCACGCACCAACATGCCTGGCTAATTTTTGTATTTTTAGTAGAGACCGGGTTTCACCATGTTGGCCAAGCTGATCTTAAACTTCTGACCTTAGCTAATCCACCCGCCTTAGCCTCCCAAAGTGCTGGGATTACAGGTGTGAGCCACCACGCCTGATCAAAAAATAGAAATTTCATCACCAACGTTTACAGGTATTTACTTTATAGAATAACCAAAATGTTTTATGGTAGAATGAATCATTTCATAGAGGGGAATTGATCACCTAGGGGCCAGACACATGAGGTCACATTATCTCCACTTTAAAAATCACTATAGCTATACATTATGTATTCTTGTACAGAGTAAATGACAATCTTTTGAAAATACTCCAGGCTACAGTACTAAAAGTCAATTAAAATGATCTCTACCTACTGGGCCCGTGGAATTTAATTGTCTCATATGTTATTATCTTGGGACCAATGAAATGAATAATTCTAAATGACTGTTCTCCAGTGAAGAGGCAACTGATTTAAAACACTCATTTTTTAGACTTTATTCTCTGTGACATAAAGTGTGATATTTTATTCTATATCAGTTCCACATGACCTATATTTAATGACAGGAAATAGAGACTTGTTAAACTAACCGGTATATTCTTTTCTACTGAATAGTAATTAATGAAGCATGTGAGTGGTTACTGAGCACCTATAGATATAATTGCCAAGCTGTTTCCTGTCAGGCATTCAGAGAATCAGATCAGGTCTTCAAAGCTACAACAATGACTAAAATGTGTCCAGTAGGAACAATAGTTTTATGCACAGCTGCGATTCTGTTCTAGAAGCATAGATAAAATACCTTTCTGTAAAAAGCATATCAGTACGTTAATAAAGCTGTAGATATCCTTCTGGCAGGGCAGTCTCTGTGTGGACCAGGGATGTCACTGCCATTTGGCAACCCTTGGCTCAGCCCTCTAGAGAGACTGGGCCCTCACTATTAACTCACAGACCATCAGCCCACCCCAGGCCCTAGGCCCTCCCAAACCCCAAAACTCTGTGCCAGTTTTGACAGTACAACAACCTGCTAAAAAGTTTGGGTAGTTGGAGTGGTCACTTACACGCATGCCTTTCAACCCCCAAATCTTAGGATTCGCAGCAAAGGGTAAGTCACTCCCTCCTTCTCTATCTCATCTCATTAAGTCACCACACTGCACTTCTCCTAGATTTTCCACTGATGTCCCTTCTCGCCTCCACCTGCTTTTCCTTGTGCCCACTGGAGTCTCCCTTCCTTTGTAAATGAACTTCCTACATTCTCTAGCCTCTTCAGGGAACTCTCTTTTCTCATATTCTTGCCGCATCAGACATTTGACTCTTTAAAGGATACACATTCTTTTGTGGCTTTCTATTCCCATCTCCCTCTCCACCTGCCTACCGTGGGGCATAAGGGAGGAAGGTCAGCGTATTCTCTTATACGCCGTGAATCTTCTCGCTTCCAGGGAAAGCTCATCCTCTCTGCAGCGTCATGCCACTTCTTGCTGCTTTCCTCGAACTCTTGGCCTGCCTTGATGTTCCTGCCCCAGAAGTACATTTTCTCCCACCTCCTCTAATCTTGCCATCAGCCAAGGAGATTCAGGATGATTCTCTGGTGATTTAGGCTACCTGTTCTTGACTGCACCAGCCTCAAAGATATCCACACAACACTCCCCTTCAATAATCTCTGTGGCTACCCTGTGGATCTTGTCACGAGCCATAAACATTCTACCCCCGGACTCTGAGCATCCAACTACTCACATTTTGTCAGAACTTCTTTCCTTCTCATTTGTTTTCCTCAGTAACTCTACATTGTTTTCAATACAAAGACCTTAATATCTTCCCTGATTCTTCCACTTGGCCCCCTCATCCGTCCTAGATGCTCCTGCCTTCCAATCCATATTAGACCCAGGGATGAATACTTGAACTATTATTTCACTGAGGACCTCAACTTTCTCGCCACCCTGACCTTTCCATGGTTCTATCCAACAGAAACTCAGCTCTGTATCAGTGTCACACTCTCTCTTCTCTGCAACAACCACCTCTCTTTGTTCATACCCCAGTTTTTCTCTTGGTAATACCCTTTAACCCCTCCTTCCTTACTTTCAGTAGATAACTTTGCTTCTTCATTCATCCAGAAAATTTAGCCATTGGCTGTAATCTTTTTTGACATGTCCACTTTCCTCTCTACAGTCTTAAGTAGATCCACCACATTTATCTCTTCAGTTTTAGAGAATGAGGTATCCTTCCTACTGTTCAGACACTCTTCTTTCTGCACATTCTCTCTGGCATCATCGATGTCTCCCTCCCTACAGGCTCTTCCCTCAGCCTACAAATACACCAAGATTTCCCCCTACACAAACAAATCCCAAATCTACCAGTTAGGGATCAGTGATGCATCTCCTCCCAGTCACTTCTCATTCTCTGCTTCGCTAATTCTAACTGCTAAGAACAGGAATGGACTCTGCTGCTGTGTGTTCTCACCTCCTGTTCACATCTGTGTCTTCTAATGCAAACATTCTAATCCACCTTTAGAGTCACCAATGTTCTTTCTATTGCCAGATCCAAAGGAAACTCATTGTTCCTTTTATTGCTGGATATCACTGCAGCACTTGGTACCCTGGACCCATCTCTTTCTTTAAAGTCTTTCTTTTCTTTTTCAGCTCCTCTGACTGTCTTCCACTTGCTCTTTTCTTTTTTTTGAGACAGTGCAGACAGCCTGCACTCTGTTACCCAGGCTGGAGTGCAGTGGCGCGATCTCAGCTCACTGTAACCTCTGCCTCCGGGGTTCAAGTGATTCTTCTGCCTCAGCCCCCCGAGTAGCTAGGATTACAGGCACGTACCACTACACCCAGCTAATTTTTGTATTTTTAGTAGAGACAGGGTTTCACCATGTGGAACATCCTGGTCTTGAACTCCTGACCTCAGGTGATCTGACCACCTCAGCCTCCCAAAGTCTGGGATTCCAGGCGTGAGCCACCGCACCCGGCCCCACCTGCTCTTTTCTTACTGCTCTAACCATTTTTTTTTTTAAAACCAACCCTCAAAATATCTAAATCTGTTCTAGTTTGTCTACTCAGTTACCCAAGCTAGAAAACTTGGAGTCATCCTTTCACTTCTTCCTTTACTACTTACTGTCCAACATGAGGAGAGTCTGCTCTGAAATATTTTTTTAATGCTCTCGTGATCCTACTATTCTGGTCCTACTCAGAGCCTCACTCCCTCTTCCCTGGACTAGTGTTTCCTATCCCCTTCACCCCGCCCCACTAACATGTGCCTCCTTTGCAATGGGGCAGCACCATCCACAAGACTAGGTCTGAGCTCCTGCCCCTGCACATAAGATTTCCCACAATCTGAACTCCCTGTTTCTCCAGCATCATTTCTTTCTGCCCTCTGACTTGCACTTCATACACTAACCACTCTGCACTTGCATGCTGCTTCTTCCTTTGCTTGTGTGGTCTCCTCTGCCTCTGCCTGGCTGGCATAGCTCCTGCAGAAAGCCTTTTCCACTCCTGCCTTCTCATCCACCCTCTAGGCCTTGCTAGGCTGCTCTCCTTTCTTCACAGAAAAAGGTCTATCTTTTCACTGATCACTTAGTGGTAACAGTGAATAGTGAAATGAAAGGTCCACATCGTTGCTCCCATCCCCCATTGGACTAATAAGCTCTTCAAGGTGAATATATTCATGTCAGTTTTCCCCATATGAAAAATTGTACCCAAAACACTGTTGTAAGTACTTGATAAATAACCTAAATACAACTACCATTTGGTTCAGTTTAGTACCAATAAATTTTATAGCAAGTGAAAAGGAATGCTTACTTGTACTGGATGTTGGCTTCCTGTAAGAAGGCTAACAGGGCTCGGGAACCATTTTGGGGGATATGGACATCAGTAACTGTTCCCTCTGATACATAGGAGATACTGCTGGGCTGCCACAGGTCCACCTGTAGTGCAGGAACCAACCTATAATTCATATCCAACGTAGGGGGGGAAAATCTGTGTCACAATGTCAAACACATTCTTTTGTTTGCATATAGTAACACCAAACATATTTTGGAATTAGACTTAATGCTTGCATCATCAGGGTAAAACTATTTGATCTTGAATTTGAGTTTCCAAATTATATCATATCCATATAGAATTTGATCATAATTTGCAAATAATAGTTTGAAGACCAATATATTAAAGCTACAAGGTAAAAATGAGATAAAATAGTTTTAGGTATAATTTTGATATGGTTTTAAAATTATTTGCTATGCAAATACTTGAATAATTGTAAGAAAAAAAGATATAAATCACCCTTCATCCTACCACATAAGAACACTGTGGTAGCTGGGGAGTATTTGGTAATTTCAAATGGAACATTCTCTCATTCTTGGTCTTTTTTTTCTTTTTCTTTTCTTTTCTTTTTTTTTTTTTTTGAGACAGAGTCTTTCTCTGTCACACAGGTTGGAGGGCAGTGGCGTGATCTCAGTTCCCTGCAATCTCTGCCTCCTGGGTTTAAGCAATTCTCCTGCCTCAGCTTCCTGAGTAGCTGGGATTACAGGTGCATGCCACCTGGTCCAGCTAATTTTTGTATTTTTTTTTAGTAGAGACAGGGTTTCACCATATTGGCCAGGCTGGTCTTGAACTCCTGACCTCAAGTGATCCACCCTTCTTGGCCTCCTGAAGTGCTGGGATTACATACGTGAGCCACGGTGCCCCACCTAGATGGACCATTCTCTAGGTGCCTGCTCTTCCTCCAACACATGCCTTTCTCCAATTCCTACTCAGCCTTCACTTGTCAATATAAACATCCCTTTTCAAGGAAGACTTGGCTGCTAGGGTAGGTCTCCTTGTCATAGTTTTTAGAGCACCTGGTGCTTCTTTCTTGATGTAGCTTCCTCTTGCCAGAATGTAAGCTCCGGGAGGGCAAAGCGTTTGCCCATTTGGTTACCACCCATCCTGGAACAGTGCCTTGTGTAAATTAGCCACTCAGTGTTTGTTGCAAGAGTGTAGACCTCCCCCTTTGTAGTAATTCACTACATGTTCAGTATTTTGCAGGAAAGCAGAAGCCACATCTGTTTCCTTACTATAGTGTCCCCAGTGCCTTAGCCAGTGCTCTGCACCTGGTAGGAGCTTGGCCTTCATCAAAGGCACAATGGAACGCAGATGGAAGGGACGAGAGCCCTATCTCTGCAGGAGTTTGGAGCATCATTTCTAATTAGGCACAGTTTGTCTTCACAGTCCTGCCTCTGTCTACCTCTGACTGCTCTGGGCCTCCCTCTTCCTGCATCTCCAGTCTTGGAGGATGCTGCAGGGCCTTGATCTCTGCTAAGCCCTTATCTGATAAGGTTTAGTAACTTTATCTTCACTTAAGTATCAGTGCCTGCATTCTGTTAGGAACTCTAGAAGACCAAAAATACTTTGTGACTCAGGAAAATAAACTTCTAATGATACAATTTAGCCTGGAACAGGGTAGAGAGGCTTTTATTTTGGGGACAAAGAGTCTACCTGTTTTCTTTCATGCAGCTGACTCCTCCACTCGCTTGCAAGGGCAAATCTGACTCAGCTAACATGCCAGTCCAACAATCAGCGCACAACGGAAGTGTGAGGCTGGAAGGGATGCTGAGAGGTCATTCAATCCATCTGTCAGCCCTTGGGCAAGGACATATCTAGGACTGCACCAAACTCTCCCCAATAGGTGTGTCTAAACCACATCTTTTAGGTCTCCAAATAGAGGAGAGTCAACAATATCCTAAATGAACTCATTCACATTTAACAAGATTGTCAGGCATTTTTCTTAATCCCTTCTATTGCAGCATAGTTTCTTTTTCTATTTTTTTATTTATTTTTATTTTTTTGGCGTTCTATTCTTCAGTGAGGAATAGCTGGTTTCTTGCCTTTATAAGAAAAAGCATGTTGGTATCTTTCACTTTTCTTTATATATTAGATTTTCGAATCCTTTAGAAGATCAAATCTTTGGGACTTGCCTCTAAACCCATTACAGAGGCAGATTTTTTTATATTAAGGATAACAGTTTGCTGCCACCCCTTAATGCCAGTGGATATGAGGAAATTGTGCTGTATTCAGATAGAGAGGCACAGGTAGCTAAAATAATATGAATTACCACTCTGGAGATGAGTCTATAAGTGCTATTTTCTGGGGTACATGCTGAAGTAAGAATCTTCATCCCACAGAAGAGAGCAGCTTCTCCACAGGAAAGTTCCATGAAATGGACCCTACAGCAAGGCTTGGAGAAAGCTTCCTGGGAAACTTTCTCACAAAGTGTGCTCAGAAATGTGCTCGGAAAGCTGTTGGCCTAAAGGACAACTGATAAAAAAGAATTTGCAAAATCAGGAATTCTATTTTGTTGTGATATTAGGAAAGTAAATGAAAATGAATTATTAGTTTTTCTCCAGTAATATTTTAAGGAAAGGGTATTTGAATAAGCAGCATGGATATTTCAGTCAGGGTGGTGGCAGGCAGGTGCCTATAGAAGACTTACGGGACAGTAATTACCATCTGAGATTTATAATGTTTCATCTACTTTATAGATATCTTTAATCTTTTCAATAACACTTTGAGGAGGAATTAATTGTAGATACATTTAATGAAGGAGAAGATTCAGGTTCATAGAGGCTAAGTCACTTTCCCAAGGTTGCACAGGTACAAAATGGCCGATACAAGACATGCTTAACAGCAGTGTCCGTAATTTACTGACCCAGTTCATGTCTTCAGGATCTTCCGAGAATATGCCAGAAAAATAAGCATCTTCCAACTTCCTGACCTAGTATTTGGGGAGGTCTGGTCAGTAGGTCTCACATTCTGGTCTTTCCTGTGGGGTTATTTGTCCCATAAATTCATATGCAGGTATTTCAAGGTTCTAATCAGCCCCCTGTGTGTAAGTTCCTATCAATAGTTTCCTTAGGGCCTGATCACATCTGGATGAGATAATTAGTAGTTCTGAACTGCAAAGCTCTGTGATTCTGGGCTACAACATAACAAAAGTATCAAGAACCTTATCAGGATGGTCCAAGGCTGTTTGCCAACCATTCCAGGTATTTGCTGCAAGCAGCCATCTGATACTCCACAGGAAAGGATACCTCTTTGTAGAGCCTTCTGGCCTAGGAACCTGGTGACTATTCCCGTGTGTTCTTTTCCTCACATGATTACTAGTCACATATATACAGACATATTTAAGAGGCCAAGGTATTTCAGTGTCTTGCTCAATCTGACAGCCATGGGCTGGAATCCTAGCTCTGGCAGCATTGGCTATTTGACTTTGGGGAGGTTAACATTTTAACATTTCTGAGCCTCAGTATCCTCATGTGTACTGTGAAGATAATCTTAAAAACATACCCAGCAGGCTTTCTTGGAGGATTAATTGGAATCATAGAAGCAAAATAGCAGAGGGTCACATAGTAGGAGCTCAAAGGATAATCACTGTTTCTTATTATTGCTATTTGAAAAGCATATGAAAAGAAGGGCTGAGGTTCTTTTGAAAAGCTGAGGCTATTTGAAAAGCATATGAAAATAAGGACAGAGTTCAACTTCGTATGGTTAAGATGAAGAACATGGTGAGATTGTGTCCCCATTCAGAGAGATTAAAACCTAGAGATGGCTTTAAGGGTATGGGGGCAGGAAGCAATAAATAAACGAAAAATATAAACAGTTGCAGGAAAGTTTCCTAGCACAAAGTCAAATGGCTGAATTAGAAGCCACTATAGTGGTGATGAATTCCATGGGCCCTGGAGTCTGACTCCCTACGATCTGATCTAGGTTCCCATTTAGTCTCTGTGTGATTTTGGGAAGTTTCCTTAACTTTCTGGGCCTTGCTTTCTTCTTTGGTAAATTGAAGATGATAATTATATCTTCCTTATTGGTCAATATTTAATAATGTTAGTAGTGATAGCGGCAGGAGACAGACAAATTCCTAGGCAGACAGGGACAGGTACCCGGTGAAACCCGATCTTCATGCCAAACACAGCCTGAAGCCTGAAAACCAAGCTGTCAGTTCTGGGTGGAGTCCAAGAGCTGAGTGAGAACTTCCTTGATGCCTTTTAGCTAATTAAATTAAATGGTGCTTTTTTCAGGCCCGCCCATGGACCAATCAGCATAATTGGTCCCCCATTCTGAGCCCATAAAAACACTGGACTCAGCGTCACAGATGGCTACCCACTTTCAGGCCCCCTCTCACACAGTGGGCTACCCACTTCAGGTCCCCTCTGGTGTTTAGAGTTTCCTGTGGCTCAATAAAATTTTTCTCTGCCTTGCTCACTCTCCAGTGTCAGTGTACCTCATTCCTCTTAGTCATGGGACAAGAAGCTGGAACCCACCAAAGAACTGTAACACATGCTCCTGCTCACTGAGCTACAGGAGTGAGAAAAAACTGCTGGGTGTTAAATGCCCCCGTTCACCGAGTTGCAGGCGCAGGACTGAACAAGCTATGACATGCTGCCATTCTCTGAGCTGCGAGGCGGTGGGAATGAGTGAGCTGTGACACACTCCCATTCACCAAGCTACCAATGGCAAGAAAAAGAGAAAGCTGTAACACTTCTTGGGGGCTCAGACCTTGGGACTCCCTGGGCGAGAGCTCTAACATCCCTGGGGCTTCACTGTTGCTGGCATCTCCCAGTTTTTGGGTGCCATTGCATTCCTCTCATCCAGATGCTGGCGCCCAAGGTGGAAGCCAGTTGCAGCATGCCTGGTCCAGCCACAGGCTGTGGTGGATGCAGTGGGCAGGCGTGGGATCCAGGCTGGGGCACAAGCTGAGCACAACCTACTGGGCTGAGTGGGTGGAGTGGGCCTGGCGGCCTGAGTGAGACCTTGGGCAGAGGTCACAGTGGCTGCAGAGATTTCTGGCTGACAAAGTGGTACCGAAGGAATCCTATAATAGTAGTAGTTATTTTTGTTACCATTATCATGGAGATTACAGTGATTATAGAAAATGCAGTGATTAGGGTGTGAATTCTATAGCCAGGCAGCCTGGGTTTGAATCCCAGCTCTGCCACTTGTAGGCTGTTTTACTGCAGGCAATCTACTTAGCTCTCTGCACTTCAGTTTCCTCATTTATTAAATGGGACTATAAATAGCATATTTTAAATATATTTGTTAGGCTTAAATGAATACATACACACAAAGTACCTAAAATAATGCTGGTGGGCTGGCCGTGGTGGCTCACACCCATAATCCCAGCACTTTGGGAGGTAGAGGTGGGCGGATCATGAGGTCAGGAGATTGAGACCATCCTGGCTAAAACAGTGAAAGTCTGTCTCTACTAAAAATATAAAAAAATTAGCCAGGCGTGGTGGTGGTCACCTGTAGTCCCAGCTACTTGGGAGGCTGAGGCAGGAGAATAGTGTGAACCTGGGAGGCAGAGCTTGCAGTGAGCTGAGATGGTGCCGCTGCACTCCAGCCTGGGGGAAAGAGTGAGATTCCATCTCAAAAAACAAAAACAAAAACAATAACAAAAGTCCTGGTGACTTGGAGCATTCATTAAATGATAAATAATTCAAAATTCAAAAAAAATTCTTTGCAATGAAAAGAAGTCATAATTCCGCTGAGCACCAATGTCATGGCTCTTGGTTCTTGTGCTGTGCTTACTTATTGGCCTGGCCTACTTCTGAGAAGCACTTGCCTATCTTTTAGCCCAGGGCTAATTACACACCTGGTTCAGGTACCATGGGATGGGGCTCTCAGTGTCCTCCAGAAGCTTCAGTGTGAGTCCTATACACAGATGTGGGAAGATGTGTAAGGTGCTCTGTCAACTTGGTAACAGATGGCTGGCTTCCTAGCTGCCCAAAATAGCACAGAAGCACTTTCCTGCTCTATATTTATTCTCAGTTTTTGTTGGTTTGGAAAAGGGTTAGGCAGGGCACTTATGTGCCATGTCATAGGATTCTGAGTAAGAAAACTTGATATCAAGTTTGTCTTCGACTAGTGTTTAATTTAGACAATCATATCAATTCAATATTAGTTTACACAAAATCTTAATATCCTGCAAAGTACCTTATTTACTCTTAAAATTCTTTTTGGGCTGCACCCATTTAGCTTTCTTGGATCTTCGTTTAGGATCTTTTGCTATGGATTCTTGGAGAGCTTCTCTACCCTCCAAGTTTAGGTCAAGGTATGTTTGTTGTCTGCTTTCATAGAATTTTTTTTCACAGTCCATAACTTTTAATTATGTCTCATTTGCATCAGTAATTGTTATGAGTTTCCTAGGGCCGTCATAACAAATTGCAAAAGCTGGGATGGTTTAAAACAATAGAAATCTATTCTCTCACAGATTTAGAGTCCAGAAGTCCAAAATCAAGGTGTTGGCTAGGCTGTGCTTTCCCAGAGGCTCTAAGGGAGATTTCTTACTAGCTGTTTCTAGCTTCTGGTGGCTCTAGGCATTCCTTGGCATGTGGCCACATCACTCCAGTTTATGCCTCCATCTTCCCATGGTCTTCTCTTCTGTGTCTTCTCCTCTTCTGTCACTTGTCCAGGATGACCTCATCTCCAGATTCTTAAGTACATTTGAAAAAACTTTTTTTGTTTTTTTGCAAATCAGGTCACATTCACAGGTCTTGAATGTGGTTAGGACTCGGACATACCTTTTTTGAGGACACCATTCAACCTACTACAATTGTAATGTTAATATTTGTTTCCCCCATTCTCTGTGACAGTAGGGACTGATATATTTTCTTTAAATATATCCTCTCTCCAAGATTTCTCTAGAGCATTTCTAGATTCTGAATCCTATTTCCCCTTACCATGGAATTGACAAGGTAGTCCACTTGAATTTTGTCCACTCATCCCATTTCTCAACTTACATGTCCTTAATTTTGAAGTTTTATTACATTTAGGTATAATCCTAGACTATACTGCTTCATAGGTTACAGTACTATATTGTTTTCTGATGACTGTAACAGCCACCGTAGTCACACAGTTAAAGAAATGCTTACTTTTCACTGTATTATTTTTCCTTGCTCTACTTATGACTTGCCAACATTTCAAATATTGGTGGGCTGCTGACAGGGAAACTTGGCCAAAGATTATGGTCTTCTGTGAACCAAAGGTTCAGGTTAGGTTGTTGAAATTCTGGGACTAATTTTACATAGGCCCATCCTTTCTTTCCAACCACAGAAGTAATTTGCAATTTATCACTTTCCTAAAGCATAGTCCCAATAATTCCAACAAAAGACCCTGGAAATTTAGGCAAACTAAAGCTCTAGTTGTTTTGTCATTAAAGAAAAATGAAAATATATCAACTAACAACTAATTAGGCGTTGAAATAATAATAAAAATTGGTGGGGGCCCAACAGTGAAATAAAATTAGACCAGTCCAAATGAAAGCATTGCTTAAGAATATAAATTTCAATATAATAGAAATTAATGCCACCAGCCTGAGTACTAGTTATAAGTCAAGCATTATTACTACAGCATTAGTAAAGGAAGAAGTTCTGGTAAAACTCTATTTTGGTGTCCAAGTTTTCCCCTTAATTCTCTTCAAGGCTGAATGCTGATTGCCATAATGGGATAGCATCTCTCATTTATCAAAACAAAGCGCATGTGTTGGAAAAGAAAAAGATTCTTAATATTTCCCTGAACTACCAATTGATACATCACCAACCTGAAATGATTGTTGAGGCCCATCAATCAAAGACTGTCAAGACAGGTCATTATCTTAAATGAAACATCTCAAACAGAAAGTTAAATATTGCATGTTCTCACTTATAATTGGGAGCTAAATAACGTGTACACAGAACATGAGTGTGAAATAATAGGCATTGGAGACCCGCAAAAGCAGAGGGGTGGTGGGGTGAGGCATGAGAAATTACTTAATGGGTACAATGCATATTATTTGGGTGATGGTAACACTGAAAGCCCAGATATCACCACAATGCAATATATCCATGTAACAAAACTGTAATTGTACACCTTAAATTTATGCAACCCCCTTCCCCCTCGCCTCGCTCATTAGCTTGTTGCAACAAGTGGGAGCAACACAACATGGGAAACGACAGGCAATCTCAGTGAGAGAGACTTAGAAACGACTTATTATGGAATTTGGATTTGCTTTAGGACATTTGTGGAGGGTTTAAGGAACTGAGGTTTTTCTGTGGACTGAATGCTGTGAGGAAGGAGAGTAATTCTGTCATTTGATATTTTAATAATTTTATCTAGAAGGTGGGAGAAACAAAATGGGTCTAAAACTGTAATTGGTAAAGAAGCAGTGGTCACTGACATTAGCCAGAAAAGGGATAAGCTTGGTGATTTTTCTGAAATAGACATGTTTTTTTTCTTTCATGGTCTGTGTTTAGACATGATCACAATGGTCTTGTTCTTATCTTATTTCATGGTGAACATAGGGTGGACCTGTCTAATCTTGGTGTTCTGTGAAATGGTTTATGTTCAACAGAGGAACATTATAGTCTTGCTGTGGGAGCTGGGCTACCTCCTAGGAGTACCAAAGTTCAGATGTTAATGCCAGGCTGGCTCTTCCTTTTTTCAGGGTAACCACCATTCTCCTGAGGTTGTGTGACAGTTAATGGTATCACAGAGGATGGGTGGGAACTCCCAGCACTATCAGGCCAGGTGGTTGGGAGGTGATTTAGAGGCTATGAGAGGAAGATGCAGGCCTGTGCTGGTCCACCCAGGAGAAATTATGAACCCAGTGACTCCTGACTTTGGCACCCTGCATTTTTCTGTAGCATCAACACACCACTACCCTTTTCATATAAAAGAGCCAATACCACCTTAGTTCCTGCCCTCTGAGTGAACATTAGATGACTTATAAGTACTAACGAAAGGTTTCTGACTCCTACGTTAGAGGTTTTGAGAACTTAGCAGCCCCCCAAGAAACCTATTAGATAAGGGAAAAAATATTTCACTACGTTTTGCTAGCTTAAAATAATCCTCTACCTGAAATTCGAGTTAGCATTTTCAGCCTGGCTCCGAGGTAGAATGGATGGAAATAATCAGAGATCACCTGGCATGACCCATTAAGAAGTACATTGGAAGACAAGAGCCCCTGGGCTGTATCTCACCAAGTAATAGAGATTTTCCTCTACTGTCTTTTGATGACTTATAATTTTAACACTGATGACCTCTCCATGATATTTGATCACTACATTCAGAAGTATTCCATTTGGTGTTCTCAACAACAGTATGATATTGCATTTACATTTAAAAATTCTGACCCTTTTCTGGGGTCTAATATTTGATGAAATGAAAACCTGAATTACTTTAGATTTTGTTATGCATTTCCTCTTTCAGATGTCGGCTTAAGAATTCTTCTGTGTATTAACCAAAAAAATCACATAAAGCTCATCTTTGGTTTAGTGAAAAAAGATTCCCAACTTGGGAAATGAAAGACATAGTTTCTTCCTGGTTCTATATAAATGTTGATATGTCACATCTCAGAGCCTTAATTTTCTTAATTACAAATAAAGGGGTTGAACTGAACTACCTGATTCCCATGTACTCCTTAAACTCTATAATCATGCTAGACTTAATGTGCTTTTTTGAGTGTAAAAGTTTACATTTCCCTTGGAAAATATTTCTCAAGTTCACCCATATTTTTCTCCCTACTTTGAAGATCAGAAAAAAGGCTCTCAATAATATAGCCCAAGTATCATCATTCAGTGATCAGTTATATTAAACCAGATAACTATTCCATTTTTAAAAAGTTAATTTCAACCCATGTGCTGAAAGAACTTTTTCATAACAGCTAAGAAGATGAAATGGAAATCAGTACATTGTTTTTTCTTCCATTTTCCTTCACATTAATTGTCAGCTGATGTGAAAAGCCAGTGAAGAATCCCCAGGGTAGAGGGCTGGTTGATCAAGCCGCTGAATCATCACTCTGTGAATGTGCGGAGGATCCGGAGATGGTTCTGTCTCTCAGCTGTCTGTGAGAACAGGCTGATTTCCAAAAGTCACAGCTTTGGTAACTCCCCCACCTCCCCCAACATGCTTTTATTCACTGTTTACCGAAAGCCTGCAGAATTTCAGCCATTGAGCTAAGTGCTGAGGGTACAACAATGAGCAAGACAGAGCTCTGTCCTCAAGGACTAAGCAGATATGACGTGCAGTGTGATTAACCTACAGAGAGGACACACTACTGTTCAGACATATTTTGAGAGGTAGTTTGGGACACCTTCCCAGGAGAGGGGTTGCCTATGCATATTACCAAATGATGAGCAGGAGTTGGCCAGGCAAATGTGAAGGGAGTGGGAGTGAGAGGCTCCATTCAGAGGCTTCCATGCAGAGGCTGGTTGGGTCAGGGATAGAAGAGCAGAGAGAGAGAATGGACTGGGAATGTTGGCGTTTACCTGAGCCCTGTGATCCTAAAAGACAAAGGCAGTTATATAAATTCCACTACTCCACTGTGTCCCAGAAATGGCTTTCTGCGGGGGGCCATCATTTCCCCTAGGACTCAGATAAGACTGCTGATTCCTGCCTTGTTTTCCTATGACCAGTCTAGACATAGACCCTCCAGATTCCCATTCTTTGCCTCATAAACCAGTCTGGATAATACTACCACGACTTGACCAAACTTGAGTTAAGCTTCTCTCCTTCCTCCACATCCCTCAATTTTTACCCATCCTCAGTCTGAGCTGGCATTTCAGCCTCTCTGTAATGCCCCATCCTGAGTGTCAGCTGACCTCAGGGTAAAATATTTTTGATCCACTGTCCAATAAAACCACCGCCACTTGTTCATCCCACTTCACGACATCTGGCACTTTCTAGCTTTATTATTCTTTCCTAATAAAGTCACTTTTCTGCCTGATCTTTAAGATATGTAGATCTTAATGTTGGTATGTTCTGCCAAGGACAGGAGAGACTATTGAAAAGTCTAAGGAGAGACTATTGAAAAGGATTATTGCAAGAGTGGAGAAAGACTATTCCCCTCTCTTGCAATAATCCTTTTCAATAGTCTCACCTTACATAAGTCCAGATTTGTTTTTTATTTGACCCTACAAGAGCATGCTCATGATTTGGAGAGTTGTAAGTACAGAAGTTCTTTTAACCAACTTCTACTTAATGGATCCCAACTTGATGTTCTTATCTACAGACAGAACTTCCTATTTAAAAAAAAATGTTGGAATAAGGAGAATGCCATCTTGCTTCCAAAATAACAAGGAGACCTCAAAACAGAAATGCTCACTTTATCTTTGATTAAACAAGCTGTAGACCTGAGCAATAAAATGTAAAGATAAAAAGCAAATAGGAAATTAGAAATGACTTGGCTGATCACAGAGAATTTAAACCTAACCAGGGAGAGATGAGAGGTGGGATATCAAAGAAAAGCAAGTTGATTAGCTTCACAGAAGCCCTACACAGGCTCAGGAATCAGTACCACTGAGGAGTATGGAAGGTAATAAGAAAATATAGAGACAATATGAAAATCTGAGTGAGGACTCTAAATTCTCTATGTTCCAACCCCACTCTTAGATAATGGGCCCTCCAATATCCCCAGACAAATATGTTTTCTGGAGAAATTAAAACAGAGGGATTTTTAAGTAGTGACACAGGACACAGAAGAGGCTGGGATATATTGGATAGAAAATAAGTAGGTCAAGTGAAAACGAACACACTGATTGGCTACTTTTCTCACCCAAAGCAAGGACATGAAAGCCAGGGATATACACTCCAGGTAGGAAATTGGAGAAAATACCTCCCCTCAAAGAAGAAAAATAACTCAATAGTGTCACGGGGGTGGCCCAATGATCCAATCATACCCCAAGAAGTCCACTCTTTGACAAGTTCTAGCCATGTATGCCAGTCTTCCTATCAGCTTTTTAATGCCCAACTCTTACTATGAATGGGCAGTCAAGACTCACCAGATATTCCCTAAAATCTTCCAACCAGAGACAGAGGCACCAGAAAACAGAAAAGAGTTTTGTGGAAATAGACATAATTCATGCCAGAGAGCAGAAGATGATTTTTAAAGAAACTATAATTAATAAGTGCAATTGATGTTTCTCAGGTAAGAGAGGATATGTTCAAGAAACAAGAGCAGAATGCTTTAATAAAGGAACAATTAGAAAATTTAAAAGAGCAGAAATTTAAAATCCATACAATAATTGGAAAACAAAGTTGAGGACATTTCCCAGAGAGTAGAACAAAATGGTAAAAAGACAGGAAAAAAAAAAAAATAAGGCATGCAGTCCCACATCTGATAAATTAAAAAAATCATACAGATAGAACAGAAAAAGTAGAAGGGAGGACATAATCAGAAAATTAATACAAGAAAAATTTTCAGAACTGAAAAACATGAATTTCCAAATTGAAAGGGGCTGTTGAGTTCACAGTGAATGAAAATAGACCCAGACCAAATTACATCATCATAAGATTTCAGAGGAGTAACGACAAACTAGTCCTGGGACTTACGTTTCTAGTAATACAGAGAACTAGATAACTGGAACACTCCCCACTCCAATATAGCTAGAAAATGCTGAATAAAATACAGCAAACACCCCTTTGACAGTAGAGTGGAGTGCCCAGAAATACAAGGAAACCCCCCAGGAGTCTGAAATGAAGAAAACGCCAACTAGAGCTGTAAGCATGTGAGGTGATACGCTGGCAGTCCTGGTTAAAAGTTGTAGATGTCTGTTATAACTACACAAGGAACAGGATCAAGATTTGGGGCCCAAAGTTGGTAGTTGGAACTGCCATTCTAGCATAAAACTAGAACCTTCAAAGGGCAATAGCCTCAGCTAAAGAGTGGGGATGGGAAAAAAGTCTACACACCAGGAAAATTTGATAAGGAAGAACTTTGTAGTAATAAATGCAAAACCTCTCCAGATAGAGAAAGATACACCCTCAAGCCAGGGTGCTCATAGTTCTTATATCTAACCTTGCAAAAGAAGAGTTTGTGATAAAAAATTACAAAACACATGAGCATTCAAGCCACTATACGTGAAAGCTAACAGATTCAACACATAGCAGGATTATAAACCTGAGATTTTCAGATACTAGTTTTATGGTATCTTAAAAAATGGCTAGAGGAAGTTTCCAAAACAAAAAGGAAATGAGGAAATCTTGGAATAGTTGAAGATATTTTGATGTAGTTCTCAATGTATGTAGATAAAATATTGAAGACAATTATATTATCAACAGGGGAAGGGTAAAGGGACTTAAAGGGATGTAAGGTATCTAGAAAGCAGAAAAGAAAAAAGCATCAAAAAGAAATGAGGAGATATATCAGTAAGCACAGTAAATAAACAGGGATTACATTATCTAGGTAAAATAACATGTATGTTGAATAAAAATATCCTCTTACATGCTGGTTACCAGAGACACATAAAACTAGAATGGTTGAAAATTAAATAATGAAAAAATATAAATCATTCAAATACTAAAGAAAAAAGCTGGTGCAGCTATATTAATAGCAGCAAAACGTTAGGGCAAAACCATTTTTAAGAATAATATAGCAGTATATATCGCTATATACAGTGAACATATATGAATATAAATGTATACGTATATACATATGTATGCTCCTATGTACATTTATATACACTGACAAACCACTCAATTTACCAGGAAGATGTAAATACTAATAATCTGAATGCATCCAACATTGATACAACAGCATCAAAATATATATGGCAAAATGGACAATATCATAAGGATTGTAAATGATAAATATTCAATTACATCTCAGCAACTGAAAGTCTAAACAGACTTTCTTCCCAAGCATACATAGAATGCTTACAAAAATTGACCCAATACGAGGTTACAAAACAAGCTTCAACAAATGTCAGAGAATTGATGTCAAATGATCTCTGATTACAATGTAATTAAATTTAGAAATCAATGACAAAACTATCTATATTTAGAAATTAAAAACAGACTTTTAAATAACTTGCAGATTAAAGAAGTCAGTGTAGAGAAATTAGACCCAAATCACAATTAAATGTAACATTTCAAAGAGAGACATTCCTGACCTTAAATGCTGCAAAAGGGTAAATACGAAAACTTGATGAATTGTATGTCTAAACCAAGAAATTAGAAAAAGAACAACTACAAAAAAGTAAAAAAAATAAAGAAGTAGAAGGCAAGTCATAATAAAGATGAGAGGATAAATTGATGAAATAGAAAATAAAAGTGTTAGTATGGACCAACCAAACAAAAAAATTGGTTTCTGAAGTATATTTAAAATAGAAAAATTGTTAGCAAATCTGCTTAAGGACAAAAGAATGAAGATTGAAATGACCGATGTTAGCAATAAGAAAGTGACATAAATGTAGATTCATCAAATAAAAAAAATAGAGAATACCATAAATGACCTTAAGCCGGTGTAATTGAAAACTTAAATGACCAGGTGCAATGGCTCACATCTGTAGTCCCAACAATTTGGGAGGCTGAGGCAGGCAATTACTTGAGCCCAGGAGTTTGAGACCAGCCTGAGAAACATGGCAAAACCCTATCTCTACAAAACAAAAAATACGAAAATTAGCCAGGCGTGGTGGCGAGTATCTGTAGACCCAGCTACTTGGGAGGCTGAGAGGTGGGAGGATCGCTTGTCTCTGGGAGTTCAAGGCTGCAGTGAGCACTCCAGCCTGGGCAACAGACCAAGACCCTGTGTCAACAAACAAACAAACAACAACAAAAAATGTAAATGAAAGGAATAATTTCCTAGGAAAACATAATTTACCAAAATATAACCTACAAAGTTGGCTGTCATTATATTAATAATTTACTACACCCCTTCCAATATCTGGTGGTTGCCAAATGGGTATCACAAAATTCACCTTTTATTGCTCTTTTTATTTATAAATTTCATGAGTGAAGAAAGATGGGCATTGATTAGAACAAGGCAAGGGACATTTGAAAGTTTTTGAGGCTAAGTACAATAAACGTCGTGGGTGTTTTAGATGTATACTTGTAAATATAAGTGCCAGCCCTCTTGAATACTCTTTCTAGCCAAACAAGGACTTATTCCAGGCTCACTAGGAATCAGGCATTGTATAGGTAAGATTTTCTTCAGGAAGTAATAAAATCGTCCTTTGTTACTCTTGTTTCTAGTTTAACTGGAAGAAAAACCACTCAATCATGGAATTTAGCACATCTGGAATGGGACAGCAGAGGGACATTTTGCCCTCACAATCTCACCTCCATATCTATATCCTGGAGTCAGATCATCATCTGCCTGGGACAAGGAAATGGCTGAATTGCTGTGGCCGTAAGAAGGGTAGAATGAGGATGATTGCACACACTCAGAGGCAAGTACAGTTATTTTAGATTGATAATTGTTAACTGTTAAGAGATTAAAAATTCCCACATGTTCAGCTGATTAAGATTTTTATATAACAAAGAACATTCATTCTTGATGCTATAGACTGATTGGCATGACTTTATCTCCTGATAGTATGAGAAAGTTATAAACAAATAACTAATGAATGAGTGAATTTCTAAATGAATTCGGGCACTATAGTTCGGATATCAGCTGTCCTATCATCTCCCAGTTGCTATAGTATCCACACAGATAGCCTCTGCTTTTCACTGGTACCTGCTCTGATTGCAGAACTAAGTTTATTGCACAAGCATTAGTGAGCAATATAGACTTTACTATTCAGTAAAAGATTTATAAAGAGAAAAGAAGGCATTTATGTTGCATTCTTCATGGCAAACAAACCTCTTTCAATAGTGTTCTTCCAAATCCCTCTTCTGCTCCTTGATCTTTCTGGGATTTTTCCCAGGGAACCTCAACTCCTCACTCCCTTCCTAAGTAGAATGTTTCCCTTCTTACTCTGAAGCACTGGCCCAGGGTACCAAAGCCTGAAGGGTTTTACTCTGTCTTAAAGAAGTTTATCAGTCTTTTCCCCATCAAGTAGGTCTCATCCTATGTAGGGCAAGCCACAGTAGGAAAATGATGTGGTTGACGAAAAGGTGCCAATAGGTAAAGACAAAACAGTTCTTGAATGGTAAGGAATTCAGGTTTCTCTGGGCAGAGATGGCTACAGGGACCAGAAGAGAACAGAGCATGCTCTCTGCTGGAGGCTGAAGCTTGTAGATTCCCCAATGTTCCCCTTGGAATGGAAAGCTGCCAATGACATCATGTGCACAGAGTGAAGGTCCTGCCAGGCTCAAGGACCTTGCACATAGGTATTCTTCAGGGATCTCATGAGTAAGGAGGATATTTTAAAAAATAATGAATATGTCATGGATACTGTCCAATCACAGCACATGCTGGCCATGGCCTGGGATAGGGTTGTGGAAGCCCCTTGTGTTCTGGGCTTTTAGCTCTTGGTGGGAGAGCTCAGAGAAGGGATCAAGGTGGCAGGGCCAGTGGCTAATCACCATCCAGTAGGCAAGTGGTTCAATATTTATGAAACTGTTCTAGCTATACAGGTACATGTAGGTTTAAAGTACATATACAGTTCTTTTCCTGATACCTCCCAACTGTTGTAAATTGGTTATCAACCTATCTATATCCAAGATGTGAATAACCTGTACTTTCCTGTATGTCCACTCATAGAATAGATGCACATTGAAGGTTAATATCTCATGTGTAATATCCTTTGGCAGTATCAGGCAGTGCTTGTCTAAGTCTGTTCTTGCACTGCCTTCCCCTTATCCAGTGCCTGTTATGAGGTTGTATCAGATATTAGTAGCACATGCTTTGAAAAATATCTTTTTTTTTTAAAAAATTATACTTTAAGTTCTAAGATAACGTGTGCAGAACGTGCAGGTTTGTTACATAGGTATACACGTGCCATGGTGGTTTCCTGCACCCATCAACCCGTCATCTATATTAGGTATTTCTCTAAATGCTGTCCCTCCCCTTGCCCCCCACCCCCCGACAGGCCCTGGTGTGTGATGTTCCCCGCCTTGTGCCCATATGCTTTCATTATTCAACTCCCACTTATGAACATGTGGTGTTTGGTTTTCTGTTCCTGCGTTAGACTGCTGAGAATGATGGTTTCCAGCTTAATCCATCTCCCTGCAAAGGACATGAAATCATTCTTTTTCATGGCTGCATAGTATTCCATGGTGTATATGTGCCACATTTTCTTTATCCAGTCTATCACTGATGGGCATTTGGGTTGGTTGGGTTGCTATTGGGAATAGTGCTGCAATAAACATACGTGTGCATGTGTCTTTATAGTAGAATGATTTATAATCCTTTGGGTATATACCCAGTAATGGAATTGCTGGGTCAAATGGTATTCCTGGTTCTAGATCCTTGAGGAATCACCACACTGTCTTTCACAATGATTGAACTAATTTACACTTCCACCAATAGTGTAAAAGCGTTCCCATTTCTCCACATCCTCTCCAGCATCTGTTGTTTCTTGACTTTTCAATGATCACCATTCTAACTGGTGTGAGATGGTATCTCATTGTGGTTTTGATTTGCATTTCTCTGATGACCAGTGATGATGAGATGAGCTTTTTTCATATGTTTGTTGGCTGCATAAATGTCTTCTATTGAGAAGTATCTGTTCATATCCTTTGCCCACTTTTGGATGGGGTTGTTTTTCTTGTAAATTTTTTTAAGTTCTTTGTAGATTCTGGATATTAGCTCTCTGTCAGATGGATAGATTGCAAAAATTTTCTCCCATTCTGTAGGTTGCCTGTTCATTCTGATGATAGTTTCTTTTGCTGTGCAGAAGCTCTTCAGTTTAATTAGATCCCATTTGTCAATTTTGGCTTTTGTTGCAATTAATTTTGGTGTTTTAGTCATGAAGTATTTGCCCACGCCTATGTCCTGAATGGTATTGCCTAGGTTTTCTTCTAGGGTTTTTATGGTTTTAGGTCTTACATTTAAATCTTTAATCCATCCTGAGTTAATTTTTGTATAAAGTGTAAGGAAAGGGTCCAGTTTCAGTTTTCTGCATATGGCTAGGCAGTTTTCCCAACACCATTTATTAAATAGGGAATCCTTTCCCCATTGCTTGTTTTTGTCAGTTTGCCAAAGATCAGTTGGTTGTAGATGTGTGGTGTTATTTCTGAGGCCTCTGTACTGTTCCATTGGTCTATATATCTGTTTTGGTACCAGTACCATACTACTGTAGCCTTGTAGTATGGTTTGAAGTCAGGTAGCGTGATGCCTCCAGCTTTGTTGTTTTTGCTTAGGATTGTCTTGGTTGTGTGGGCTCTTTTTTGGTTCCATATGAAATTTAAAGTAGTTTTATCTAATTCTGTGAAGAAAGTCAACGGTAGCTTGATGGGAATAGCATTGAATCTATACATTACTTCTGGAAGTATGGCTATTTTCACGATATTGATTCTTCCTATCCATGAGCATGGAATCTTTTTCCATTTGTTTGTGTCCTTTCTTATTTCCTTGAGCATTGGTTTGCAGTTCTCCTTGAAGAGGTCCTTCACATCCCTTGTAAGTTGGATTCCTAGGTATTTTATTCTCTTTGTAGCAATTGTGAATGGGAGTTCACTCATGATTTGGCTCTCTGTTGGTCTATTATTGGTGTATAGGAATGCTTGTGATTTTTGCACATTGATTTTGTATCCTGAGACTTTGCCGAAGTTGCTTATCAGCTTAAGGAGTTTTTGGGCTGAGACGATGGGATTTTCTAAATATGCAATCATGTCATCTGCAAACAGAGACAATTTGACTTCCTCTCTTCCTATTTGAATACCATTTATTTCTTTCTCTTGCCTGGTTGCCCTGGCTAGAACTTCCAATACTATGTTGAATAGGATTGATGAGAGGGCATCCTTGTCTCATGCCGGTTTTCAAAGGGAATGCTTCCAGTTTTTGCCCATTCAGTATCATATTGGCTGTGGGTTTGTCATAAATAGCTCTTATTATTTTGAGATACGCTCCATCAATACCTAGTTTATTGAGTGTTTTTAGCATGAAGGGGCATTGAATTTTATTGAAGGAGTTTTCTGCATTTATTGAGATAATCGTGTGGTTTTTGTCATTGTTTCTGTTTATGTGATGAATTACATTTGTTGATTTGTGTATGTTAAACCAGACTTGCATCCCAGGGATGAAGCCGACTTGATCATGGTGGACAAGCTTTTTGATGTGCTGCTGGATTCTGTTTGCCTGTATTTTATTGAGGATTTTCACATCGATGTTCATCAGGGATATTGACCTGAAATTTTCTTTTTTTGTTGTGACTCTGCCAGGTTTTGGTATTAGGATGATGCTGGCCTCATAAAATGAGTTAGAGAGGAGTCTCTCTTTTTCTATTGTTTGGAATAGTTTCAGAAGGAATGGTACCAGCTCCTGTTTGTATCTCTGGTAGAATTTGGGGTGAATCTGTTTGGTCCTGGGGTTTCTTTGGTTAGTAGCCTATTAATTACTGCCTCAATTTCAGAACTTGTTATTGGTCTATTTAGGCATTTGACTTCTTCCTGGTTTAGTCTTGGGAGGGTGTATGTGTCCAGAATTTATCCATTTCTTGTAGATTTTCTAGCTTATTTGCGTAGAGGTGTTTATAGTATTCTCTGATGGTAGTTTGTATTTGTGTGGGATCAGTGGTGATATCCCCTTTGTCATTTTTTTATTGCATCTATTTGATTCTTCTCTTTTTTCTTATTAGCCTGTCTAGTGGTCTATTTTGTTAATCTTTTCAAAAAACCAGCTCCTGGATTCATTGATTTTTTGAAGGATTTTTCATATCTCTATCTCCTTCAATTCTGCTCTGATCTTAGTTATTCCTTGTCTTCTGCTAGCTTTTGAACATGTTTGCTCTTGCTTCTCTAGTTCTTTTAATTGTGATGTTAGGGTGTTGAATTTAGATCTTTCCCACTTTCTCTTATGGACATTAGTGTTATAAATTTCCCTCTAAACACTGCTTTAGCGGTGTCCCAAAGATTCTAGTACGTTGTGTCTTTGTTCTCATTGGTTTCAAAGAACTTATTTATTTCTGCCTTAATTTCGTTATTTACCCGTAGTCATTCAGAAGCAGGCTGTTTAGTTCCCATGGAGTTGTGTAGTTTTGAGTGAGTTTCTTAATCCTGAGTTCTAATTTGATTGCACTGTGGTCTGAGAGACTGTTTGTTATGATTTCTGTTCTTTTGCATTTGCTGAGGAATGTTTTACTTCCAATTATGTGGTCAATTTTAGAATAAATGTGACGTGGTGCTGAGAAGAATGTATATTCTGTCAATTCATGGTGGAGAGTTCTGTAGATGTCTATTAGGTCTGCTTTGTCCAGAGTTGAGTTCAAATCCTGAATATCCTTATTAATTTTCTGTCTTGTTGATCTGTCTAATATTGACAGTGGGGTGTTAAAGTCTCCCACTATTAATGTGTGGGCGTCTAAGTTTCTTTGTAGGTCTCTAAGAACTTGCTTTATGAATCTGGGTGCTCCTGTATTGGGTGCATATATATTTAGGATATTTAGCTCTTCTTGTTGTATTGATCCCTTTATCATTACGTGATGCCCATCTTTGTCTCTTTTGATCTTTATTGGTGTGAAGTCTGTTTTATCAGAGACTAGGATTGCAACCCCTGTTTTTTTTTTTTTTTTTTTTTGCTTTCCATTTGGTTGGTAAACATTCCTGCATCCCTTTATTTGGAGCCTGTGTGTATCTTTGCACATGAGATGGGTCGCCTGAATACAGCACACCAATGGGTCTTGAGTCTTTATCCAATTTGTCAGTCTGTGTCTTTTTTTTCTTGACGGAGTCTTGCTCTGTTGCCGAGGCTGGAGTGCAGTGGTGTGATCTCGGCTCACTGCAAGCACCGCCTCTCAGGTTCATGCCATTCTCCTGCCTCAGCCTCCCGAGTAGCTGGGACTACAGGTGCCTGCCACTATGCCCGGCTAATTTTTTGTATTTTTAGTAGAGATATGGTTTCACCGTGTTAGCCAGGATGGTCTTGATCTCCTGACCTCATGATCTGCCTGCCTTGGACTCCCCAAGTGCTGGGATTACAGGCATGAGCCACCACGCCCGGCCCAGTCTGTGTCTTTTAATGGGGCATTTAACCCATTTACATTTATGATTAATGATGTTATGTGTGAATTTGATCCTGTCATTATGATGCTAGCTGGTTATTTTGCCCATTAGTTGATGCAGTTTCTTCATAATGTTGATGGTCTTTACATTTTGGTATGCTTTTGCAGTGGCTGGTACTGGTTTTTCCTTTCCATATTTAGTTCTTCCTTCAGGAGCTCTTGTAAGGTAGGCCTGGTGGTGACAAAGTGCCCAGAGTTTACTTGTCTGTAAAGGATTTTATTTCTCCTTCACTTATGAAGCTTAGTTTGGCTGGATATGAAATCCTGGGTTGAAAATTCTTTTCTTTAAGAACGTTGAATATTGGCCTCCAGTCTCTTTTGGCTTGTAGGGTTTCTGCAAAGACATCCGCTCTTAGTCTGATGGGCTTCCCTTTGTGGGTAACTCGATCTTTCTGTCTGGCTGCCCTTAACATTTTTCCTTGATTTCAACCTTGGTGAATCTGACAATTATGTGTCTTGGGGTAGCTCTTCTCAAGGAGTATCTTTGTGGTGTTCTCTGCATTTCCTGAATTTCAATGTTGGCCTATCTTGCTAGGTTGGGGAAGTTCTCCTGGATAATATCCTGAAGAGTGTTTTCCAACTTGGTTCAATTCTCCCCGTCACTTTCAGGTATGCCAATCAAATGTAGGTTTGGTCTTTTCACATAGTTCCATATTTCTTGGAGGCTTTGTTCGTTCTTTTTCATTCTTTTTTTCTGTAATGTTGTCTTCGTGCTTTATTTCATTAAGTTGATCTTCAATCTCTGGTATCCTTTCTTTTGCTTGATCAATTCAGCTATTGATAGTTTTGCATGCTTCACAAAGTTCTTGTGCTGTGTTTTTCAACTCCATCAGGTCATTTACGTTCTTCTCTAAACTGGTTATTCTAGTTAGCAGTTCCTGTAACTTTTTATCAAGGTTCTTAGCTTCCTTGCATTGGGTTAGAACACACTCCTTTAGCTTGGAGGAGTTTGTTATTACCCACCTTCTGAAGCCTACTTCTGCCAATTCATCAGACTCATTCTCCATCCAGTTTTGTTCCCTTGCTGGTGAGGAGTTGTGATTCTTTGGAGGAGAAGAGGCATTCTGGTTTTTGGAATTTTCAGCTTTTTTTGTGCTGGTTTTTCCTCATTCTCGTGGATTTATCTACCTTTGGTCTTTGATGTTGGTGACCTTTGGATGGTTTTTTTTTTCGTGGGTGTCCTTTTTCTTGATGTTGATGCTATTGCTTTTTGTTTGTTAGTTTTTTCCCCAACAGTCAGGTCCCTCTTCTGCAGGTCTGCTGGAGTTTGCTGGAGATCCACTCCAGACCCTGTTTCTCTGGGTATCACCAGTGGAGGCTGCAGAACAGCAAAGATTGCTACCTACTCCTTCCTCTGGAAGCTTCATTCTAGAGGAGCACCTGCCAGATGCCAGCCAGAGCTCTCCTGTATGAGGTGTCTGTCAAACCCTGCTGGGAGGTGTCTTCCAGTCAGGTGGCATGGGGGTCAGGGACCCACCTGAGGAAGCAGTCTGTCCCTTAGCAGAGCTCAAGCGCTGTGCTGGGAGATCTGCTTCTCTCTTCAGAGCTGGCAGGCAGGAACGTTTAAGTCTCCTCAAGCTGTGCCAGCCGCCCCTTCCTCCAGGTGCTCTGTCCCAGAGAGATGGGAGTTTTATCTATAAGCCCCTTACTGGGGCTGCAGCCTTTCTTTCAGAGATGCCCTGCCCAGAGAGGAGGAATCTAGAGAGGCAGTCTGGCTACAGCAGCTTTGCAGAGCTGTGGTGGGCTCCACCCAGTTCGAACTTCCTGGCAGCTTTGTTTACACTGTGAAGGGAAAACCACCTACTCAAGCCTCAGTGATGGTGGACGCCCCTCCCCCGACCAAGCTCCAGTGTCCCAGGTTGACTTCAGACTGCTGTGCTGGCAGTGAGAATTTCAAGCCAGTGGATCTTAGCTTGCTGGGCTCCATGGGGGTGGGATCCACTGAGCTAGACCACTTGGCTCCCTGGCTTCAGCCCTCTTTCTGGGGAGCGAATGTTTCTGTCTCACTGGTGTTCCAGGCACCACTGGGAACATTTCTGTCTCACTGGCATTCCAGGTGCCACTGGGTACGAAAAAAAAAAACTCCTGCAGCTAGCTTGGTGTCTGCCCAAATGGCCACCCAGTTTTGTGCTTGAAACCCACGGCCCTGGTGATGTAGGCACCTGAGGGAATCTCCTGGTCTGTGGGTTGCGAAGACCATGGGGAAAGCACAGTATCTGGGCTGGAGTGCACCATCCCTCACGGCACAGTCCCTCATGGTAAGGGAGGAGACTACCCCTCATATTGTCTTATGCCTAATTTCTGCCTCCAAAGAAAGAAGTAAAAACTAAAAGGCAGAAATGAAATCCACAAGCAGACAGCCCAGCACTACAACCTGGGCCTGGTAGTTAAAGATCGACCCCTGATCTAATCGGTTGTTTGCATAAAAAAAGCACTGTGAAGATCCCTGTCCTGTTCTGTTCCGTTCTGATTACTGGTGCATGCAGCCCCCAGTCACATACCCCCTGCTTGCTCAATCGATCACGATCCTCTCTTGTGGACCCCCTTAGAGTTGTGAGCCCTTAGAAGGGACAGGAATTGCTCACTCAGGGAGCTCGGTTGTTGGAGATGTGAGTCTTGCCGAAGCTCCCGGCTGAATAAAGCCCTTCTTTAACTCGGTGTCTGAGGGGTTTTGTCTGCGGCTTGTCCTGCTACAATGGCACGATCCCTCAGGGCTTCCCTTGGCTAGGGGAGGGAGTTCCTGAATCCCTTGTGCATCCTGGGTGAGGCGACAGCCCACCCTGCTTTGGCTCGCCCTCTGTGGGCTGCATCCTCTGTCTAACCAGTCCCAATGAGAGGAACCAGGTACCTCAGTTGGAAATGCAGAAATCACCTGCCTTCTGCATTGGTCTCACTGGGAGCTGCGGACGAGAGCTGTTCCTATTTGGGCATCTTGCCCGGGTTGATCTGAAAAATATCTTATGAGACAACGATTATCCACTATGTCCATTTGTATTATCTGGCAAGAAACCAGTATAATATTTCTTCTCAAACTTTAGAGAGCACCAGACTCATTTGGGTATCTCAACAAAGTTAAGATTTCGGCACCTATTACCTACTTATTGCCAGCTAACCTGATGTCAAGGGCCCTGGGTTGGGCCCACAGGAATCTACCTTTTTAACAAGTCCACTAGGCAGCTCTGCAGTCATTGGCCTGAGGACCACACTTTATGAAAGTCCTCTGCATTTAATGACTGCTCTGTTCCAGTAGTCATTACTGACAAATTAACATCAAATTTTACAACAGTTTTGAAGACACTGAAATTTTCTGTTTACTTTGTATATCAGATGCTCTTAGTAGCGCTAAACCAGCTACTCAGTTTCAGTGGCTCTTTGAGAAAGGTTAAGTCTTCCACCAGTTTTAGATGAAAATTCACTTATTTGGCTGCAGAGAAGGATTTGTGGACAGGTACTCATGCAGGGATTGGAACCGAGTCGATTCCTAATTTGTCGTGAGTCAAATCTGTACACATGCTTTTTCAGAAAATGTTCAAATGCAGGTACAATCTGTTCTGGTAGAATATGTATTTCTGTAATTCAAAGGAGCTTTGCCATGATTGGTAATTTAGGGTAATATCAAAAGGATATCAAATTTGCATTGGTTCATACATGATCCACCCAGCACATTAATCTTTTACACTGCCAGATAATAGCAGCTGAACATAAGATGTACTGATGCAGTAAAGCCAAGCAAGGCACAGAGGAAGACAGGCAGTTCTTGATCCCTATTCAACCCATATTCTCACTCTAGGCTCAGCTTGGCCACTGCTGTGCCTTGGAAGTCCCCTTTGCTTGGTCTTCCCTGATCTTTCTGAATATTGTCCTTGTTTCTACAAAGCTCAGTGACCTCAGCCCTCCATCACCCCTTTCCATCAAACTGCTGCTATTTACTAGAATAAGAACCTATATTAACCATATCTATATTAATTATTTAGTATTTGTAGTATTCGTTAAGAACTTGACACACCTTTTAAACTGTGCTAGTATTTTATTAGGATTTCTTCTTGTTGTTGTTGTTAGTATTCTGTCACAGGTTTGAGTAGTCTATGGCTAATCCAGTTTTTCTCAAAAGCCCTGCTATTTTTAGTGTGTAATGTTATAGAAGACAAGATTTTCTGGGATGCATATACTGCATTACAGCAAAGCCACTTATATTCTCAAGCAAAATAGAAATGATTGTCTATCTTCATGCTATTTCAAGTCACTTATGTTTTTGTTTTCCTCTGTGATGAGGAATGCTGAAGAATAGACAGTTTTTGGCTTTGATTTTGGAATCACTAACCCTTGCTTTGCAGCACGATATCAAGGGGCTTGGTTTATGAATTACACAACTTCTTACAGCAGCAGACACATAATTCTTTTTAATATAGCTTCAGATTATATGCTGTCGGTTGAACATACTGCTCAATTTCTGTTTGACAAATACACAGTTAAAGATTCAACAATCAGACCAGAAACTACACAAAAATAGCAATGGGAAGACAGATTTCCTTGGGAGAGCTTGTGGTTCTGAGGCATCCGTTAAGGGCCTGGGGGTTTCTTGTGGCAAAATTCATGATAAATAATGAGAACTTTTGCCCTAATGTTATTTTTACCATGGACCATTTTCAGTATACAATTCAGTACTATACATGTATATGTTCACATTGTTGTGAAACACATCTCCAGACCTTTTTCATTTATACTCATCAAACAACAATTCCCTTTTCCCCCTCCACTATTATTATTATTATTATTATTTTTAAGAGACAGGGTCTTGCTGTGTTGCCCAGGCTGGAGTGCAGTAGTGTGATCATAGCTCTCTGCAGCCTCCAACTCCTAAACTCAAGTGATCCTCCTGACTCAGCCTCTTGAGTAGCTGAGACTACAGGTGCACACCACCATGCCTGGCTGATTAAAAAAATGTTTTCTTGTAGAGATAGAGTCTTTCTCTGTTGCCCAGGCTAGTCTCGAACTCCTGGTCTCAAGTGATCCTCCTGCCTAGGACCCCCAAAGTGTTGGGATTATAGATATAAGCCACGGCATCCAGCCTCCACTATTATTTTTTAAAATTCCTGACCATTTGATTGAGCAGGTGATGACTGTATGAATATCTAAAATAACCTTTAGCTTGCAGGATTATTAAAAAACTCAGAGAACCAGGAGAATTAACTTTAATCAGGTTTGAGATAAATCCAGGAAAAGGGGGTTACACCTACCTAATCCTAAGAGCAGAAATGTGGTCAGGGTGTACTGTCAGAATCCCAGGTGTACCAATTCATTGTTACAGGAAGGAACGCTTCCGTGGATGCTAAGCTGACCTGATGACTTTCATGGCATCTCTGGAGCACCCATTGCTTTTTTCTGTTGTGTGCAGCAGTGTCATGACCCAGCAAACAGAGCACTGAATTAGGAGTGGGGCACCCTGGCAATCGTTTTCCTGTTAAATGGCAATGAATAAGTCATGAAGTCTAATGGGCGCTGTAAAAGCTCATGCACCAAAAACAGATGTCCCATATCCTCGAGGAGTTGAGTCTTTCTGAATAATCTCAGTGAACAGTCCTTCAGGGACATTTAGATGACCTTTTTCTTGAGACATCATGCTGCTTTACGCTTTGCTAAATGTCTAATTCATATAATTTTATCAAGGCACCAAATCTGTTTCTTGTTCTTTGATGTGGATTGCAGATGTAATTCGCTGCTTCTGCCATATATATATCTTTCGTACAACTTAAACTTTCTTCCCTTAATCCCCAACTTCCACCAGGATGCAAGCAGAGCTTACTGCGACTCCCCCTTCTTACCCACGCAGCTGCCTTTCACTTAATGATATACATGGGGAGTCTTCTGCCCTTTTTCATCCTAGAAGCTATTTGCAGATATTTTAGATCCATTTTTTTGGGGGGCCATCAAAGAGTAGGCCAAATTATTTTAAAGCCTGTTTGATTCATAATTTATCAACAAGAAAGACTTTTGCCTGTATACTTAAATTCCATTTTATATTTTTAGAAAGAAATTTTAATTTAATTAATGACTATAGAGTATAAGGATTTTTGGAATAATGATATTTTATAATTATAAAGCACCAGGTTATGTAGAAGTGATTTTTCTTTCAAATGTGTAGCAGCTCTTTTCAAAAAGTAGTTAAATTAGAATTTCATATATATGTTTTCAGAATGACAGAAGAATAATGTAGAAAAATTCACCTTATCCAGAATACAGCTCATTAATTTCTCCATAAACCCCAATGCTCCTCCCATATTTTTCTTTGAGTCAAGAGATTTGTTATCCACATTATAATGCACCCAAACTATAAATCTAACGGCCACTTTTAATGCTACTTCCTGGTCTACCTTCCAATTGGTTCTCAGGTAGATTCTGTCTCTGAAATGTCCCTCACCTTCAGCCCCATTGCCTGAACCTACACCTTGAATGTTTTCTTCCTGGTCTCTTACATTATGCTGCTGACTCATGTCCCTGGCTTTAGTCTTTCATTAATCTGTTTCTTTCCACAGTTGCTACTGTTACTTTTTTTTTTTTTTTTTTTTTGAGATGGAGTTTTGCTCTTGTTACACAGGCTGGAGTACAATGGCGTGATCTCGGCTCACTGCACTCCACCCCCTGGGTTCAAGCAATTCTGCCTCAGCTTCCCAAGTAGCTGGGAGAACAGGCATGTGCCACCACGCCCAGCTAATTTTTGTATTTTTAGTAGAGACAGGGTTTCTCCATGTTGGTTAGTCTGGTCTTGAATTCCTGACATTAGGTGATCCGCCCACCTCGGCCTCCCAAAGTGCTGGGATTACAGGCGTGAACTACCTCGCCTGGCCTACTGTTATCTTTCTAAAATGCAGCCACCTACTGAAAAATCTCTGTCATCCATCGAGTAGAAGATAAAGTCCAAACTCCTGGACAGCACATCTGAGCTCTCTGGTCATGCACCTTTTCATCATCTCCTCTCCCAGTCACACAGACAGACTCATCCCCCTCTGCCTCCATCCCCTGGCAGGATGGGTTTCTTTGCTGGAAGGTCTTGCTTGCTTCCTTACTATATCCCTCCCACCCCAAAACATGTCAAGAGCGAGGTGGTTTCAGGTTTTGTGGGAACCTGAGGCTTATACAATGTGGGGTCTAATGTAAGAAAAAGAGTACACAATTATGATTACAAAAATATAAACGGGATTGGAAGGGCCCCAGGCAATTGTAGGAACCTGAAGCTTCAGCTTGGTGAGCTTCCTGGTAAATCTGCCCCTGAATTATTGCTCAGTGAGTTTTATGAAATGATTGTTTATTAAGCTTTCTCAGTCTGGCCGAGTGACTAGGATAGCATGTGCTCATTAAAGATTTGTTGTTAAAGAATAAAACTCTACTGTCCCTCAAGGTTGGTTCAAATGTTACCTCTTCTGTATAGCCTTCCTTAATTTTTCCAGACAGTTATTTGCTGTTTCTTCCTTTTCCCATAGTCTTTGTAGACATCTTTATTATGGCACTTTCAACATCGCATGTAACTGCTTTTGTTTCTTGTATACCACTGTTTCTAAACCTTAAGGTACATCAGGATTAGCTTGAAGAGCTTGTTAAACCACTGATTGCTGGGCCCCATGTCCAGAGTTCTTGATTCAGTAAACCAGGGGTGGAGTCTAGGAATTTACACTTATTTATTTATTTTTAGAGATGGGTGTCTCTCTGTGTTGCCCAGGCTGGCCTCAAACTTGGGCTCAAGAAATCCTCTCACCTCAGCCTTCCAAGTAGCAGAGACTACAGGTGTGTGCCACCATGCTTAGCTTGAGGATTTACTTTATCTTTTTTCTGAGACAGAGTCTTGCTCTGTTGCCCAGGCTAGAGTGCAGTAGCACATTACAGCTCACGGTGGCCTCCAACTCCTGGGCACAAGCAATTCTTCTGCCTCAGCCTTCCAAGTCACTGGAACTACAGGTGTGAGCCACTGCACCCAGCTGAATTTACGTTTTTAACAAAATCCCAGGTGATGCTGAAGGCCAAGTTTATTTTTTATTTTATTTATTTTTTTTGTGAGATGGAGTCTCGCTCTGTCACCCAGGCTGGAGTGCAGTGGCGCCATCACGGCTCACTGCAAGCTCTGCCTCCTGGGTTCATGCCATTCTCCTGCCTCAGCCTCCCGAGTAGCTGAGACTACAGGCGCCCGCCACCACGCCCGGCTAAATTTTTGTATTTTTAGTAGATACAGGGTTTCACTGTGTTAGCCAGGATGGTCTCGATCTCCTGACCTGGTGATCCGCCCGCCTCGGCCTCCCAAAGTGCTGGGATTATAGGCATGAGCCACTGTGCCCGGCCGAAGGCCAAGTTTTAAATGAACTATACCTGATTCACTCTAAGCATATTCCTGGTACATGGTAGATGCTTAAATATATAAAAGTGAAAAAAGACTAAGATAAACATAGTATAAAATTTTAACTTTCTACACTATTAACAAGTAATGAATTA
The DNA here is from genome assembly GCF_000001405.40 of Homo sapiens. Lineage (NCBI taxonomy): Eukaryota > Metazoa > Chordata > Mammalia > Primates > Hominidae > Homo > Homo sapiens. The sequence goes on from NC_000008.11 coordinate 67,547,496, forward strand.
TAGTCTTTTTTTTTTTTTTTTAGACAGGTTCTCACTCTGTCCCCCAGGCTGGAGTGCAGTGGTGCGATAATGGCTCACTGCAGTGACCTCCCAGGGTCAAGCAAACCTCCCACCTCAGCCTCTGGAGTAGCTGGGCCCACAGGTGAATGCCACCATGCTCAGCTAATTTTGTAATTTTTTGTGGAGATAAAGTCTCCTCATGTTGCCTAGGGTGGTCTTGAACTCCTGGGCTCATGCAATCCTCCCCCTCAGCCTCCCAAAGTGTTGGGATCACTAGTGTGAGTCAACATGCTTGGCCCCACGAATTATAGTCTTATACATGGTCTTTAAAAGTAGAATTCTCCATTCATAGTTAATTTACAATATTTACTGGTGATCATATGTTACTTTGCAAATTAATAATACATAGTCCTTCTACTCTTAGACCACGTTTTAAAAGGAAGGAAGGAATAGGATTTTAAAGTTTCATTCTATTCCTTGTATTATATATTCTATGTGATGCTCAGGAAAATCTTTAGCAATAGAGTTACCAGATTCTTGTTTTAGACCAGGGAACTTCACTTTTCTTTTCTTTTTTTTCTTTTCTTTTCTTTCTCTCTTTCTCTTTCCTTCCTTCCCTCCCTCCCTCCCTCCCTTCCTCTCTCTCTCTCTCCCTCTCATCCTTCCTTTCCTTCCTTCCTTTCCTTCCCTTTCCTTCCTTCCCCCTCCCCTCCCTTCCCCTCTTCTCTCCTCCCCTCCCCTCTCCTCTCTTTTCTTTTCTTTTTTTTTTTTCTTGAGACAGAGTCTGACTCTATTGCCCAGCCTGGAGCACAGCGGCATGATCTCTGCTCACTGCAGCCTTCAACTCCTGGGTTCAAACACCTCTCCTGCCTCAGCCTCCTGAGCAGCTGGGACTACAGACACGTGCCACCATGCCTGGCTAATATTTTTTTTGTATTTTTAGTAGAGACAGGGTTTCACCATGTTGGCCAGGCTGGTCTTTTTCCTCAGGTGATCTGCTCATCTCGGCCTCCCAAAGTGCTGGGATTATAGGCATGAGCCACTGTGCCCAGTAGAATATTATTTTTTCTTATAAGAAAGATAACGACCAAAAAACAAAGGAAGAACAACTATGAGATGATATGTGATTAAAATTATATCCAGAATATGAGTTTTTAATGTAAGAAAAATGTTCTATAGGGCAAACAAAATATTAAATTCCATGCTGCTATTGCACATGTCTACCTTCAGGGAGGGGAGGTAAATTCAGCTCAGGAACAGGGGTGGTAGGCAATGTTTGAGGGATTTCCCACTGCCTCTGCCTCCACTCTGTAGTTAGCATCTCTGTGCAGAAACACCAGCTCAGGTGAGGTCCCAGATACTGCAGTTCCAGAGATTAGTCGAGTCAGGGTCACCTGTAGGTTTGGGTCCTGTGACCCTCGTGTCAGGGGACTAGGGACTGTGCATCCCTGTGGGGTCCAAAGGACACAGTGCCTTGTGAGACAGAATAGAATTTACAGCTGTCTGAAATTTAATTTAAAAAATTGCATGGTGTTTAGGATCTACATAATGATATTGAGACTAATTTTGAAAAAGCAAAAGAAAATGATGGAGTGGAGCATAATGTTAAGAAAATGTTATGAATAAGAAAATTAACTTAGGAAGAGAAGGCTTTTAAAAATGAGAGCAATCATATTTATGCCTACAGAAATAATCAGAAATATACTGATTTTGCTTATCTAAGGATTTAGATAATTTTTTGAGAGGTAAAAGGAAGAAAATAAGGAGAAGAGGAGGGAGCAAGACTAAAGTAACAAGAGTGTTTGAAAGATTATGAAGCCTAGGCAATCTTACTTGTAGAATCATTTATTTTCCTTTTAAACCACGTTGAGGTATGATTGACATATAAAAGCTGTACAGTATACATCTGTGAAACCATCACCACAATCTATGCCATAAACATATTCATAACCTTCTGAAGTTTCCTCCCACACTCTTCTTTTTGTGACAAAAACACTTAACATAAAATTTACCCTCTCAGAAAAATTTTAAGTACACAACGCAGTATCACTAACTATAGGCCCTATGCTATATGGTAGATCCCTAGGACTTATTTATCATGTACAGTTGAAGATCTGTACCTTTTGACTAATGATCTCCATTTCCCCCCATCTCTCCAGCCCCTGGAAACCACCATTCTACTCTCTGCTTCGGTAAATTTGACTATTTTAGATTCCTCACATAAGTGGTATCATACAGTATTTTTTCCTCTGTGTCTGGTTTATTTCACTTAGCATAATGTCCTCAGTGTTCATCCATGGTGTCATAAACGGCAGGATTTCCTTCCTTGTGAAGGCTGAATAATATTCCCTTGTTCGTATATAAACCACATTTTCTATGTCCATTATTCCATCAATGGACATTTAAGTTGCTTCCATGTTGTGGCTATTGTAAATAATGCTGCCATGAATACAGGAGTGCAAGTATCTCTTTGAGATCCTGATTTCAATTCTATTGGGTAAATACTCAGAAGTGAAATTGCTGGATCATTTGATAGTTCTATTGTTTTTTCTTTTTCAACTTTTTAGATTTGGAGCTACATGTGCAGATTTGTTACCTGGGTATATGGTGTGATGTCGAGGTTTAGGGTATGAATGATCCCATCACCCAGGTACTGGGCATAGTATCCAACAGTTAGTCTTTCAACCCTTTCCCCCTCCCTTTCTCCCCTTTTTGTTAGTCCCCAGTGTCCATTGTTGTCATCTTTATGTCCGTGAGTACTTGATGTTTAGCTCCCACTTATAAGTGAGAACATGTGGTTTGGTTTTCTGTTCCTGTGTTAGTTTGCTTAGGATAATGGCCTCCAGCTGCATCTATGTTGCTGCAGAGGACATTATTTCATTCTTTTTTATGGTTGCATAGTATTCCATGGTATATATGTACCACATTTTCTTTATTCAATCCACCATTGACGGGCATCTATGTTGATTCCATGACTTTGCTATTGTGAATAGTGCTACAATGAATATGTGAGTGCATGTGTCTTTTTGGTAAAACAATTTGTTTTCTTTTGAATATATACCCAGTAATGGGATTGCTGGGTGAAATGGTAGTCCTAAGTTCTCTGAGAAATCTCAGAACTGCTTTCCACAGTGGCTGCACTAATTTATATTCCGACCAGCTGGGTATAAGCATTCCTTTTTCTCCTCAGCCTTGGCAGCATCTTGTTATTTTTTGACTTTTTAATAGTAGCCATCCTGATTGGTGTGAGATGATATCTCTGGTGGTTTTGATTTGCATTTCTCTGATGACTAGTGATGTGGAGCATTTTTTCACGTGTTTGTTGGCCACTTGTATATCTTCTTTTGAGAAATGTCTGTTCATGTCTTTTGCCCACTTTTAATGGGGTTATTTGTTTTCTGCTTGTTGAATTAAGTTTCTTATAGAGCCTGGATATTTAGACCTTTGTCAAAAGCATATTTTGTGAATATTTTCTTCCATTCTGTAAGTTGTCTGTTTACTCTGTTGATAGTTTCTTTTGCTGTGCAGGAGCTCTTTATTTAGGTTCCACTTGTCAATTTTTATTTTTGTTGCAATTGCTTTTGAGGGCTTAGTCACAACTTCTTTCCTAAGGCTAATGTCTAGAATGGTGTTTCCTAGGTTTTCTTCTAGAATTCTTATAGTTTGAGGTCTTACATTGAAATCTTTAATCCATCTTGAGCTAATTTTTAATATGGTGAAAGGTAGGGGTCCAGTTTCATTCTTCTGCATATGGCTAGCCAGCTATCCCAGCACCATTTATTGAATAGGGAGTCCTTTCTCCATTGCTTATTTTTTATTGAAAATGAGATGGCTGTATGTGTGCTGCTTTATTTCTTGGCTCTCTATTGTATTCCATTGGTCTATGTGTCTCTTTTGTACTAGTACCATGCTGTTTTGGCCACAGTAGCCTTATAGTATAGTTTGAAATCAGGTAATGTGAAGCTTCCGGCTTTGTTCTTTTTGCTTCAGATTGCTTAGGTTATTCAGGCTCTTTTATGGTTCTATATAAATTTTAGAATAGTTTTTCCTAGTTCTGTGAAAAATGACGTTGGCTGTTTGATAGGAATCATATGGAACCTGTACACTGCTTTTGGCAGTGTGGCTGTTTTAATGATATTGATTCTTCCGATTCTTGAGCATGGAATGTTTTTCCATTTGTTTATATCATCTATGATTTCTTTTCGCAGTGTTTTGTAGTTCCTCTTGCACAGAACTTTCACCTCCTTGGTTAGATGTATTTCTAGGTATTTTATTTTTTTGGTGTGGCTATTGGAAATGGGATTGCATTCTTGATTTTTACTAGAATATTGGAAAAGAGTGGGCACATTTGAATATTCTTTTTATGTATGATATGAGGAGTTGCCTTGGTGTAAATTTACAGACTACTGGAATTATATTAAAGCCTATAATGATGGCAGCTGATGAAATGGGCAGTGAAGAATTCAAGCTGGCATTTCTGATCATCTGATGTAATAAGAGGATTGTTGCTTTAAAATCAGACTTTTTCTCCTTTTTATCTCAATACTTTATGCACAATATGTAAACACGCTGTTAAAAAATTCTCTTAGTTCTCTTTCTTCCAAATCCTTCCAAAGTAAACAAACATCGTCATGGAGTTTATAATAAAATCTGTCCCTTGCCTCCCACCTATTAAAACAACCAAGCTTAAAAGTGAAGAAACAGAGAAATGGCAGCATACACATCTAAGTAGATTGAAATTCATAAACGGAATAGGAGTAGTGGCAGGTTACTTACCAAAGCTTGGGACACAAAATGCTATTTGCCTAGTGGAAGTTTTGCCTGTGGCTTAAGGGTCTCAGAAATCATGGGGATAGAAAAATAACTTTTACCTTCATGGCTTTTAGCAGACTATGTGCTGAGTATAGGTGCTCAATATATATCAATGGGGTTAATACAAAACACAAATTAATGTGAAACACATCTTAGTACTTTTGAACATATTATAAAAAATGATGGCCGGGCACGGTGGCTCATGCCTGTAATCCCAGCACTTTGGGAGGCCAAGGCGGGCGGATCACAAGATCAGGAGATCAAGACCATCCTGGCTAACACAGTGAAACCCCGCCTCTACTAAAAATACAAAAAATTAGCTGGACGTGGTGGCACGTGCCTGTAGTCCCAGCTACTCGGGAGGCTGAGGCAGCAGAATGGCATGAACCCGGGAGGCAGAGCTTGCATGCAGTGAACCAAGATGGTGCCACTGCACTCCAGCCTGGGTGACAGAGCAAGACTGTCTCAAAAAAAAAAAAAAAAAAAAAAAAAAAGAAAAGAAAAGAACAAGAGAAGGGCCTCTTTCTTAATTACATTGTAACAAAAAGAATAAAGGAAATCAATTTGGTTAAAATAAGTTCCATTTGTACAGTTGCATTTTTGTTTGAATTAGTTAAAAGGATGACAATAAGTAGATTTTGATTTAAACTGTATAATTTATGAAGCTGTGAAATTACAAAATGCTAATGTCACACTCATGACATCCCCTTTTAAAATATGTTTGAATCAATATTATAATAAACAACTCTAGGAAGTTAACCTTTTAATCATTTATTAATCACCCATATGTTATCAAATTGACTATGCTGTGAAGTTGATGCTTTCTTGATTTTTATCAGGAGTTATAAATTAAAGATTTTCACACCTGGCTGACAGTGACTTAAGCCACTATCAATTGTAAGATGCATCCTAATTTGAGAGAAGTGTTAAAATATAAAAAATGTGTGCATCTTAAAATTGGTAAAACATTTGTTGAGCATCTATTCTATACCAAGCACCATGATAACTGCTGGGGATACAGAAATGAACACAATGCATCCCATCAATTCAGCAAGCTTGTAGCCTAGTAGGAGAAAAACAGATAAACAATTTTATGGTAAAGAGTAATGATATTATAAGTTCTCAAGCTAACTTTCCATTTGTTTGAAATACACAGAGAAACCTACTGGTAATATTATTACATAAGGGGTATGGATTATACCATAGCTATAAACTAGAAGTAGTTTTATGAGCATACAGTCCTTCATTTCTCAAGGGCTTATGATATCAATTCCTCACAGCCACTTCAATATTTGTCTACTTTTGAGATATTAGAGTGGAAAAAATAATCATTTTCCTCTTGAGTCTCAAGATTCAGAAGTAACCTAATACTTAACTCAAGCATTTCTCCAATAAATATTTTCTCATCTTGTAGCTGAAATAAAATGTGGCATTTTAGTATCAAATGAGAACTACTAAAAAATAATAAAAATAAACAACATGAATGACTTGGTCTTAAAACAACACCAAATACCATGTTTATGCCTAATTTGGGTCCCCAAAATATTGCTGAAGGAACAATATAGTTAGTTATTTGTGATGGAGAGAGAAAGACAGTGGTGATTTTCAAACCTGAATTTTTGGCTTGCTGTAAACCATGTGCTATTCCTGAAGGGTATATGTATATGTGCTTACATGTCTGTCTACTTATCTATTTACCACTGTGACATATTGTGGTATAATGAAAAATAAATATTTTAGTAAAGGTTCTCCAGAGAGACACAACTGATACAGCATATAGAGAGACACATGAAAAAGGACGTGTCTATTACACTCTTGATTAGGGAGTGTAATAGGTCATTCTTGCACTGCTATAAAGATACCTGAGACTGGGTAATTTATAAAGAAAAGAGATTTAATTGGCTCACGATTCTGCAGGCTGTAACAGGAAGCATGGACCAGCATCTGCTGGGCTTCTAGGGAGGCCTCAGGGAGCTTTTACTCTGGTGGAAGGTGAAGGGGGAGCTGGTGTCTTACATGGCAAGAATGGGAGCAAGAGAGAATAAGAGAGGTGCTACACAATTTTAAACAACCAGGTTTCATGAGAAGTCACTCACTGTCATGAGGGCAGCACCAAGAGGAAACAGCTAAACCATTCATGAGAAATCCGCCACCATGGTCCAGTCACCTCCTACTAGGTTTCACCTTCAATACTGGGGATTAAAATTCAACATAAGATTTGGCAGGGACACATATTTAAACTATATCAGGGAGGCTGAGAAGTCCCACGATAGTCTGTCTGCAAGCTGGAGAACCAGGAAAGCCCTTAGCATGACTCAGTCCAAGTCCAAAGACCTCTGAACCAAGGAAGCCAATGGTGTAATTCTCAGTCTGAGCTCAAGGCCTGAGAGCCTGGGGGCTGTTGGTGTGAGTCACAAAGGTCAAAGCCTGAAGAATCTGGAGTTATTCCATCCCAAGGTAGAAGAGGGGTGACCTGGCTCTGGGAGAGAGTGCCCAAATTCATCCTTCCTCTGCCATTTTGTTCCATTTGGCCCCAGCCTGCTAGATGGCCCTTGCCTGCATGGAGGGTAGATCTTCTCCACTCAGTCCACTGACTCACATGCCAATCTCCAGAAACACCCCCACAGTCACACCTGGGGCAGTCCAATCGTCTGAATCACAAGCAAAAACACTTAGTTTTTTGCTATCAGCAGAAGAGGGCTGGGCTCAGTGCCTACTGAAGCACTGAGAATAAACAATGCTATACCAGGTAGTATCCCTTAATTTGGTCAAGTTGACAACCCCAAATCAACCCACAATAAATATTTGGTTTTTGTCCCCAGTTCCTGGCACAGAGCTCCTTAAACCCTTGGAATTTATTATCTTATATATGCTAACTCTTAGAGTTGGGGAGGACCCTAGATAGCTTCAATATGGTGGCTGGTCACCAGAAAAACCAACCGTGTAACTGGAGGTTGGAACTTTTAGCTTTGTCCCCTAACTTCCAAGAAAGGGAGAGGGGCCAGAGATTGAGTTCAGTCATCGATGGCCAATGATTTAATCAATCACGTCTACATAATGAAACCTTTACAAAGACCCCTAAATGATGGTGTGTGGGGAGCTTAGAGTTGATGAACATATGGAGGAGCTGGGAAGGTTGCACCCAAAGAGGACGGGGAAGCCCCCTCATCCCCGTACCTTGCCCTATGCATCTCTCCATCTGGCTGTTCCTGAGTTGTAGTCTTTAAATTAAACTGGTAATTGTAGGTAAAGCACTTTCCTGAGTTCTAGGAGTCATTCTAGCAAATTATTGAACCTAAGGAGGGGCTCAGGGAAACCTCTGAATTTGTAGTCAGCCAGGCAGAAGTATGGGCAGCCTGGGCATCCCATTTGTAGCTGGTGTCTGAAGTGGGGCAGAATTGCAGGACTGAGCCCTTAACTTGTGAGGTCTCTGCTAACTCTGGGTGTTAGTGTCAGGATTGAATTGGATTGTTGGACAAGCAGCTGGTGTTAGAGAATTACAGAACTGGCATGGAAAAATCACACATATTTGGTGTCAGGAAAAACCATACGCATATTATATTACATTCACCCATTTTTCTGTGAAATCCAAGTATTTCTGTTGGAATTGCTTTCGCCAAGAAGTGTGTAAGGAACTATGAGTCCCTGTGAGGCAGAGCCTGAAGCAGTGTGTAGTTCCATCTTGCTTCCATCTGCCATGGTAACTGGCAATGTTCTAAACAGAGGCTGTTCCTTCAGCCTGGGCCCCAGAGTGAACACCATGCAGAACAGAGATGTGGATGGATCATGAGCAAGAAACAAACCTTGTTGTCAAGGTCTAGGCATAACTTGGTTTCATAACATGACCTGGATTATATTAGTTAAGGTTCAGGTGATATGGAATAAGGGATTTATTATGGGAGATGGGGTTTCTGCGTTCGTAGGAGCTCAGGAACAAGTTTAGGAAAGAGTGTTGCCACTGGTCTTGGGGCTGGAGTCCCTACAGATCCTCTGGGCTTGAGGAGGGGAGAGGAAGGACAGAGTAGAACTGCTTGTCTCACTGCCTCCACCTCCAGCATGTGGCTACCTGCAGAAGAAGCTGACATCCTGCGCTTCCACACACACTCCTGCACAGAACTTGAAGGTGAACGAGGGGAGACTCAGCTGGGAGGTCAGTAATCATGTGTGTGACCTGCAGGTACTTGGCCCCCAGCTCAGAACTTAGAGAGGACTTGCTGCCTCTTTATCTCTGCCTTCCAAATGTCCAGCAATTTCTCCTGGGGCCAACCCTCACTCAGAAGTGGATGGGAATTCTGGGAAGTCTACTTTCAGCTTAGTTACACTGACACATACGAAAGCACCCCAGCTATGAGCACACTCCAGGAAAAAATGCTATTCTATTATCAGTTAGAGCTCGGCTCCCAAACCCCTATCTGGACTCAGACTTTGGTGAACTTAGAGGGACTATTTGTGAATGTCAAGATCCTCTTGCTTCCTTTAGCCCAAAACACAGACAAGAGCGGCAGCGCCGAGAGTTTGCTGCATAGGCTTTTTATCTAGGAATTTACCTGACCTTGGCCCTTGAGATTAGCACCTGGACCGTGAGGAGAATAGGACTCTTTCCTCCTAAGGCCTGAGGCCGAGCTTCACTGAGCCACCTCTTTCCATGTCTTCTTGCCCTGGTCCTGCCAGACCTTGCCATGGTTGGGGGAGACGATAATAAAAAGGAGCTTTTATCCCTAGTAAATTGCATTTATGGTTCTGAACACCCCCTCTAACTTTGTACCTCTTTGTGGGCCACATTTTATCTTTGGTTTATATAATAGGATTCTTTGTTTTTGGAAATAGAGCCGAGTGATGAGGCTTGAGTGCCACCAGAGGTTAGAGAGTGTCCTGAACAGATTTAATTGTACCACATGTAATCAATTTGCCAGACTAATGGACACTCTGCATGTTCTCAATATAAAGGAAACTGACTAGTGGAAGGTGAAGCCTGCAGGTTATTCTCTATTGAACATCTGTGCATCTCTGCTCCCACCCATTGAGTTGCATGTTTACCGAGAGTTAGGTGTGTTTATGCCTGTAAGAACAACAGGATATGAATGAAAGTGATTCATGCAGCTTCCATTTCACTCCTTGAAAATGAAGTTTGCTTTGCTGCTGCCTCTTACATACCTGTGATTGCATCAGTTGGCTCTAGTAGCAGCAGTTGGATTCAATCTGCAGTTTTTCTTACCCAATCTGAACCAGCAACACTGTACAGCTTCAGAGAGATTAGCACCATCTGGCCAGCAAACCTCCCCAACCCCCTATTTTCAGAGGTCTGATCTCAGTTCTGCAGGGTGTCTGCTCAGAGCTCCTGGGGCACCAGTATCAGCCAGTGCCCCCCTCAGAGGTCTGAATTCTGGCTCCATAGGAGTCTTCCTGCAAACTTCTAAATTGTAATAATCCTAGCCTATTGCCTTTGGTCATAAGTTCAGCATTAAGTAAGGAATAGACACTAAACACTAGTTGTACTAAATTTTCAGGAGAAACTAGCCTTCTAGTCAAAGTTACTGAGCCTTGGGGTACAGCATTTTCAATACTGATTTTGTGTCATGGCTGAGACCCTCCCCGTCCCTAGAGGCAAGAGTGTTTAGATCACACCACATCTCTGCTTAAAAACAAGAGTTCTGATGGCTTCCCATTGCCCTTAGAACAAAGCCCTACATTTTTCTCCTGTTCTCTAAGCCACTGTATGAGCGGGCCCCAGCTGTAGCTCTCAGACTGCATATCTTACTTTTCCCCCTTCCATTCACTTCACTCCAGCCAGACAAGCTTTGTTTATTTCCATCAAACAGCTAAGCTCAGTTTGGCAAATTCGCCTTCACACTTGCTATGATTTTTGCCTGGAATGTTCTCTCTTGAGACCTTTGCATAGCTAACTTTCTTATTCTTCAACTAATAAGCTCATTATCACCTTTCTAGAGAGGTCTTTTCTGAACACCCAAAGAAATGCATTTCTTCTATATAATCCGTTTATTTCTTTCGTAGCCTTTATCACCATCTGTAGCTATCTTGTTTACTTTTTTATTTGCTGATTTTCTTCTCTGTGAGGAGAATAATATAAACTCCATGAGGGCATCTATCTTATTTTCTACTCTACCTCTTTAAGTATTTATTGAACAAACAATACATTTAGTTTTCAGTGCTATCTAAAATGTGAAAGTCAATGTAAATTTATTACTTTTATCCTACAAATGAACCCAGAAACGTAGAGTACCTAAATATATAACTTCTATTGTTCTAAGCCTACTCAGAACAAGTGGGCAACAGTTTTCATTGGATGAACCATTCATGCATTACAGTAAGTCATCTGGGGAAAAGGGTTTGGCAGCAAGAGGGCTAAGCATAGTTTTGCTGGAAGACACTGTCAATACAAGAGTCTGTCAGACTGAAGAAAGGCTGCTGCAAACCATTCACTGATGTGTTTGAACCAGGCAAATGCACATCACAAATCTTGCAGGATTATGGCTCTTCGTCCCATCTGGTCACATTCCATCATGAAACTGAGGGTACCCATAAATAAGCCCTGAGTACTAGCTCAAAAGAAAAAAGGTACAATCTTGTCAAATAAGCAAAAATTTAAGGCAATGTGCATGAGTCAGTGAAATTGGTGAAATCTTCTTTTAACAAAGCCCTGTCAAATTATATTGGCTCCCAAATTTTACCACCCTGTCTAATGTTGACTCATGTTGCTTTTCAAAATACGTCTTGGGGCCCATGTGAATCAGAGGGTTGACTATTACAGTGTCAGGGCACTAGTGTTTGGGGTCTTGTTTAAAACGTTCCAACTTTTGGGATGTTGTATTTCATAAGAGTCCATTGAAATTTCTCTTTGTCCCACTCTTGTTCTACCTTAACTATACCATCAATATTTGTTTCTAAACCATTTAATATTTTTATATATGTGACCTCATAAGATCAGTATCAAATTTTATCTAGACTGTTCAGGGAATGATTTTCCAGGGATAGATTAACCAGGTCTTATACTTCTACCAATGAAAGCATTAATTACTCCTCCCCAACAAACACACACACACATAGGAGACTAGGTGGAAGAAAAGTCCCAGACAAGTCTTATTTGTGAATTCGGCCTCAGGACAATGACACTAGCCTGCCACACACCCCTGCACTATCCCATGGCCATGATGTCCTACCATCTCTCCTTTCTAGGGTAGAGGATTTAGATTTAGCAATATACAATCTTCAGATTTTTACCCATGTTCTCTCATTAAAATTTTATAGGAAAAGGAGGCCTGACTGTCCATTGCCAATATTCCAAGCCCACTCAAGTTTTGCATGTGTGAAGAAACAGGCAAACTTTCTTTCTTATTTATTCTATTCTGTTTGTCCTTTTAAGGCTTTGATGAACCTTAGTATAAAACCTTTCCATATCACAGCACACAACTGTAGGCATCATTCTCTGAGCCATTCAGAGAAGGCAACAAGATGGGAAATTTGTCTGTAGCCTCATAAACAGGATTCTATACAATGGGGCTTTCTACTGCTAATAAGTTGGACAAAATATATATATATATGTATACACACACACACACACACATATATATAGTGTTTTTATAAGAGAGGCCCCAAGGAGCTCTCATGTAACTTCTACCATGTAAGGACACAGTGGGAAGATGCCATCTCTCAATCTGGAAAAAGCCCTTACTCAACAGACGTCAAATCTGTTGGCACCTTGATCTTGGATTACCCTGAGTCCAGAACTGTGAGAAATAAATGTTTATTGTTTACATCACCTACTCTTTGGTATTTTTGTTAGAGCAGCCCCAGTGGACTAAGACAGTTGGTATCACATCTTCTTGTATTTCCGGATATATATATATATATATTCCAGATGTACTTTTGGCAGGGCTATGGTTGCAAACCACAGCGCAAGGAAATGGAGGAATACTCTAATTACAAAAGGAAATACTGCATCTCCCAAAGGGCTCGCTAGACATTATCATCATTTATGACACAGGGCATTGTTAACCTGATATACACTCTTCCTCAGTGGGACAAAGCTACACCTTCTCAAACTTCCTATCCTTTAGTACACATAGGAGCAAGGAAGAAATACAAAGCTTTCAAAGGTAGGAAATAAGTTAACAGTCTTCTGCAAGTCCTTTGATCTTCACAGAGGCACAGAGCACTGGTTCCCGTGATAGGGAAAACCTTTGTATAATGCAATAAACTGTGTAAATAAGGGAGGTAGGGAGCAGAGGCACAAGGGTGAGGGGCTGTAGAATCACTGCTCATTCTCATTCTTTTCTCTTCCTTCTAGAAGTGGCTGGAAAAGGGGGGAAAGGGTTGAATTGGAGGAAGCTGAGATTTGCTGCCTTTTCAACTGTTCCTGCCTTTTAAACTTGGGTATTTGCATCCTATGTGGGATACCAGCTGACACTAGGGCCTTGAGCAAAATGGAAATGGGTTGCTAGGCCACCTCCCATTTCCTTTCGTAGTCCTTTTCCCACCTGTTCTGTGACTCATCATCTTTATGCTCTCCCCTGCTTAGCCCCATCCCTATTTCTGTTTATGTGGACATTATAACCAAAGCCATTTTCCCTGCCCACATTTAAAACAAATAATTATCATTTGGAGAGTAAATGGAGCTTGGCCTACCCAACCCTGATTATTTGAAATCATATTATAAACAAAAATGTTGATGATTCTATCTAGTTAACTACACAAAGACAACAAAATCTCCTTTTAAAATTCCTATTCTAATTCATCTTACATGGAGCAGTCCAATTAATCATTCTGTTACAACCGCTGTCAGTGTCTCTACCATACCCCCCAAATTTATAATTACTACAAATTGCTTATAGAACTTCAAAATTTTAATCTTGGTGATTTGAAGCTCTCCATTACTTTAGTTAAAAAAACTGGTTCCAGGAACTCCACTAGGCATTGCTGAGAATACAAATGAGGAACGGGACAAAATATGGTTTCAAAGTACCTCCCTATAAAGCACTTAAAGGAAAAACAGCAAAGAACCCTGGCTTGGCAGACACCTTTTCAATCAAGTCATCACAGTGAGTATCATCAGTCGTGGCACACATAGAAACTCATGCTACTTGATTGGATACGATGAAAACATAGCATGATTTTCTTGTGTTCCTGCCAAAGCAGCATAACAAGATTCTAGTCACGAGGAAACGTCAGACAAAGCCAAACCAAGAAACATAACTTTGAAAGAGCTGGCATGAAATCTTCAAAAGTATCAAGGTCATGAAAGTCAAGGAAAGACTGAGGGAAACTAAAGAGATATGACAACTTAATCCTATTGTGTGATTCTGTACTAGATGCTTTTACTATAAAGGCCATTATTGGGAGAATTGGTGAAGGTTGAGTAGGGTCTGAGGATTAAGTAATATATCGGTGTTAATTTCTGATTTTGAGGGTCCTATTGTGATTATTAGGAGAATGTCCTTGTTTAAAGGAAATGTACTCTAAAGAATTCAGCATGATGGGGCATCTTACTTTTCAGTGGTCCAGAACAAAATTTCTTTATACTACACTTCCAAATTTTCTGTAAGTTTATTTCAAAATAAGAAGCTATTAAAAGGTATGCTTTCCATTTACTATTCTGCTTCTATATAATGAAAGAAGGCTGAGCAGCTAGGACACTATTAGCAATTGCCTAGATGATAGTAGAGCAATGGCTGTTGGAATGGAAGGACGTGAGCCCATGAGAATTTATAATGGTGAATTCTACAGGTTTAAAACAGAAAATTAGAGCTCAGGTGATCTCTGGAAAGTTACAGACTGTTCTGAGATGTGGTCTTCTGCAGAGAGAAGAGCAGTGTCAATACGATGAGGGGAACCAGAAGCTGCTAGTTCTTTAGATGAGCTTTAAGTCCAATTTTCCCCATCTAGGCCTTTCCAACCTCAAATACATAAACATGTACTTTTTGGCTTATTTTGTCTTCTTTTCTCTTGCTGTACCTTTATCAACTCTCTAGGTCTCTGTCACTTTCTCCCTTCACAGTGTACTTGGGCACTCACAGCTCTATATTTTTTTCCAGTTTTGGTTAAGATTTGCGCCCTTCCTGGCCCTGACAGAATGTCTGACACAAGCACACAGCCAGTATTTGGTGGTTGAAAGCGCTAAGCCCTCCTGGTGGCTGTTGTAAGGCAGATGCTATTACCAATGCAGCTCCTTACTCTGCATTCGTTTTGTGGTTCTACGTACAGTTGGTACTATGTCTGACTGTGTCTTCCCAACTTCATATGTTGAATCCTAACCCCCAAGGTGATGGTATTAGGAGGTGAGGCTTTTAGGAGGTGACGCTTTTGGGAGGTGATTAGGTCAAGACCGTAGAGTCCTCATGAATTGGATTAGTGCTCTTGTAAAAGAGGCCCCAATGAGCTCTCATATAACTTCTTCCATGTAAGGACACAGTGGAAAGATGCTGTCTCTCAATCTGGAAAAAGCCCTCACTCAATAGATGTTGAATCTGTTGGCACCTTGATCTTGGATTACCCTGAATCCAGAATTGTGAGAAATTAATGTTTATTATTTAAGCCACCTACTCTTTGGTATTTTTGTTAGAGCAGCCCCAATGGACTAAGACAGTTGATATCACACCTTCTGGTATTTCCTGATATACTATATTGC
Source organism: Homo sapiens (assembly GCF_000001405.40). Taxonomy (NCBI): domain Eukaryota; kingdom Metazoa; phylum Chordata; class Mammalia; order Primates; family Hominidae; genus Homo; species Homo sapiens. Next base: position 67,562,950 of record NC_000008.11, read on the forward strand.
AATGGTATGGCCCTCTGTTTTCTCTGTATACGTTTTGTCTCCCCCAAAGGATCGTAAGCTCTTCCAGGGCAGATGATGGGTCTCCATAGCAATGATCACTGTGATGAGCATGGAGTAGTTGCTCAATGAATGTTTGTAGAACTAAACTGAGTCAAAAATTAGAATGAAGAGAAAAAAAAAAACACAACCAGGGCCAAATAGGATGTGACAACATGCTTTACTTATTTAATTAAAATAGGAACCATAAAAATGTATGTTTTGGTGTTAACTAAAACAGAGAGTAACTGTTCCTGAGTAAATTAAACATGCTAATCAAGAACACAGATCTGGAGACAGCTGCCTGGGTTGCATTTGACTGATGGTTCTGCTTCTTATGAGCTCTACCTTCCTGGGATTATCAGCGTCATTCACTGCCTGAGGTTTTTGTATTAAGTGAGATCATATATGTAAAGAACATGAGTGACTGGCAAATTGTAACAACTTAGGAAGGTTAGCTAAATATCACCTTTTTTTCTAAAAATCTTGGACAGAACATGGGAAAGCACAGCTCTGAAATTCTTTCAGGGAGGTCATTCTTTAAGAGGCCTCAGCTGGGAAACCTGCTGTTGGAACAACCCATCTGGAGTTTGGGTAGGGAGAAGGAATCTCATATCCAGCTCCTTCTGACTACCTTTACACAAAAGTAGGCTGTGGGGCTCAGGGACGATTGATTGATACAAAAAGATCTGAGATTGTATAGCCTTAAAATCTCACTCCTTTCCCCTAGGAAGGCCACTTCCCTCCAACTTCTTTTCTCATGCTTTCTCTTTAAATCTGCAAATCTGCATGTTTAGTCCATGTCCTTCAAGGCTGTCCTTGATACTAATTTTACTGATTTCTACCACATTCTATGAGTCACAGTTAGAATTATTTATCCACCTTCCCTCACTCCCATGACTGAAGCAGTCATCTTAGGCTGCAAGTCTATTCCATATTTTGGGGTACGTGTAGCTCATTGATAAGTTGCCTCTTCAAAGGTTTCAATATGGAAGAACATTTCACAGTGCTATATACTGGTCCTAATATACTTCCACTGAATGGATGTTAGGAGGTCCTGGGGAAGGGACTTTGCATAAATTGTTCACAGCTGTATATCCAGGATGTGGAAGGGCACCTGCCACATGATAGGTGCTTAGCATTGCAAAAATGACATCACTGCCCCAGAAGAGTTTATCATCTTGTTGGCAAGACAAAATCCATGAATAGGAAACAGAAAGCACTAGGCAACTGGTCTCTGGTTCTAGGATTAAAGTTTGCCATTTCCTGGAGAGGTCTATAGTGGTAAAACCCAGATTTTTCTCTCTAGTCTCTGCCTGTGATGCTCCTAAAGCTTTTTTTGTTTGTTTGTTTGGGGTTTCTTTTTGGCAGCCTGTGCTTCTATTTCTTTCTCTGGGATGCAAGCTGAGCAGCGACGATTAAAAGTGTTCTTTTTTTTTTTTTTATGTTTTGGATATAGAGAACTACATCTAAGGTGTTAGCTTATTTAATTCAGGCCTCCTACTTGTGACTCAAGAATATATCCTTTTACAAAACTGAATTCTTATACAAGTGAGTTCTCAAGGTCATAGGAAGAGCAGTACAGAGCTGAATCAAAGGCACAGAATGTTCTTGTAGCTGTCATACCAGTAAAATTATACTCATCGTTGTCCACTAGAAGAGAAAAATGTCTATGTTTCCAGCCACTATTTCTGCCTAAAGTGAATTTTCTAATTTAAAAAGGCTTAATTCAGCTCTTTTCATACATTAAGTATGATGTCAATGCATTTTAATTAGGGATTAATATTGCTGATAGATTTCTGTGGTTTCTTTTTATGTAAAATGATCTGTAATGTGACAATATGTCTATCCCAATTAAACAATGATCAAAACATTCAGCTGCAAACAACAAAAGATAACACTATCGTTATGACAAATAATCCTTATGAAAGGATTTTCATAGGATTATTTGACTCAATGTCAAAACATGCTTACTGAAAGATGAACTGAGAACCGCAGCGTGGTCTTCTAGATCATTTAGTATGTAACATGTGGTCGGATCAGTTACGCCATCTGAATTAAAGCTAGAGATGGCTATCTAAATCAGCATGACCCGAAAACAAATATATTGGATAATGGAGAGCAGGTGGGAGGCAATGAGAGAGCAAGAATTGGGACTATGCCACAGCGTTTTTCTTTTTCTTTCTTTTTTTTTTTTGTTGTTGTTTTTTAGGATCTTGCTCTGTTGTTAGGTATGTTGTAAACTGCTGCAGAATCCTCCTCAAAACCCAGTTGTAGAGATTGAGACTGTCTGTAAATACTTCAAAGGAGAAAGAAAAAGAGGATAATGGGACGCAGAAAAACAAAAATGACAAGAAACGTTCTGTCAGCAGCATGCGATTAAAAAACCCCATACAGATCTGGCAGAGCATGGTTATTTCTGAAAATGACACTCACTTTGAAGGCTGTTCTTTTAGTCAGACCTCTGTTAGGCTAAGGACCTCTCCCACTGCTGACATGATAGATCAAAGGAAGCACCTTGCACTGTCTGAGGTGCATGACTAGCACAAGTCACTACAGACACAGAACAACAGAGCAGGCAATGGACGTGCAGCCAAATCACCATCACAAAATACCACTTCTTTCACTTCTTACAGGATAAACTACCTTGAAAAAGACCTTTAGGACTGCATAGTCAAGGATAGTTCCTTGCCAAACTGTTTAGTTTTTTTCCCAAGAGAAAATAGAATGAGCAGGTCATTAGTTGGTATGGATCAATTTCTACTCTGAAATGTGGTTTTATTTGTAATGTCAGTTTGTCTCAGCACCTTGACTCTCAGGAAGATGAGATCTCTCTGAGATGTCATCTTCACTTTGAAAAAGCTTTCAAAAAAATATCAGACTCCTCGTATGCCACTTTGGAGAATGCCTCCTGCAAATACTTGGATAACAAGGGTCACCATGACAAGGGAAACATCCTTTCTGTTGCCAAGACCAAATTAAATTTTCAGAGAGAATTTCACTCCTAAATGGTTACAGCTGATTCATGATTTTCATTTCTTTGCCAGACACTCAAATGGTTTCTGAAGGGGCTTCCAAGGCAAAAGCAAATCCTCACCTCTGGATAAATAGCTCAAGTCTCAGAGGAGATAATAGCCAATTCTCCAGTGTTCTTTTGTTTGGCATTCTCCTCTCTTCCCATTGTCGTTTCAATAGTATTAGTCATTAGTTTTCCTGCAGAAGAACATCTTCCTCCAAAGATAATGCTGTTTGGATATAACACTATTGGTCCTGACTCATTGCTGCCCTGTTCTGACCTTGCAGTCACCTTCTCTCTTGCACTGGGATGGGCATCTCCTCATAGTGTACAGTGTCCCACCAGCAGGAAATGTCCAGGAAGTTGTCAATGTCCATATCTGACAGCTGAGCCTCCACTTTCTCAATGCCAATGGAGTGAATCTCCAGTCTACTTTATCAATCCACTTTAAGGACAATATCTTGTGTCACCTCTAAAACCTTAAATTCAAATTTCTCACTCTTGGACCACAAGTTCCTGGCTATGTTTTCACCTTTTGGATTTTTAATATCATTTAGATATCTAGTCCCTAGATACTTCTGCTGTCTCCTGACTTCCATTCCCTATTAGTCTTCATTCTTTCTCTACCCAAAGTGGACATTTTGGTTGATAACATGTACAACTATCTCATGGTCTAGCTGCATGCTGCACCCTCACCACCAAACCCTAACCCTAGATCAGTATGCCAGTTCACCCTCTCCATCCCTATGCCCAGAGAGCAGGAGCTGCTGGAGAAGCACAGGGAATGTGTAGATTGGTTCCAGTGCATGAACTCTAACCTCTTCAGGATGCTTAATATTCATGTACTGCAGATAATCAAATGATATGCCCAGGAATGGTGGGAAAGTAGAAGGCTGTTCTTTATATAAGAATAGCCATTGTTTGGAGTGAAAGGTGGCCACTCTTTAGGCCACAGTATGTAACATAAACTGTGACCTGGCATGAAAAGGCAAGTTGAACACCCTGCACTAGCAATCTGGACTATAAGAATGGAAAAAATTTATCAGTTGGCACTTGGACAGACTGAAAGAGGAGCAGGCATGTAGAGAGTAGTAGACTTACAGTAATGGTAGAGGAGAGCCTCTACCTTACTCACCTCTTTCTTCTTAAATGTGTATGATTATTCAGACAATAGGGTCAAGAGAATAGACAAACCTGTGCAACTCCTCTCTCTTATGGGATATCAGATACATGGGCCTGGCCAGGGCAGATTTAGGTCTTGTGAGACCTGAAGTTCATGCAGTTTTGAGATGTCCTCTTAAAAAAGAATAGAAATTTAACACAGGCACAAAAGCAATCAAATGCATTTAAAAATTGCTCCTACTTTGTATTGAGCTACATAATGGTGTAATCAAATTACTCTTATATGGCAATCATTGACTTACCAATGAATAAACATAGGAGTTTTGCCATCAAAACATTGCTTTCTTCAGGACATTTAACTGGGTCAGTGGCAGTTTTGTAATGCTTTTTGTCTGGAGGTCAGCAAGGTGGTGGAAAAGGAAGTCTTGGGTTTCATTCCCCTCCACAGGAAAATCAACTAGAACTATTCATAGACAAAAACAAACACCTTGGTGAAAACCCCAAAACATGGGAATAAATCTGAACCACTTGTGTGTTCCATGGAATTGAATAAAAATCTACATTGAAAGGGCAGGATAATCAGTCTCACTTTGACTATGTCACCCCTCTGCCTTCCGTAAGTTGGCACAGTGCCACACAGGGTACTCCCCAGGGCTCATAGTTTCTACAGTGAGTAAACAGAACCAGGGAAGTGGACAGCCAGCTTCCCTAGCATTCTGAGATGCTTCCCAGGAAGCCCACTCTGTCCTTACCTCACGGGGACTGAGGAACATAGGGGAAAGAGTGCAGTTAGACCACCTGGGGTCAGGCAGAAACAAAGCAAGGAGGTGAGGCCCACAGAGATCAGCACACAGATTTTTGTGAATGTACCTATCCTGCTGGATAGAAGAGCCTAGCCAGCTGTCTCACCTGAATTCAGGGCAAAGGGAGCAGCTCAGGCTTCTAGATAACCTGAAAGCAAACTCTGTCTGCCCGGGGTCAGTACGAGCTGGCCCATCCACACTCATAGGCTAGACTAACTAGTGAAGGTCTATCCCTGCCAAAGAACTCCTGTAAAAGCCAGGAAAGTTGGCTTTCTCTATAAAGCCATAAACACCAATGCAAAGACATAAGGATTACAAAGATTTAGGAAATCATGATACCTCCAAAACAAACAAAGAAAAAAACAATGAGAAAGCTCCAGCAATGGACCCTAGAGAAAGGTAAATCTATGAAATGACAGAAAAAATGGAGAATAATCTACTTTTAAAAGTTCAGTAAACTTCAAGAATATACAGATAAAAAATTAAATGAAATTCAGAAAATACACAAACAACACCAGAAATTTGACAAATAAATAGAGACAATACACAAAGAAACAAATAGAAATTCTAGAGATGAAGATTACAATGACTGAACTGAAAAATGTAATAGGAAGCTTCAACAGCTGGCTCAATCAAGCTGAAGAATCAGTGAACTCAGAGGCAGAACATTTTAAACTACTTAATCAGGGAAGCAAAAAGAAACAAGAATGAAAAAGATGAAGAAAGCCCATGGGAATTACGTGACACCATCAAGAGACCTAACCTATGCATAATAGGCATTCAAGAAACAGAAGAAAGAGAAAACGGGCCAGGAAGTTTTTTTTTATTACTTATTTATTTAGAGGCAGAGTTTTGCTCTTGTTGCCCAGTTTGGAGTGCAGTGGCACGATCTCGGCTCACTGCAACCTCCGCCTCCCGGGTTCAGGTGATTCTACTGCCTCGGCCTCCCTAGTGGCTGGGATTACAGGCACCCACCACCATGCCCAGCTAATTTTTGTATTTTTAGTACAGAAGGGGTTTCACCATGTTGGCCAGGCTGGTCTCAAGCTCCTGACCTCAGGTGATCCACCCACCTTGGCCTCCCAAAGTGCTGGGATTACAGGTGTGAGCCACTGTGCCTGGCAGGAAGAGTGTTTTTAAAAAATAATGAATGAAAACTTTCCTAATCTGAGGAAAGAAGGTAACATCCAGGTACAGGGAGTACAAAAGTCCCAATTAAATTCAACTCAAAGAGGAGTTCACCAAGATATATAATAATCAAACTGTCAAAAATTAAAGACAGAGTTCTGAGAGCAGAAAGAGATAAGAAATATATCATATACAATGAAGTCTTAATATGACTGTAGATGGAATTCTCAGCAGAAGTCTTGCAGGCCAGGAGACAGTAGGATAACATATTCAAAGTGTTGAAGAAAAAGAAGACTGCCAATGAGGAATACTTTATTCATTACTTTCTGCCACCATCTCGGTTCCATGTTCCCCCTACAAAATGCCCAGTAAAGACACAGAAACTGTCTCTGCTACGGAGCATAAGTAGCCAGAGCCACAGGCTAAGACAGGGTCTGTAACAGAATCTAACAGTGATGAATCAGTACCAGAGCTTGAGGAACAAAATTCCACACAGGCAACGACCACACAACAAGCCCAGTTGTCAGCAGCAGCTGAAATTGATGAAGAACCAGTCAATAATGCAAAACAGAATTGGAGTGAAAAGAAGGCACAGAAGGTTATATCCAAACTGTGTTTTAAGCAGGTTACAGGGGTTACTAGAGACATTATTTGGAAATCTAAGAATACTCTGTCATCACAAAACCAGATGTCTGTAAGATCCCAGCTTCAAATACCGACATGGTTTTTAAGGGAAGCTGAGATTGAGGTTTATCTCAGCAAGCACAGCTAGCGGCTACTGAGAAATTCAAATTTCAAGGTGAAGCTCTCTCAAACATTCAAGGAAACATGTAGCCTCTTCCAACTGTACAAGAGGAGAGTAAAGAGGAAGTTGATGAAACAGGTGAGGAACTTGATGAAACGTGTGAAAATTAAGGACACAGAATTGGTCATGTTGCAAGCAAATGTATCAAGAACAAAGGCAGTTCAAGGCCTGAAGAACAACAGTAATGATATTGTTAACGTGAGTATGGAATTAGCAATTTAACCGTCTGAAAACAAGAACTTTTTTTTTTCGGTGTTTCAAAAGAGTAACTGCAGCTTGAATTGAAATTTGTACTCTTTCTATCATTAATAAAGTTATGGTTTCCTGTTAGATAAAAAGGAATATTTTATCCAGAAAAGCTGTCTTTCAGAAGTGAGGAAGAAATAAAACTTCCCCAGACAAATAAAAGCTAAGGAAGTTTATCACCACTAGACTTACCTTTACAGGAATTGCTAAAGGGAGTTCTTTAAACTGAAACAAAAGGTTGCTAAATAATAACGCTAAACATATGAAAGCACAAAACCTAATGGTGTAGGTAATACAGAGCAATAATCAGAACACTCTAGTACTGTAATAGTGATATATAATTATATTCCGAGTATGAGGGTTAAAGGGCAAAATTGTTAATAACAACTAGAGCTAAAATAAATTACCAAGGGATACATATCACAAAATGATGTAAATTCAGACAACAAAAACATAAAATGTGGGAGGGGAGTAAAAGTTTAGAGTTGTACGCAATAAAAGTTAAGCTGTTACCAGCTTGAAATAGACTGTTATAAGATATTCTGTGTAAACTTCATGATAACCAAAAAGCAAAAGTAAATAAGAGATAGAAAAAACAAAATTTAAAAAGATTCAGAACATACCACTACAGAAAACCATCAAATCACAAAGGAAGACATCAAGAGAGGAAGAAAGAAACAAAGTATCTATAAAACAACCAGAAAACAATGAACAAAATGGTATTTGTAGGTTCTTACCTAGCATTAATTACCTTGAATGTACATGTATTAAATTCCCCAATTCAAAGACATAGAGTGAATGAATGGATAAAGAAACAAGAGACAACTATATGCTATCTACAAGAGATTCACTTCATTTTTAAGGACACACATAGACTGAAAGAGAAGGGATGAAAAAAGATATTTCACAAAAAAGGAAACCAAAAGAGAGCAGAGGTAGCGATACTTGCTTGTATCAGACAAAATAGATTTTAAGTAGAAAATTATACAAACAGAGAAAGAATGACATTCTATAATGAAAAAGAGGTCACTTCATCAAGAGGACATAAAAATTATAAACACATGTGCACTCCACAGTGGAGCACCTAAATATATAAAGCAAATATTAACGGATCTGAAGGGAGAGAGAGATTGCCATTCAATAGCAGCAGGGGACTTCAATACAGTGCTTTCAATATAGAACAGATCATGTAGACAGAAAGTTATTGAGGAACCATTGGACTTGAAGAACTCTTTAGATCATATGGAACTAACAGACATATGCAGAACATTCCAGCCAACAGCAACAGAATACACATTCACTTTAAGAACACAGAGTACATTCTCTAGGGTAGATCATTTGTTAGGCCACAGGACAAATCTTGGCAAATTTAAGAAGATTGAAATCATATCAAATATTTTTTCAACCATAACGGTATGAAACTAAAAACTAACAACAGGAGAAATTTCAGAAAATTCACAAATAAATGTCAAAAAACATACTACTTAGCAATGAAGGTCAATATAGAAATTAGGAAATTAAAAAATATCTTGAGACCAATGAAAATGGAAACATAGCATACCAAAACTTGTGTAATGCAGCAAAAGCAGTTGTAAGAGGAAAGTTTGTAGCAAAAACGCCTACATCAAAAGAGAAGAATGTTTGCAAATAAACAATCTAATATCACATCTAAAGGAAATACAAAAAAGAAGAACAAACTAAGCCCAATGCTAGCAGAAGTAAAGAGTAAAGATCAGGACAAATAAATAGAGACTAGAAAAACAATATGGAAGATTGATTAAACTAAGAGTTGGTTTTTTAAAAAGATAAACAAAATTGACAAACCTTTAGCTAGACTAACCAAGAAAAAAGAAAAAAGACTAAGATAAAATCAGAAACGAAAGTGGAAACATTACAACTGACACCGCAGAAATACAAAGAAAAATAAGAGACTATCATGAAAAATTATAGGACAAGCAATGGAGAAACTTAGAGGAAACAGATAAATTCCTAAACATATACAACCTGCTAAGACTGAATCACAAGAAATAGAAAATCTGAACAGACTGATAATGGAGTGAGGAGACTGAATCAGCAATAAAAAGTCTCCCATTGTTATAGTTTGAATATGGTTTGTTTATTCTCACCAAAACTCATGCTGCAATTTGATCCCTAATGTGGTGGTGTTGGGAGGTGGGCTCAATGGCAGGTGCTGGGGTTATGGAGGCAGATTCCTCATGAATGGCTTGGTGCCGTTCTCCTAGTAGTAAGTTCTTGCTTTTGAAAGACTGGGCTAATTCCCACAAGAATGGATTAGTTCCTATGAGAGGAGCCTATTATAAAGCCAGAATGCCCCTCAAGTTCCTGGCTCTGTGCCCATGTCTGCTTTTCCTTTGATCTTCTCTGCCATGTTGTGATGCAGCATGAAAGCCCTCTCTAGAGGTCAGGGCCATGCATGACCTTAAACTTCTCAGCCTGCAGAACTGTGAGCTAAATAGCCTCTTTTGTATATAAATTACCCAGTCTCAGGTATTCTTTTATAGCGACACAAAATGGACTAAGACACCCATTAAAGAAAAATCAAGAACCTGAAGTCTTCATGACTGAATTCTACCAAACGTTTAAATAAAAACTAATACTAATTCTCTACAGACTTCCAAAAAAACTGAAGAGAAGAGAATACTTCCAAATTCTTTTTGCAAGGGCAGCAATAACCTGACACCAAGGCCGGACAAAAATATCACAAAATAAGAAAACTACAGACCAATATCTTTGACGAATATAGACGCAGAAATCCTCAACAAAATGCTAGCAAACTCAACAGTGCATTAGAAGGATCAATCACCATCAAGTGGGATTTATTCCTGGGATGCAAGGATGGTTCAACATTCACAGATCAATAAATGAGAGACACCATATTAACATAATCAAGGAAAAAGCATGATTATTTCTTTAAATGCAAAAAATGCATTTGACAAAATTCAACATCTTTTCATGATAAAACCACTCAACAAATTAGGTATAGATAAAATGTATATAAACACAATAAAAGCCATATATAACAAGCCCACAGCTAACATTATACACAATGGTGAAAAATTAGAAACCTTTCCTCTAAGATCCTGAACAAGGCAAGGATGTTCATTCATGCCACCTCTATTTAATTTAGTATTGAAAGTCCTTGCCAGAGCACTTGGTCAAGAGAAAGAAATAAAAAGCGTCCAAACAGGAAAGAAGAAGTTAAATTGTCACTGTTGGCTGACAACATGATCTTATACATAGAAAATCCTATAGATTCCACCAAAAATCTGTTAGAACTGATATACAAATTCAGTAAAGTTGCAGAATATAAAATTAACACACAAAAATCAGTGGCATTTCTCTACATTCACAACAAACTTTCTGAAAAAGAAATCAAGAGAACAATCCCATTTACAATAGTTACAAAAATGAAACACTTAGAAATAAATTTAACAAAGAAAGTGAAAGAACTGTACACAAAAAACTATAAAATATGAAGGAAAGAGGCCGGGCACGGTGGTTCACACCTGTAATCCCAGCACTTTGGGAGGCCGAGGAGGGCGGATCACGAGGTCAGGAGATTGAGACCATCCTGGCTAACACGGTGAAACCCTGTCTCTACTAAAAATACAAAAAATTAGCCAGGCATGGTGGTGGGCACCTGTAGTCCCAGCTACTCGGGAGGCTGAGGCAGGAGAATGGCATGAACCCGGGAGGCAGAGCTTGCAGTGAGCCGAGATCACGCCACTGCACTCCAGCCTGGGCGACAGAGCAAGACTCCGTCTCAAAAAAAAAAAAAAAAAAAAAAAAAAAAATCAAGGAAAGAAACTGAAGAAGACACAAATAAATTAAAACATATTCTGTGTGTTCATGTTCTGGAAGAATTAATACTGTTAAAAGATCTATACTACCCAAAGTGATCTACAGATTTAATGCAATTCATGTGAAAATCTCAATGTCACTTTTCGTAGCTGTAGAAAAAGCAAATTTGGCAGGGTGTGGTGGTTCATGACTGTGATCTCAGCATTTTGGGAGGCCAAGGCAGGCAGATCACTTGATGTCAGGAGTTCAAAATCAGCCTGGGCAATATGGTAAAACCCCATCTCCACTAAAAATACAAAAATTAGCTGGGCATGGTGGCACGAGAGTAATCCCAGCTACTCTAGAGGCTGAGGCAGGAGAATTGCTTGAACCCAGGAGGTGGAGGTTGCAGTGAGCTGAGATCATGCCACTGCACTCCAGCCTGGGCAACAGAGTGGAGACTCTGTCTCAAAAAAAAAAAAAAAAAGCAAATTGAACCACAAAAAACCCAAATAACCAAGGCAATGATGAACAAAAAGAACAAAGCTAGAGGTATCACACCAACTGTAGTTGATTTCAAACTATACTACAAAGTGATAGTAATTAAAAGAGCATGGTACTAGCATAAAATAGACACATTGACCAATGGAACAGAACAGAAATCATAGAAATGAATCTGTTCCTCTATGGTCAATGAACTTGACAAAGGTGCCAAGAATATACAATGGGAAAAGGACAGTCTGTTCAATAAGTGGTGATAGGAAAACTGGATATCCATATGCAAAAGAATAAATTTGGACCCTTATCTCACCCCATATACAAAAATTTAACTAAAAATGGATTATAGATTTAAACATAAAACCTGAAAACCACTGGAAAAAAACATAGGGGAAAAAACTACATGATATTTCTCCAGCCTACGATTTTTTTTTTTGGGTTTGGTTCCAAAGGCATGGGCAATGAAAGCAAAAATAGACAACTGGAATTACATAAAAATAAAAACTTCTGTACAACAAAGAAAACAATTAAGAGAGGGAGGACACAGACTACAGATTGGGAGAAAATATTTGCAAGCCATACATCTGATAAGGGATTAATATTTAAAATATGTAAGGACCTCAACTATATAGAAAGAAAACAAATAATCCAATTTAAAAATGGGCAAAGAATCTGAATAGACACTTCTGAAAAGAAGACATATGAATGGCTAACAAATACATGAAAAAAATGCTTGACATTATTAATCATTAGGGAAATGCAAATTAAATCCACAATGAGATATCACCTCATACCTGATAGGATGGCTATTACCAAAAAGAGGAAAGATAACAAGTGTTGGCTAGGGTGTGGAGAAAAGGGAATTCTTGTACACTGTTGGTGGGAATGTAAATTAGTACAGCCATTATGGAAAACTGTATGGTGCTTCCTTTAAAATCTGAAAACAGATTTACCATATGATCCAGCAATGCCACAAATGGGTGTTTCTCTGAAATATTTAAAGTCAGTATGTCAAAGACATGTCTACACTCCTATTCATTGCAGCCCTATTCACAATAGTCAAGATACAGAATCAACCTAAGTGTCCATCACTGATGAATGTATAAAGAAAATGTATATATACACAATGGAATACTAACCTACTCAGCTTTAAAAAAGGAAGAAATTCTGGGCTGGGTGCAGTGGCTCATGCCTGTAATCCCAGCAGTTTGGGAGGCCAAGGCGAGAGGATCACCTGAGGCCAGGAGTTCGAGACCAGCCTGGCCAACATGGTGAAACCCTGTCACTACTAAAAATACAAAAAATTAGCCAGGCATGCTGGCAGGTGCCTGTAATCCCAGCTACCTGGGAGGCTGAGGCAGGAGAATTGCTTGAATCCCAGAGGTGGAGGTTGCAGTGAGCTACTCCAGCCTGGGCAACAGAGTGAGACTCTGTCTCCAAAAAAAAAAAAAAAAGGAAGAAATTTTGTCAACATGGATGGAATTGGAAAAAATCATGTGAAGTGAAATAAACCAAACACAGAAAAACAAATAACACAAGACAAATAATACATGTTCTCACTTGATTTTGGTATTGAAAACAATTGAATTCATGGGAACTGAGAGTAGAATGGTGGTTACCAGAGGCTGAAGTTTGGAGGAATGGGGAGATGATAATCAAAGCCTCAGTTGCATAGTAGGAATAAGTTGGATTTTTTTGAGATCTACTGCACAGCATGGTAAATACAGCTAGTAATTGAGTACTGTACATTTTAACATCACTTAAGACAATAAATGTCAAATGTTCTCATCACAAACATTTCAAATATTTGAGGTGATGGATAAGTTTATTAGCTTCACTTAACCATTCCATTGTATTAAAAAAATCCTAGCATAACTTTATACTGCATAAATATATACAACTATAATTCGTCTATATGTATATAATTAAAAAAAACATTTTATCTGGAACCACCAGACTTAATCAGGTCAAGATGTGCTAGCTGCACACTAAGATTTGATTTGATACATTGGGATGTGTAAAACATATGACCACTCACATAGACATAAATCCCACTGCTTGTAGAAGTGCTATAGGTGTATGCTCTAAAAATGTAGAAATTTAATTTGACATAATTTCTATAAAATATATGGTGCATTTGGAATCATACGTGCTCCACTATCAAGCATATTTCTGACAGCAGGGAATGTTCATTTTGACAAGATGGTGATGAGAAACAAATCTTTTTCTTACAATTATACATATCTGATGATATGAAGAACATTCTACAGAGTGGCTTCTGACTTCATAAATTTCAAACATTGCTTCTTTAACTCTGCTTATGGTACTGAGTGCTATAGGATGCATTCTTATCACTTTACAATGTTTCCCCCAACATAAAGCCGCTGAGTTGTGTGTTGGCACGGTGGGTGGAAGGAACAGGTAGTATGACTATAGACCAAGGGACTTCAAGTCTTAGAAACTTTTTTTTTTTTTTTTGAGACAGTCTTGCTCTGTTACCCAGGCTGGAATGCGGTGGCACGATCTCAGCTCACTGCAACCTTCCGCCTCCGGGGTTCAAGCGATTCTCCTATCTTAGCCTCCCCAGTAGCTGGAATTACAGGCGCCTGCTACCACACCTGGCTAATTTTAGTAGAGACTGGGTTTCACCATGTTGGCCAGGCTGACCTCGAACTCCTGGCCTCAAGTGATCCTCCTGCCTCGGCCTCCCAAAGTGCTAGGATTATAGGCCTGAGTCACCTAGCCCAGCCTGAGTCATTTAAACGGAATCCCATTTAACCCAAACTAATTATATCCCAAATTCCACTTTAGCTGAATCCCCTCAGTACCATGACCATTTCAAAGACATGAGGGTATGAGTGACAGATGGTAACTCTAAGTGGAATGAGACATCAGTCTAAACAGATAAAACATTTTACTTTTATATGTGAGCATGTGAACACATGGGAAGGGCCTGTCCAGGGAGGGGTCCTAAAGCTTAAGCTTCATTAGCTTTGTAGTAAATTCATCTCCCCATCTGGGCTTGAAAAGCTTGCCTAGCATGTAATCTGGAGGTTCCTAATAGGGAAGATTCACTACTCCCATATACTGATTGAAGAATAGGCATCTTTCTTACGCTCTTCGAAGCGTAAGAAAGATGGCTAATTTTTTGTATTTTTAGTAGTGACAGGTGTAAGAAATATTCAGGATCCAAAAAGGTAATAATTGTCTTTTGTATCAGATGTGATATTAACATTTCTTGAAAGCAAAAGGAAAGCATGAGTTAACTTTAACCTGCTGCCTAAATTAAGCAGTAAAAATAATTCCGTAAGAGAGTAACTCACTCCCAGGAGAAATAAATGTCATTTAAATAATATGAATGAAGAGTACCTGTGTGTCAGGCAGAACCACCCTGAATGTTTGCAGCCCAGGGGCTGTATCCTGACCTCAGGCCTCTTGCTGATAAGTAATTTCGAGTCATGTGGGATAAGAAATATGTTGCAGTCTACGAATTGTCTACCCAGTACATCAACTCACCTGAGATGATAAAATTGTTCCCTTAGAGCAGGATTTAGCAAACATTGTCTATAAAGAACCAAACATAGTAAATATTTCAAATATTTATGGAGGCTAAAATTTGAATTGCATAACATTTTCATGTGTCACAAAATATTTTTATTTTGATGTTTTTAACTATTAAAAAATATAAAAAATTTTTTAGTTTGAAGGCTGTACAAAAACAGGTGGCATGTCAGATTTTGCCCCGGACTGTTGTTTACTGACCTTTGTTCTAAAATATGCAGAGAAAAGATCTGGGATTAAG
The DNA here is from genome assembly GCF_000001405.40 of Homo sapiens. Lineage (NCBI taxonomy): Eukaryota > Metazoa > Chordata > Mammalia > Primates > Hominidae > Homo > Homo sapiens. The sequence continues at coordinate 67,578,207 of NC_000008.11, forward strand.
CTGATGGCGGGTTTAGAAGGACACCACTTTTCTGTTCTGCATTTCTATGCAGAAGATATTTCTCAAATTACAAATAATGCAGTATATCAGCTGTATATCAGCTGTTTGGTAGGCACCATGCTGAAGATCTAAAATGAATGATGCGGATCTCCTCCCTCAAAGTGCTCAAATGTAACACAATCACCTTCCCAACCCATGACTTTTGATTGGCTGTTGGTGATTTGGCTTGTCTTGGCTATTGGTTTGAATTAATAGTGTATCTTATAGAGACACGGTACCAGTGCAGCACCATGGGCACAACCCAATTTGGCACGAGATCCCTGGCAGCCAAGTGGGCAGCATCTTGATTACCAAGATGGACTAGCCACCCTGTCTGCATCTGGTGTCCTCTTCCTGCCACTGTGCTCCTTATGGGTCCCTGTTACTATAATGAGTTTTGAAGTTCAAGAAGCTTTTGCACAGAAAGGATTGGTTCCAGTTACTTGCATTTTCAAGAAACATCAATTTAGGAATAAGTAAAAACATCATTTACATAATAAAAAAACATGTTACATAATTAAAAACATCATTTTCATTAACTTAAGTTCAGCATATAAATCTTATTAATTCCATCTATAAATCTATATCTAAAATAAGAATTTCACCTTTCCTTGCTCTTTGATTACTGTTTGATTAATTTAAGTAACACAGGATAAACATCCTTAAATAATCAGCCTGTAGTTTATCAAATTCCCTTAAGCATTTTATACTACATTTGTAAATTTATTCAAAGAATTTTACTTCAAATGCCTGACCAGACAAGCCTACCACCCAAACAATAAAACCTTTAATATATTTAAACAACGTAAATTAAATGTATAAATATAGAAACCCAATAGTTCTTTTAAGCATTCCAACTTTCAACTTAAAAATCATATGTTTAGGCTGGGCGTGGTGGCTCACGCCTGTAATCCCAGCACTTTAGGAGGTCGAAGTAGGCGGATCACCTGAGGTCAGGAGTTCAACACCAGCCTGGCCAACATGGCCAAACCCCATCTCTACTAAAAATACAAAAAAATTAGCCAGGTGTGGTGGTGGGTGCCTGTAATCCCAGCTGCTTGGGAGGCTGAGGCAAGAGAATCACTTGAATCCAGGAGTTGGAGGTTGCAGTGAGCCGAGATTGTGCCACTGCACTCCAGCCTGGGTGACAGAGTGGGACTCTGTCCCCACCACAAAAAAGAAAAAACCTAAGTTTATAATCACATATTTTAAAGTGAAATCCCCCGACTAATCCATCAGATTATCATGTCAAATTCTCTTAAATATTATAAGCATAATAAATACCAAACACATAGATTGTTCCAGTGATTATAAAACCTACACTTAAACTTAATCCCGCAAATACAAATAATATGGGTCAAACTACCTTCACTAACTTTTAAACATTCTAGGGTAGAAAGACTTTTAAGTTGGGGTCAGCAAACTGACCTGCCATATCTGGCCTGCTGCCTGTTTTTCTATGGCCTCAAGCTAAGAATGGTTTCTGCAGTTTTAAATAGTTAAGAAAGAAAAGTAAAAGAAGATGATTTCAACACCCATAAAGGTTTATAGGAACATAGTTATGCTCATTCGCTTCCACATTGGCTATGGCTGCTTTGGGGCTACAACATCAGAGTTGAGTGGTTAACACAGAGACCATATGGCCCTCAAACCGAAAATATTTACTCTCTGTATCTTTACAGAAAGTTTGTTAACCCTCTTTTTTTTATTTAGAAGAAACCTAAATAAACGAACATTGCAACAGAAACTTTTGCCTGAAAGGAATTTGGGACCAAAGGCAGAGAGTGTCTTTCAGAAGGTTGTTTATTGTCCACCTTCCTCCACTTACCCAGAGCACTAACAGCAGAGGTTGAGGACAGGAAAGAAGGGAATACAAAGGGAAGAAAAACTCTCTTTTGGTGTAAAAACAGAGATCCCCTCCCACCATATGGCCACCTACCCTCCCCCTTCTCTAATGCAAGTGATACTGATTCTGAGCAGTTTAGAGCCTACTGGCAGCTGTTAAGCTGTGGGGGTGCTTCTCATAGCATGCTTAGGAGGAAGTGGTACGAGAGGGTGGTTTCCCTAATCCTTCTACCAACACAAGTTGAGATAGCATCATTTAGGTGAGAAGAAAGTTCTGACCCTTTGATTGCCATTAGCTTTGCCTTTCAGTAACCTCATGAAAAGAATTGTTGAGATGCTTCCAGACTATTATTCAGGGTCCAGTTTTCCTAGTTTAGAAGCCTCAATGTCTTTAAAGTAAGAAAAAAATAATCAAAACTGGGTTGCATTTTAGTCTCTTGTTTTTGGGGTTTGGCAAGAGTATGTTTACCTAAGTTGATAATAAAGTCAGAGATGGGGGCTTGCAGATTTAATTGGAAATAGTTCTTGAAATTGAGTGAGTGTACGTACATGCATGTGTGAGCGTCTATTGACTGTTATGTCCTTCAAGCATGAATTAATTAGCACCTTGTGGTTACCATGCCAGCCTGGAATATTCAAGGTAAGTTCAGCTGCAATGGATTTAGCAGGAATCAGGCTCTGACCATGCTGAGTCACAGCACCCCCAAAGTTAAAAAATACCAAATGCATGACAGTGCTCCCATGATTGATTAATAGGGTGGTAGTCATTAGTTCATCGAGATGTCTTATTTAAGGGGAATGTGTTGGCGGTCTTAGTTTTATGGCCCTGAAGTAAGAACCAGATGCCAGGTACAGTTTCAGTATAGTCACCCCCAAGTGTTATGGGCCCAGAGCGAGGGGAGTAGCACTCCCGAGTGGGATGATGATTTCTTGGAGGTTGGTAGATTAAGAGACCAAAAATTGGTAGGGGATATCCATGTTGACGAGGGATGTCTTGACTGAAATGTGCTATGTCCAATGAACGAGTATATGTACTATGTAATATTAAGTAATATTAAGTAATGTAAGATTTACAGTACTGGTCAATATCCATGTGGGGTAATGTACGGTTAATGACAGTGGATGTGCGACAGTTGATTAAGGGATTATTAGTACATGCTTATATGCATGTGGACTGGATTTTTAATGTATTGTTAAACATGAATGTACTATGTACTGTTAAGCATTTATATACTATATATTACTCATTCATGGGGACTAGCCGTAATGTACAAAGTACATAAAGGCACTATTACAATAGTGCTAGTTGATTAATACTGACATGGTAGTCAAAGTATATGCTGAGAAAGAATTCAGGGAATTGTTTAATTAGAATTTCAGCTTTGGGTGTTAACGGTGAAGCAGGATATTTTTTCCCTGAGTTGTCCTGGGGAAGGATCCTCCATTTCTGGTTTACAAGACCAGAGTATTGAATTATACTACAAGAGCATCTTCATTTAAGCAGTTTATTTTCAATTAGGCCAGAGAGTGGCATAAGGGTAAGGATGATAGAGAAATACACAAGAGATGCTGTCTGTTCGATGGTGATAAAAGGGTATTGGACTGGCTGTCCCCCAACTCATGTGAGTGTAAATAGGTCAGCCACTAAGATTCAGAATAGGACTTTACTCAATGGTCAAAATATTATGCTTTGTTGTTTGGACATGTGAAGTACAGGAATAACTGCCAGAATGAGAATGGAGAACATAAGGGCCAGTATGTCTCCTAGTTTATTAGGGAAGGATCGTAAGATTGCATAAGCAAACAAAAAGTACCAGTCTGGTTTAATGTGGGGTGGGGTGTTGAGGGGGTTGGCTAAAGTGTAGTTATCTGGGTTGTTCAGGAGGTCAAGCAAAAATAGTACTAGAGTTATTAGAAGGAGCAGGAGAAAAATTAAACCTAAAACATCTTTGGTTGTGTAGTGGGGTGGAAAGTTATTTTGTCAGGGTCTGATGAAACCCCTGAAGGGTTATTAGATCCTGTTTCATGTAGAAATAAAAGGTGAACAGCTGCTAGAGCTGTAATGATGAAGGGTAAGATGAAATGGAAGGCATAAAATCACGTAAGGGTGGCTTTGTCTACTGAGAGCCCACCTCAGATTCATCGCACAAGGTCAGTTCCAATATATATGGGATGGCTGATAGATTTGTAATTATTGTTGCACCTCAGAATGATATGTGGCCTCATGGGAGCACGTAGCCTATGAATGCTGTCACCATAGTTGTGAGTAGGAGGATAATGCCGATGTTTCAGGTTTCTAGAAATGCAAATAATCCATAGTATAAGTCCTGGCCAACGTGTAAGAAGAGGCAGATGAAAAATATTGAAGTGCCGTTAGCATGAAAATAGCAGACTATTCAGCCATAGTGTGAGTGACTGAAGAGAAGGCAGTTGAGGTGTCTGATGTGTAATGCATGGCTATGAATAGCCCTGTTATGAATGCCTGGAGGGTTAGGCAGGCACCAAGAAGTGAGCTGAAGTTTCATCATGTAGAAATTTTAGATGGTGTGGGAAGATCGATGAATGAATGACTAATAATTTTTGTTAGCAGGTGTGTTTTGCAGGGATTGGTCATTAGCATTATTATAGTTGAAATACAATGAAGATTTTTCATGTCAGTCATGGTTGTAGTTCATGTGGGAATAATGGCATATACTGCATTTTTATTAAGTGTCCTTTTGGTTATAGGGTTTGCAGGTTTCTCTTCAAAACCTTCTCTTATTTATGGAGGTCTAGGGCTAATTATCAGTGGTGCTGTAGGTTGTGGTATTGTGTTGAATTTTGGTGGGGTTTTGTGGGGTTGATAGTCTTTATTTATTTGGGTGGCATGACGGTTGTTTTTGGTTATACTACAGTTTTGGCTACTGAGAAGTACCCTGAAACATGAGGATCAAGTATTGATATCTGGGTGGCTTTATTATTAGGATTTTTAATGGAGTTGATGCTGGTTTGGTGAATAGTTTAGCACGATGAAGTGGGGATCACGATTGATTTCAATAGTGTAAAGAGTTGGATGATTTTGAGGGTGAGGGGGCTGGGTAGTTGCGTGAAGATTCTGTGGGTGCAGCTGCCTTGTGCAACTATGGGTGTTGGTTAGTGGTAGTTGCTGGTTGATCATTATTTGTTAGTATTTATGTTGTGATTGAAATTACTTAGAGTAACAGATAATTAGGAGTAGGGCTAGAAGGAATGGAATAAAAAAGGAGACAAAGTAGAGTTTAATTAGGCCTGAGTAGATACCATAATGGAGGGTGAAATTTGGGTTTGTGTAATGGTCTTCGGTATAGATTTTTCTAGTCAAATTGGGTCTAGTAGAAGTGTGGCTGGATTTCAGCTTGTGATAGGCCTAAGTGGGGGATTGTATGGTGAATTGTGGCTGAATAAAATCCTAGTATGTTGGAGAAGTTGAAAGTCTGTAGGGGGTGTTTTAGTTTAAGATTATTAGTTACAAAATTAAGTTCCATTGCTAGTGAGAAACCTAAGATGGTCACACCAAGGGCTGTGAATTCAGGTGGAGTGGCATGGTTGTTTGTGGGGATGAAACAGGAATGGTACTGCTGGTGATGAGGAATCCGGCGAAGATGCTAGCGATTGTTAGGCGCTTGAGTTAGTTAGGAAGAGGTTATTTTTGTTCATAGTAATTAGAGTTGTGAAGCAAAGTTGTCCTATTAGTGCACAAAGAAAATAATACGGGTACTATAGACAGCTGTCAAGGAGGTGGCAATAGGGTAATAAAAAGGGCTCATGGCCAGGCACAGTGGCTTATGCCTGTAATCCCAGCATTTTGGGAGGCTGAGGCAGGAGGATCATGAGGTCAGGAGATCGAGACCATCCTGGCCAACATGGTGAATCCCCGTCTCTACTAAAAATACAAAAAAACTTTCTGGGCATGGTGGCATGTGCCTGTAATCCCAGCTACTTGGGAGACTGAGGCAGGAGAATCGCTTGAACCAGAGAATCAGACGTTGTAGTGAGCTGAGATCGCACCACAGCATTCTAGCCCAGGAGACAGTGCCAGACTCCGTCTCAAAACAAAAAGAAAAAAACAAACAAAAAAAGTGCTCAGGGGTTGGTGTATGATGTGTTTGCAGTTTCAATGATGAAGTCTTTAGAGTAGGAGCCTGTAAGGAAAGGTATACTTGTAAGTGCAAGTGTGCCGATAATAAGGGAGGAGGAAGTGAGGGGCAAAGTCTTGAATAGCCCTCCTATTCTTTGGATGTCTTGTTCATCACTGAGGCTGTGGATGATGGACCCTAAACATATAAATAATATAGCTTTACAAAAGGCTTGGGTGCAGATGTGAAGGAATGCTAGGAGTGGCTGATTAATGCCTATTGTGACTATTATAAGGCCTAGCTGACTTGACGGAGAATGTTATGATTTTTTTTGATATTGTTTTGTGTTAGAGCACAGATTGCTAGAAATAAGGTAGTAACAGCCCCCAGACATAATGTAAGGGTTTGGATTGATAAATTATTTTCTATTAAAGGGTAGAAGCAGATGAGCAGGAAAACTCCTGCTCCGACTATAGTGCTGGAGTGGAGTAGGGCTGAGAATGGGGTTGGATCTTCTATGGTGATGCAAGTCAGGGATGAAGGCTGAATTGAGCTGACTTTCCTGCTGCTGCCAAGAGAAGGCTAATCAATGGAAGGGAGTTGGGGGTAGGATCTAGAATAAACATTTGTTGAAATTCTCATGTGTTAGAGGATGGGAGGAACCATGCCATAGCTAAGATAAAGCCAACATCTCCGATGTGGTTGTACAGGACTGTTTGGAGGGCTGCTGTTTTAGCATCTGCTTGGACATACCATTAGCCGATTAGCAAGAAGGATGATTCCTATGCCTTCTCATTCGATAAAGAGCTGAAAGAGGTTGTTGGCAGTAACCAGAATAATGTGATAAGGAAAATAAGTAAACATTTGGAAAACTCATTCATGTTAGGGTCTGAGTTTATGTATCATATTGAGAATTCTATAATAGATCAGGTAACGAATAGTGCTACTGGGATAAATATTGTAGAGAAGTAGTCTCGTTTGAAGCTTAGAGTTTGAGGGTCTGGATCATCATTCAATGTCAGTTTGAGATAATGACTTCTTGGTCTGTGCATATAAACATTGTTGCAGGGATGAGGCTAATGATGAAGGCACATGTGATAGATATTTTTACATAATTTGGGTATGAACTTTTTTGCAGGTGTTGGTTAAGGTAGCAGTAATTGGTAGGCAAGGGGACTAGGGCTGTTGCATCAGTGGAAGAATACATGCTTGTTACTTTTATTTGGAGTTGCACCAGTGTTTTTGGTTCTTAAGACCAACGGATGACTCTCATCCTTTAAAAGTTGAGAAAGCCATGTTGTTAGACATGGGGGCATGAGTTAGCAGTTCCTGCATACATTCTCGGTAGATAAGAAATTGAAGGCTTCTATTGTTAGATCCACAATCTAATGTTTTGCTTAAACTACAGCTACAGCATGCAAACCCCAAAATAATTTTAGGGTCTAAGGATAGTAGGAAGATAGGTGCTAGATATATAAGTATTAATGTGTTTTTCTCGTGTAAAGGAAGGTTTGATATGTTGATATGATACGTAAGTGTCCTTCGTTGTGATTAGCATACACAGGGAGTAAAGGGCTGTAATTAGTATACTAAGTCCTATAAGCATAATAGTGATATTTGACGAGGAGAGTGAGGCCATAGTCACAAAGAGTTCTTCTACTAGATTAATGGTAGGGGGTAAGGCAAGGTTAGTCTGATTTGCTAGAAGTCATCCTGAGGCTATTAGTGGGAGTAGTGTTTGAAGGCCTCAGTAAGTAATATGGTTCATCTATGGGCTCACTCATAGTTTGAGTTTGCTAGGCAGAATAGTAGGGATGAAGTGAGTCCATAAGCAATTATAGGGGTGACCGCACCTGTAAAGCTCCAAGGGATCTGGATGAGAATAGCCATAATAACAAGTGCTATGTGGCTTATGGAGGAGTAGGCAATAAGTGATTTTAAATTGGTTTGTTGTAGACAAATAGAGCTTGTCATGATTATTCCTCATAGGGATAGCATGAGGAAAGGGTAGGCTATATGTTCTGTTAGGGGGTTGAGGATGAGAGTAAGTCATATTATTCTGTAACTGCCTAGCTTTAGGAGTTCTGCTGCAAGTACTACTGAGCCGCCAATAGGGGCTTCTACGTGGGCTTTGGGGACTCACAGGTGAAGTCCATATAGAGGTATTTTTACTACAAAAGCCATGATACATGCCAGTCATAGAAGATTGTTGGATCAGAAGGTTAACAGCTCTTGGGTAGTAAGTATTATTACTACTATGTTTAGTGAACCTGAAGTATTTTAAGTATAAACAAGAGCTACGAGTAGAGGTAGGGATCCTACTAGTGTATAAAATAAGAAGTATGAGTCTGTGTTAAGGTGTTCTGTTTGATTACCTCAGCGGGTAATGATAATTAGGGTAGGAACTAGCATGGCTTCAAAGAGGATATAGAATATAATTCGTTCTGTGGCTGTAAATGTTATGATTAAATAAGTCTGTAGGGAGATCAGCATAGAAATATAGAGCTTTTTTCATGGAAGTGACTCATTAGGTGATGTTGTTGCTAGAATTATAAGAGGTAGCAGTCAGGTTGTTAAGATTAGAAGGGGTGATGTCAGTGGGTCAGGAGAGACAATTAATGAGAAGTTGGATGAGTTATCATTGAGTTGGTTAAAAAATAGTAGGCTGATGAGGCTGATGAGTAGGCTGTGGGTAACCATGTTGATTCAGATTATAGAATTTTTAGAGAACCATGTTATTGGTAATAGTATGATTGTTGGAATAATTTTTAGCATTGAAGTAAATTTAGATTTTGTGTGTAATCTAGGCCATATGTACTGGAGATTGAAACTAGTATGGCAAAGGCCACTGCAGCTTCGCAGGCAGCAAATACTAGGAGGATAATGGGTATTATGTTCGCTAGAGCGAAATGTGAAGTCCTTGAAAGCCTGTGGCTATAAAGAATGTGGATCCGTAGATTCCATCAGAGATAGTAAAGGGGGCCTTGAAATATTCTGAGGCTTGTAGAAGGGTAAATACCTAAGGTAATTGTGATGGATAGTGCTTGAAGTATCTCCTTTCGACTACCTTCTATTAGGCTGTGGTGAGCCCAAGTAATTGACACTCCTGATGTGAGTAATACAGATATACTCAGGAGGGGGACTTCTAAGGGGTTGAGGGGAAAAATGCCTGTTGGGGATCAGTATCCTCCTAATTCTGGAGTTGGGGCTAGACTGGAGTAGTAGAATGCCCAGAAGAAACCAGCAAAATAGAATATCTCTGAGATAATAAATAGAATTATTCCATATCAGAGGAATGATTGACAATTGATGTAAGGTGGCCTTTTTTTTGGACGATTGATGTGAGGGGGCCTTGAAATGTACTTTCTCAGGTAATGTCACGTCATCATTGGTATATGGTTAGTGTGTTGGTCAGCAGGCCCAGGGTTAAGAGGGTAATAAAGTGAAATCACATGGCCAGGCCAGATTTATGAGGAGAGCTGAGAGAGCTCCTGTTAGTGGTCGGGGCTGGGTTTAACTATGTGGTTGGCATGTGTTTGGTGGGTCATTATGTGTTGTTGTGTAGGTAAAGGCTTACTAATTGTGTAAAGACATAGTAATAAGGGCTATGGTGAATTCGAGGATGGTTTGTAAGATTAGGATGATGAGAGCGATTGAAGCTGTGGGAAGACTGAGTTGATAATACTAGTGTGGCTCCTCAAATTAAACGCATTAGTAGGTGTCCAGCTGTAATGCTGGCTGTTAATCGCATAGCTAGTGCCATTGGTTGAATGAATAGGCTAACAGTTTCAATGATCACTAGCACAGGGATAAGTGGTACAGGTGTGCTTGAGGTAAAAAGTGAGCTAAGGAAGCTTTCATCTTAAAGCAGAAGCCTGTAACTACTGCGCCACCTCATAGGGGGATTGCTATTCCTAGATTTATTGATAACTGGGTAGTTGGTGTAAATGAATGGTGTGGAAGCCTGAGGAGATTGGTTGAAGCAATGAAGAGAAATAGGGAGATCAGTATAAGGGATCAGGTTCGCCGTTTAACATTATGGATTATTTTTATTTGTTTTAGTACAAGGTGAATTAGTCACTGTTGAATGGAAGTCAGTCGGTTACTGATTAGATGACTGGAGGTTGGAAATAGTATGGTGGGAAATAAAATGATTAATACTACTGCGGGTAGGCCTAGAATTATTGGGGTAATAAAAGAGGTGAATAGATTTTCATTCTTTTAATTCTCAAGGGGTTTTATGTTTTTGCATTTTGATTATTTTTGGGTTATTTTGGGTCTCTTGCAATAGAGAAGGAAGGAGGCAAACAGAATAGGAGAGGGCAATTTGTACAGAGAGGGAAAATTCACCTGAGGGCTAAAATAAATGTAATCCCTAATTACTACACTGAAAGCATGGCAGAAATTCTATAGCCCTTCCATGGCTTATATAAACTATACTTTAAAAATAGCTATATCTTTTTTAAAAAGAGAAATGCTCAATGAAAGGGCAACTCCAAATGCCTTGTAATAGAAAACTGTTCTCAAACAAAATGAGAGCACTTTGCTGAGTCAGAATGTGGTGTTTCTTACATTTTGTTTTCATTTGGGCCCAGCCCCAAACTGTGATTTGCTTATCAAGATCACGAGTGATGGAGACTAGAAGCCAGGTTTACATTAAAGATTGATGTTGGGGCCAGGGGTGGTGGCTCATGCGTGTAATCCCAGCACTCACTTGAGTCCAGGGGTTTGAGACCAGCCAGGCCAATATGGTGAAACCCTGTTTCTATTAAAAATACAAAAATTAGCTGGGCATGGTCGTTCATGCCTGTAATACCAGAAAACTCAAGAGGCTGAGGTAGGAGGATCACCTGAGCCCCGGAGGCAGAGGTTGCAGTGAGCCAAGATTGCACCACTGCACTCCGGCATGGGTGACAGAGCAAGACTCTTAAAAAAAAAAAAAAGATTGATGTTGAGATGCCATAATTATTGAGACTTGGAAAGAAAACCTTCAGGTGGTAGCTAAGAATGTGGTAGTTTTATAATATTGGGCTATTTCAAATTTTCTGTAAATCAATTTATTTCTTAAAAAGGATTTGACCAAAACTACCTTGATAGTTTTAGGCAGCATAGCATCCCTCTTCAAAAGGACTTTGTGCAAATGAAATAATACACTGGCAAATGAAAATATACCTTGTGGAAGAATCTTCCAAGGCTTATTGCCTATGCGATGGAGAAGGAAATATAGACAGACATTTAATATCAGAGCAAAATGTTTGTTTACAGGAAATCAGATCTTATGAACCTCTGAAAGAAGCTGACTAGATGATCAGGGTTGCTCTTTACTGGGGGACAGGTAAGACCACTTCTAAACTTCAAATGTATCTAATTTTGTGAGCTCCTTCAGAAGTTATAGGGGTCTTATCATCATTTTTATGTGGTGTATGGTAAGGAGATACTGATAAAGAATTGTCAAGTTTTATAAACATCCTTGCTATAAATAATCACATCAAATCAAGTTTACATCTGAAAGTATTATTATAAAGTGAAAAACCATGTAACCACACCTAGGTCAAGAAGCAAAACATCACTAGAAAGCTTCCCTATGCCCTTCCCCCTAGGCACACTCTCCTTTGTCATCCCTAAAGAAGATGATTCTCCTGATTATTATAGCAATTGCTTTTTTGTGTGTGTACTCTGTGTAGTGTTGTTTTTATTATTATTATTATTATTATTATATTACACTTTAAGTTTTAGGGTACATGTGCACAATGTGCAGGTTAGTTACATATGTATACATGTGCCATGCTGGTGTGCTGCACCCATTAACTCATCATTTAGCATTAGGTATATCTCCTAATGCTATCCCTCCCCACTCCCCCCACCCCACAACAGTCCCCAGAGTGTGATGTTCCCCTTCCTGTGTCCATGTGTTCTCATTGTTCAATTCCCATCTATGAGTGAGAACATGTGGTGTTTGGTTCTTTGTCCTTGCCATAGTTTACTGAGAATGATTATTTCCAATTTCATCCATGTCCCTACAAAGGACATGAACTCATCATTTTTTATGGCTGCATAGTATTCCATGGTGTATATGTGCCACATTTTCTTAATCCAGTCTATCATTGTTGGACATTTGGCTTGGTTCCAAGTCTTTGCTATTGTGAATAGTGCCGCAATAAACATACGTGTGCATGTGTCTTTATAGCAGCATGATTTATAGTCCTTTGGGTATATACCCAGTAATGGGATGGCTGGGTCAAACGGTATTTCTAGTTCTAGATCCCTGAGGAATCGCCACACTGACTTCCACAATGGTTGAACTAGTTTACGGTCCCACCAACAGTGTAAAAGTGTTCCTATTTCTCCACATCCTCTCCAGCACCTGTTGTTTCCTGACTTTTTAATGATTGCCATTCTAACTGGTGTGAGATGGTATCTCATTGTGGTTTGATTTGCATTTCTCTAATGGCCAGTGATGATGAGCATTTTTTCATGTGTCTTTTGGCTGCATAAATGTCTTCTTTTGAGAAGTGTCTGTTCATATCCTTTGCCCACTTTTTGATGGGGTTGTTTTTTTCTTGTAAATTTGTTTGAGTTCATTGTAGATTCTGGATATTAGCCCTTTGTCAGATGAGTAGGTTGCGAAAATTTTCTCCCATTTTGTAGGTTGCCTGTTCACTCTGATGGTAGTTTCTTTTCCTGTGCAGAAGCTCTTTAGTTTAATTAGATCCCATTTGTCAATTTTGGCTTTTGTTGCCATTGCTTTTGGTGTTTTACACATGAAGTCCTTGCCCATGCCTATGTTCTGAATGGTAATGCCTAGGTTTTCTTCTAGGGTTTTTATGGTTTTAGGTCTAACATTTAAGTCTTTAATCCATCTTGAATTAATTTTTGTATAAGGTGTAAGGAAGGGATCCAGTTTCAGCTTTCTACATATGGCTAGCCAGTTTTCCCAGCACCATTTATTAAATAAGGAATCCTTTCCCCATTGCTTGTTTTTCTCAGGTTTGTCAAAGATCAGATGGTTGTAGATATGCGGCATTATTTCTGAGGGCTCTGGTGTGTTCCATTGATCTATATCTCTGTTTTGGTACCAGTACCATGCTGTTTTGGTTACTGTAGCCTTGTAGTATAGTTTGAAGTCAGGTAGTGTGATGCCTCCAGCTTTGTTCTTTTGGCTTAGGATTGACTTGGCGATGTGGGCTCTTTTTTGGTTCCATATGAACTTTAAAGTAGTTTTTTCTAATTCTGTGAAGACAGTCATTGGTAGCTTGATGGGGAGGGCAATGAATCTATAAATTACCTTGGGCAGTATGGCCATTTTCATGATATTGATTCTTCCTACCCACGAGCATGGAATGTTCTTCCCTTTGTTTGTATCCTCTTTTATTTCATTGAGCAGTGGTTTGTAGTTCTCCTTGAAGAGGTCCTTCATGTCCCTTGTAAGTTGGATTCCTAGGTATTTTATTCTCTTTGAAGCAATTGTGAATGGGAATTCACTCATGATTTGGCTCTCTGTTTGTCTGTTATTGGTGTATAAGAAGGCTTGTGATTTTTGTACATTGATTTTGTATCCTGAGACTTTGCTGAAGTTGCTTATCAGCTTAAGGAGACTTTGGGCTGAGACAATGGGGTTTTCTAGTTATACTATCATGTCATCTGCAAACAGGGACAATTTGACTTCCTCTTTTTCTAATTGAATACCCTTTATTTCCTTCTCCTGCCTAATTGCCCTGGCCAGAACTTCCAACACTATGTTGAATAGGAGTGATGAGAGAGGGCATCCCTGTCTTGTGCCAGTTTTCAAGGGGAATGCTTCCAGTTTTTGCCCATTCAGTATGATATTGGCTGTGGGTTTGTCATAGATAGCTCTTATTATTTTGAGATACATCCCATCAATACCCAATTTATTGAGAGTTTTTAGCTTGAAGGGTTGTTGAATTTTGTCAAAGGCCTTTTCTGCATCTATTGAGATAATCACGTGGTTTTTGTCTTTGGTTCTGTTTATATGCTGGATTACATTTACTGATTTGCATATATTGAACCAGCCTTGCATCCCAGGGATGAAGCCCACTTGATCATGGTGGATAAGCTTTTTGATGTGTTGCTGGATTCCGTTTGCCAGTATTTTATTGAGGATTTTTGCATCAATGTTTGTCAAGGATATTGGTCTAAAATTCTCTTTTTTGGTTGTGTCTCTGCCACACTTTGGTATCAGGATGATGCTGGCCTCATAAAATGAGTTAGGGAGGATTCCCTCTTTTTCTATTGATTGGAATAGTTTCAGAAGGAATGGTACCAGTTCCTCCTTGTACCTCTGGTAGAATTCGGCTGTGAATCCATCTGGTCCTGGACTCTTTTTGGTTGGTAAGCTATTGATTATTGCCACAATTTCAGATCCTGTTATTGGTCTATTCAGAGATTCAACTTCTTCCTGGTTTAGTCTTGGGAGAGTGTATGTGTCGAGGAATTTATCCATTTCTTCTAGATTTTCTAGTTTATTTGCGTAGAGGTGTTTGTAGTATTCTCTGATGGTAGTTTGTATTTCAGTGGGATTGGTGATGATATCCCCTTTATCATTTTTTATTGCGTCTATTTGATTCTTCTCTTTTTTCTTTATTAGTCTTGCTAGTGGTCTATCAATTTTGTCGATCCTTTCAAAAAACCAGCTCCTGGATTCATTAATTTTTTGAAGGGTTTTTTGTGTCTCTATTTCCTTCATTTCTGCTCTGATTTTAGTTATTTCTTGCCTTCTGCTAGCTTTTGAATGTGTTTGCTCTTGCTTTTCTAGCTCTTTTAATTGTGATTTTAGGGTGTCAATTTTGGATCTTTCCTGCTTTCTCTTGTGGGCATTTAGTGCTATAAATTTCCCTCTACACACTGCTTTGAATGTGTCCCAGAGATTCTGGTATGTTGTGTCTTTGTTCTCGTTGGTTTCAAAGAACATCTTTATTTCTGCCTTCATTTCATTATGTACCCAGTAGTCATTCAGGAGCAGGTTGTTCAGTTTCCATGTAGTTGAGCGGTTTTGAGTGAGTTTCTTAATCCTGAGTTCTAGTTTGATTGCACTGTGGTCTGAGAGACAGTTTGTTATAATTTCTGTTCTTTTACATTTGCTGAGGAGAGCTTTACTTCCAACTATGTGGTCAATTTTGGAATAGGTGTGGTGTGGTGCTGAAAAAAATGTATATTCTGTTGATTTGGGGTGGAGAGTTCTGTAGATGTCTATTAGGTCCGCTTGGTGCAGACCTGAGTTCAATTCCTGGGTATCCTTGTTAACTTTCTGTCTTGTTGATCTGTCTAATGTTGACAGTGGGGTGTTAAAGTCTCCCATTATTATTGTGTGGGAGTCTAAGTCTCTTTGTAGGTCACTGAGGACTTACTTTATGAATCTGGGTGCTCCTGTATTGGGTGCATATATATTTAGGATATTTAGCTCTTCTTGTGGAATTGATCCCTTTACCATTATGTAATGGCCTTCTTTGTCTCTTTTGATCTTTGTTGGTTTAAAGTCTGTTTTATCAGAGACTAGGCTTGCAACCCCTGCCTTTTTTTGTTTTCCATTTGCTTGGTAGATCTTCCTCCATCCTTTTATTTTGAGCCTATGTGTGTCTGCACGTGAGATGGGTTTCCTGAATACAGCACACTGATGGGTCTTGACTCTTTATCCAACTTGCCAGTCTGTGTCTTTTAATTGGAGCATTTAGTCCATTTACATTTAAAGTTAATATTGTTATGTGTGAATTTGATCCTGTCATTATGATGCTAGCTGGTTATTTTGCTCGTTAGTTAATGCAGTTTCTTCCTAGTCTCTATGGTCTTTACATTTTGGCATGATTTTGCAGCGGCTGGTACTGGTTGTGCCTTTCCATGTTTAGTGCTTCCTTCAGGAGCTCTTGTAGGGCAGGCCTGGTGGTGACAAAATCTCTCAGCATTTGCTTGTCTGTAAAGGATTTCATTTCTCCTTCACTTATGAAGCTTAGTTTGGCTGGATATGAAATTCTGGGTTGAAAATTCTTTTCTTTAAGAATGTTGAAGATTGGCCCCCACTCTCTTCTGGCTTGTAGAGTTTCTGCCGAGAGATCCGCTGTTAGTCTGATGGGCTTCCCTTTGTGGGTAACCCGACCTTTCTCTCTGGCTGCCCTTAACATTTTTTCCTTCATTTCAACTTTGGTGAATCTGACAATTATGTGTCTTGGAGTTGCTCTTCTCGAGGAGTATCTTTGCGGCGTTCTCTGTATTTCCTGAATCTGAATGTTGGCCTGCCTTGCTAGATTGGGGAAGTTCTCCTGGATAATATCCTGCAGAGTGTTTTCCATCTTGGTTCCATTCTCCCCGTCACTTTCAGGTACAACAATCAGGACGCAGATTTGGTCTTTTCACGTAGTCCCATATTTCTTGGAGGCTTTGTTTGTTTCTTTTTATTCTTTTTTCTCTAAACTTCCCTTCTTGCTTCATTTATTTCATCTTCCATCACTGATACCCTTTCTTCCAGTTGATCGCATTGGCTCCTGAGGCTTCTGCATTCTTCATGTAGTTCTCGAGCCTTGGCTTTCAGCTCCATCAGCTCCTTTAAGCACTTCTCTATATTGGTTATTCTAGTTATACATTTGTCTAAATTTTTTTCAAAGTTTTCAACTTCTTTGCCTTTGGTTTGAATTTCCTCCTGTAGCTCAGAGTAGTTTGATCGTCTGAAGCCTTCTTCTCTCAACTCGTCAAAGTCATTCTCCGTCCAGCTTTGCTCCATTGCTGGTGAGGAACTGTGTTCCTTTGGAGGAGGAGGGGCGCTCTGCTTTTTAGAGTTTCCAGTTTTTCTGCTCTGTTTTTTCCCCATCTTTGTGGTTTTATCTACTTTTGGTCTTTGATGATGGTGATGTACAGATGGGTTTTTGGTGTGGATGTCCTTTCTGTTTGTTAGTTTTCCTTCTAACAGACAGGACCCTCAGCTGCAGGTCTGTTGGAGTTTGCTAGAGGTCCACTCCAGACCCTGTTTGCCTGGGTATCAGCAGTGGTGTCTGCAGAACTGCGGATTTTCGTGATCCATGAATGCTGCTGTCTGATCGTTCCTCTGGAAGTTTTGTCTCAGAGGAGTACCTGGCCGTGTGAGGTGTCAGTCTGCCCCTGCTCGGGGGTGCCTCCCCATTAGGCTGCTCGGGGGTCAGGGGTCAGGGACCCACTTGAGGAGGCAGTCTGCCCGTTCTCAGATCTCCAGCTGCATGCTGGGAGAACTGCTGCTCTCCTCAAAGCTGTCAGACAGGGACATTTTAGTCTGCAGAGGTTACTGCTGTCTTTTTGTTTGTCTGTGCCCTGCCCCCAGAGGTGGAGACTACAGAGGCAGGCAGGCCTCCTTGAGCTGTGGTGGGCTCCACCCAGTTCGAGCTTCCCGGCTGCTTTGTTTACCTAAGCGAGCCTGGGCAATGGCGGGCGCCCCTCCCCCAGCCTTGCTGCCACCTTGCAGTTTGATCTCAGACTGCTGTGCTAGCAATCAGCGAGACTCCGTGGGTGTAGGACCTTCCGAGCCAGGTGCGGGATATAATCTCCTGGTGCACCGTTTCCTAAGCCCATTGGAAAAGTGCAGTATTCGGGTGGGAGTGGCCTGATTTTCCAGGTGCCGTCTGTCACCCCTTTCCTTGACCAGGAAAGGGAACTCCCTGACCCCTTGCACTTCCCGAGTGAGGCAATGCCTCGCCCTGCTTCGGCTGGCGCACAGTGTGCTGCACCCACTGTCCTGCGCCCACTGTCTGGCACTCCCCAGTGAGATGAACCCAGTACCTCAGATGGAAATGCAGAAATCACCCGTCTTCTGCGTCGCTCACGCTGGGAGCTGTAGACTGGAGCTGTTCCTATTCGGCCATCTTGGCTCCTCCCCCCAGTGTTGATTGTTAAGTGTTTTTAAACGTTATCATCTACCCTTTGATGCTTTTTCTCAACAATCTTTAATTTTTGGGAATTGATCTTTTATGTTCTATTTTTTGCCTCCATTGATTTGGAAGTTATACCTTCTCCCGAGGAACACCCTTTAACATTTCCTTTAGTGAGTATCTGTTATTGATGAACTCTCCCAGTTTTGTCTAAACATATCTTTATTTCACTCTCTTCTTGAAAGATATTTTTACTGGGCATATATGCTTAAAAGTTGGCATTTATTGTTGTACCTGTTCTTATTATTTTGCAATTAAAACTACCATTCCACAGACTTCTGGCTTCCATTGCTTCTGCTGAGAAATTAGCTGTTAAGCTGCTTGTTTTAGTGAATGAAAATAGATTACATTTCCCATTTCATTCCTATTGTCCCCTTCCTGCTTTAAACATTTTCTGTCATTGCCTCTTTGTAGTTTCACTGTATTTGGGTATGAATTTATTTCTTTTTTTTTTTTTTACTCTACTTTGAAATTTTAGGTTGCAGATATGAAATCCAATTATCTCATAATTTAAGTTGTATTTCACAAAATCAAGGATAGTACAATCACAAAAATCAGAATAAAAACTATTCAATAGTACACGCTAATCTATAGATCATATTCAAATTTTGCAAGTTATACCACTAATGTTCTTTTTCTTGTCCAGGATTCAACTCAGAATCATAGTTTTATTCAGTGGACATCTCTCTTTGGTCTCCTTTAATTTAAACAGTGCCTTAGTCTTTGTGTTTCATGACCTTGACATTGTGGAAGAATACAGGCCAAATATTTAAAACAATTTGGGTTTATCTGATATTTTCCTCATGATTAGATGCTGATTAAGCATTTTTGGCAGGAATATTACAAAGTGATATGTCCTTCTCAGTGCATCATTTCAGGAGGCACATGGTACTGACTTATCCTATTATTGGTGATGTTAACTTTGATCACTTGGTTTATGTGGTGTCTGATTTCTCCACTAAAATTTATTATTTTTGCCTTTGTAATCAATAAATGTATTGTGGTAGCATAGTTTGTGACTACGCATTACTTCTTCAGATACTTCTTTTTCTCTTTTTTCCTTCCTTTCTGAAACTCCAATTATGTCTTTCCATTGTATCCTCTGTGTCTCTTTTTTTTTTTTTTTTTTGAGACAGAGTCTCGCTCTGTTGCCCAGGCTGGAGTGCAGTGGCGTGATCTCAGCTCCCTGCAAACTCCGCCTCCCAGGTTCAAGCAATTCTCCTGCCTCAGCCTCCCGAGTAGCTGGGACTACAAGAGCACACAACCACACCCAGCTAATTTTTGTATTTTTAGAGATGGGGTTTCACCATGTTGACCAGGAGAGTCTCGATCTCTTGACCTCATGATCTGCCTGCCTCGGCCTCCTAAAGCGCTGGGATTACAGGCAGGAGCCACTGCGCCTGGCCCCTCTGTGTCTTTTATCTTGCATTTTTAATTTTTATTTTTCAGTTTATTTATGCTTCTCTCTGGGTATTTTCTTCTGCCCTTCATTTCACCATTTCTGTCTTTAGCTGTGTCTAATGTGCTGTTAAACCTATCCACTGAGTTTCTAATTTCAGTTATTGTGTTTTTCAGTTCTATGTTTTCTACTTTTGTTTTTAATTCCGCAATATCACTTTGTATAGTTTTTGGTTATGAAAACTATTCTTGCTGCCATTCTTTTTATCTCCAGTAGCTTAGTAGGCTTAAATGCTGTACAATGTCTCTAACTCTACTCTTTGGAACCAGGTGGATTGTTGTTCTTTTGTTCATGTTATCTTATTGCCTTATATATTTGGCTCTCTTTAATTATGTGTGGACATCACATTTTAAAAGTTATTTGTAGAAATAATTTGAGACCTACAATGGTGGTATCTTTCAGAGAAGACTTGTTTTCTGGGGCCACTAGCTATCTGAAATCACCTTAAACTAATTTTAGGATGTGAGATTTTTCTGGACCATTGAGATGTTTCAAAGCAGGGATACTTATTTTTGGTCCACCCTCACTCCTAGAATGCAATCTTTTAGCATCCCAACCCAAAGCCTAGGCTGTCTGGCCTGATCCTCCACCCTGGCAATCCCTGTGAGGCTGACAAAATGGCTACTTCACATTTTAGCTGTCATTTTTAGGTCAGCAAACACCTCCAGAGCAAAAGTAGCTATAAACTTTGGATTTATCTCTCTGGATTTTCATCTTTTGGACTTTCACCCAGTAATTCTTATTACCTTGCTTGCTTTTTGATGTTTTAAAGAAAATATTTATTTTTATTGCAGATTTAGTTGTCTTGAATGGGAGTTTTGGTTCAAATCACCTAGTCTGCATTACTTAAGTAGTATTTTCTATGTTAAATAGTTTATTCTAGATCATAATATTAAAGTTTATATATTGTAAAATTAATTTTAAATTCAGCCTTTGGTAATATGGAAAAACAAAATTTTCACTTTTCCTATTTAGCAAGTAACAATCGCTACTTAATTTAAGGGCAACAAAATTTGCTGACATATATTTTAAAATAACATTGTATTGAGCTTGATTGGGGGCCAAATGCATATTAAAATGTAGATGAAAATTAGTCTTCCTGTTATGGCATCAAAAATAGACAAAGACTTCTTTCATGTTTTGATGTTTGGGATTCTTGAATTTTGCACTTAAAAAAGCAACACATTTACTTTCTTAAAAATAACTTTTATGTCTAAACAAATACATTTTTCTCTAGATAATGAGCTAAGTGAGGTTTCAGACTCCTATTTATAAGCCCTTCTATACATTTATCATGTATATAACTATATTACCAATAAAGAAAAAGAAGATATTTTCATAGTAATTCCTTTAAGTGTTTTTTTTTAATACTAGGCCCATCTTAAAATATTATATAGTATTTAAAAACCAGATTTGAGCAATTTATAAATCTGGTAAAAAAATTTCTTCAAAAGAATTTGCTGAATTATTATAATACTTAATATTAGCATGGTATTTTAACATCATTGTACTTTAAGCTACCTGGTTTAAGGATTCATTATGGAATGAATGACATGATGTCAAAATGTAATTTTTTCAATTACACATACACAAATAATTGTATGTAAAAACACTAAGAGTAGCTGATAAATGCCGCAATCATCAAACAGCCAAAGCAAAGAGCTAGTAGTGCTCGCCTAAAACTGACTACGTTAGTCCATTTATATCTTTCTGTAAACTTGATGCTTTTACCATGCTTCTGTAAACTTGATGCTTCAACTTCCACCTTGCATGCACATGCTGGACATGTTCTGTGTTCTGGACAACCATGTAAAAAGCCTGAATCATCTTAGCTTTGCTTCATGCCTCCCTGGTTGCCCAACTCCCCTCTGGAAGAATCCTCCTCCCTGGGGTTGCCTTCCAAATACAAACCCGCCTAGCCAGAGTCTTGGTGATTCCCCGTGTGCTTCCCCTTATGGCCTAATAGATACTCCCTCTCTTGAGGTCTGTAATTATAATCAACTATTGTTTCAATGGCAGCTGTCTCCTGATCTGTTGGCCTCACTTTACCTGAAAAATAATAAAACCTATCAAAACAAGTATGAGCCAATGCTGATTTGGTAAGAATTTGAAAGCTCTGAAACTGTCCCATTTGAAGTAAAGAGTGTTTAAAGGTTTATGTTATTTTATTTTATAGCATTTAGCAATAGATGCCATCACCATGAGGAACAAACTGCAATCTGAAGAATGCCATGATGATACTTTGGAGGTTCTCATAGTGGAGAAATGCTCAGCTAGAGGGAAGTGCCTCTGCAAAAATCTGCCAGAGGAAAATAATAATTCATAGTCATTACTAAATACAGTAGTATGTCGAGTATAAAATATTTCTTAATCTTAGGTTTAACAAAGGAACTGACTTCAGAAAGATGGTAGAAACTAGATTTCTTCTGAAACCACATTTTGATAACAACAGTTATCAAACCCTGGCTAACTGAAATGAATTAGGAATGGCACAAGGCAATACTTTTAAGGACACATTTCTTTTTTTTTTTAATTTTCAAGGTGTATGTTTCCTTTTTTTAAAATTTTATTATTATTATACTTTAAGTTTTAGCAGACACTTCTCAAAAGAAGACATTTATGCAGCCAAAAGACACATGAAAAGGACGCTTTTCTTAAGAGCATCAGGAATCATTTTCCTGGAGGACGTTATATTAAGTGAAATAAGCCAGGCACAAAAAGACAAATACTGCATGCTCTCACTTATATGTGGAATCTAAAAAAGTTGAATTCATAAAGCACAGAGTAGAATGGTAGTTACTAGGAGCTGGGGGTGGGTTGGGGTGGGTGGATGGAGAGATGTTGGTCAAAAGATACAAAATTTAGTTAGGAGAAATAGTTCAAAAGATCTATTGTACAATGTGATGACTACAGTTAATAACAATGTATTGTATTCCTGAAAATTGCTTAGAGAGGAGATGTTAAGTGTTCTCACTACAAAAAATGATAAGCATGCAAGGTAACACATATGTTAATTAGCTTAAATGAGCCATTTCTCAAAACATCTTGTTGTATATGATCTCTGTATAATTTTTTGTCAATTAAAAATAATTTTTAAAAAGAGCCATTTTCTCTTAGTAGCCAAGTCAAATAGTATCAAATGGTGTCTTGTGTTAAAAGGGTACAAGTGAGAGGCAGTGTTTATACCACATGAATGTCTGCTGATACCAATTTAGATACGTTTTTAATAGTTCTAGTTGAATATAACAAAAAATGTTTTCTCAAAGAACCTCATTTTGTAAGAACAAAGGTTCACAAGAGAAGGTTATGAATACTTTTTCATAAATGCAGAAGCTAAGATCGCAATATTAATCAAATATTTTTATATAACTGAATAAGGTCTAATACTTCAGAACTTTGTCAAAACACTACTCTTTATGGAGAACAGCAAAGCTCTGGGCATATGTGTACATGCATGTATATAATAAAATCTTGAGCATTTCCTGTAATTGCTGAAAATGGAAAGAACTATTACAAGACATCTGTGACATAATTTACAGTTGAGTACAAATCCTCATTTGTAATATCAGATGTCTTGATTATGCCTTTATAAATGCCACATAAATAATGTGTAGTAGAATAGCTGTGCTGGCACATGCAATGTACATTTAAACATCTCTTAAAAGCTAATTTCTCACTTGGCAGAACTCTCTAGCTCAACGGTAATATCACAAACAGCAACCCACACATCCTTTTGAAATGCTTAACCCTGCTATAGATACACACTTTTAAAAACAACATAGAAAATACTTATTTTCAAACTTTCTTGATAGTGACCAAATCTCAGTCTAAGAAGCTCCAGTATTGTTCAGGTTCTTTGACAGCACTGGAAACATTCAGTATCAAGTATTTATTGAAACAACCTATCAGCTGGCTGAGGTTTAGAAATATGCCACACAGAATTGTTTTGGCAAAGCAATGGTCATGGCTAATGGGAAATGATCCATACTTTTAAGCACTTTTAAATCAAGGTTAGTAACATTCTAAAAATTGTGGGTTTTTTGAAGATAATGTACAAATTATTTTAAACTTGAGGATCTGTGAAAATATAAATCATTTGATACATCACATATCTTTTTCAAGAATTGGAAAACTCATTATTCGGTCTATTTTGTCTCTGAGTTAAATAGCTTGATTGTACCATATGTTGGCAAGGGAGTAGCGAAATAGGAATTTTCATACATTTCTGGTGGGAGTGTGAACTGACAAAACCTCTATGGAGGGCAATTTGAAACACATCTATAAAAGAAAGTACATATCCTCTTTGGCCAAAAAATTCTATTTCTGAGAACTTATTCTACTTGTACATATGTGAAACAACTTTCTATCATGTTCTTCCTTGCAACAATGTTTATAACAGCATAAGATTTGAAATCTAATATCAGTAGAAGACTGGTTAAGGAAATCTGGTATATCTATGGCAATAGAAGAACATGCAGTTGTAAAAAGGAAGAAGCTTTTTAGATTTTGTTATGGATTATCATAGACATCTTAAGTGAAGAAGGCAAGTAGTAAAACTGTGTGTATAGTTTGTTATAATTTATGAAAAAAGGGAGAAGACAAATATATCTATAGATACACATTAATATATAGGGATATATAAGTATAATTAACATATTAATGTATTATGTATATACCTACAAATTTATGCAGAGGTACATATTTGTGTCTATCTGTTATCTTCTTGGATTTGTGTAGAATACCTCTGTAAGAAGCTAGTAACACTGCTTGCCTCTGCAAAAGGAATTGGGTGACTGGAGAAGAGGAATAGGAGGGGGTCTTAAAAATTGTATATCCTTTGAACATCTTGAATTTTCAACATCAATGCATTGTTACCTATTCAAAAATAAATACGTCCAACTTTTTATAAGTCCATTTGAGCCCTACATATGTCAGGACACAAAGGAGTTACTCATTGGCAGAGTAACTGATGTGCTGAGAATGAAGCACCCTAAATGTTTACTTCCCTTAAAATAGAAACAAAAGCTGATGTCTACTAAAAGGCTTCCTTCCTGTCCCTCATATCTCATCAAGTCCTGCATGAAGGCATGATTTATGACAGTTCACTGCCAGATCTTAGAGAAATATAAATAAAACCAAAATTGGAACACAACTGCTGAACTTGGAGAGTTGGAATGAGGTCAGGTTAGCGCCTCGACCGGATGTCAGGAAATTATAGCTTCATTTCTGCTGCAAGAGTAGCAGTGACTCATGTTCCCCAGCAGAAACTGAGACAAAGTCCATCATAAATACCGCATGTCATTTCTGAACCTGCTTGGGAGCTGTGAGAATTAAATGAGCTAACATTTTATAAATAATTTGGAACCCCTTGATAGAAAAGTGTTACATAAGAAGAGTTTTATAATTCTGTGCTTTCTCTATCTTCCTTAAAAAGAAAAACAAAAAACAAAAAACGAACCCAAAAGCCAATGGTCTCATTATAAGCAAGAAGCTAAGTGTGACAAAAATGATTTTTGTGTGGCCATACTGAAAAGAAATAAGTTCCTATTTTTGAGGTTCAATCTGGCCTATTACTTTAAGAAAATGCTTTTGGTTCCAAAGGTCATTTTGTTTTTAGGAATAATCCTTCTATATAGTACAAGAATTATATTCTTGAAATGTTTCCAAATTAAGTACAGGAGGTTACTTTCAGCTTTCAGTAACATACATGTATTCTTTACCTCCCAAGTGGAGAAGGATGCAGGGTTTGTCCCAAACTGTTTTAATTTTAACAATTTTTTTTTTTTACAAAATTCTTTGAAGTGAAACATTTAGGAATGTATTTAACTTCTCATTAAATTACAAACACATTTATTATATAAAGAGATCTGTACTTTATTATATTTCTTTCAGGGTTATGATTTTCTAAGTGGAATGAAGAATGTCATTAAAAGGAAGACAGGATCTATATGTTTAAAATGGCTAAGTGGAACTCATAGTCCCTAAAGCATGTCCATAGATTTTTGTTGAAAAAAGTTGAAGACAGTTAACTGTGGATTCTTTGAATAGTATTGGGAACCCTCAGATCTATAATCAGTGTTTACTAAGTTTTCCTTTACAATCACCTGGGGTTGTGGTAGTCCATATTTCGTAAGATAGTCTGAAAAAAGTACCCAGGCAAATTAGATTTTTCCCATCTACCTTCCTTTTGAGCCAAAACACTGAATCACTCAGTGCTAGGTTATTTCTAAAACTTCTCTTTGCTAACCCCAGATCAAACTAAAACTGCAGTTCTGCAATAGTTTGGTTTTGCTTTGCTTTTGCCTCCACTCTCTTTCATAGGTCTCTATGGTGTCATTAACACTTTTTGTCCTTCTGATTAAAAAGCTTACATCTTTTTCAAAAAAGGTTTCCTCTGTATATGAGGCATGAAAGGCAGAATTTGTATGTGGAAAGGGTGTGTGAACAGTAATTTGATTGGAAAGGGTGAAATGATGTTGAGAAAATGTCAATTGTCAATTTCAAAATATGTCAGCTGGTGATGGAGGTTGTGTGGGGTTAAGGTAAAATAGAGCTACAACTTATTAACCTTGGGTTATCCTAATCAGATTGGTTTGTTGTTCCTCAAAACACTGGAGTGAATGAGAACATGTGTTTCAGTAAGGAAACCAGAATCTGAGAACAGATTGTGTAAGAGAATAACAAAGATCTTCAAGGACTCGAAAAAATAGAAGG
Source organism: Homo sapiens (assembly GCF_000001405.40). Taxonomy (NCBI): domain Eukaryota; kingdom Metazoa; phylum Chordata; class Mammalia; order Primates; family Hominidae; genus Homo; species Homo sapiens. Next base: position 67,604,261 of record NC_000008.11, read on the forward strand.
AACACATCTGGTTGTGGCAGTTAGCAAAAGCTTTCTGATGAGCTAGTGTCCGAGACTGGCCCTTCTGCCTGGTAAAGAAGGAAGCGGTGGTTATTCCCAAAGATGTGGCAATAACAGCTCACCCTCGCCTCCTTCAGACCTTTGCTCAAATGCCACATTTTTAATGATGTCTTCTTCCCTGACCGGTCATTCCATTTAAAATTACATTGCGTCCCTTACCTTTTTCCCTGCTTTACGTTTCCCTACAACCATGACCATCTGATATACCATATTTTTTACTTATTTGTTTTTTGTTAATCTCTCTCCACCACAATATGAAGTTTCTTGAGGACAGGGATTGTTGGTTGTGTTTCCTGCTGTATCCCTCAGCATCCAGAACAGTGCCTGGCACAGAGTCCCTTAATAAACATTTGTGGAATTTGTTTCTACATTTGTACATACAACGCTCAGAGACTGGGAAACATAGGACACGTGGAGATTAGAGAAAAATCTGTGGAGGTTCTATCAACTTTGCGTTTTGTTTGTTTGTTTTTTGAGATTGAGTTTCATTCTTTTTACCCGGGCTGGAGTGCAATGGTGCGGTCTCAGCTCACTGCAACCTCCACCTCCCGGGTTCAAGCGATTTTCCCGCCTCAGCCTCCCAAGTAGCTGGGACTACAGGCACCTGTCACCATGCCTAATTTTTTTTTGTATTTTTAGTAGAGATGGGGTTTCACCATGTTGGCCAGGCTGCTCTTGATCTCCTGACCTCAGGTGATCCACATGCCTTGGCCTCCAAAACTGTTGGGATTACAGCCATGAGCCACTGTGCCCAGCCACGTTTTTTTTTTTTTCTTTTTCTTTTTTTGCTCTGGATGACCTAATAACTCTCTCTGAGCTCCTTGTCTGAAGTCCAGTTTCTACTCATGGTTGTGTCCTCACAATACCATGTGTGATTCATCCAATGCCCAACATAGAGTATTCCATTTAGATCTGTTTGTGGAATGAGTATGCTTGTTAAGTTCTCAGTCTGTGTTAGATTTTCTAAAATATAAACTACATTCATCCCTTGGTATTGAATGGGGATTAATTGGTTCTAGGGCCCCCATGGATACCAAAATTTGCAGATGCTCAAGTTCCTGATATAAAATGCCCTGGTATTTGCATATAACCTACACACATTCTCCTGTATACCTTAAAACAACTCTAGATTACTTATAATGCCTAATACAATGTAAATGTTATATAGCTGTTATATTTTAAAAATTTGTATTTTTGTATTATTGTATTGCTTTTTTTTTTTTTTTTTTGCATGTTTTCCATCCATGGTTGTTTGAATATGTGAATATGGATCCCATGGATGTGGGGACCTAGTGATCTGTGATAGTCAGTGGATCCACAAGGCTTATGGCTAGAAGTCCCAGAGAAAGGGTCAGTTTTAGAGATACTGGTTCTATTAAAGTAACACCAGCTGTGGCAACAGATAGACCAGAATGTACATCGGCTCAAACTCAATAGTTTTCCCTCGTTTCTGAGGCAAATATTCCTTGCTGGTGAATGATTTTGCACCATGTGGTGATTTGAAGACCAGGCCTTGTTCAGTTTACAGATCCACTATACCCTAAGGCTTTGTCATAGTCATGCACAGCCAATGGATAGGAAGGAGGGTTACAAAGCCTTGGACCATAGGGGGAACTCATCACTTCTGCTTCCTCTCCACTGGCTGTCTGTTATACACAGGGTCACTCCTACCTGTAAAAAGGCTATGGAATATGGGCCCAGAAGAATTCAATTTTTGTCTTTGCGATAGTTTACTGAGAATGATGATTTCCAATTTCAAGGACAAAAAAACAAACACCGCATGTTCTCACTCATAGGTGGGAATTGAACAATGAAAACACATGGACACAGGAAGGGGAACATCACACTCTGGGGACTGTTTTGGGGTGGGGGAGGGGGGAGGGATAGCATTAGGAGATATACCTAATGCTAAGTGATGAGTTAATGGGTGCAGCACATCAGCATGGCACATGTATACATATGTAACAAACCTGCACATTGTGCACATGTGCCCTAAAACATATACCCTAAAAAGTATAATAATAATAAAAAAATTAAATTAAAAAAAAGAATTCCATTTTTGATGACTAGTCACTATGCTCTTTTACTCACTATATATCTGCTTGAGAGGACCACCCAAAGTCTCTTCAGAAGCAGTTTTCTCCAATAGGTCCAGGTATGGCTCTTTATGCTCTAAGACATACAAACTAAAAAGCAGATTACCTGCCCCCTGCAGCCTCCCTTTTACCATTTATGGTGCCCAGCAGAGACAGGATATCCACAATAACATCTCCCTTTTGGAACAGGAGGAATGCAGAGGTGTGCGATCACAGACTCAGGTCATGATGACACCTGTCTCTGCGGGCATGACAAAGACTCCCTGCTTTGGTGGTGGAGAAAGGTCCTTGGTTGGACCCAGCATCTGCTCTCTGATATCTCTGGAACTAACTGTCCCGTTCTCTGGTTTTCTCTAGGAGGTTCTCCTTTGCCCATTATTCTTCCTGGCCACATCTAAAGTGGATATTGGTGAGTATGCACTCCTTGGAGGCAAGCAACTTTTGCAGTCAACTTCTGGTTTGTTCAGGTTTGAGGTCCTGATAGTTGTATAATGCTCTATCTTGCAAAATTTTATTTTATTTTATATTTTGGTCAGGTCTGTGATATTGTGGGTCATGTCGCAGAAACTATATGGGCTTCTGGTTTATTTTCTCCTAGGAAGTTTCATTAAGTAACCACACTCTAAGTTCTTTCCTAGATGTAACTCTCAAATCTGTCTTCTTCTTCTTCCTCTTCTTCTTCTTCTTCTTTCCTCCTCCTCCTCCTCCTCCTCCTCCTCCCCCTCCTCCCCCCCCTCCTCTTCTTCTTCTTCCTCTTCTTCTTCTTCTTCTTCTTCTTCTTCTTCTTCTTCTTCTTCTTCTTCTTCTTCTTCTTCTTCTTCTTCTTCTTCTTCTTCTCCTCCTCCTCCTTTCTTCTTTCTTCTTCTTGTTATTATTTTGCTTCCTGGCCCCCATGCCTTTCCACCTCTCTTCAACTTAATGGAAGCTACTTTGAGGGCATCTGAAAGAGTAGGCGGGGTGGAAAGGTAGAAAAGTAACTCCCTTAATCTAAGCTACTTTGCAAACCTGAGAAATCTTAACGGGTCTTCTTTGCTTGAAACCATCTTTAGTCTTTTTTTGTGTGTGTTTGGGATCTAGAATCAGCCTGATTTTCCTGTCCTTTCAGACCCCAGATTCCTTTTTATTTCTGCTTGTAAACCTGTCTATTTCTTCTTGACTTCAGCTATTTATTGTAATACCTTTCTACAAGTGAGAAGGACCAAGATACACTAACATCCCAGGTATTTCCAACTACTTTCCTTAGAGCTATAGGGTCAATAGACACTTGCCTTATCTTCCAAGTTCAACTGATAGTTTTATCAAATGTTTCGTCACTACATCACACTGGTATCTTTCTTTCCACATTGTGATATCTATGTTCCTTTGTCTACTGCCCAATTGCTAAGCTCAGGCTATACACTATTTTCATTTGTTAAGATAGCACTCTATTTCAATGTACCATTTTCTCTACTAGTTGTGGTGATGCTCAAAAACAATATAATGACTGAAATATAAGAGACATTTATTTCTTGGTCACATAACAGACAAAGGTGGTTATTTCTTGTGAGTGGGCAGCTTTCCTCTATGGAGTGATTTGAGGATCCAGAAATTTTCCATGTCTGGCTCTTTCATCTTCTTGGGTCCTGTTTTTACTGTTATCCAGGCTGCAGAAGAGGAAGGAAGGAATGGAGGAAGAACTTTCATTCTTTAAAGTTTCAGCTGAGAAAAAGCCCACATCACTTTTGTGTACATTCTGATACAGACAGGAGGCAGGAGAGTAGGGTCCCTGGCAAGGGCTCTACCCTCAAGCCTGGACCCACGGCCCTAAATGAGAACAGGCATTCCTGTTTTCATGCCGAAATATTGCCTTTTGGCCCACCATGTCCCCCTATCCTGTGTCCATATAAAGCCCAAACCCCAGGCTCCATGAGCAGAAGAGCAGCAGAGCCACATGGCAGAGAAGAAAAGAAGAGGAACATCTGAACATCGAGAGGAGTTCGACTGGGGAATGGTCATAGAGGAGATTGGCCACAGGATGGCCAAACTCCAGGGGAAGATCATCTTCCCGCTCCGTTCACTTTCCAGCTCCCCATCCATCTTGCTGAGAGCCACCTCCATCACTCAATTCAATTCCTGCATTCACCATCCTTCAAGTCTGTGTGACCTGATTCTTCCTGGATGCTGGGCAAGGACCCAGGTACCAAGAGGGCGGGGTATAAAAAGCTGTCACCCTGACTCTCCACTGAGTTGGTTAACACTTAGCCATCCATGGATGGCAAAGCTAAAGGAACACTGTAATACCCCTAGATGCTGCCATGGGGCCGGAGCCCAACAGCGCTCACCCCAGCTCACCTGCATTCTCTCCTTCCTGTAAGGGGTTTGAGTGCATGGTGGCTGAGTAAATGAGCCACCCCCTTTGTGAGGAGTCCCATGAAGGGGCCAAGGCAATTCTCCCATCTCAGTTCCACTGGTCATGATCAGTTGTATGGCCACACTTAACTAATTGTAGGGAAGGTTGTGAAATACAGCACCCATGTGGAGGAGAAGACAGAATTTTGTTGAGTTACTTATAGTCTGCCATACAAAGACCATTTGAAGAAGCTCTGAAAGCCCAGAGTCCTCCCATCCCAATGGGTATGCCAGCTTGTACATGTGTCACTCTATGGTATCTGTTCATCCTAGACTCACATTGCACAACGTCCTTTGATTCTTCCCTTCTGTGAGGCTTGTAGTCTAAATGTTTGCAAGCATCACTTTGCATCTGTCCTTGAGAGAACCTTATTTTCTGTGTTTCTGAACCTTCTACTGTTTTATTAAAGTTACCTGGAATCCTGATTACAACACCCTCAAATAACTACTCTCTTAATATCCATTGATGCCACCTTCCCACTTCATGGATCTCCTGTAGAGAACATTATTCAAGGATTTGATGATGAAAAAGAGGCTAAATATTACTGGTAGGAGAATTAACTTTTATGGCTCATGTTTCTTATATTCCTGACCTGAAACTGAATTCACTTATGGTTGTGTGATATAGATCTTATTTGTACAAGTTATTAAATAATAAATTATGCTAAGCAATATCCTATGTCCTGTGAAAGTCAACGTTGAATATATATCATTTTTCTTGACCAACCTTGTCCAAGTGGTCTCCTGATTCATAAGGGCTCTTATGTTCCTGAAAGAAATTAGGTAACCCCGAGAGATTTTGCTATTCCAGAAACAATGTTGTGTTTTATTTATAATCTATCAATTGTTCTCCCCAGTATTTTCAAATACATATGATAAACAATTAGATCTGTGATATGTAGAGTCAGTCTTAGATTTGTTAAAATAGAAATACTGGTCGGGCACGGTGGCTCATGCCTGTAATCCCAGCACTTTGGGAGGCCAAGGCAGGTGGATCACTTGAGGTCAGGAGTTCGAGACCAACATGGTCAATATGGTGAAACCCCTTCTTTACTAAAAATACAAAACTTAGCTGGGCATGGTGGCTTGTGCCTGTAATCCCAGCTACTTGGGAGGCTGTGACAGGAGAATCGCTTGAACCTGGGAGGTGGAGGTTGCAGTGAGCCAACATTGTGCCACTGCATTCCAGCCTGGGTGACAGAGCGAGACTCCGTCTCAACAAAACAAAACAAAACAAAACAAAACAAAACAAAACAAAAACCCCCCAAAAACCAAAAAACCATAGTTAGGCCAGTCACAGTGGCTCACACCTGTAATCCCAGTGCTTCAGGAGGCTGAGGCAGGAGGATTGCTTGAGCCCAGAAGTTCGAGACCAACCTGGGCAACATGGAAAGACTCTGACTCTACAAAAAACTTTTTAGAAATTTATCTGGGCATAGTGGTATGCCCCTGTAGTTCCAGCTATTCAGAAGGATTGCTTGAGCCCAGGAGTCAGAGGCTGCAATGAACTGTGATTGCACCACTGCATTCCAGACTCCAGCTTGGGTGACAGGCCGAGACTCTTTTTCTCTTTGAGAAAAAAAAAAGAGAGAAAAAAAATACCATACTCATTGTTACCATTTCCCCCCAAGTCTCTCAGCACCTCCTCAGTTATTCACATTATTCTATGACTTTTTAATATTTGCTGTCAATTATCTAAATATACTAAGATGAAACATGCTTAGATTACTTAAACACATTATTAGTCAAGGCAGAAATAAGAAAGCTAAGCAGGTTGCTGGAGGTGACAGGAGAGATGACTGACTTCCCAGGGCCATGCCATTTTCAGATAACACTGTGAAGGGAACCATGTTTGTCTATGGCGAAGTTCCAGCTTCCCCATCCAGGCTCCCTTCCTCAGCACATGTACATGTCCAGTGTCCTTTCTCACTATCAGCTGGCCACCAAATAATCTCAACAAAAACCTTTTTTTTTGAGCTTGATAAAGATTTCAGGTGAGACTTCTTGCTAAGTCATGTTAGAAAGGAACTCAAATTGGAAAAGTCTTCTGCAGAGTGGAAAAACAGAGTTGTTTAATTTTTTTCAATCTATAAATTGGGATAATGCCAACCTGTCTTTAAACTATGAGGATTACATTAAATAACATGTATTTGCCATTTAGCAGAGTATTTAGCACATGGTAGTATATAATTGTTATTATAAGTACCTTCTTTTTTTTTGGTAGGTAGAAGGATTTTATATTATCCCATAACATCTACCATGGCCATGGCCTTTTCACTCCTTCTTTTTTTTTTTTGAGATGGAGTATTGCTCTGTCGCCTGGGTTAGAGTGCAGTGGTGCAATGCCGGCTCACTGCAACCTCCACCTCCCAGGTTCAAGTGATTCTCCTGCCTCAGCTTCCCTAGTAGCTGGGATTACAAGCACACACCACCATGCCCTGCTAATTTTTTGTATTTTTAGTAGAGACAGGGTTTTGCCATGTTGGCCAGGCTGGTCTCAAACACTTGACCTCAGGTGATCTGCCTGCCTCAGCCTCCCAAAGTGCTGGGATTACAGGTGTGAGGGATTACACCACGCCCATCCTCGCCTTTTCACTTCTCTATATTCCACTTTAGATGGTAGGGTTAGGGACAACGAGAACCTTATTTTATCTTGTTAATTACGCAGAACATTACTTTATCTTGTTAATCACCACATCTCTGGACCAGCAAAGGTGTTATTCCAGGTACCAATAGATTGCCTCTCAATTCCAGATCTACCCTCTTTTTGTCTTGCCTTGTGAAACTCAAGCTAGACTCCATAAATATTTCTCCTTTGATAGCTGGTCAATGTTAGGCTTTGTCAAGAGAGGACTTTTCAAGACACTGGGAAGGAAGGAAATTCTTTTCCTAGTTCTCATATGCTTTTTTCTTTCCTATGACATGGAAACTGGTGCCATGTGGAAGGCCCAGTGACACTTACTCTCTGGCAAGTTTTGCTCATACCAAAGCAAGAGGCCAGCCCTAGCCTGCTGGCGGCACAGCAAATTTCTCACTTTGCGGTGCATGGATTCCAAGAAGGCCTAAATCTCACCCTTCTGATAGAGGGGAAGATGCTCCATCAAGTTCTTATTCCCTTCCTTGGACAATCTTCCTAATGCCAAAGAGTAGTAGTTCTCTGCATTTATATTTTCTATCTTATGTCTTTTAGTAATTAGTTGTCATTTACTAGCTAATATTACTTTATATCAAAAATTTTCTGTTCAAATTATTGGTGTGTCTGTTTCCTGACTGGACCTTGACTGATCTTGGTTGCACAATACAAATTCATGGACAAAATGAATGGACTGTCTAAGTATGGCCCTGGATATGGTGGCTGAAGTTTTAGGGCAGAGAGGGATATGGAAGAAGGGAAGGAGGAAAGAAAAGTATATCCTGCCATTCCATTGTTTATCTTCCCACCTGTTCTCTCCTTGTCTGAAAGCCCAAAGGTTGCTTCTTCCATATATTCTCAAAAGGCTATGTATCTATATTATCAAAAGCCTCAGCGTGGCCCCATAACACAGAGGCATCTTCTGACTGTGCTCCCAATATCACCTCTCTAAGGGAGTCAACAAGCCTTGTGATGCAACTCCCAAAGATCACAATCTCTGTACTGGGTCAATGTCTTTTCCCTTATGCTTCATGCTCTCTGTACCTTCTCCTTTCTTCTTTCTCAATATGATGCTGATTCTTAGCCCAGATCATAGTCCATATTCAAAATGTAACTGGAATTTGAGAGAGCAGAAGAAACACTGATGATCAGATAGCCTCAAAGCAAATCCAATTATCAGCAAAACATCTAAGAGATGTATTTGTGGGACCATGGGAATTTTAATCATTCCACATTTATACAACTCGGAAAACAAAATGGTAGAAAACAGGAAACTTCTTTAATCAAGCAAAGTCTTTGTGGTTATGGCTGATGAATATGCAAAAGCTTCTCTGAATTTTTTTAGGGCACAAAGTATTGCCACATATGCATCCCTAATAGCTGTTTTTAGGTTATTAGAAAGGAATGGGTTTGCTAATCAAGTAAGCCAGAGGCTTAAAGAGATACAGACATTTTTGATTATACAAAAACCACAAATTGACTCCAAGGCAGAGCACCTGAGCTCTGACTTTCAAATTCACATGTTTCTGATAATCAGCATTGCTGTATTCATTGAGTTAGTCAACACCCAAAGGCAAAAATCTTAAGGTTAGGTGAGGCTCTAATGGAAGACTGCAGATCTCAAAGATAGTTCTCTAAGAAGTTTATCATCAAGCTATTACAGAAATCCCACTTCCTCCATAAAACTTCGTTAGTAATTGAGGAAATGGATAATTTCCCCTACCTCATACCCTTGCCTATTTCATGATACCTGTTTGCTCCATCATTTTACAACAGTTTTTATTTACACCTACCATTTTTTATCATGATTGAAAATAAATTATGCATATGTTCCTGATGAGAATCCAAGTTAGTGTTGTTTGTATTATAATTATAGGCAAATAGATGGATGAATGAACTACATATGCTCATTCACTCAAGCAATATTTGTTGACTGTCTACTATTGCCAGGCACTAGGGAAACAAAGATGAGTCAGACATCAGTCCTATCCAAAGATGAATGGTAAGTCATCCTTCTCTCAGGGAGTTCTCAATCTGGTAAGGGAGACACAGTATGTGGACAAATTGCTACAGTGTATGTAGAGATATATATGTACATGCCAGCTGCAGGTTAGTACAAATGTGGAAATGATTGACTCTTTCTGTGGTTCCCTACTTTACAGATCAGGAAATAGAAGCACTGAGAAATCAGGTAACTTGCTGACACTCACACAACTAGTGATATGGACAGGAGACCGGGAAATCCTGGGTAGAAGAGGGCAGTTCCTGGGCAAAGGCCCCACCCTCAAGCCTGTATACCCATGGCCCTAAATGAGACCAGGCATTCCTGTTTTTGTGCCCAAAAAGTTGCCTTTTGGCCTGCTATGCCCCCTATCCTGCACCCATATAAACCCTGAACACCAGGCTTCAGAAATAGACCAGCAGACAGATGGCAGAATGATGCGGCAGAGAGAGAGAGAGACGAGGAGGAACATCTGAACTCTGAGAGGAGTTCGGCTGGTGGGTCGTCGGAGAGGAGTCGGGCCTATTCCAGCTCCCTATCCATCCCAGGATAGGGATAGCCACCTCCACCACTCAATAAAACCTTGCATTCATCCTTCAAGCCCGTGTGTGACCCAATTTTTCTGGGATGCTGGGCAAGAGCTCGAGATACAGAAAGCTGTCACTGGCCCTCTGCCCTTGTGAAAAGGCAGAGGGACCATTGAGCTGCAGATGGCAAAGCTGAAAGAGCTTTGTAACTCCTAGACACTACCATGGGCTGGAGCCCAAAGCACTCACCCCAGCCTCTGCACTTGCCTGTCTGCATGCTCCCCATCCCACATGGGGTTTGAGCAGTGGGGTGACTGAACAGGTGAGACACACCACTGTCACATGGTCTGCAAGGGGGATCAGGGAACTCTCCCTTTCATCAGTACATGGAAGAGTCTGGATATGAACCCAAGAAGTATTGTCACCAGGATGGCCCCTACTGACAGTGGGAAAACTTTAACTGTTTTTTTAAGTCTGTTTATAGGCACAGCTGTTTAAAGAAACCAGATGGTCTGGATGCCACAAGTAGCCCCCTTGAGACCCGCTGCTGAATAACTGAGGAAGTTCAGACCCACATGAAACTGGTGCAGACCAGAGCAGGCGACCTCCAGTTACCTTTAAGTCATTAACGTATCATTATAATACTAGAAATCTTTCCCCTAAGAGAAAATTGCCCCCATTTTGTCTACATGCAGTGTGTGTAGAAACATGTTCATGTACTATGCCTGTGTTTGCAACTCCATCCAGTACATGCCCACATACTTCCCCAGGCTTGTGCCCAACTCTCTAAAACTCCCATGCCTCCAGGAAGATGGTGCCTTTGGAACATGAGCTCCCCTTCTCCATTCTTTGGCCACTGAATAAAAACCTGGTTGACTTCCCAATTGGATGTTCTTTCTTTGCAGCCAATGTGAAGTAGGCAAAGAACACAATTGACCAGTGACATTATGTCTCCAGGGGTCTTACTTTTAAGCACCATGCTAACTGCTTTCCCTATTCGCCCTGTGCAAGACCTCACATGGTTGAATATTTAATAATTAAATTCGAATGATGTTAGTGAATTCTTTTAGGTTATCGATACTCGTTTATAAGGTTGTGCCCTGATACCAGTGATCAGGACAATGGTGCACTTCTCTAAAAAGGGTTGTGGGGTCCAGGTTCCACACTTCTCAGCAACATTGACCTCTAAAACCAAGCAAGGCAGGGGAAATCTCTGCAGATTTATACAGCTAGAAAAATGAAATGGTTGAAAATAGGCAACTTTAATTAAAAGAATCTTCAACTAAACTTTTGTCTTTGGAGCTGTGGGTCTAAGAAATGGCACCAAAGTATGGTTTATACACTTGATAGAAAACCTCTCAGTCACCAAGAAGTGCCATCCTTGCCCCTTGAAAAAGGAACTTTGTCTATTCCTGTATCTTGGATCACATGTTAATGTCCTTTAAAAGTGGAAATGGTTAGATTCACATTTAACAAAGCACAAATCATTCCCTCCAATATTTGTAATTTTCAGGTGAAATTGCAAGGATGAATAAAAAAGGTGACCTACATAAAAAAAAGGAAATAAAAACCAGAGGGGTGGGTCAAAAAAGTAAAGGTCTTTTTTAAGCTTTTGCTGGGCTGTGTTCCTGAAGGTAGTGGCCTGTGCACATAAGCCTTTCAGTACCAGCTGAAGAGTCACTAGTCCTTGCTCTTCCATCAGTGCCTCCATATCCACCATATGCAATTCAGAGAATTAATGACATTTCAAATCTGTAAGAAAGCCTACTGGGGATGGGTGAATGGAGGAAGCACAAAGGGATATAGATGTTAGGGTCTAACAGTCTATAGAATTCAGTGAGGGTCAAATAACTCAAGGAGAATCCAGTATTTTAGCCTAGGTTTCAAAGATAAGTGCTGTTCACTAGGTGGTCAAAGAAGAGGAGAGCATTCCAGACAAGAACAGCTTGAGCTAAGGCGCTTAGGTGAGAAATTACAACTGGTTCAGTATGGTTCGTGTGATGGGCACTAAGCCAAGGAGTGTGACAGATGCTGAGAAGTGTTAGGCAGGGAGGTGCAATTTTGACTGGCCCTATGGGTCACACCAAAGAGTTTGAAGTCTATACCCTAGGCCAGTGGCTTACTCCCTTGGCTACATCCATAATCCCCTAGGGAGCTTAAAGAAATTTTAACCACCAAGCCTCACCTGAGCAACTGAGTCAGAATCTCTAGCAGTGGGGTTAGATGTCAGTCTTTTATAAAAAGCTTCCTATGTGTACCCTGGGTTGGGAATTACTGCTGTTGACTATGGTGAACACTTAAAAGGTTTTAAGTAGAGATGTGACTTGGTTAGTTTTTCATTTCAGAAAGATCACTCTGACTACAGTATGGAGAACAAATAGGAACCATGTGTGAGGGCTGCAGAAAAGACACTGGGGAGGCTGGTGCAGTTCAGGCTAAAGATGATCAGGGCCAGAACTATAGAAGTGGCCTTAAGACTGCAGAGGAGAAGTTAGGTAACTGTCATCCTCCATCTGGGATTTGGTGGCAAATTGAATGTGTGTGTGTGTGTGTGTGTGTGTGTGTGTGTGTGTGTGTGTGTGTGTGTTGTGGGGGTTGTGGGGAATAGAAGATGTGGTGGATTACAAAAATGACCACAGACTCTCTTGTACATACCTTACCATTCTCTCACTAAGCATGAGAGTCTGTTTTTCCACTTCTTGAATCTGAGCTGTGACTTTCTTTGGCTAGGATAATGTGGCAGAAGTGACATTTACCGAGTACTCTAAGCTTGGGTTCAAGGAATTTTGTAAGTTTGTTCTCTCTCACTCTTAGAACCCTGTGACTCCCAAGTAAATAAGCCTATCCTAGACAACGAGAGACCCATGGTCCAGTTGTCTGTCATCCCAGCCTAGAGCCTGCCAACCACTAGACATGCAAAGGAGGCAATGACAGGTGATGGCAGGTACATGAAAGAGCCCAGTGGAGATTACTTTCTATAAAAGACTGTGCTAGACCCAACCTTCAGCTGTCCTCAGGAATGGCCAATACTACATCCGGCAAGAGCAATTCCTTTTAATGTTTAACAATTAGTCTCAAAACAGATTGTTTAAATGTCAAAACTTAGAAATTCTTATAATAGAAAAGAAACACGATCAGCTTAAAATACTACTGCATAAGCCGAAGGTCATGTCAATTCAGTTGAGTAAATTAAATAAAGGATCACTGGGGTAGATCGTCATCATCATAACATGGTAGAGGGTTTTTTCCTTTTGAAAGAATGTTTCTAATGTATTTCTTTCTTAAACATACTGTATTGTTTCTCTTAATATGTATTTGTTATTGAGTTTATTAATTATCAATATACACATGGAGATAAATGCAAGCCATGCTTGAAAATTATATTACTGAAATTTAACCCATGACTGCAGTTGGACATCTGCCTGGATAATAAGCAGCTTTTTCTCTCTTTCAAAATTCATGCTACAGAAGGCAAAAGTCAGTGTTCTTTCATTACTTTACAAAGCCTTTAACAAAAAAGTAGAAATGTAACTTCCTACCCCAAACATACTGACAGGCCAAATTCTTGGTCTCTTCCTCACTTTTACCTTTTATGAAGTATCATTCATAATGCTCCTGTGTATCTTCAGCCAGCATACCAAGCCACTGGGTATTTAAAGTATTAGATTTTTATTGCTAAATTACCACAAGGTTAGCAGCTCAATTTTATTATTTTGTTGTTTCTGTAGGTCAGAAGTCTGGGCATGGTGTGGATTCTCTGCTCAGGGTGTCACTGGGCTGAAATTAAGGTGTCAGTTGGGCTGTAGTTTCATTTGGGCTTATCTTCTCACTGCTGGTAAAATTTATTTCCCTGTGGCTGTAGGACTGAGGCCCCCATTTTCCTTTTAGTAGGCTTTAGATAGTTCTCAGCAGCTAGAGGCCACCCACAATTTCTTGCCATGGGGCAGTTCACGGCATGGCTGTTTGTTTTTGCAGGCTAGCAGGAGTGAGTAGTCTGAGTGCCTCTTCTGCAACTAGCTGGAGGAAACATCGATTTTAAAGGGCTCACTTGATTAGATCAGACCCACCTTGGCAATCTCCCTATTTTGAGGTTAACTGATTGGGACCCTAATTACATCTGCAATCCTTTTACAATGGTGCCCAGATTAGCATTTCAGGAGAGAAGATGTGTGTGCACCAGGGCCAAGAGTCTTGGGGGCCATCCTAGAATTCTGCCTACCATGGCCACGATTAAGGGATCCTACAATCACACGATCAGATTCTAATTAAGTTGGGAACAAATATCTTCCACAGCATGAATTCTACCACCCATTTCCTCCTCATAAGTTTTCCAATTGATTAAACTGTCCAGTTGGATGTTTGAGTTTACAAACTCCCACAATCACAGGTGTTCTAGAGCTCTTGTAGGTCCTGGTGTATGACTTGGTAGTGCACCAAGGAGGATTAGAGAAGACAGCAGTCAACTACAGCACAGTACTGGGGTGTGAGGGAGGGAGGCCACACCAGGGACAGCAGCAGCACATTTCATGTACAAAGCAAGGGAAGAGAGATGAAGCCTTCCTCCTAGCAAGTATAGTTTTCCCCATGTGATTTTATGACTTTTGACATGTCATTTAATGACACCTGACAAACCAATATTTATGAGGTTGTGTTTCAGTTTGAAAAAAATGACAAACTTTTGGACAAATAGGACAGTTTCCTATCCTACAGCTCTCTGATGAGGAAATTGGAAACAGAAATACCATTAATTGTTCTTTCTACGAGAGTGTGTCAATTGTATAATGGAAACTTTGTGATCCTACATAAAACCATTTCTATTACTTCAGAGTACAAAGAATTTGCAAAGAGACGTAGGCAGAATGTGGTGTAGGGACTTTAATTTACTTACCTGCAGACTGTTCCCATTCCATCATAACTTTATTTAAATCATGGTTATGCTCTTAATTAACAATTTAATTGGTTGGTGCTTTCTCAATCCAGTTCTCTAGGGGCATGGTTTTCTGTTTAACTTTCTTGTTTTAATTCTTCCGCAAAACCATACAATTTAATTAGGAAAGTAACCAGCTTTGTAACAGCAGTTCTATGTCTAATTAACTATGCTTTGACAGTCTCTTCTCAGATTCCGTTCAACATGCACATGCATTTTGCATTTGTTCATGTTTCAGAGAAGACATTGTGAATTTATAGCCTATGCATGTAGTCCAATTACTTTCCACTTTCCCTAAGATGCTTGGTTACAACTAGTGAAATCAGGAAAATTAACAATGATTCATATATGAATCTGAGAGCCAAAGGCCAAGATGTAGGTTGTTAGTTCACTGTGTGTGTGGGTTTTCTCCTCCTGCAGAATAGATTACCACAAACTTAGCAGCTTAAAACAATACCTATTTATCATCTCACAGTTCTGCAGGTCAGAAGTCCCGACATGGCTGGCTAGATTCTCTCTTCAGGTATCAATGGGCTAAAATCAAGCTGTTAAAACAGCCCTTATGAGAATTACAAGTCAGGCTTTAGGCAGAATTATAGTTGGGCATTGACCGGGGTGTGCTGATGTACTTCTACCCAAGTTCCTGCAGCTGCTAACTAACTGAGATCCACATTGTGGGGAGCACGGACCACCTGCTCCCCACATTGTTCCTATAGATGGAATCTCTGGCACTGGACCTTTCTGCCCAAGAGTTGCTTAAAGTGTTTTTCAGATCTTGAATTCCAGCAGAATAGCTGACACCAACCAGTCTGAAGACCTCCACCAATAAACCAACTCAGCAAAGAAGTGTAGGAAATGCAGTTTTTTCAACTTCCTGTCCCATGACTTCACTCCTCACTTCTCAATCAATCTGTGATCCCAATTCCTGTTCAGCCCATCACCTGTTCAGACCCTAACCCAACCTCCTTGGGGAGGCAGATTTGAGGTTTCCTCCCATCTCCTTGTTTGGCTGCCCTACAATTATCAAACCATTTATCTGCTGCAACTCTTGTTGTTTCAGTATATTGGTCTGTTACTGCACAATGGGCAATCAAACCTAGTGGTCCTATAACAGTGTCCGCTGGGCTGCCTCCTCCAGGCTTATGTGGCAGAATCCACTTGCTTGTGTTTGGAGGACTGATGTCTCAATTTCCTTGCTGCCTATCAGCTGAAATCCATTCTCACTTCCTAGGGGCCATTGGAATTCCTTAGCTCGTGACTCTCATGGATAGTTCACAACTTAGCAGTTTGTGAACTGCTATCTTGAGACCAGCAGAAGCACTTCTCCGACCTCTTCTGTGAACAGCTAGAGGAAACTTTTTGCTTTTAAAGTGCTCATCTGATTTAGGTCAGGTCTGCCCTATGTCATTTCCCTTCTGCCATATAATGTAGCATCATCAAAGGAATGGCTGTCCCATCATATTCACAGGCCCCTCCTCATCCTCAGGGGAGTGATTATTCAGGGCATGTACACCAGAGGGGATAGAAATCTTGGGGCTATCTTAGAATTCTGTCTATCACAGTGTGATTTAGGGAAGGAAGGCAACTAAAGGTCTTCTGGCAAACCCTCCTTCTTCCCTTCTAGAGGCAATGCACAGGGAATGCAAAGAAGCTGTTAGCAATGCCCATAATTCTGTCCCATTAGCTCCACAGGCTGGAAGATGACACACGGTCATATTCTTTTTTCTCTGCAGGCTGCTTTCTCTGCCTGGCCAGAATTGCTGCTTTCCATAGTACAAATGGTTTGCTTGGTTGAAATCATTCAAATTTAAAATGACATCAAGGTAACGCAATGCTTTTAGATAGAAATTTATCGAAACTCAATATCTCCAACTTCAATCCAATAAAACTACCTCTTTAGTGAAAGGAAATGAAGAAATGTACAAAAAAATTTAACAGAGCAGGTCTGAAAAATACTATCTTTAGAAAGGCCTGCTTGTAAAATTGGCCTTGGCTGGCATTTGGAAAGTTGGATATCAGGAGGGCTACCACCACTCTAACTAATAAGAGTGATTCAATGTGCTTAGATTGTGCAAATAATGTAGTTCATGCTGAACACTTACTTTTCTTCTGGGAGTCTGGAATTTGGGTATGTGCTAGGCAGAGGGTATCTACATAACTTTACCCCAATAAAAACCCCAGGCATTGAGTCTTTAATGAATTTCCCTGGTAGACAACACTGCATGTTTGTTGTCACAAGTTGTTACTGATGGAATTGAGCACATCCTGTGTGACTCTATTGGGAGAGGCCTCTTGGAAGCTTGTGCCTCATTTCCCCTGGACTTCACCCAATACTCCTTTACCCTTTGCTGATTTTGCTTTGTATCCTTTTGCTGTGACCGATCATAGCTGTGAGTAGGACTATATGCTGAGTTTGGTGAGTCCTTATGCAACCCATTGAATGGGGGCATGGTCTTGGTGACCCCTGACTCTAGAGTTAAAGTAAATGATAATGATAATGATCACATTCTGAGTCTAGGCTCCACTGCCCTGCAAACTTGGCTTCAATCCTCTCCATTGTGAGGAAAATCAGAATAAACTGACTAGAGGCAAGAGGCAGGCCTCATTTGGGTCCTAGAGGGCTTGACACCGACTAGATCCATGTTCCAATCCCATACTGTGGCTTGGGCAAGTTACTTAACTCTGTCTCTCTTCTTCTGTAAAACAGCAATAACAATAGACTTACTTCATAAGATTGTTAAAATGAGGCAATTTGTAGAAGCATGTAGCATTGTGGCTGAGAGGAGCTGGATGTGACTGTGTGGAGTGTAGAGCACAGCTGATATCCTAATATTAAGCTTCTTTCTTCCCTTCACTCTGCTCCCTTCTTTCTCACCAGATCCCTTTCCCTCCATTCTCTGAGTTGTCCCCTAAGCTCCTTTACATCCAAACCCCATTTCCTCCCCCAGGTGGCCGCCTTTCTTTGAGGACTAAATGAAAACAATCTGCAGGAATGATTTTCTTTAAATGCTTACCAAAAAGGGCCCAATGTAAATGTGTGGTCATCAGTGCCAGCAGCCCTATTTACAGTCTAGAGCTTTGATTCCATCTATGATGATTTCTGAGAGTTTATAAGTAACCCCTACAGTCCTCACAGATGTAATTTTATTGCTTTTGATAATGGTAAGTGATTATCACAAATATAACAGTGCAAGTTCATTACTTTGTAAGGCCTAACACGTAAATAGATTCACAAATGGTAGAAACATCCTTTGAGAAATATTTTGCTCCAATATTTTGTTCAGAATATCTGTTCCCTAAAACACTGGACTTCAAAATGAAAAGTGGCTATTTTTCTGGTGGTATATGAAAACACAATTTCAGTGGAGACGGAAACTTCCACTCAAAACTTGCTTTGCTTCTTTGCAATTAATAAGTTCCTGGTGGACTATTCAGAAAGTGTTCAGCTACAATTGCTGAAAAGGATGTCGTTGGGTGAAGAGGTTAACGATAGCCTCCTAGAAGCAGATTCCTGCTAGAAGAAAAGGAGGTTTAGGAAATGCCCAGTGACCATGGTCTCTCTGGTATTGCATAAAACAACCACAATTTGGGGATGGGTTCTTGCATCCTCACCCTGGGCCCTTGTAATGAGACACCATGCTTGAACTCAATACTATTTGTATAGGGGCTGGGAATGAGGAGAAGACAGGGAATCAATAAACTCAATGTTCAAGACATCATTTGCAAATAAATTCAATATTTGAAGGGGAACATGCCAAAGAGAAAAATCAAACCATAAATAAAAGAAAAAAAGTTTGTTAATTACAAATATCTCCAGAAGCCACAATGTCTCCTTCCTCCCTCATTCCCTAACACTCCTTCAGGTAGGACTGTACTTCAGTCATGTAGGAAAAAACATTTTTCTATTTCATATTAAAGATTAATGAGGCCTGTTTGGTAATCTGCTTTGCTGTCCATTAAAATGAAGCCTAAACCACCACATAGTTTTTGGGCTTGCTTGTGTTTTGGTAGGCATGGAAAAGAACCAATCACACCACACTTCTCATCGTAACTTTTAGGTAAAAACTAACACTCAATTGTATGCACTGATGGAGTTACAGAAATGCTCTAACTCTAAAATCCATAAAGTTTATCAAAGATTGAATAATCAGAGCCTTCAACCTTTGCCAAGAAAATTCTCTTATCAGACCCACTGAAACATAGCAAAACTAATTAACTTGAATTTCTGGCTTTAATTTTTCCTCAACTCACTTCTGCTTAAAGTTTTAATTAAGAGGAAAGTGCCTAGATGATCAGTAGGAAGATTCAAGAAGGAAAAGAGAAGCTCTAGAAAACAGGAAACTGAATTCATTCATTCATTAAGGAAAAATAACAAAACCATGTATTGAACTTCTAGGACATTCCAGACACTAACTAGAAATACAGCAATGAACAAAAAATAGATAAACTCTCTCATGAAATTTACATTCTACCTTGGAGATGGGTAGTAAATAGATAATGTGTCAGATAGAAAATTTTCTTTTTTTTTTTCTTGAGACAGGGTTTCTCTCTTTTGCCCAGGCTAGAGAGCAGTGGCGACAGAGCAAGACCCTGTCTCAAAAAAAGAGATACTAGACCTCACTGCAACCTCCCAGGTTCAACTGACCCTCCCATCTCAGCCTCTCTAGTAGCTGGGACTACAGGCATGTGACACCACACCTGGTTAAATTTTTACATTTTTTTGCAGAGATGGGGTTTTACCATGTTGCCCAGGCTGGCCTTGAACTCCTGGGCTCAAGTGATCTGCCTGCCTCAGTCTCCCAAAGTGCTGAGACTACAGGCATGAGCCACTGCACACAGCCAGAAAATTTTTGAGTAGCCTTAAATATCCTTTAAAAGCTCTTTTGGCTGGGCACGGTGGCTCATGCCTGTAATGCCAGCACTTTGAGAGGCTGAGGTGGGTGGATCACGAGGTCAGGAGTTCAAGACCAGCCTGGCCAGCATAGTGAAACCCCGTCTCTACTAAGAGGCCGGAGAATTGCTTGAACCCGGGAGGTGGAGGCTGCAGTGAGCCGAGATCGCACCACTGCACCTCAGCTTGGACAACAGAGTGAGACTTTGTCTCAAATAAAATAAAATAAAATAAAACAAAATAAAATAAAATAAAATAAAAGCTCTTTCAAGTTATCTCCTTAGCCTTTACTTTCTTGGCTAATAAATTCCAATTATTCAACTCCAGTCAGCAAATCCCTGTAAACACTCCACAAGCACAATTCTACCATAAGTGTGTAGATGTTCTATTACCTTAAGTTGATAGGATATTTTCTTCAGTGCATATGCTTCCTCTTCTGTTTTGGGAATAAATCTTATCACTTTATCACTACAAGATAAGAAAAGAAAGATGATAATTACTTTTCGAAAATAAAGATATTAGTCATCTCTTTCTTACCTCTTAAAAAACTGCCTCTGCATTTAAGAAGAAAAACAGTGAAACTTTTCACTGGCCCAGTAAGTATTTTATCCAATTTATTCTCTGATTGCATTGTTCTTTTCTTCTTGTCTTAAAGCTATTTGGTGTTTCATCAGCTTTTGAAGATTACAAACTCACATTTAATGTTATAAATGCAGAAAAAGGCCAAAAACACAAAAAGAGTGGCAACGAGGGACAGGAACTTTCATGAGCTGCTCAGAGCAGATACCAAGAAGGAAAATTTCTGATGACAGAAGAAAGAAAAGTCATTCTTTTTTTAAACATAATGCTGAAAAGGAATGTGACTTTCAGTGAGAGGATGTGAAATCCACACACTAGGGAAAGCTTCTGGTTTGAATTCTTCCCACATGGAGAACAGTAAGGAGAAGCCCATCTCTATGGGGCATCTCATTTCTCTGGTACAGAGCTTCCCACCTGGCTTGTGGGGCCAAACAAGAGGGCCGTCGGCGTTAGACACTGATGGCTGTAAATTTTTTAGTGATACAAATTAAAAATCAATGTTTACAACTGTTACCAAAACACCAGGGGTTTGGTCTAGGTCCTGCTGCTTTCTGCACATAAAGCAATCACTGAGAAGATGATTATTACCAAGAAAGAAGGCTTTAATCAGGTGCTGCAGCCAGGGAGATGGGAGCTCAGTCTCAAATCCATCTCCCTGATGGACAAAAACTACAGGTGTGTATAGCAGGGAAGAAATGTAACAATGTGTACCAAGCAGAAACTAGGGAGGAGCAAGAAAGCAATCATAATGAATGAGGGGTCTTGCATCTCACTGTCAGGATGTGATCTGGTGAGTTTCTTTCAGTTCTTTGATACTTTTTGATAGGCCTGAAGGTCACTTTCTGAGGAAGGAACTCAGATAAAACAAATATAAGTTTCAATCTTTAAGACCAGAAGAATCCACCTGTGTTTATCAAAAAAAATCTCTATAGGACTACTGGGTCAGTTTCACAACCACAAAGGTTTTACCACAGTTGAAATTATATTTGAACACAATATAAGGTTCTTTCTGTAAAGGTCCTGAATTACCTAAGATGACTTAAGGTGTTGCTGTGTCTGTCAGAAAGTTTCTCTTTGGGGGCCTTGTCTCCCAGGTGTGCCAGAAAAGTAGGCTATCAATTTTTAGGTGTGTCATGATGAGGACAGGTTGGGAAGCACAGCTCTAGCACATAATAATCACAACTATTCAATGTCTTTTGCATAGAGTAGATGCTTATTAAATATTAATGGATTGGCATAAAGGAGATTGCTGAGAGTAATTGGCTTCCAGATGAAATATAAAGGAAAAACTAAGTAAATAAAGCACAGTAGGAATTAATATTTTTCATAACTCTCTATGGCATTTTACAATGATTAAAGATAAGGTAGAATATTATTAATAGAATATAAAGCAGAAAACAAAAACTCTACTATTTCACCTACAACTTGTCTCTCCAACCCCAAAGGTGCACCAGGAATAAGAATGGAATTTGCATGATTTTCTGTCATTTTACTTCTTAGATGATGATATGATTTGGATTGTGTCCCCACCCAAATCTCATGTCAAATTGGAGGAGGGGCTTGGTGGAAGGTGATTGGTTCATGGGGGCATATTTTCCCCTTGTTGTTCTCGTGATAGTGAGTGATTTCTCACAAGATCTGATGGTTTAAAAGTGTATGTCACCTCCTTCTTTGCTCCCTCTTTCTCCTGCCACCATGTGGAGGTCCCTGCTTCCCCTTCTGCTATGATTGTAAGTTTCCTGAGGCCTCCCAGGCATGCATTCTGTTAAGCCTGTGGAACTGTGAGTTGATTAAATCTATTTTCTTCATAAATTACCCAGTCTCAGGTATTTCTTTATAGTGGTGTGAGAGTGGGATAATACAGATGGATAGCAGTTTCCAAGATGAAGTAAGGCTAATATGGAGGGCATCAGATCCCTAGAGATACTTCTGGACTTGCTGGGCAATGATTTTTTAGGGCTTTTGTGTTTATTTCCAATCATGATAGTTTTATTATTTCAAATGATCCTGTAATAGCTCCTTTAGGCCTATGAATAAAAAGGCCCTTGGCTTGCTGATAATAAATTACTGTTTTATGGACTGCTACTCTAACAGAACTTTACAGCTTTGATTTCCTCAAAATCACACAAACCACCTCTCAGTATCAATGTCATGAAGTTCATATTTCTGGAAAGAATAAAAGAAAGTACCGGGAAAAAATTGTCAAGTCACTGTAAAACAAATCTAAATATAACCTTTGGAATTTAAATGTAACCACATCTCTTCTCTTTTCTGATATACATTTCTCTGACCTGTGTTTTTTCTGGATTCATCATACCCTGGCCTTTCTCATCTGACCCAATACAATTCTTGGCAGAGAAAGCAAGCTCGGCTGGGTGATATGGCTGTTTTTGATGGATGGATCACTTGACAGCTTGCTGAAAAACACCTCCATCTGGGGCCTTGTCAGCTCCTCAAGAGTGCAAGAAAAGCAATCTGTAGCTGTTTTACAGCCATGAGAATAACTTTTTTTTTTTTTTTTAAAGATGGATAATTCAACCTGGCAATCAGTTCCTCTTCTGCAAATAAGTACAGGATACAAAGAAACTACCCTTGGGATTATTTAACCCTGAAAGTGATTGCTCAAATCCAGTTTTCTCATTTTTGTTACAAAAAGTTCATTTCATCCCAGCCTTTAGAAATTCTCAGGTGTGACTTTAGAAATGAATTTATTGCTGTTTGATAACTTATCAAAGGACAGAGAATAAGGAAGGCAATGTAGAAAGACCCATGAAATGTCATACTCTTTTGTGAACCAGTAAATTATATTGATGGAATGACGGGTAACCAAAGCCCAACAAGAGCTCTTTATTCAGCATGTGAAAACCACATGACCCCCAAATGCCCTGTTTGTTTCACCAAACAAAAAGCTTACTCTCCCTAAATCTGATAGCTAGTGTTTTTTGAAGTGGTGAGTAATTTGGTGCTAGAAACAGGGAAGTTTCAGGTAGTCTACTGGAACTTAGAAAAACTAACCATGCAAAACTATCAGAGGAGGTGAGCTTAGAGGCTTTTCCTTATAACTTATCAGGTTTTTTGTTTGTTTGTTTGTTTGTTTTTAACTGTTAGGTGGTAACATCAACTTAAGACCCTTTGGCTACCCTTTGGGGTTAAGATGAGGGAATCAAAGAATTGAATATGGGTTGAGGTTAGAAAGACTACTGGGCAAACAGCTGCTCTTATGCACATATATTTCTAACTTAGCCTATATAAAGGTGTCCAAAGAAAGACAGCATAAGCATTTTTAATTTTAGTTTAAGGATGTCTTATAGAGGAAGCAGGACATCCCAGATTAGTCTCCCAGGAATTACTAACACTTATTAATCCATGATATGCTTACATTTTGTTCCTTTGCCCTACAAGACAAATGAGGTTATGTAGCTATAAAGCCCACGTTGAGTTTGGTTGTGAGTTTGACTAATAATCCTGCTGTACAGTAGCAACCACATGAATAAGACAATAGTAAATAAATGTAATCAGTTCAAAAACTATTACCGAATGCCTTCTGAGCATGTATGCACCTACAGAAAATTCAGAAAGGGAACACGATCTCCAACTCTATATTATGTCTGGGTCTCAGTTTCTTCACTGGAGGAGTGAGGGATGATCTCCCAGCTGCCTTCCAACATGGTGAAAACCCATCTCTACTAAAAATACAAAAATTAGCTGGGGGTGGTGGTGTGTGCCTGTAGTCCCAGCTACTTAGGAGGCTGAGGCAGGAGAATGGCTTGAACCTGGGAGGCGGAGATTGCAGTGAGCCGAGATTGAGCCACTGCACTCCAGCCTGGGTGACAGAGCGAGACTCCATCTTAAAAAAAAAAAAAGTTCTAAGACTGTGTTGCCTGGGTTTGACACCTCCCATATTGATTGCCATTCTTCTGTGCCTTGACTGTGCAGCAGCTAAGGAAGAGTATCTCTGTCCTCTAGGCAACCTGAAAGTCCTGTTGAAAGACAGAGATGTGAAGCTTCAGATGTTTCCTTGTGGCTCCTGGCATGACCTTTCGCAACTGATTCCATTATGAAATCCTAAACTTCTTTGTACGTTACAGAATTTACGAACCTACACTTGTAAAAATTAAAATATTACAGAGCATATGAAATGATAAAGTTCTCTTCCAACTCCAAGCCTTCCATCTTCCCTTTGTAGCCACTGTTAACAGTTTCTTGTGTATCACTCTGAACTCTTTTCTGCATTAATACACGTACACGCAGTGTTTGTTTTACAGCATTTTGTAACACTAATTTGCTTTTATCTTTTACTTCATATGTTGGTTTTAAAATATAATAAGTTCTTGATTAACATCAATGATAAGTTCTTGGAAATTGTGACTTTACATGAAACAGTGTCTAACAGAACCGATTTTACCATAAACTAACTGATAGAAGCAAGTTAAGTTCCTATGGGCATATTTCTGGTCATGAAAAAATCACCAGGCCGTGTGCAGTGGCTCATGCCTGTAATACCAGCACTTTGGGAGGCCGAGGCAGGTGGATCACAAGATCAAGAGATTGAGACAATCCTGGCCAACATGGCAAAACCCCATCTCTACTAAAAATACAAAAATTATCTGGGTGTGGTGGCACATGCCTGTGGTCCCAGCTACTCTGGAGGCTAAGGCAGGAGAATCGCTTGAACCTGGCAGGCAGAAGTTGCAGTGAGCTGAGATCATGCCACTGCACTCCAGCCTGATGACAGAGTGAGACTCCATCTCGAAACAAACTAACAAAAAAACCCCCAAAAAAACAAACAAAAAAAATCACCAAATTTCTAAATAAAGACCCATAGCTGGGTGTGGTGACTCATACCTGCAATTCCAGAACTTGGGAGGCTGAGGTAGGAGAATAGCTTGAGGCCAGAAGTTTGAGACCAACCTGGACAACATAGTGAGACCCTGTCTCCGCAAAAATAAATAAATAAATAAATAAATAAATAGCTGGGCATCATGGCACATACATATAGTCCCAGCTACCTGGGAGGCTGAGGCAGGAGGATCACTCAGGCTAAGGAGCTGGAGGCTGCAGTGAGCTATGATCAAGGCATTTTGTCCAGCCTGGGTGACATAATGAGACCCTGTCTCAAAAAAAAAAAAAAAAAATAAGACCCAAAGTACTTCTAATATTAAACATTGAAATAAAAGTGAACTATATATACATTTAAGAAAAATTAATAAAGACAAGTAAGATTATGTACTCAATTTTTGGTGAATCTGTGATGGATAGCGGTTGTTGCAGTGGTGGGTTAAATCAAGGAATAGATGTTTGCAAAGCTAAAATATGAACCTCTGTTCCCAACATGCAGTTCAAACAAACAATAACAAATATAGTGGGTTTGCTGAGGGCTTTTGTACTGCATCATTTATTGTCATGGCTTTGTATGATTTTGCCTATGAGTTTTTATTTTACAATACTTTTTATTCATTCCTGGCTGGGCGTGGTGGCTCACACCTGTAATCCCAGTACTTTGGGAGGCCGAGGCGGGTGGATCACGAGGTCAGGAGATCGAGACCATCTTGGCTAACACAGTGAAACTCTGTCTCTACTAAAAATACAAAAATTAGCTGGGCGTAGTGGCAGACATCTATAGCACCAGCTACTCGGGAGGCTGAGGCAGGAGAATGGCGTGAACCTGGGAGGCGGAACTTGTAGTGAGCCGAGATTGCACCACCGCACTCCAGTCCGGGCGACAGAGTGAGAATCTGTCTCAATTAAAATAATAATAATAATAATAATAATAATAATTTGTATTCATTCCTTAATTCATTTTCCAACCCACTTATTCTAGTTCAGGGTCAAGAGTGGCTGGAGCTTGTCCCTGCAGCTCAGGACACAAAGTGGAAACTGACTCTGGATAGGACGCCATCCATTACAGGGTACACTCACACACCCATGCTCACTCAGCCTGGGACCATGTAGACATGCTGATGAACCTAACAGGTGCAGCTTTGGGATGTGGGGGGAAACTGAGTACCTAAAGAAAACCCACACAGACATGGGGAGAACATGCCAACTCCTCACAGACAGTGGCCCTGGTGGGAATTGATTTTTTTTTTCTTGTCAAAGTTATAGCAAAATGATGTTGAATGAAAAACAATGTTATTCTAGGACCTGCTGTACCACCTTTTAAAGAAATGGCTGGATTTTATATGCTAATGAGAGGTGACAGTGTGCTGGCAGCCCTCGCTCCCTCTCAGTGCCTCCTCGGCCTCAATGCCCACTCTGGCCATGCTTGGGGAACCCTTGAGCCCGCTGCTGCTCTGTGGGAGCCACTCTTTGGGCTGGCCGAGGCCGGAGCTGGCTCCCTCTGCTTGAGGGGATGTGTGGAGGGAGAGGCACGGGCAGGAACCAGGGCTGCGCACGGTGCTAGTGGGCCAGTGTGAGTTCCGGGTGGCCGCAGGCTCCGCGGCCCCGCACTTTGATCAGCCAGCTGGCGCTGCCAGCCCAGGGCAGTGAGAGGCTTACCACCTGGGCCAGCAGCTGCGGAGGCTGCACTGGGTCCTCCAGCAGTGCCGGCCCACTGGTGCCATGCTTGAATTCTTGCCAGGCCTCAGCTGCCTCCCCGAGGGGCAGGGCTTGGGACCTGCAGCCCGCCATGACTGAGCCCCGCTCCCCTACTCCTGCGTGGCCCAAGCCTCCCCAACATGCGCGGCCCCCTACTCCACAGCACCTGGTCCCATCGACCACCCAAGGGCTGAGGAGTGCGGCTGCATGGTGCAGAACTGGCAGGCAGCTCCACCCGTGGCCCCGGTGTGGGATCTACTAGGCAAAGCCAGCTGGGCTCCTGAGTTGGGTGGGGACTTGGAGAACTTTTATGTCTAGCTGGAAGATGGCATATGCGCCAATCAGCACTCTGTGTCTACCTCTGGGTTTTTGGATGCACCAATCAGCACTCTGTATCTAGCTAATCTGGTGGGGACTTGGAGGACTTTTATGTCTAGCTAGAGGATTGTAAATGCACCATTCAGCACTCTGTGTCTAGCTAAAAGATTGTAAATGCACCAATCAGCACTGTGTCTAGCTCAAGGTTTGTAAACACACCAATCAGTGCTCTGTGTCTAGCTAATCTAGTGGGGACTTGGAGAACTTTCGTGTCTAGCTCAAGGTTCATAAATGCACCAATCAGCACCGTCAAAACGGACCAATCAGCTCTCTGTAAAATGGACCAATCAGCTCTCTGTAAAATGGACCAATCAGCAGGATGTGGGTGGGGCCAGATAAGGGAATAAAAGCAGGCTGTGAGCCAGCAGCGGCAACCCACTAGGGTTCTCTTCCACCCTGTGTAAACTTTGTTCTTTTATTGTTTGCAATAACACTTGCTGGTGCTCACTCTTTGGGTCTGCACTGCCTTTATGAGCTGTAACACTCACTGCGAAGATCTGCAGCTTCACTCCTGTGGCCAGCGAGATCATGAACCCACCGGGAGGAATGAACAACTCCAGACGTGCCACCTTAAGAGCTGTAACACTCACCGCAAAGGTCTGCAGCTTCACTCCTGAAGCCAGCGAGACCACGAACCCACCAGAAGGAAAAACCTCTGAACATGTCCGAACATCAGAAGGAACAACTCCAGACACACCACCTTTAAGAACTGTAACACTCACCGCGAGGGTCCGTGGCTTCATTCTTGAAGTCAGTGAGACCAAGAACCCACCAATTCTGGACACATTAATATTTTATTTCAGAGTTTTATAACTGTATTCATAAGGAAGCATTTTTTTTAAACTTTTTGTAAACCTTTAAAAAATGATGCTGTGTGTGTGTGTGTGTGTGTGTGTGTGTGTGTGTTTTCTCAGAGACAGTCTCGCTCTGTCATGCAGGCTGGAGTGCAGGGGCATGATCACAGCTCACTGTAACCTCGAACTTGTGAGCTCAAGTGATCCTCCTACCTCAGCCTTCCAAGTAGCTGGGACTGCAGGTGAGCACTACCCTGCCCAGCTAATTAAAAACTTTTTTTTAAAGAAATGGGGTCTTACTATGTTGCCCAGGCTACTCTCAAACTCCTGGACTCAATTGATCCTCCCACCTCAGCCTCCTGAGTAGCTGGGACTACAGGTGTGTGCCACCACGCCCAGCTAATTAAAAAAAAATTTTTTTTAGAGATTTTTTTCTCAGTATGTTGCCCAGGCTACTCTCGAATTCCTGGACTCAAGTAATCCTCCTACCTTGGCTTCCCAAAGTGCTGGGCTTACAGGTATGAGCCACTGCACCAAGCCTCATGTTTTAATATGTGATGTTCTCATTGATGTTCAGATCTAATAGTTGACAATTGAGTTTTTAGTCGTTCTTTACTAGAGAGCTATTTTGAAGAATGTTAAAAAATATATGAAGCAGTGAGATGTATTTTGGGTGGGAAGAATTATTTTTGTTACTGTTTTATTATCTTGAAGTAAGAGAAGGTGGCCCATATGATATCTACTCTGTAGACTTCGTTGCATTGGTATTTATGACCTAATATGTATTCAAGTTCTAGAAATAGTGCACAAATATTTGAAAAGAATATCTTTCGTATATAAAAAGGTCTATATATACCTATTAAGCATATTGATTATATGATTTTCATTTACTGTGTCCTTATTTTTCTGATGAATTTGACAATTTGAGCCAATTTTACTCAATATACCTACTATAATTTTGGATTTTTCAATTTACTTTTGAATATAAAAACTTTTGATTCATATATTTTGATGTGTGTAACTGTATATAAGCTCAAGACTACTACATCTTCTGGACAGAATAAAACTTTTACTCCTATAAAGCTTCCTTAGAAAAACTCTTCTTTGTTTTATTTTATGCTCTTTATCCTAAATTCCATTTTTTCCCCATAGGATTGCCACTCCTGCTTTCTTTTTGTTTGCCTGGCATTTTTAACTGGAAATTTCACTTATTCACATTAATTGTAATACATAATATATGTGAATTTATTCTTATAATTTTTATTTTTTGTTTGTTGTAGGTTCTTATTGCCCTTTTCTTCCTCTTTCTTGGATTAATCAATTTTCTGGGCCGGGCGCGTTGGCTCACGCCTGTAATCCCAGCACTTTGGGAGGCCAAGGCGGGTGGATCACGAGGTCAGGAGATCGAGACCATCATGGCTAACATGGTGAAACCTCGTCTCTATTAAAAATACAAAAAATTAGCCGGGCGTGGTGGCGGGCGCCTGTAGTCCCAGCTACTCGGGAGGCTGAGGCAGGAGAATGGCGTGAACCAGGGAGGCGGAGCTTGCAGTGAGCAGAGATCGCGCCACTGCACTCCAGCCTGGGCGACAGAGCGAGACTCCGTCTCAAAAAAAAAAAAAAAAAATCAATTTTCTTCGTCAGATTTTTCTTATCTAGTGGTTTGCAAGTTATGCACCTTCTGTGTATTAGTGATTTTTTTGTATTTTACAAACATACTTTGAGACACCGTTTTCTTCATGTCTAGAATGTCTCTGTAATTTGTCCCCTTGAACAAGATAAGACCTTAAGAATCTTTTTTTCTCTATCCTTCTCCCCCCAAATGTTTTCCTCCTTCTTTCTCCATGTTTCGTTAAAATCATCTGGAATTTTTATTGCATATTGTGTCTAAGTGCGGATATGTGAATTGTTTCCCCTTGAAGTTCGTATGTTGAAGTCCTAACTCCCTCAATCCAAGAATGTGACTGCATTTGAAGATAGGGTCTTCAAAGACGGAATTGAATTAAAATGACATCATTAGGGTGTTTTTCCTAATCCACTAGTGTTAAAAACACTTAAACTTCAGATATTTCATTTTTTTCATTCCTTTCTCCAAGTCACTGGATTTAATTATTATTATTATTATTATTATTATTATTATTATTATTATTTATTTGTTTTTTTTTTGAGACGGAGTCTCGCTCTGTCGCCCAGGCTGGAGTGCAGTGGCACTATCTCGGCTCACTACAAGCTCCGCCTCCCGCATTCTCGCATTCTCCTGCCTCAGCCTCCCGAGTAGCTGGGACTACAGGCGCCCGCTACCACGCCCGGCTAATTTTTTGTATTTTTAGTGGAGACGGGGTTTCACCGTGTTAGCCAGGATGGTCTCCATCTCCTGACCTTGTGATCAGCCCGCCTCATCCTCCCAAAGTGCTGGGATTACAGGCGTGAGCCACACTGGATTTATTTTGTAGGATCCACTTCCTTCTTCACTTTGCGGGGAGAAAGAGTAAGGTTAGATTACAATCTGGGCTCCACCACTTGATGTGTGCCCTTGGCCAAAATGCTTAAACACTTAGAACCAATGAGTTCTAACCCTTAAATTGAGGGGAAGGACCAATGAACCACTGCATATTTTTTTTGTGAAAATTATTTCATCCAGCACATTTATGAAGGTTACATTATGTTCCAGGCACAGTGGTAGATGCCAGGGAGACAGCAGTTCCTGCTGGTGATGAGTTTATAGTCACAATCCCTGTGAGATATCGTCTGGGAAATACCTAATTTATAGTCTCTCAATACTTAGTAGCTAGTGTCATTACTTTTACAGGAAAATATTCTTCTAGTTCTTTTTTTAGAAATGGTCTCACTCTGTTGCCCAGGCTGGAGTACAGTGGTACCATCATGACTCACTGCAGCCTCAACCTCTCAGGCTCAAGCATCCTCCTGTCTCAGCCTCCCAGGTAGCTAGAACAACAGGTGTGAACCACTATGCCCTGCTATTTTTTAAAAAAAATTTTGTAGACAGGGTCTTGTTATGTTGCCCAGGCTGTTCTCTAACTCCTGCACTCAACTGATCCTTCCACCTCGGCCTCTTAAAGTGTTGGGTTTACAGGCATGAGCCATTGCACCCAGCCTAGAACTTAAAGCACTGATAACATGCTTTTCCAAGTTTGCTCCACTGTGAACACCACAAAAAACATGACACAATTTGATTCCGAATACATTCAACCTTTTTGTTGTTGCTGCTGGCATTTTTTCTTGCCCTTTGCATGGATATTTGAACCTAATCTCTGATCAGTGCCTTAATTTGGGATTTACTGTTTTCTCTCTGCTCAGGCAGCTCTTTGGCATCTGAGAAATGCACATATTGGATGGTCTCATTTTCTACAATGGTAACTGGGGATATGGAACACTTTATATAAAAGAAAAAGGGGCTGGGCATGGTGGCTCATGCCTGTAATCCCAGCACTTTGGGAAGCCAAGGAGGGGGGATCACCTGAGGTCAGGAGTTTGAGACCAGCCTGACCAACATGGTGAAACCCCGTCTCTACTAAAAATACAAAATTAGCTGGGCATGGTGGTGCATGCCTGTAATCCCAGCTACTTGGGAGGCTGAGGCAGAAGAATCACTTGAACCTGGGAGGTGGAGGTTGCAGTGAGCCAAGATCATGCCACTGCACTCCAGCCTGGGCAACAAAGAGTGAAACTCAAAAGAAAAAGAAAAAAATAATGTCAGAGAAAGTCCTGTAGAGATGTTTTCTCTATTGGTATAAGCCACACATGTTCAATTTGTCAATACTTCCAAAGACCAAACTTACCTAGATGTAGTAAAGGATTTCTAATGTTGCCCTTCACAAGGGACCAGAGTAGATGACTGCAGTGATGTTTTTTGCTGCTCCTCCAAATCTATTTTCCTGTCTGAAACCCTAAAAGGACTTTGATTCTGCTCAGATATTCACCCTATCCCCATATCAGAACTGAGTCTCGATTAGCCACTCAGAACTTGGATATCCCTTAGCAACTTTTGTTGGTTTGGGGGTAGATGTGTGGTATAAATTAGCCCAATCAGATTTAAGGGAAGGATTATTTAAAGGGGGTGGAAGGATTCTCTCTCTTGTTGAATGTAAACAAGCAGATATGCAATTCTGCATGCCATGGGCAGCCTATAATTATGAGGCAGATTCACCCCAAGCTCACTGTGGACTCTTGAGTAGAGAGACAAAATGAATCTGTGTCTGCAATGATCTTGTTGAATCAACCAACTTTTAAGCTTGTTCTGCTGCTGGACTTCCTGTTGTATAATACATTTTAAAATTATGTAGGGCAGTTTGAGTCAGGTTTTTTCTTGCTTGTAACCAAAAGCACCCTGTAAAACAGTAAGTTTACTTTGGATATTTTTAGAGGAATAAGAGAAACCAATGGAATAATTAAATTCACTGTTAAATCAGTCTTCACAGGTGAGAATATACATATTGGCACTCCTTATTTACTCCCCAAGTCCCTCTCGCTAAAACCTCCCTTTAATTTTGATGGCAGCTTAAAAAACTGTGTGTTTTCAGAAGGAAAGATTTAGGGTACTCCATAACTAAGGCTCATCTCATATTCTCAAGGAAAACAGGACAGTTTAAAATATTTGCTGAAATTTATGAAAGCTTGTATCCTGTGGAAAAGTTAATAATAGGATGTTCACTTACTTAAAAAAAATGTCATCCCCGAGCACAAAGAAATCCATTAGGTAATTCCACCTAGAAAAATTAATGTTCACATGCAGATTCTCTATTATAAAGTGCTTGGGTCTCAGAGCTGCACTTCCTTTGTTGAAAGATTATGTTTTGATGCACATGAAAAATTTCATTAAAAAGCAATAAATAAGAGACAACTTGGCAGAACATGCTCTAGAGAGCTAAATGGATTCTCCCTTCTTTGGTTATGGTTTATAGTTGCAATATAAAGTGCTTGGAACATGAAGAATCTCCCTGTGGCAGTTTGCTTAGGACATGAAGATTTAGACTTCACTCTTGGATTAAAGTTAGGCAGAAGTAATGACTTTATTTTTGGTGGTGGTTGTTGCAGTTAATTTAACAGCAGAGAAAAGAAAAACACATAGTCTTCAGAAACCTGACAGCTGGACTTCACTTTATAACAGAAATTTTCTCACGGTAGCTCACATGTAATGGTTGATCAATAAATATTTGCTGAGTTGAATTGAAATTGGCTTTTTGTAAACCACATCATCTTTTAAATGCCTGAAATGGGCTTCCATTATATGCTTTGAGAATTTCTTCTCCCATTAGCATAAATCAGAGAGGAGAAAAAGCAATAACATGTAATAATGTCATGAAATTAATTTCTTATAATAAGATATCTTCACTATGTCTCAAGGACTTGCTATATATTGTGTGAAATCATTGTATCACACTTCGATTTAGTTCTTTCTTGTTGTATTTAAGGATGGGACTCAGTCTGAGAAAAATGTTTCCACAGTGGAGAACAAACTATTTATTCAATATTTATCCACGTAGCAAATTATTCCATGCAAGTTTCTGGTGTGAGGAAAAGGGAAAGGAGTTACAAAGCATAGGGGAAAATTTTTCAAAGATGTATAATCTAGTTAGGTACATAAGACAAACAATACCTTATTATTATAAGGTAACGTGGCAACTGTTTCATAAACTACATAGAAAATATGTAGTAAAAAGGTTTAGCTGCAGTGATCAGAGAAAAACACATGAAAAGATTTGATACTTAAAACTAAGAAGATTTGGGGGCTCAGTAGATTGATGGCCATCAGCAATACATTAGTTTAGTGGTTTTGAAATTAGAGCATATGTAAGATTCACCTAGGAATTTATCTGCCAGCATAATTTGTTGGGCTCAATACCCTGAAATATCCTTCCAGAAGAAAGCCCTTAGTAATGCTAGAAATTTTGTGTGTGTGTGTGTGTGTGTGTGTGCATGCATGCATGTGTGTTTGTGTATGTGGTATATCACTTAATATACAAGAGTGGCAATACAGTAAGAGAAATTCTAAGATGCCCAACACAATGAGTGAAGCTAACACTGGGGCCAGTGGTTATCCTGACTGAGGAGCACCTTGGTAGCCCTTGGATGCCCTAGAGTTTGAGCAAGGTGGGAATTCAGACCACAGACTCCCATGTAAAGCCTTAAAGATAAAACCTTAGTGAAAAGATGACTAGAACAAAATGCCTTGTGACAGGAGAAAGGAGGAAAACTTGTTTGTCTTGAACTTGGCTCTAGGTAGGAAAAATATAGTCAATAGTGAGAATTTAAAACCATGGCTAGCCCTCCAGCAGGATTAGGAATGAAATTCACCCTAAAAAATCAACCTAATAAACCTAGTAAAATTTAAATTGATATGGTCCAAAACCTCCAAACTAAGGATTTGTGTTCAAGTAGTCATCCGGTTAGAAGTTCCCTGCAGTCCTCACTGTGATGTGCTGCTCAAGTCACCCCTGCAGAACAGAGGTCTGCATTGTCCTGGCTGCAAAGTGTTGCCTGCTGAGGGCTCACAGCTGAGTTCTTCTGGAGCAATTGCTTTTGGCTGAAGGGAAGTGCTTCATCTAAGAGGAAGACCACTCCCCCAGGGGCAGCGTATGCTGAGGTGCAAAGGCCTCGTCCCCTTTCCTCAATTTGAGGCATTACTGAAGGACCAATCCATGGTCCTTTAGAGTTTCCCATGAAAACTGTTGAGATGACATTTCAGTTCAAATCTCCCTCTGTCCTCAGTTTCTTTCATTTCCTTGCAGATGTTGTTTGTGAGAGTACTCCCTAATAAAGTGACTCCATGCAAGCCTCTTTTTCAGAGTCTTTCCTGGGGGACCTTAGCCTGTGATGTGCCCTGCCCCTAGGGTCCCAAAACAAATGCAGATCATTTCTGGAGGAATCTATCTTAAAACCAGGTCTCAAAGTACTCCCATAAAGTTCTAACAAATAGGAGCTTACTATCAAAAATTATACAGCACATCAGAAAATAAGCCAACAAGAGCAAAAGCCAGTAGAAACAACAAAGAGCAGAATTAGGCCTGTAGAGCCTACCGCTGTTGAAATTGTCAGATAGTGCAGGGGTTGGAAAGTTTTTCTGTAAAGAGCCCCGTGGTAAATATTTTAGGTTTGCTGGCCATACAGTCTCTATTGCTACTGTTATGGGATTCTTGGGGTGTTGCTTCACCAGCTGGAAACCTCTGTGGCCAGTGGTGCCTTTGCCTGAGTTTTGCTTTGGCCTGCTGGGCTCCTTCTGTTCTCTCAGTCTGGCAGGCTGTGCTCGGCTCCCGCTACTGGCCTGGATCCCATGCCTGCCAAGGGTGAGCCAGACATGCAGCTACAAGGGGTATGTGAATGAATGTGGGGTCCAGCTACTGCACACAGCTAGGCACACAGACTGTGCTGGGCCAGGCAGCTGCAGATGCTGGTATGGGCACCAGCTCCCTACAAGGCTGTGGCTGGACAAGGTGTACCATAAGCAGCTTCCACAGCTGACACCAGGGAACATGGTGTGGTGCCCGGAAGCTTGGGATGCCAGGAACTGCAGAGCCCTAAAGAGGGTATCACAGCCCTGGCTTGGGGAGCTTCTAGGTCTGGGCTCCCTGAAGGGCTGCAGCTCTTCTCTCCTTTCTTGTCACCCACAACGTGGTGAGCAAGGGGTGTGTTTCAGCCCTATTTGTGTTACAGCAATTTTAGCCCCACCATTTGGCAGGTCCTGAGTTCTTGTCCTGTGTCCAGGAAGAATGAGGTACGCAGACAAGTGTAGGGTGAGTAAGATGAAGAGGAGCTTTATTGAGTGATAGAATAGCTCAGAGGAGACCTATAGTGGGTAGTTCCTCTCTATAGCCAGGGTGTCCTGACAAGTGTTCAGCTCTCAGCAGAGAGGGTAGCTACTCTCTGTAGCTGGTCATCCTGTCTCTTCAGCTCTCAGCAGAGAGGAGACCCTGGGGTGGGTAGCTTCTCTCTGTAGCTGGTCGTCCCATCATCTCCTTGAGTCTGGGAATTTCATGGGCCTCAGAGGGGAGGAAGTATGTGCCAGTTGGTCCATGGGCAGCCATGGGTGGGCGTGGAAAAGGCACCACAAATTCCCACTCTGGTCTGTGGGACTGGGAGCCTGGCCCCCAGGCTTCGGCTCCCCCCAGCTTGGAGGTGGGGCTTCACCAGGGACCTGCCCCCTTCTGCCCAGGAGCCTGTCTGCCTCCTGCTGCCATTCATGGCACCTAGGCTATTTGTGCCAAGGGGTGCCTGCAGGCCAGCATCGAGCTGCCTTCAGTACCCCTTTGGCCTCCCTCCAGTGCTTGTTGGTGCCCCAAATCCAGAGGGGGTCGAGGTGGCAGGGAGCTGGCGTGTTAGCGCTGCCCTGAGTGTGCACACATCTGTCTGGGTTTCAAAATTGCCTGGGCTCAGCCTCAACTTTGCTCCATGATTGGAGCAAGAACTAACAGTGGCGAGAAGTCAGACAGCAGGAGCAGGCCCCCAGGAGTGTAGAGATGCCTGGGTCTGCACCTGTGGGTTGGGCGACTGTTGCTGTGCCTGGGAGGGTAGGGGTCCTGCCTGTTCCTGGCTCCCAGGAGCGCAGGGGTGCCTGGGTCTCAGCCTCAGCTTGGGAAGCTATAGTTGCGCCTGGGGAGCTCCTGCCCCACCAACTTGAAAGAGGCGGCCCTTCAGCTTGTCCTGGGCTCCCACTTGTCCCCAGCTCCTGCCCACTCTGTGGAGTGTGCAGTCCCAGCCCTACCTCCTGTCTGCATTTTCCCCAGCAGCAGCAGTGGCAGCCCCTGGCCAACCTCAAACGAGTGAACCCGACACTCCTGGGGCCAGCCCTGTGAATTCTGGCTGTGCCTTCAGCAGGGTGCTCATGGACTCCTGGGATGCGGCAGGGAGTGAGGTTGAGGCAGCGACAGAGGCTCTGGGCCTGGGAGCACGTCCTGCCCAGCCATGCAAGGGTGCGGGTCATGCAGTTGGCTGCCTCAGGGACATGGGGTACAGGGGACCCACCGCTGCCACTGCTGCTTGTGCAGCTGCTCCTGCTGCCACCACTCATGTCTTTCTGCTGCAGCCGGCATGATGGCAGCGGATGCTCCAGATAGCCTGCCGCTGCCATCACTACTACTAAATTCTGCCATTACAGAGTGAACCTACCAAGATAAAATTAAACAGACAGCTTTGGCTGGGTTTCAGTAAAACATTGTTTGAAAAACAGGTTGGATTGGATTTGGTTGGGCTGGCCTTGGCCTGTGGGCCATAGCTAACAAACACCCTGAGGTGGAGTATAAATATATCATGTAATATTCTTAGGAAATGAAGGAGGGGATCCAAAATATTACTAATAATCAAGGAACTATAAAATGACCAGACTAAATTTCTAGAATTAAATTAAGTAACAAATAAAACTAGAAACTTGATGGACAGGTTAAATAGCAGATTAGATGTACCCAGACAAGGATTAGTGAACCAGAAAGTATAGCTTTAAAAATTATTGAAAGTGCAGTATGGAGTGTAACAAAGGTATAAGCTAAAAAAGAGCAAAGTGTCATGTAAGCTGGAGAGAGTCTATTCTGTTTCTAATCTGCAAACATCATGTTCAGCAGCAAAGTACTCAACACTTTTCTTCAAAGTCAAGAATAAGAAAAGGATGCTATGACCATCGTTTGTATTCAATAGAATTAGTGTAAATAAGAACAAAACATAAAAACTAGTGGAACTGGAAAGAAGGAACAAAACTGCCAGTTTTCATAGATGATACAATTAACCACATAGCAAACTTAAAAAAAAAAGTAACAGTTATAAAACTAGTGAGAGAATTAGCATGGTAAAGTAATATATAATTAAAATTTACATCATTTGAATTTCTATACATTAGCAACATACAGAGATTACATACAAATATACAGTTCTCTAAAATGTAAGGTACCTAGCAATTCATATAACAAAAGATACACAAGTTATTTAGGGAGGAAATTATAAAATTTGATTAAAGGACATTAGGTCGGGCATGGTGGCTCACACCTGTAATCCCAGCACTTTGGGAGGCCGAGGCGGGCAGATCACCTGAGGTCAGGAGCTTGAGACCAGTCCAACATGGTGAAACACCAACTGTACTAAAAATACAAGAATTAGCTGGGTATGGTGGCGGGCGCCTGTAATCCCAGCTATTTGGGAGGCTGAGGCAGGAGAATCACTTGAACCTGGGAGGCAGAGGTTGCAGTGAGCTGAGATCATGCCATTGCACTCCAACCTGGGCGACAGAGCATGACTCCATCTCAAAAAAAAAAAAAAATATTGATTAAAAGACATTAAAGGGGATGTAAACAGAGACACACCATATTCACATATTAGAAAACAATACTGTAAGGATGTCAGTTACCCTCAAATTTATCTATAGATTCTATGCAATTCCAAACAAAATTTCAACTTTTTTTGGTGGAATTGGACAAACTGAATCGAAACCATAATAGAAGAACAAAGAATAAGAAACAGGCAACGCACTTGTGAAGAAGAAGGTGAGCAATTCTTGTCCTACCAAATATAAAGACTTAGTATGAAGTTATAGTAATTAGGACTGTGGAACTGGCATGAGGGTAGTCCAATATATCAGAAGCAGATCCTTATGTATAGAGAAACATGATCCATGACAGGGGTAGTATGGCAGATCAGCAGGGAAAGGATGAACTCTTTCAT
This sequence comes from Homo sapiens, assembly GCF_000001405.40. Lineage (NCBI taxonomy): Eukaryota > Metazoa > Chordata > Mammalia > Primates > Hominidae > Homo > Homo sapiens. The sequence goes on from NC_000008.11 coordinate 67,642,734, forward strand.
AAATAGAACTGGAACAACTACTTATCCATGTGGGAAAATAATTAACTTGGGCCTTTATCTCACACACACACACACACACACACACACACACTCCAAGTCAAAATGGATTAAGAATTCAACTGAAAGGCAAAACCTTAAAAGATTAAGAAGAAAACATAAATTATCTTTATGACCCTGGGATAGGGTAGTATTTATAAAACAAGATGGAAAAATCATAAAGATTAATTCAATTATATTAAAATGAGGAACTTTTCATGAAAATATTCCATAAAGTCAAAAGGCAAGCCCTAGAGAGGAGATATTTAAAACATATAAGCAGAAGATTAGTATCAATATGAAAAAGATGCATTACCTAAAAAATGTACAAAATATATCAACATGAAATTAACACGAAGCAAATGAACAAAAATATGAATAGATGCATATCATCCTTAATAAGCAGGAAGATGCAAATTAAAACCACAGGAGACATCATTTCACAACTACCAGTTTCTCAATGGAATTTCCACAGCACCAAGAGGTAGGAGAGTCATACAGGAATCGCAGCTTTATGTCATAATCACAAAACTAAACTAGAAACAACCCAAACTTTTCTCAACAGTAGAAAACTAAACTGTACCTCTCCAAAAAATGGAATACTATATAGCAGTGAAAATAGATGAACCACAGATATCATATATCAACAAGGATGAATCTTGCAACCATCCTACTGATGATTAAAACAAGTCACAGAAGAATACATAATGTATAATTACATTTTTATAGATTTCAGAAGTGACTATAAGATTTTAGGGATACAAGTATATATGGTAGTTTTTTTTTTAAATCAACTGAGCAATAAAAACAAGGCTACCGGTAACCTCAGAAGGAAGGGGAGAGGGAAAGAGAGATGTGATTAAGAAGGAAGTACACATGGGAGGATTCAAATACCTTGGCAGTGTTTCACATTTTTAGCTGAGTGGTGGACATATAGGTGTTTGTTGTATAATTATTTGTTAAAACTTGCATATATATTCATATGTACTTATTTACATATGAAATTTCATCAAAGAGAAAGAATGACCTAGTACCGGTAGAAAATGTAGATTCTCAGGCCCCATCCCATAAATTTGAATTCAGTAGGTCTGATAAGCATCCCAGGTGATTCTGAGGTAGCGATGTCTATAGATCACATAGAAAAAAATAGACACTGGCTTGTTATAACAACGTGGGTTTACTACACTGAAAGAATTAACACTTATCCTGAGAAAGAAAATAAGACTTGGTTGAGCAATGGAGAAAAAGAGACATCTTCCACTCTTCATATCACAATGCAGATTGAGGGGGGTTGGCAGTACCTTAAAGACCGCATGGTTGCCATTCTAAACTCATTTCATTATTGCTGTCTTATTTTTTTTTTTTTTGAGACAGAGTCTCGCTCTGTCGCCCAGGCTGGAGTGCAGTGGCGCCATTTCGGCTCACTGCAAGCTCCGCCTCCCGGGTTCACGCCATTCTCCTGCCTCAGCCTCCCGAGCAGCTGGGACTACAGGCGCCCGCCACCACGCCTGGCTAATGTTTTGTATTTTTAGTAGAGACGGCGTTTCACCATGTTAGCCAGGATGGTCTCGATCTCCTGACCTCGTGATCCGCCCGCCTCGGCCTCCCAAAGTGCTGGGATTACAGGCGTGAGCCACCATGCCCGGCCATTATGGCTGTCTTGGCTTGCAGGGATGCCCTGGGTAAAATAGCAGGGTGTGTGTGAGCTTGCATAACCCCAAAAGCACAGTAACTCTAACATGTGAAGTCCTGGGTTCTGTGTGAATAGAGGCAAATTCCAGACTTTTTGCACAGGCAGAGCTCTTACAAGCATGTTCTTGCTGTTAGATATACATTCAGTTCTGTGCACCGGAACTTGAAGAGGGATTGCAGACTGTGGGGACTTTTAGGATTTGGGAGTAGTATTTTCCCAGATTGATGAGCAGTGAAGAAGGGGACAGACTCTTGTTGGCTTGCACATGTCAGGAGCAATACCACATGGCCCTAACAGCAGCAAGGGCCAAAGGGAACCAGGCTTCTTGGCCCAGCTGTCATTAAGCTGTGGTACTCACACCCCTTGGGGTATGTGGAGACTTTCCGAGGGGAATAAGGAAACTGATCTTTTCAAGGCAGTGAATTTCCAGTTCTTTAGCATTCATACATACTCTTGCCTAAAACACACGTGTCTCAGAATGCACCTATAGGTGAGGTTTTGTTACTCTACTTCTACGATCCTACCCTCATCCTTCACAATCACACCCCTAATACTTTTCAGAATAAAGGCAAAACTTTCCTCTATCCTATATATTACTGTAGTGCCTTGCTCTGAGGGTGAAAAATTCTCAGGGGTATCAAAAAAAGCAATAATTAAATGAGGCACCGCAAGCCTGAGGTAGGACTTCATGTCTTTCTCTGCCATCATATCACATTGTATCATATATCACATCAGATCGTAAGGTTAAGTATGGTATTAAAAATAGGACGGGAAAGTCTATATTCAAATATATCATGTTGAGAGGAATGGGACTTGATAATTTATATCTAACAACCTCACTTTTTCTGTCACCTATTAACAACAAAATGCATTGCTCCTGAAGGTGAGTGCCTTAAGAGTGAATGAGAGAATCGGTAAAAAAATGTTGAAGATCACGGCATGAATTTCATTTAGGCAACAAATGCAGGACAGAGCTTTGTATCTTATCTACTGGCATATCCTAGAATTCAATTTAAGAAGGAAAAGGGTTGTGAAGGGGCTGTGTATTAAACAGAAAAGTATAAATTGAAAGATGAAGGCTGATTTTCCTGACAGAAAGTAAGTGATTGGGCTGACTAGTATAATAATGAAGTTTGTCTTTGCCAATTAAACGATATAACACATGGTTTCCTAAATAAGCTATATTTGCAGCTTCAAGGTTTAGAGAAAAATTATTTTTTAAAGCACGTAATACCTTTTTGTCAAATATTATTGTGTTGGAACAAATATAATGATGTCAATATTTTAATTTTCCCAGGTCTTCTGATCTTATCAAGTTAAACAAAAGTAGATAAGGGATACATTATTTTCCAGATTTCTTCTTGAGGGACATGAGTAGAGAAGTTGGGAAACCACTTTCTTAGCTGTCTGTACTGGTTTCTAGTTCTTTCTTTGAGAAGATGGTAATTCCTCTTGTTACCCAGTGTGATGCCTACCTGACCTAGGTGCATTTCTACCCTGCCTTAACTCTGCTTATCTTTAGGAAAGAAAATGCCTGAGATAAAAAGTTCTCTCTCCTGACCAAAATGGCTAAGACTGGTGGGATCCAAGATGACAGCCCACTTGATCTCTGAAGAACCTCTAACTTCATTATAGTCTGATCTCTCTGCTATGTAACACTGCAACCAGCACCATGACAGGTGACAAACACCATGAGAATGACTGGAAGCAACCATAAAAAGACAAAAAGGCAGGCAGCACTCCAGTTTCTAGGAGTTCTCTACCAACTCTCAGAAAAGACATGAAGATTCCTCCCCTTTCTTTTAATGCTCAACCCCTTCATTAAAGATGCCCTGTATTTCCAGCTTCCTGGCTTTCATGGGCTGAGAATTTGATTTTTGAACCAAGCTTCTGCTTCTCAATCCTATGGCCATCAAATAAAGCCTGCACTGCTAGACATTCACTTTTGGTTTTGCCTATTGGCTTCATGGGATCGAACAGGGAAATACCCCATTTTTGGTGGGGGAACGACTTTGTTGGTAACACTCCAACCGAGCAAACCTCTCTGGAGGTGCTGTGGAGTTGTCAAGGAGAAGATCTTGGGAGAGAAAAAAGACATCACTGTTAACAGGTGAGATAATGAATAACAATTATAACATCATTTTAGGTAGTGATGAGGGTCATGAATAAGATAAGAGGTAATTTGATCATAAGTGGAGTGGGGCAGATGTGCTAATTCAAATTGGGTGGCCATGGAAGGATCCCATGAATCAATTTTTGAAATAAAACATGGATGGTAAGGAGCCTGCAGGGGAAGATTTGAGGGAAGAGGGCTCCAGGCAAAGGAAACACAAGCGCAAAGGCCCTGAGATGGAATAGGCTTGCCCTGTTTGAGGACAGGAAGACAGTCCATGTTTCTGCAGCTGAGACTGGAAAGAGGCAGTGTTAGGGAGGGAGGCAGGCCCTATAGGAAGTTTGGCTTTTATTCTTAGCACAATGAAAGCTCTTAGAGAGTTTAAATCAGAATGATATCTAATTTATAGTTTTAAGCTCACTCTGGCTGCTATGTGGAAAATGGATTACAGGGAAAGGGAAGAGAAAGGGGAGAGTAGGGATGATCAGTTAGGAGACAATTGACACAGCCTAGGAGGAAAATGGCTTATCTAAAGAAGTAAAAGAGAAGGCAAGATCTAGGATCTATCAGAGGGAGAACCAACAGGGTCCACTGCTGAATTTACATGACCACAGGAGAGGGAGGAAAAGAGGAGTTACAGAGGATGTATGTTTCAATGAGTTTGAGAACATTGGAGCCAGGTTTGACAGCAAATATCAAGCTCCTTTTCCTTTTTGGGTATGTTAAGTTTGAGATGCTATTAGACAATGATAGGATAATCTTTTTTTTTTTTTTAAATTATTGAGAGACAGGGCCTCACTATGTTGCCCAGGCTGGCCTTGAACTTCTGGATTCAAGCAATTCTCTTGCCTGAGCCTCCCAAGTAGCAGGGATTACAGGTGCATAACACCATGCCTGGATTTGACAGGATAATCTTGGATATGTTAATTTGAGGTGTTGCAGCTCAGAAACCAATGCCACAAAATACGATGCTTTGATATGCTGAACTGAAGAAGCAGCCTCAAGGTCTCTTAGACCTTCCCTGACTCCTGTCTCTCAATTGTCTCCCAAAGAATGTAATGAAATTGTTCTCTGAAGTTCCCTTATCTGCCTAAAGTCTGGACGCAATAAAGAAGAAAACAATTACCTGTGGTTCTTTCTCTGAGTTTTCAATAACGGATCTTACATTACAGGAAGAAAGGCTGAAGTCTGTCAATGTACCTGGAGAGACTTTTGTCACAAACCACTGTCTGCTCTATAGGCCCAACAGAGTATGTTCCAGGCCATTATATGTTCTTCAAGCCCACTGAATCCCCCTAAAAATCATTTACTACCCCCCTAAAATCATCTACATCTATCTCCATTTTCCCTAAGAAGTAGGGTATAGAAGCATCTGTATCCCACTGGGATATTGGGTATCACTCTATGATCTTCCCCTGTGAATGCTAATGAATTTGTATGCTTTTTGTCCTATTAATCTGCCTTTGTCAGTTGATTTTTTTTCAGAGAACTTTCAGAGGACAAAGGGGAAGTTCCTTTGGCCCCTATAGGGGGCTTAGGAGGAAGTTAGGGCTGGAGATATAAATTGAGGAGTCATCAACATATAATTCATCATTTCAGTTTTATACTCTGCCTATGTACCGCAGAGACTGTTTAGAGAATAGATGAAAGATCAGAAATAGTATTCAAATTTCCTAGATTAGGTTTTTTTTTTTTTTTTTTTTGCTAGACCTTCTCTTTTCTTAGTTATTCCTTCATTCCGTGTATAAAATTAGTATTTACATTTTCAGTCAAAATCCTTTGAGGAATGAGAGAGAAGGGGTAAAGAACGGCATTGCTAAGCCTTTAGGCCCAACACAGAAGGCTGTGCTGCATCATACTGCCAGCTCCAGACTTACTCAGCTCCAAATTCAAGTCTTGAGCAAATGGAGCATAAGTCACGTCTGGAACCCTCATTGCAAAGCAGCTTGGGTTTTGGTAGCCTCTGCTGGCAAGAAAGGCCCAGAAGGAAGAGGTTGGAATAGTTTCTGAGTAAGCCAATACAGGGTCTGCCACATCGGTGAGAAAAATGGGAGTACTAATTTCTGTGAGGTTTTAACTCTACCAGAGATTTTAAGAATTTTTATTTGAAACTTTTCATGCAGAATTTTGTTTTTCTTTTGGTGTGTTAAAGGGATAAAGCAGCTACAGAAAGCTGTGGAAAAGTTCCATTGGAAGCTGTGAGCCAGATTTGTAAACTAGCCTTTTATTTGTTAACCAAAAATAAGAGTTGGTTGAAATGACTGTTAGAATAGAACTGGGGAATATCATCAATGAAACTGGGAAAACAAACCAGGCTCTGTTTATGTTCTTGCCAAATGTGTTCCTCGGTTTGGGGATTTTCTTTTTTGATGATTTTAGTTTGGTTTGGGGAGGGAATTTTTTTTTTAATGGTAAACACACACATATTGCAATATGTGAATGATCTTTACATCTTTGGAGGTGATTGTTTTTTACCTCTTGATGGATGCACAGTTCACACAGAAGGCAAAAGAGCAGTGCAAGGCATTGGATTTTTTTTTTCATGGAAAGACGAAAATAACTGCACAAAACCTTAATATTTCTAAATTCCTACATTTTCTCTGCTTAAAAATCCTTGGCATGTTGACAAAAATGTCTAGAATTTATTTCAAATGATATTGGAAACATCTGCATGCAATGTGAATCTGGAATTATCTGTTTTTTGTAAAGAATAATTAGGCATATCCAAATTATCAGTGACAACTGACTGAACTAAAGAGTCTGCAGGGAACTTGTCTCTTTGTAATGTTTGATGTTTTTACTTTAATCCTAACAACAGGATATCCAACAATAATAAATTACAATGATGCCCAATAGTTTTTTTCATTCTTACTATTTTTGAGCTTTTTCTAAAGACTTTCCATGTACTATCTCATTTGGTCCTCTTATGATTTTTTAACAATTGGCTAAATTTTTTGGCAGTATATTTGATTCTTTCTATTTTTAAGGATTTGAGGAAATAGTAAACGAAGGCAATGATTATTTGTATATACACAAGAGCATTGGGAACTAAGGTTGAATTTTTTTAAGGGTCACTCAGTGTTTTAGAAGGATGGTCAGTAGTTCGTACCAAATTGTTCATTATAAGCCATGGTTGGCATGAGAACTGTATAGCTATGACCGCCTGTGACTTGTTCTTTTGAATCTGGAAATTTCTAGGAAGCAAAAACAATCTTGAAATTTAAGCTCAGTCTGACCAAAAAAAATGCTTCTTGAATGGTGGTGGATGCTGTGAATGAAGACTTAAGGAAAAGGAAAGGGAAAGCGGCAAAGTGACAACATTGCAAGCAGCCCATGGAGAAGTAACGACACCAGTTGAAGGGAAACGAGGACAAAGAATTAGTAAAGTCTAAAGAGTGAGGCTGAGACTCAGGAAGTCAGATTGTCATTTTCACATGGAAAATCTCTAAAACCTGGATCTGCCCTTTCCTTTTTCCTTTATTATTTCCTGTATTAAATTTATATGGGGGCTGTATGTGGTTTAGGGCTTTAAGACCCTTTCCTGGAGGAAAGATTGAACTTACTTTTCTTTTTTGGTGGTGAGACTGCTGGCTGTATAAATGTAACCAGTTCTGGAACAATTTCTTCAATGGTTAAGAAATATGATTGTGCAATCATATCAACCAGCATGCTTTTGGTTCCAAATTAACAGAAAACCACCTCAAATTAGACAAAATTACAATAGAAAATTATTTGTATATAAACGAAAGGGCCAGCAGTAGGTCAGCGGGGTTCGATCAGGACTCTAGCTCATTCTCTGCAGTTCTCTTAGCTCTATGTTCATCTGTTCATTTAAGCAGGCTTCCCTTACTGTCACAAAAGGGCAGCAGCAGTTCTAGGCCTCACATCCATACACCCCACTGTCAAGGAGGAGGAGGTACTGCTCCAACTACTAAAAGCAAAAGCCTTGAACTTCACTCTACTTGGACCAAATAAGGTGCCATGGACATCCATGAATAAATCATGGTGCCAGAGAAATGCCATGTGCTGGCTGGTTCATGTCTATTGAGGCTCACTTCTGCATTGTAGCTGGGGAGGTGGTGGTAGTGGAGGGATACACCTTAAAAATTCATGGCGGCTTCATCATGAGGAAAGAGGGATGGGAGACTGTCTACGATGTTCATATATAAAAATCAAGACCTGATCCCACACGCACTTGCCTATACTCTTGTCGGATTGTCTTTCACAAATTGCACAGAGGATTGATGGGTTGCCAGCAGGGGACCACTTGGTAGGTTTTAATGTACAGAGGCTGCAGGAGTGGGAGTAGGGAATAATCTTGTCAGGCTCCTACAAGCCAAAGCCTTCTGGAAGGATATTCTGAGGCTGCAGATTTTTGGCATTTAACAGCAGCTCAGGAGTAAGTTTAAGAATAATCAGTGAGGGGATGTTAATAGTAGCAGTCTAAAATTAGCCACTGAGAAGCCAAAGAATCAAAGAATTGTTGTAAGCTATGTTCAAAGGTAAAAACTAATTTGTTTCTTTTCCTTGTCTCCCCATAAGGAATTTACATGAAACTTAATGGCTTTGTGATTACATGAAGGTCTTTGCTTTCCTTCAGGCTGCATTTTTTTAGTGCTTTCTTACTAGGTAATTTTTCTCATTTGGTGAATAAAATTTATGTGTTGTAGGACTTTTTAATGTGTAAGTACCAAATCCTGAAACACTGATTTAAATGTTCTGAGATTCTGGAAGTCTAGAATAGTGAGAGATTTTTGAGTAGAAATGGCTTTATTTGTATTATGCAGCATGGAATTGCCTAATGGCAAACATCAGAAACCTCGGCCTCTATACTGGCTTCTCTTCTGCCTCACACCACACGCCATTTCCTTTTATTTATTTATTTATTTTTTAATGCTCAATATTTTATTTGTATTGTTGTTTTCTATATAGATATGATAGGGCTTCATGATTTTTTGTTTTCCTTGAACTGATTCCCAAAGTATTAGCCTCATGAATCATGTATTCACAAGAAACACACTCATTGTATTCTCTTTGCTGTATAATTTTGGTTTCGGTTTTCCTTACATTTCCTATTCAAGGAACATTTTCCTGTAAAACGACATGTTGAGAGAAGCAGCCATAATTTAGTAGAGAATAGCGCGAGAGCTATTCTATTTTTTTTTAAAATTTGATTATTATTATACTTTAAGTTTTAGGGTACATGTGCACATTGTGCAGGTTAGTTACATATGTATACATGCGCCATGTTGGTGTGCTGCACCCATTAACTCGTCATTTAGCATTAGGTATATCTCCTAAAGCTATCCCTCCCCCCTGCCCCCACCCCGCAACAGTCCCTGGAGTGTGATGTTCCCCTACCTGTGTCCATGTGTTCTCATTGTTCAATTCCCACCTATGAGTGAGAACATGCGGTGTTTGTTTTTTTGTCCTTGGTGATAGTTTGCTGGGAATGATGGTTTCCAGTTTCATCCATGTCCCTGCAAAGGACATGAACTCATCATTTTTTATGGCTGCATAGTATTCCATGGTGAACATGTGCCACATTTTCTTAATTCAGTCTATCATTGTTGGACATTTAGGTTGGTTCCAAGTCTTGCTATTGTGAATAGTGCCGCAATAAACATACGTGTGCATGTGTCTTTATAGCAGCATGATTTATAGTCCTTTGGGTATATACCCAGTAATGGAATGGCTGGGTCAAATCATATTTCTAGTTCTAGATCCCTGAGGAATCGCCACACTGACTTCCACAATGGTTGAACTAGTTTACAGTCCCACCAACAGTGTAAAATTGTTCCTATTTCTCCACATCTTCTCCAGCACCTGTTGTTTCCTGACTTTTTAATGATTGCCATTCTAACTGGTGTGAGATGGTATCTCATTGTGGTTTTGATTTGCATTTCTCTGATGGCCAGTGATGATGAGCATTTTTTCATGTGTCTTTTGGCTGCATAAATGTCTTCTTTTGAGAAGTGTCTGTTCATATCCTTTGCCCACTTTTTGATGGGGTTGTTTTTTTCTTGTAAATTTGTTTGAGTTCATTGTAGATTCTGGATATTAGCCCTTTGTCAGATGAGTAGGTTGCGAAAATTTTCTCCCATTTTGTAGGTTGCCTGTTCACTCTGATGGTAGTTTCTTTTCCTGTGCAGAAGCTCTTTAGTTTAATTAGATCCCATTTGTCAATTTTGGCTTTTGTTGCCATTGCTTTTGGTATTTTAGACATGAAGTCCTTGCCCATGCCTATGTCCTGAATGGTATTGCCTAGGTTTTCTTCTAGGGTTTTTATGGTTTTAGGTCTAACATTTAAGTCTTTAATCCATCTTGAATTAATTTTTGTATAAGGTGTAAGGAAGGGATCCAGTTTCAGCTTTCTACATATGGCTAGCCAGTTTTCCCAGCACCATTTATTAAATAAGGAATCCTTTCCCCATTGCTTGTTTTTTCTCAGGTTTGTCAAAGATCAGATGGTTGTAGATATGCGGCATTATTTCTGAGGGCTCTGTTGTGTTCCATTGATCTATATCTCTGTTTTGGTACCAGTACCATGCTGTTTTGGTTACTGTAGCCTTGTAGTATAGTTTGAAGTCAGGTAGTGTGATGCCTCCAGCTTTGTTCTTTTGGCTTAGGATTGACTTGGCGATGTGGGCTCTTTTTTGGTTCCATATGAACTTTAAAGTAGTTTTTTTCCAATTCTGTGAAGAAAGTCATTGGTAGCTTGATGGGGAGGGCAATGAATCTATAAATTACCTTGGGCAGTATGGCCATTTTCACGATATTGATTCTTCCTACCCACGAGCATGGAATGTTCTTCCATTTGTTTGTATCCTCTTTTATTTCATTGAGCAGTGGTTTGTAGTTCTCCTTGAAGAGGTCCTTCACATCCCTTGTAAGTTGGATTCCTAGGTATTTTATTCTCTTTGAAGCAATTGTGAATGGGAGTTCACTCATGATTTGGCTCTCTGTTTGTCTGTTATTGGTGTATAAGAATGTTTGTGATTTTTGTACATTGATTTTGTATCCTGAGACTTTGCTGAAGTTGCTTATCAGCTTAAGGAGATTTTGGGCTGAGACAATGGGGTTTTCTAGATATATAATCATGTCATCTGCAAACATGGACAATTTGACTTCCTCTTTTCCTAATTGAATACCCTTTATTTCCTTCTCCTGCCTAATTGCCCTGGCCAGAACTTCCAACACTATGTTGAATAGGAGTGGTGAGAGAGGGCATCCTTTCTTGTGCCAGTTTTTAGAGGGAATGCTTCCAGTTTTTGCCCATTCAGTATGATATTGGCTGTGGGTTTGTCATAGATAGCTCTTATTATTTTGAGATACGTCCCATCAATACCTAATTTATTGAGAGTTTTTAGCATGAAGCGTTGTTGAATTTTGTCAAAGGCCTTTTCTGCATCTATTGAGATAATCATGTGGTTTTTGTCTTTGGTTCTGTTTATATGCTGGATTACATTTACTGATTTGCATATATTGAACCAGCCTTGCATCCCAGGGATGAAGCCCACTTGATCATGGTGGATAAGCTTTTTGATGTGCTGCTGGATTCCATTTGCCAGTATTTTATTGAGGATTTTTGCATCAATGTTCATCAAGGATATTGGTCTAAAATTCTCTTTTTTGGTTGTGTCTCTGCCAGGCTTTGGTATCACAAGATGATGCTGGCCTCATAAAATGAGTTAGGGAGGATTCCCTCTTTTTCTATTGATTGGAATGGTTTCAGAAGGAATGGTACCAGCTCCTCCTTGTACCTCTAGTAGAATTCGGCTGTGAATCCGTCTGGTCCTGGACTCTTTTTGTTGGTAAGCTATTGATTATTGCCACAATTTCAGAGCCTGTTATTGGTCTATTCAGAGATTCAACTTCTTCCTGGTTTAGTCTTGGGAGGGTGTATGTGTTGAGGAATTTACCCATTTCTTCTAGATTTTCTAGTTTATTTGCGTAGAGGTGTTTGTAGTATTCTCTGATGGTAGTTTGTATTTCTGTGGGATCGGTGGTGATATCCCCTTTATCATTTTTTATTGTGTCTGTTTGATTCTTCTCTCTGCCATTTCCTTTTATAACATAACATGGGTTGGGGCAGAATTTAGGGCAACCGATGAAGAGAGTTTTGTACAGGATGTTGCCAATCTGTAAAATCTCTGACAATGTCCTTCTCCAAGTGAGGCTGAAAATGTGGTTCTGAGGCATCATGAAATCATTCTAACATACGTAAATTGGTCTCCTCTTTTTCTACACTGCCCCAGGCCTCAAGGGCTTACGATGATAGGTGGCCAGATTTGTCTAATTTTCTGTTTCTGCACTTTGGATTTAGTATAGCTTTCTATTGCTCGCTCTGAAACTTGAGGCAAATGATTTAATTTTTGTACTCTTTATGTAAGACACAGATAATGCTGCCCCTTCATTACAGTACAATCAGTAGAATAAAATTAGTTAGCATACAGGCATTCTTTGAATGTTACAAGGTTACACAATAAAAGAGAATTATTTAATCTCTCAGACATGTAAAATGGTCTGGAGTGTTTCAACCAGGCAGTCCTTGAATGCATCTGGGGTTTCTTTGTTATAACAGGGATTCTTACTGAATCCTTGATACAATTCTTATTGATACACTTTGATCATTCTAATAAAAAGACAGTACCAACATGCTTCTACTTTACAAATTTATATACTGGGAAAAAAGCATATGCAAGTCTTTTGGCTGTCATTTTATAAATAGAATAGCAGTAAAATCTCACAACAGAGATCCAGCTACCATTAGCACAGTGTCTGTGATTTCATATACTCTAATGAGCTGGGGAGAGAGAATACCTACTGTGACGTACAAAACTTAGGAATTAGGAGAAAAGGATTTTGATGGAAAGGGATGAGGAACTATGTCCTTCTTGAGATTAATCCTAAACCCCTGATATGGTTTGTCATGAAAACCATTTAAAGTCTTTACTCAAAACTGCTAAAAAATAACATTTTATTCTGGTGGAATTCTTTGGTCCTGCATTAATCAGTATCTGTGGAAAAAGCAAACCCTCCTCTCAATCTAATGCTGCAGCAGATCACATAGGCTGATTCTGGGGCCCTTTCAGAAGTTCCAGGAAAAGAGGAGGGGTGAGCTTAGCTGGAAATAGCAAAGAGGCCCCTGTGTGACTCTAAGGGCATCATTAAAAAGGAATGTTCAATCTCTGCAATCCCTGATTTTAAAACTACCACCACTGTGTGAATTGAAAGGCAGAGAGACATAACACTGAGGAGGCAAAAGACAGAAGACAGTATCTGAAAAAGGATTTTAAAAAGAAAATGTCTTTGTATAGAATTTTCCCCTTCATTGATCTCTGGCTCTGTTTTTTCCAAGGTTACATCTTACCTATCTCCTTACCTGGACGTAAAATACTTGGTGTTGCTATCACCAGGAGGCTTATGGGCTTTATGAGTTTTGGTGTGTGTTGTAATCTTCTTCTAGTCTCTGTGGAAGCAGGGAAGCAAACAAGGGCAGGCAATTGGAGAAGTTGGGGTTTTTCTTTTGCTTTGTTTTTGTTTTTGCCTCCTTTGCCCAGACTCTAAACAGAGTTGTGTGAGAAAAGAATTCTGGAGAAGAAAGGGCTGGCTGGTTGTCCTCTCCTGGCCTGGGTCATTTAATCTCATCAACCAAAGTCGCAACTGATTTTCTCACATCCCTGAGTTCAGAAACCATTCTACTTTCCCATGAAACCCATAACTGTAAACACTGTTGATTTAAAGTAGTTTCTATTTGAGACATCTCTTTTTCCAGTATCCCATTCTACTCTCTTCAACTATTCCCACAAATGTTACAGGGCAGGAAACATGGATGAGCACAGCAATGACTGGTCAGCTCCAGACCTTGGTCACTTCTAATTTAAGGCTCATGGAGCACAGATCATGACAAAGAACTCAGAGGACTCTTGGTGATGTGATATCCCCATGTGATGCTGGGTTGTGAGCCTGACCTTATGACCATGTTGAGGTGGAAAGAGTTCTCAAGTTCATGTCATCAATGTAGGGTTCAAGGCTTGGCTCAGTCTTTAACCTCCCCAATGTCTGGTTATCTATAAAAGGGTGTAAACTCACCTCTGTAAGAGAGCCTTGGAGGGATTCAATGAGAATAGAAATGAAGGCTCCTTGTAAAGAAGTCATATGCTATATGAAAATGAGGATCTGTATGGGCCTACAACCCATGGGATTTTAAGGATGGCCTTTGTGAGTTTGGTGGAGTTTCTTAATGGTCCAGAAGAACAGAGTGCTGGAGCCAAATGGATGTGTCACTGGGGCTAGGCCTTTGGATCTAGGCAAAGTATTTCCAAATAATTTGGCATCAAAGCCTGACTCACTTGGGGGAGCTGAGGCAGTACGATGCCATTTTCTCCAAACTGTAAAATCAAAAAATGAAGAATATGATCCTATGTTCTATTTCTACCTCCCATCTCCCTACCCTTAATCTCTCAATTTATTTTGCTTAAACACATGGTGTCTCCGGATTCAGGACTGGCAGGAACAGGAGCAATGGCTCAGAAGAGTATGGTTGCAAATCTCAACTAGGGTGAGGAAGATACAAACTGGGAAATATTTGATTATAAATTCTTTCCTCTTCTTCCATTTTCATCCAGAAAGAAATAGTGATAAAAAATATTAAAAAGGTAACTTAAAAAATGCTTGATAGGAAGTCCTTCGTGATTACAGCAGACTTGTGATTGTGAATAGGAATAAACTATTGCATATCTCTGAAAAATAATCTGATGTTGCTGGAGAATAAAGAAAATGTAACTATATAATTCTTAACTAGGACAAAGAAGTAAACACACAAACCAACAAATATCTGTGTTATAAACCTAGCAGTTTAAAAAATATCCTTTACTTTCTCTAAAAGATGAGAAGTATCAGAAGAAGAGGTTTTATAAGTCAATAGCAATGATAAATTGTTCAACCCATCTTCCTTGCTAAGGGTAGGCTCTCTCCACACCTGATGTGGTGTGTTCACTGGTATCTCCAGCAACCAGCCCAGCTCTTGCTTCCTGATAGGCCTTCAGCAAATGTCTGTTGAATCAAAGTTTCTTTAAACCTAGAAGGTTCTAAACTACTTTTTGTAGGTAGAATACAGATACTCAGGATAGCTAAATGCTTTTCCAATACCTTGTCTTCTCTTTCTCCTGTCTTTCTGTCCTCCCTCCACGCAAGCTCTAATGACTCCACTGGTTCTGCAGGACCTGCCAAGTAGACTCCTTACTCTACTTTCTCCTCATGCCAGTGCACTCTCCCTGCAGCCACCAGGAGAGGCTTTGTGAGATGCACCTTTGATCATGTATTCACTAAATAAATATTTCCTGAGTTCCCGCCTCCTGCCAGCCATGACTCTAGGTTCTGAAGATCCTGTTACCAACCTCCTCTCCTGCCTTCCTCACCCATCCCACATGCTGGTTTTTCAGCCACACTGGCGTCCTTTTCGTTTCCTTGGAGTGGTGTGCTGACTCAGACCTTTCTTGTCTTTTTTGTTCCTCCTACAGCGAATACTCTTCCCTACCTTACTGGTCTGAAGAATTCCTATTCATCTTATAACACCCACCTAACAGAATTTTTTTAAAGGCTTCTTGATCTTTCTTCCTATCTAACTCCATCTGAGGTTTGCCACTGCTTTGTGTATCATAAGTGCTGCAACATGTATTGTGCTGATTGTAATGCTTTCTTTTTATGACTGTCTCCCTGGCTGCAGCACAAACTTTCTTAGGTCAGGGGTTAGTTCTTGTGCACCTTGGTGTGCCCAGAACCTTCAATGGTACATAATAAGGTATGTCATATACATTTGTTAAACGAATAGCTGCACAGATGTAATTTACAAAATCAGCTTCCCTGTGGATCCTCCCCCGTACCCACCTCTAAACATCATTTCTCAGGGCCTCATTCTCTTTTTATGCCACAACTCTCTCCCTAGGGAGTTTCAATCTAATCTCATTACTTCAACACTCTTTATGTTGATAACACCCCATCATTTATCTCCACATCAAACCTCTCTTCCTAGTTCCTGCTCACATATTCAACTGTACGTCTAACTGCTCATCTCTTCCTGATGTCTCCCAGACATCTCAAACAGAATGGCCAACAATGAAGTTAATCTTCCCCTCAAACCCACTTTTCCATTTTGTTACTAAAAATCCAGACCCCTAAGCCAGAAAGTGAGGTCCTGTCTTTGAAAGTTCCTTCTTTTTCAACCCAACATCTCATCCATCACCAAATCTAGGACATTCTGCTTGTCACACAGAACTTGAGTCTTTCTTCCTCCTCTCCCCTCTGCTGCTCCTCTCTCATTCTCTTTTGTCTGGACTACACAGCAGCTTCCTACCTGGTCTCTCTGATATCATCTTGCCCCTTTCAATCTACTCTCCACAAAGCAGGAAAATTGTATTTTTAAAAATTACAAATGGCACCCTATCTCTTTTGATTAAATTTCTTCAGTATGTTTCCATTCATGAAATATAAAACTCTTTTCAAATTCTTAGCATGGGCTGCAAGCCCTATGCTGGCTGGCCCTGCCTTCCTCTCCATGCGTTTCTTGTTCCCCTCCCACTGCTCTCTTTATGCTCCAGATAGGCAGGCCTCTTTTCGCTCTATAAAGGGCCTGGAGTCTCCCTTCCAAATGGAAGCAGATACATAATAGAGTTCAAATTCAGATTACACCAGTCATCAGTGGATGCTGAGATTCACTTGATTAAACCATGGCTTCCAGTCATCATGCATACTACAGAAATTGCTAATTAAGAGACAAGGCAATGCTATATATGCGTAACTCAGCACTACACGTAAAGTGGGAAAGGAATTTACCAACCTATTTATTTGAGTTAAAATTAGCTAGAGTAATTTTGGATATAATTTATCTTGGAAAAAAATGAGACTAATTATAACATTGGCTGCTTTAAGATAGATAAGTCTTTCTCCTCTGATGCACACCAATAAAATATTATTGCTTTCTTCCAATCTCTTTCAGAGTCTCCTGGCGCTTGGATTATTATTGAAAATATATTATATGTTGGAGAAAGGCAAATCTATGCTTTAATAACCACAAAACTAATCACATTTGCAAAACTGCCCTGAGGTCCTACTCTACATTTCAACAAGGTAGTCAATCAGCTGAATGCTTGAAGCAAAACTTTACATTCCCCAAAGTGTCCTATTCACAAATTCCACCAATGCAATATATTTTCACATTTATCATAAGTAATAAATAAATCACATGTTGTTATCAAGATGCAAAGCACATTTTATAAAACGTTGCCTATTCCCTTCATTGCATTTCTTTTATTGCTTAGAGATTTTACCCAGTGATAAGGCAAAATGATTTTCAAAAAATGAATTGGATAAGATAGCAACCTTTAAAATATTATTTCCCTCTACCGTGGAAAAGTTTCATTGCTGTAGTCAGTGTTTTAATAATCTAGGTAGAAAGCAGTTACAGAGGCATGTAATTTCAAATCTAGTTCAGAATCAGCAAAAGCAAATCCCAAGTGGTCTGATTTTATTATGTAAGGGAGGCAGTGTAGCATAATGGAAAGGCTTTAGATTTTGGATTCAGAAAACCTAAGTCTGATTCACTATGGCAGCATAAATTTGGGCAGATTTTTTGTGCCCCAGGTTTCTCTGGAGATTATTATATCTACTAGTAGGGTGGTGAGAATTAAATGACCTTATCCACCAATGTAGTATTTGGCACATGGTAAAAGTTAATTATTGCAGGTTTTTTTTTTTTTTTTTTTTTTTTTGAGACAGAGTCTCACTCTGTCACCCAAGCTGGAGCAGAGTGTCTCAATCTTGGCTCACTGCAGCCTTGACCTCCCAGGCTCAAGTGATCTTCCCACCTCAGGCTCCTGAATAGCTGAGACTGCAGGCACACGGCATCATGCCCGGCTCATTTTTTTTTTTTTTTTTTTTTTTGTAGAGATGAGGTTTCACCGTGTTGCCCAGGCTGGTCTTGAACTCCTGGGCTCAAGTGATGTGCCTGCCTTAGGCTCCCACAAGGCTAGGAAGGATTACAGGAACGAACCTCTATGCCCGGCCTGTATTACAGTTTTAACGAATTGTAAGGGTGCTTTCCACCTTCCCCTAATCCTGTTTGCTAAGGAAAATGCCAAGCAGCCTTTGGTATTCATATCACTGAGTAATTACAGTTGATGTGGTGATTGATTCCATCGGTTTTCCAAAGGATGTGAATTTTCTGGAAAGGACAGGTTTATTTTGTTATAGTTCACTTGAAAGTTTAGTGACTTTGGCCTTAGGACTATTGCCAGTAATCTGGATTAACATCCCTTGGTTGTCACAGAATTCTGGGATTACTGTTGACCTATATGGCTTCCATTTACAATGTCATTCTAAAGGGACAGAGCTTTTTGTGTAACTATATGATTTATGGCCTTTCTGGAAAGCAAAGTACTAGTTCATCCCTTTAGTCATTTATTCAAGTATTTACTGAATGTTCTAAGGAAATGCTCACACACAATAAGTAAAATATACAGAGTGAAAGATGATGAAGAACAAAGCAGGGGAGGAGAACACAGAGTGCCAGGTGAAGGTCTTCTAATTTTAGATATGGCGGTCAAGGAAGGTGTAATTGAGAAGGTATCAGAGGAAAGCCACATGGACCTCTGGGGGAGGAATGTTTCAGGCAGGGAGAAGAGCAAATGCAGAGGCCAAGACGTGGGAACGCAGCTGGTGATTGAGGAAGTGGCCATTGTGGCTGGAGTAGAGTAGGGTGGTAGAGTGGTACAGAGGCGGGAGGGAGGCAGGCCTGGAAGCCTGTTGCAAGGACTGTGGCTTTAATCCAAGGGACCGAGGAAGCCGCTGTGTGATCTGAGTGGAACAAAGGAACTTCAGGAAGGCTAGCCTTCTCAGGCAGCAGGAAGCATCTTGCTCCTGTAGTTTCTGCAGCCTGCCTTCAGGGCTGGCCCCACAGCAGGTTCCCTCAAAGCTCAAGTATCCAATGAGTCCTTTGGATCCCATGCAAACTGTGGGTCACTGTAAAGCCATCTCAACTCAGAGACTGCTTTATTACAGTGCAAGAGAATTGGGGGTAAAAGCTAGAAGAGTCAAGTCAGTTCCACAGCATATGTTCTAGAACTTTTTGAGAAATGAGAAATCTTAAACAGAGCAAGCAGGGATAGAGAGAATAAACAATAACTCCTCATTCCCCTTCTTCCCAGGCCCTGGCAACCACTATTCTACTGTCTGTCTCTATGAACTTGACTACTCTGGGTACCTCATGTAAGTGGAATCATATAATCTTTGTCTTTCTGCGTCTAGTTTACTTCACGTAGCATAATGTCTTTAAGGTTCATCCATGTTGTAGCATGTGTAAGAATTTCCTTCCTTTTTAAGGCTGAGTCATATTCCATTGCATGGATACACCTAAGCTCTTTGAAAATCTACTCCTTCAGCCCAGCAACACCATCTTGAATGTTCCTTCATCCATTCACCACCACCCCCTCCTAAGACCATGATTTTGGTGCAGGTTCTGGGGGAGGCAGGTAGTTGAAAACAGGGGAAAGAAGGAAGGCATTCAGGATGGATGGCATTGGATATAAGGTTAGAGTTAGAGAGAGTAGCATGTAAGAGTGTTATCTCCTGATGGCTTCTATTTCTTCTTGGAGGGAGAAGTTAATTTACAAAGAATGCATCAGGTGACAAGAAACCTACAGTCTCCCAGGACAGTCCATCCCAATTCTGTCTCCATCTTGAGTACCAGCCCTGTTCTTCCAGTTTTGTGGAACAAGGTCATAAAGAGTGATGTTATTCTAGAAAATGAGAAATGAGACTACATATATACACACACGTATATGTATATATAGAATACATACACACGTATATGTATATATAGAATACATACACACGTATATGTATATATAGAATACATACACATGTATATGTATATAATACATACACACGTATATGTATATATAGAATACATACACACGTATATGTATATATAGAATACATACACATGTATATGTATATATAGAATACATACACACGTATATGTATATATAGAATACATACACACATGTATATGTATATATAGAATATATACACATATATATTCTAAAGTAGGGAATACTACTCCTGCGATTAATGATTTATCGCTTATTTGGTCTTTATGATAAAGCGCTTTATTATTGTGTTGTTTTAATGTGTGTATCAAAGGGATACAATGTGCTGCAGGAGCACCTTGGAAAGTTATTTGATGTCAGGAATACAGAGGCAGATCTCTCCTCTCCCCTACTAACCCTCTGAACAAAGCGGTTTCTTAACAACCTCAATTAGAGCTGAATCACACTGAGGTGAGGGGAAGCAGGAGAAGACAGATGAGAGGAAAAAGAAGAAGTGCACCAAAGTCAAAGTCTGTTCTCTAAGAAACAGGCAAGTGAGGCTGCGGGCCACTGTTGGTGACAGAGCCCATTTCCTGACAACCCTCCAGAAGACGTCATGGCAATTCCCTACCTACTACCTGCCCTTTCTATGAAGAGTTCTCTATTCAGGACTTGAAAAATAAAAACTAAATGTATGCACTGCATTAACTAACTCAGAGAAAAACAGCTCTAAACCTCAAGGCAAATATAAAACAGAGATGAAATAACAACTGAAAACCAGTAAAGAGCTTTTAAAATTTATAATGTGTAGGTACTATGGATTCGGTTAAGCCTGGTTAGTTCTTTTAGCCTGTTAGCCAGTTATCAGAATCACCCAACTAGACTCTTTGATCTGCTTGAGGTAGCAAGCACAAACTTTTTTTTATTTTAATTTTTAAGTTCTGGGGTACATGTGCAGGATGTGCAGGTTTGTTACATAGTTAAACATGTGCCACGATGGTTTGCTGCACCTATCAACTCATCACCTAGGTATTAAGCCCAACATGCATTAGCTATTTTTCCTAATGCTCTCACTCCCCCACCCCACTCCCCAACAGGCCCCATTGTATGTTGTTCCCTTCCCTGTGTCCATGTGTTCTCATTGGTCAGCTCCCACTTATAAATGAGAACATGAGGTGTTTGGTTTTCTCTTCCCGCGTTAGTTGGCTGGGGATAATGGCTTCCAGCTCCATCAATATTCTTGCAAAGGACATGATCTCATTCCTTTTTTACGGCTGCATAGGATTCCATGGTGTATATGTACCACATTTTCTTTGTCCAGTCTATCATTGATGGGCATTTGGGTTGATTCCACATCTTTGCTATTGTGAATAGGCAAGCACAAATTTTATGGACAACATTGAAAGCCTCCAACATAATGTTTTGTGCTACTAAACAATGAATTCCTTAATTCTTGCTATCTAGGTGGAAACATAGGTTACATGATGTAAGTAATGGAAACCCCTTCCAAGATAGTGAAGCAGGAGGGGGCCTTTATTGGAAGGATACAGGGGCATCTTAGAGAATTTGAGGAAAAGTTGAGCAACTAAGTCTTGGACAGAACAGAAATGAAGGTTCTCATTTTAAAGTTTTAAAGTTCTCATCTTAAAGTTTATAGACATTCATTCATTGTGGTGGTCTCACAAATGATGGGACTCAGCTCCTAAGTTTAGACATTTTCTCTTCAAGCGACCAGCAGAAACTAAGACTGCCATTCTTAAATTCCACCTTGCGAGGTGAGAGACTTTGATTCGATGGTTCAGGGTCAGGGGTCACCCAGATCTACCCCTAACATTTGTAGGAGCTGGATCAAGAGTGTAATTGGAGACTTTCATGCCAAATGTGTAAATATTATAAAAGTTACAAATAAAGGCAATAAGATGGTAAAATGTTCTATTCTTTTGACAGGCATACTTTCCTAACAGCCTGGAAGTCCAGGTTCAAATTTAGAATTTTTGGATTCCATGGGGTACTGTGCCCAAATGTAGCAATACAGAGAGAGGGCTGGCCTCTAGCCCACTGTGCACCTGCTGCCTTCTCCCACACCTGGCTCATGAATAACCCACTTTGTATATCCAAGCTCCAGAAACAGCCCCTCAAATCTCCTGCCCCCTGCCTTTTTTTTCTTTTTCTTTTAACCATTTGGGCCTAAGACTGCAAGGCTCATGTGGGCTCTAGAAGTGAGTTTGAGGTTGTTTGGGTGTGGATTTCAGGGCCTCAAATTTCCCAGTCAATGGAAAAGGTACACTTTGAGTAGGATGGGGTTCAAGTGGAGAAGGGCAGAGCATGACACAAAGGGCATAGGTCTGTCTCACCCAGGAATTAAGCTGTGATACTAGGAAAAACTATTACTCTGGTTGTACTTGGGCAATCGTGTATCATGTTATTACAAGGCAAGTTTAATGTATTAAGCAATAGAAAAGGAAGCTTATACTCAGAGAGTTTACTTATACACTAAACCAAAAGAGATCAAAATTACCTAGGTACTACCTAGGAAAGGGCGAGGCAGAAAGCAATGGTTACAGTAACCCAGAAAATCCCAAGCAACTTTTCTTCTTACTTCTGAAGTTAAAACTGCTTACGCTTCTGGAAAAAAAAATCGGCAAAGTTTTCACTTTTAAAGGCCAGGTAGACTATCAATGCCTGTTTTGTAGCTTTGCTCTACAAGATTTCTATTTCTTCACGGGAAAAACAAAACAAAACAAAACACCAACAACATCCAAAAAACATTCAGGTTAAAAGTCTGCTAAACTTTTGTTCCATTACGTTTGTCTTCTGAGTTCCTTAGTAGGTACATCTATATGCAATAATGATCTTTAGGACCTTGCGTGACCGAGTTTCTTCATGAAGTGGTAATTTCCCATTTGCTGACCTCAATTTTCAGTGCTGAAATTGAGTAGTATGACTCCAACAGAATGGGAAAATGGCACAGTAGCACATCTCTCAGGAAACTGTCAGTGTAAGTAACTCCAAGTACAAGAACTGAAAACAAAAGATGAAACACTCTGTTGGGGCATAACTATTCTGAAAATTCTTTAAAAATAAGTAGAAAACCTCTTCAAGTTGATCATGGCTAAAGAATACAGTCCAACTTTATGTCAATTTTTCTCATCTTCTTGCTTCTTTCTAGACTCCCACATGTATGGCATTTTTCTTTTTATGGCTTTGCTTTAATTGTACCATTTCCTTTGTCCTAGACCTTCCCATGGGACAGCAATGATTTGTTTGCTATGGCAATGATTCTCAAACATGCAGGCAATAAAGTTTGAGCATGAGCTTTGGAATCCAAAAGCTCGGGGTATAATAAGTTCTAGTTCTTCCACTGACAAGCTACTTAACCTCTCTAGTCGGTAGTTTCCTCATCTGTAAAATGGGCCTATCACACTGGGTTGTGGTGCAGATTAGATGAATTAAGGGTAAAGGTTTAGTGCAGTTCCTGACAAATGTTAAACCTTCAATAGGTAGTTAACAAAATATACATGTCCTCTTAGAGTCCACGCCTCTCTTCCATCTCTATAGGCTCATCTCTTGCTATTCCAGTTTTATCATTTGCATTTCAGAACTATGGAACTACTTAAGAGTTTTATGAACATGATCCACTGTTCCTTCTGGTAGGATGGCAGACTTCACTCACCTGTAAAGAACTGAGCAGAGACATGACCTCTTCAAGAGTTCTCCTCCTTGCTGAGACACAGGTGATGACCCCTTTCCCTTCTTCCTTGGTGCTACTTCCACACCTATTTTACTATTCTTCCCCGCTGTGGGAACTTATGTAAAGGATGCAAAATTGATGGTAACCTGAGGCCTTGCCTGGTAAATAGAATCACAGAAGTGGGCAGAAGACTTGCAGCAAGCTCTCCAGTGTACAGTGCTACCCATTCCTTTTGGGAAAACAGGTGCAAGGAGATCTCAGGATCAAGGATTCACTGAGAGAGGGGTGGGGAGGGGGGCACTCTCACCAGCGGAGGGCCCTGGTAGCAGCCAGTAAAGCTGGGCAGGAGGGAGACATGGTCTGGGAACTTACAGCCCTGGAACCCAAACAGAAAGTTCCCCTTGGCTCCTCTTTGCTAATGGGAACAGGAAGGAGGAAGCATGTGGAATAGCAGCCCAGTGACAGGGAGGTCTTGGAAGGATTCTCAGGAAAGCTCCAGGCAAGGTGCCTGGCGATCAGGGTCTCCGTGCAGCACTGATGGGAACAGGGGCTGCTTGGGGGTGTGACTGTGATATAGGCTCATGACACGATGTCCCTCACTGAAGAATGCAGCTCTCTTCTCTGGGGCATTGGGGGAAAGGGAAGGGCCAAAACCGGGTGACAGGATGGGGGAATCTATGGGTTGACAAGAATGGTTGACACTCTCGATCATTCTTGAGTGCCCCCTAAGCATTTCACCGGGTGGGCCTTAGGCCTGAGAAATATTAGTTATTGCTATGTCCAGAATCGCAAGCCTGGGGAAAAACCTGCTATGCACAAGGTTTACATATCTGCATTCCTTTTCCTTTAGGACTCCTTAAATCATATAGGCATGTGGTTATTACTGTCTGCAGTGTTGGGTAGAACCTGGCCCACAGATGTTCAATAAATGTTTCTTTAATTACCTGGAACCAAAAAACCTATCATCTGGCATCTACACAGACTCAGGTATTTTAAAACATTGAAACTTGCTGGTGGACTCCCATTGCTGCTTTGATGACCTTTGAGAAAGAAATCATTGGTTCAGCATGTCAAGAAAAGGTTGATGGAGCCCGATGTCATTTCGGATTGGGGTGAAGGCTTTATGTTTAACGATGCCACAGGCCGCTTGCTGACTGGGTCTTTGCCTCTTAGATCTGAAAAGGACCTCAGAGATCACCAGTTTAGCCCTTTAGCCCCCAGGTTTCCCCAAGAGCAGGCTGAGCAGGCCAGTGCCACAGAACTAATATCAGAGCCAAAACCAGGGCCTGGATGTCCTAACTCTCAGCCTACAGGAAAGACCCCCATGCCAACATCATCCAAATCTTTTTTCAACTTCCCCGCTAAAAGTTAGAGAAAAAAAAAATTAAAGCTGTTAATTTTAAAGCTTAGAGGACTTTGGGTCCAATCTTCTCATTTCCTCTGATTTTGCAGATTTAAAGGGAGGATCGGCAAGGTTAGGTGACATCTGAGGGGGGACCTCAGAGTTAGGAGTGAAACTGAAATTCAATTTCTAACCCACTGACTTTCCACCTGATTTCTTTCAGTATGAGAATCTGAAATCAGTTTAATCTCAACTGAATACAAGATATGTCTTAGCTTTAATGGATGTGGCACAGTATAGAATAGGAGATTACTGTGTGCCCCGCCCCAGTGGCTGCCAAGACTGGGCTGCTCACCCTTAGGAAGAGCTCAAGGGGTGCAGGGCACCAGGGACAGAAAGATGAACAAGGATGCTTCTAGCCTTCCAGGCTGCTGGGCAAAAGCGAGCTTCTCAAATGCCAACATGTCTAGCCAGCAGTAGCCACGGCCACACATCTATTCTGTGTACAGGAGGCTCGTCAATATTTGACTTGGGCTGGTGCTGGTCACACACATGGGTTTTAAAAAAGAGCCATATTCACTTATTACTAAAAGTGTCCTGTTTGAACAGAAGACTTTATGTGCATATGCACAAGAAGACATCATCAATCTGGTTAAAAAGGCTTTGCTCAACATGCTTTGCCTCCAAATTATGAAATTTAAAATTATTCCTTTTATGGCTAGAAAATTGTTTTTGTTGCAATAAACTGGTAAAATATACTTTATCAAAGTAACTTTGATAGCTTCCAATGAATTAAAAATCTATATTTTCTATACCCACTTCAACAGTTCATATAGTCAGAATAAAAATATATTCGCACTCAATAAAAGCTTCTACATCACTGTTGCTCATCTGTTGTCCGTTAGTTACACACACAGGCAGTTCTCTACTGCTTTGCTAGTGTGAAATAGTTACTTCAGTTAGAATGAGTTAAGCAACTTTTCCAAGTTATGATAGTTAGAATTATTTATAAAGGCAGAGCCAGCTCTTTCTTCATAGTTTAATAGCTGCTCTCCAGTTACTTATTTCAAAATTAATATATCTCAATGATATATAGCACATACCCCACAAAAAATGTGCTCCGGTAGGAACAAAGGATACCTGTTGGTTGGTGATGGATTGATTTGTTTCAGAGTTTCATCTGGAGTTTTAATGATAAAAAAATCTGGATATTCAGCCATTAAAAAGCATTTTTAAATGCCTTCTGGGCCCCCAGCATTATACTATGTATTAGGTATGCAAAAATGAAAGCCTCTATCAAGAAGCACATAATGAAGAGAGGAAACTGACGTTCAAATTCACAACTATATTACAAATGTACATGGAGTACCATGACAGCAAAGGAGAGAAGAACACCCAAATCTTCCTGGGAGGAAGTTTCTTAAAAGAGGCAGAGTTTGAGCTAAGGCTTGAATGAGAGGTGGATGCTCGCCTGCAGGTAGCTAAAGAAAGGGGCAGCTGCAGGTGAGGGAAGTCATGGGAGAATGTTGAGTAAGGCAGGATCCATAGTCAGCTTGCATGTAGGAAGAATCACTCGCGGGTCAATGAAAGGATGGACTGGGACAGATCCTAGAAATCCAGTACCATTATCAATTAGTGTTTCTTTCATGGCAGACAAAGATCTATTGTCAAAATTACATAGGAAAGATAACTGTGAGTTACCATTTGATTTGCTCCAGTGCTAATCTCAAACTGACTACTCATGGCAACAGTCTTAAGTGAGTGCTTTTATTACCAGAGACTGTAACTAGTCCCTTACCTGTATGCTTGTTCTTACGTGTGGCAATATCATTGAGCAGTATACCAGGCAACTGATTATTATTTCAAAAGTTTCTTTCCCTGTGGACTGAAGAGAGTAAGAGGTGAGTTTTAAAAGTGGTTTGATGGTTGATTTGATCAAATTATACATGCTCACCCACAGACGGGGAGTCTTTCTATAACCCATCCCACCAGCAAGAGGTAAACAAAAGCATTTCCAGGTTGCCAAGAGCAATGCTACAGAATTTAAGCTGAAGTAACAGAATTCTTTGGGAATTTATTTATGTTTAATTCAGAAATCATTCTATTAATTAGTATTGTAATCTAGTTTCTTAGGTAACAACTTCCTCACCTTTCCCCTTCCCTTCCTGATGAAGGTCTATACTTTCCTATCACTGTGTTACAGTAACTTAGAAGGGCAGATCTTCAGAAGGGAGTAAAGAGTTCACCACAGACGTTTGATGCTTCTTATGTGTCATGTAACTAAGAGCAAAAGGAAATATGAAAAATTATCTAAAGACAAAAAAAAAAACAACCCCAAAAAACAGAGCATCTGGGAGCCACGGGACATGGAAAAATCAAGAGGACCCAGCACTTCAGTATCTGTAAATAACAACTGATGATGATTATAATCACTCTAGGTCACAAAAGGTTAAATATCAGCCTTGTGTTCAGTTAGAATGTAATTACATTTAGGGTGATTTCCTACTACAATAAGTTAAAATTAAAGTATTTATATTGTTTTCACTTTCTGGAAAACTAGTCTATATAGAATAGCACTCCTTTGAGAGGTGTAAAGAATCTCTCCAATTACCCATCTAAGATGTAGAATACATGCCTATTAGCACACGTATTTGTCCATTGTCACACTGCTATAAAGAAATACGTGAGACTGTGTAATTTATAAAGAAAAGAGGTTTAATTGGCTCATGGTTCCGCAGGCTGTACAGGAAACATAATGGCTTCTGGGGAGGCCTCAGGATACTTTCCATCATGGAGGAAGGTGAGGGGGAAGCAGGCAGGTCTTACCTGGCCAGAGCAGGAGGCGGCAGGGGGAAGGTGCCACCCACTTTTAAACAACCAGATCTCGTGAGCACTTACTATCACGAGAGCAGCACTGAGGGAAAAATCCGCCTCAGTGATCCAATCACCTCTAACTCTGGGGGGCTTACAATTTGCCATGAGATTTGGACGGGGACACAGATCCAAACCATAGCAGCATGGTTAGGTAATACTCTTAAAGTGAAGGTTATTTACAGATTATATCACTGATAAGCCATTTATTAATGGTGTAGGCAAACCTTACTGTCCTCATATCCAGTGTTTTCTAGGACCTGGGAGCTCAATAGGGATAGTCCGAGGGAATAAAGAAAAAACAGTTTGTCACAATTACTAAGAAAACCAGTAAAAATTATAGTATCTATTAACAGTCGGGCCTACTAGCAGTGGTGTGTACAAAGACGCAAATCAACATCAAGTACATGTCTTTACCCAGCATTTTCTTCCAGTTATGTGAAATGCTTTGCGGGCTGGAAGGTAATCCAGAGGACACAGAAATAAAGGAAGGGGAAGTTGCAAGAAAATCCACTAGGGGATACCAGAAATGAAACATCAAATACCAATTTTAGTATATACATTTCCTCTGCATCATTGTCATGATTCTGAGTGTTAATAATTCATCTGTAGACACAAACACATAAACTCACATATGTTCTACCATCTTTGTCCTCTGGACAATTCAAGATGATAGATCTGGAGGTATCTTCAGTTTCATTTGGTGATGGAAAATAGTATTTTTCTATCCACTGATGTGAATTCTTATTCTGGCTGGTTGACTGCAGTTGACAGGGAGCCCAGGGCTGTTTTAAAAAATGCTCTGTCACGTCGTCAGCCTTGAGAACAATCACCTCAATCTTGCTGATACCCCACAATGGTGTCTATCTCAGATTAGGGGCTCATTAAATATTTGCTGAAATTAAAATCTGCTGCCACATTTGTCTTTCAGTTGTCTGCAGCTGTGGTACCACCTCCCCTATCCTAGGCTTTGCCATCCTTTTATTTCCTATCATTGTACTCCTCCCCCATCCCCACTGCAGCCCACTCAGCAGGAGTGGCTCTTCACCAAGCTCCTGTTCAGCAGGATCACCTTGCTGTAGTGTTCAGTAGGGTTCATTGGTGATGCTAATGGAAATAGTTAAGAATCAGGCTGAGATACCTAAGCTATAAAAATACATGAAACAAGATAAAATACTGCTTCTATATGATTCTGGCCTTATACTGTCTATACCTGTGTGCCCAGCTCTGCTACTTGACTAAAGGGCTTGCTTTCCTCGAATCTGAAACACACTAATGCATAGTTTGCTTCAGAAGCAGAAGGCTTCTGAAAAATGCTTTTATTTCCCTATTGCTAAGAAAACATTTGACATTAGAACTCCTTTGTGCAGGCTAGGATGTTTCCTAAGTTTTCTTTTGCAGTGATCTGCAAACACTTTTGCTTATGTACTCCCAAAATAACTTTGGAGAACCAGCATTATTTTATTTTTTAAATTAAATTTTATTGTATTTTATGTTTTTTAGAAGGGATTTCACTCTATTGTGCAGGCTGGAGTGCAGTGGTGCAATCTTGGCTCACTGCAACCTCTGTCTCCCAGGTTCAACAATTCTCCTGCCTCAGCCTCCTGAGTAGCTGGAATTACAGGTGCGCACCACCACAGCCAGCTAATTTTTGTATTTTTAGTAGAGACAGGGTTTCACCATATTGGCCAGGCTGGTCTTGAACTCCTGACCTCATGTGATCCACCTGTCTCAGCCTCCCAAAGTGCTGGGATTACAGGTGTGAGCCACCGCACCCGGCCTTCTCATGCATTTTTAAGTTGGCTCTAATATTTTTCATTATCAGTTTAATGGCATGAACAAAGTATTTCAGTATATTGTAAATATTAACATTTAAAAATACATCACAATTTTCAATGTATCCAAAGGAGTCTAAATATAACTGGAACATTTTATATCATAGTTTTGTCTTTGAACTCATTTTCATTCCACTCCGTGTGTAAAATTTTCTTCCAATGCGTACAAACTTTTAGATAGATTGCCATTATATTCCTGTGCAACCCAAGTCAGTTCCTCTTCCCATTTTTTCCCCTTGTTTCACTAAAAGGCACCACTATCTATCCCACTCCTCAAGCCAGTAACCTACAAGTCCTCCTGTCCTTCTCCTCATCACTCAGCCAATCCATCATCGAGTCCTTTTACTCCACCCTCCCATGTCAAGTCAAATCCAACCATGTCTCTCCAGCACCCTAGGGTCTTCCAGAATACTTGGGAGGAGGTTTCTCATAGAGCTCGGGCCCAATATGAACACACAGGGACAAAAACCCGGAACAATTTATATTTCATTTTGAAAACAGTATAATTGAAATGCCATTAACCTAGGCATCAAACCGGTCTAAAGTCCTGCTTGGAACACAATCAAGATGTTTTATTCTAAGTCCCACAAAATGATGTTTTGCTTTTAAAATGGATGAAATGCCAAATCAGAGTCTTCCTTGAACAAATAAGCCCTAACTGCCTCATTAGCTTTAAGCTTCTAGGATGATGCAGGCATTACAGAGGAAGGTATTATTTCACTAACTTTTTTTTTAAATCAGTTTTTTATGTAGCCAAGTGAGTTTCAAAACTTACGGATGATAGAAACTTGGGGGCAATAGCAAATTCTACTGTAAGAAACAATGCAACTACGTATGATTTGAAAGGACTGGTACACTGGGCAGCTAATCAAATGTAGCCCAGAGAGAAATATACAAAGATGAACTGTGGAAAAGAACAAAGGAGACAAAACCTCCTTGCTCAATGAAAGAGACAGAGATCCCACGCTAGGTCTAAATTCTTTGGATCTTGTTTTTCTTACATTCACCTCTCTTCTCTGACTGTATTTGGCGGCATTCATTCAAACTACATCCTGAAGGGGCAAAATAGGGATATTCACATTGGATACTATGATATACAATGATTTTAAATTTGGATTTGGATTTCAATGTTCAGTGTTGCATGATTTTTATTTTATAATCTCTTTCAATTTATTATTATTATTATTATTATTATTATTTATTTATTTTTTTTTTTTTGAGACTGAATCTCGCTCTGTCACCCAGGCTGGAGTGCAGTGGCGCGATCTGGGCTCATTGCAAGCTCCGCCTCCCGGGTTCATGCCGTTCTCCTGCCTCAGCCTCCTGAGTAGCTGGGACTACAGGTGCCCGCCACCACTCACGGCTAATTTTTTTTTTTTTTTGTATTTTTAGTAGAGACGGGGTTTCACCGTGTTAGCCAGGATGGTCTCAATCTCCTGACCTCATGATCCACCCACCTCGGCCTCCCAAAGTGCTGGGATTACAGGTGTGAGCCACTGCGCCTGGCCTTGTTTTATTATTTTTATCCACAGACTATAATAGCATTTTAGTACTCAAAAGAGTGTGATAGACTTAATTCTATAAAATTCATTTAACAAATATTTTTTAAATGCCTGCTGTGCGCCAGACACTACTGAAAGCATCAGGAGCCTGGTGTTGAACAAAGACACAAACAAATGGCTTCTCCTTCAAGAAGCCTTTAATACAATTGTTATATATAGAACATTCTAGAAAGAGTTGCTTTATGAGGTAAAGGTGAATGAAGGGAGGCTGTTTGAGTTGATGACAATCATAGCTACCATTTATTGAACATTTACTATATGCCATATTCTGTGTCATTTTATATGTACCGTGTTACCATCATAGAACAATCCTATGATGCTGGAACTATTCTCTCCATTCTACAGTTGTGAAATAGCTGGAATTATTCTCTCCATTCTACAGTTGTCATGACATGACAGAGAGGGTAAGCCTAACGTCATATAGCTAGTGAGTGGCAGAGCCAGGATTTGAACTGAAGTCTGATTTCAGGGCTCAGGCTTAGGAGTCAGGCTGTACTGCAGAGACTACCTGAGCATTTGTGAGGAATGATGTAGATAAAATGCCTGCCTTGGGTGCAAAGTTATGTTACGACTCCAAGATTGCTTTAATGCTAAAGCCCCTTAGCTGTAACAAGGCAAGCTGGTTATTTGTCAAAGGACCACAACTGAAAAACTACTCTTGTCCAGCTTCATATCCATAGCAGGAATATGACTACCTAAAGTCTTCTGAATAGGAATAGAAACTGTATGACTGATTCTTTTTGTGGATTTACTGAAAAATTAAATTTCCCAAACAACAGATGCTGGCGAGGCTGTAGAGAAAAGGGAACATTTATACACTGTTGGTGGGAATGTAAGTTAGTAAAGTCACTGTGGAAAGCAGCTTGGAGATTTCTGGAAGAACTCAAAACAGAGCTATCCTTCGACCCAGAAATTTCATTACTGGGCATATACCTAAAGGAAAATAGATCATTATGCCAAAAAGACACATGCACTCATATGTTTGTCGCAATGCAATTTACAATGGCAAAGACATGGAATCAAGCTAGGTGTCCATCAATGATGGATTAGATAAAGAAAATGTGGTACATATACACCACGGAATACTACACAGCCATGAAAAAAACCAAAAGCATGTCTTTTGCAGCAACATGGATGGAGCTGGAGGCCATAATTCTAAGTGAATTTACACCAGAACAGAAAACCAAATACCACGTGTTCTCACTTATAAGTAGGAGCTAAACACTGGGTACACATGAATATAAACATGGGAAGAACAGACACTGCAGATTACTAGAGGGAGGGAGCAGGGGCATGGGTTGAAAAATTACCTGTATCTATTAGGTACCATGCTCACTACCTGGGTGATAGGATCCATACCCCAAACTTCAAACTTCAGCATCATGCAATATACTCATCTCATGTAACAAACCTGCACAGGTACTCCCTGTATCTTAAATAAAGAGTTGAAATTCTAAAAAAATCTCCTAAACAAAGATACAACCATAGCAGTACTGGCTCTCGGCACCTTTCCCCACCAGACATAGACCTCTCCCAACGCTGGGCTGGTTGCTCTTGGCATTGCTGCTGTGACTCTCCTCCTGTCTTCACAATCGAGGGGCTGCCTGCCTGTAACTCTGGAAGATGTGCTGGTGGATCTGCACCTGCTTGAGGTGGTTTTACGCCCTTTTTACTCATCCCACAATCCCCCACAATTTATGTCCTAGCTGAATTTTTCTAATTCATTTCTTACCACTCTGGTACCTTGTCCTTCCACCCCTCCCCTTGCCCATCAAAACTGACTCAGTGACCCACTAATTTTGAGTAGAGAGGCCCCTATTGCCCGAGGCACTCAGCATTTCCATGGGACCCTTCTCCTAGGCATTTGCCTTTTAAAACAGGGTACTGCCTCAACCCACTGGAATGACATTATCACAACGAAAGGCCAGTCTGATTTGATGTGAGAGTCATTTGTGGACTGTGGAGGGGGCTTTTTGCAAGCCCTCAAATCGCACTGCCTGTGCATTATCTACTCAAAGGCCTCATGCTGCAGGGCACTGTTGATCCAAAACACATTTACTCCTTTGGAGGATAATGAGGAGCTCATGGTCTTTCTGCACATTTTTTAAGAGATGGAGTCTCACTACATTGCCCAGCACAGGCTGGAGTGCTGTGACTATTCACAGGTGTGATCATAGTGCACTACAGCCCCAAACCTTGGACTAAAGCCATCCTCTAGTCTCAGCCTCCCATGTAGCTGGGATTACAGATGTACGCTACCATGACCAACCTGTACGTTTTTAAATCAGCAAAATCTTATTTTTCTGCTAACAGTCACATTCCTAAATTACAGTACTTTAGTTAGGATGTGACACACTATACCTATATCAATGGTATCACTAGATCAGTATTTTCTTGGTCTTTTGCTTTTTAGCGGGGTTAAGGAAGTATTGGCAGGGAGATGGAAGAAGATTTATTATTTTATCTGCACAGATAAGGATCTTTGGGACAATTTATAAATATGGAGAGGCAGCTTCGCATTCACTTCCCACCAAGTGGCATCCAACAGAGCCTGCATTTGTAAGGTTTAACCCACGTTCAAATAGGGCTTAAAAGAAATCAGATCTCATTTACTAAAGTACCAAGCTCAGGCAAGTCTTCATCTTCTTTAAATCCCCTTAGTTTTAATTACTCCCTGTGACTGTTTGGACATGTCAGATATTATTTTATGTTTTAAGCTGATGATAGTAACTCTGCAGTAACTTCAAAAGGCGTAGCTTGTGTCAGACCACTCTGTTTTGGGAAGAGGGTTACTGCATTGCCATTTAGCTTTCAACTTGGACACTCAGCTGCACTATAAAACTTTTATAGATTAATTGCACAGAAATAACTGGCACCAACTGTAATAGGTTCATTTTCTTTTCTTTCTCTAGACAGGCTTTTACATGCCTAGTGGACATTCCTTCAGAGGACTGAACTTTACCACCAGAAATAGTAAAAGGAAGAAGTTTATGTTAATTGAAAAGTTATAGTATATTATAACCCCCATTCATTTATAAAAGTGCACTGCTGTTTAAAATGTATCCAGTATAAAAGCCTTTAAATGCTGAAGTCTTTACTTATAACTATTTAATATGGATATAATATCCGCAATTTTGACATTCCAATTCTAGCAACAATTCTTCCTCAAAACTTGGGAAAAAACGTGTGCATATGTGTATGTACGTATATGTATATACACATACTCTGTGTTTGCATATATGCCATGTGTGTCTGTGTGTGTATGCATGCTAGCAGGACTACTGCCCCGAACTGTGCTGCACAACGCCAGGGACATCATTCACATTTAGGTCATCTGTTAGTGCTGACTCCTCCGTCAGGAGTTGCACAGGGTACAACCTTCGCAGTTTACCCAGAGGTCCTGGAATCTGCCAATATAATTCTTGCCGTGTCACAGCAGGTATTTATATACTGTTTCTCAATTCAGAATATTTGGAAAGAGATGAAGACTTCCATAAATTATCAATGAGTGATTTCTATCTGTTCCACAGCAGCTACTCCACTGCCTAGTCATTTCTGCTGAAAATTCATCTCTTTATTCATTTTCAAAACACCTTCTTTTTTTTTTTTTTTTTTTATCCTGCTGCTGGAAAAGGGGAAGATATTGTTCTGGGATCCAGAATTGGAAGTTGACTTCATTTTTCCCTATACGGTATAGTATACTTACAACAGTAGTTATCAAGGAGCCCTTATAAGCTGTCCTGGGATCAGCCATCAATAACAAAACTGGATGTATACAGATTAAAAAGCCAACTCACAAATGAATGTTTAGAGCACAGGCTGCACATCTCTCTCTCTCTGTATATGTGTGTATGTGAGATATGTGCCATATATAAATGAGATATTGATATAGATCCAAAGAGACATAGATACAAGTGTAAAGATATAGATGTTATTTTCTGGGAGTTATTATTCTTGCTCCACTAGAAAGAAATAATCAAATCTTTCAAATACCTAGGGTGGTAAAAAATCTAGGCAAGAGTGGATGGCTATCAGAGAAAAATAAATATTGACTCTCTCTTTTACACAGTCTACAAAAATAAATTCCAGGTAGCTTGTAGGTCTAAATGGGAAAAGTCAAACAATAAAGCTTAAAAAAAAAAAAGAATATCTTCAACTCCCCAGGGTAGGCAAAGATTTCTTAAAAAAAACAACAAAAAAGCTAACCATAAAAAACCCTGATGAGCTCATGCTTGTAATCCCAGCACTTTGGGAGTGAGGCAGGCAGATCACCTGAGGTTAGGGGTTCAGGACCGGCCTGGCCAAAACCCTGTCTCTACTAAAAATACAAAAATTAGCTGAGTGTGGTGGTGTGTGCCTGTAGTCCCAGGTACTTGGGAGGCTGAGGGAGGAGAATCACTTGAGCCTGGGAGGCAGAGGTTGCAGTAAGCAGAGATCACGCCATTGCATTACAGCCTGGGAGATAATTGTAAAACTCTGTCTCACACACACACACACACACACACACACACACACACAAACCCTGATGAAATAAACTGCATTAAAATTCAGAAATTCTGATCATCAAAAGATGCTATAGAGTGAGAGAATATTCACAATTTGTTACAAATTATAATTACAATTATATAACATATATCCAACGAGGCCTGATATCCAAAATATATAAAGGACTTCTATAGCCCAACAAGAAACAATAACCCAATAAAAATATGAGTGAAGAACTTGAATGGGCATTTCATGAAAAGAGATAACAAAATGGCCACTAAACATAACAAAATGGCACAATGTCATTAGCTATCAGAGATATGCAAATTAATACTCAATGCAACACCATCATGTATTCAGAGGAAAGGCTCAAATGAAAGGCAGATAATACCATGAATTAGTTAAGTTGTTCAACAACTAGAGTGCTTGCTGGTGGAACTGTAAATTGGTACAATCATTTTAGAAAGCTGTTGGTGGTAACACCTCGTAGAGCTACCCGATGACTCAGCAATTCATACCATATACCCAACAGAAATACATTCATATAATTACCAGTAGACATGTACAGGAATGTTTATAGCAGTAATATGTGCCATAGCTTCAAACTGGATATAACCCAATGTCTACCAAGATTAGAATAGGTATATCGCGATATGAGAATGAATGAACTACAAGTCATAGGCATATGTGGACACATCTCCTGAATATAATGTTGAGTGAAAAAACTCAGACAGAAAGAGTTTGTTTCCATTGATATAACAATTCCGACAGAGGTAAAATTAAGGTATGGTGTTAAAAGTCAGGATGTGGTTAACCTTGGGGGAAGGGGCAATGACTGGGAGGGGACTCAAAGAAACCTCTTGGTACTGGTAATGTTCTGTGGTTTGGTTATCAATTACATGGTTATGTATACGTTCTGAGGAGTCATTTAACAGAACACATATGATTTGTGCACTTTTGTATGTTATACCCATAAAAAGTTGACATTACAAAACAAAAGCCCCGAACATTCTGAAAACAAAAAGCATTTTATATATGTTCTATCTATCACAGTTTATGGATTAAACAGTCCTTGGTGTTACCCGGGTTTTTGAAAGAAGGATATTTTTGCTCAGATAAAACATATGCTTTTGTGTTAAAAAACCTTACTTGACATTTGGAAAACACTATTGAGGCAAAATGCTTCTAGTCATCTGCTTTGAATGGATTTTAATGCCTCTGAAAGTCTTTTTATTGATAATGTAGTAAGCTACAAGTTTTCAATTTCATATAATTGACTCAAATATTACTATGCTTGTTACTACTCAAATATCATCAAAATGCTTATGCTAGTCAGTTTGATATTTGGGATGCCAGAGTGGGAATCTATTTGACTACATAAAGTAGTCAAGCTGTATAATCATCCCCAGGGGTATCCATAGCTGTCATGCTTTAGGTGCATAGGAAGCCATAACCAAGGGGAACTGCTTGGCCACAACACCCTCACCAAGTTAAACAGCATGCTATTGAGTTCTTTTAGTTTGTTCTGGTGGAAATGCCTGTCTGCTATTTAGAGGGCATTTCCATAGTTCAACCTAACATTAAGGTTTAGATTCAAGGATGTTAGGACTTGATTGTCTCACTTCCTCTGTTAGTGGTGCAGCATGTTGTTACCTGGCTACAATTGTTAATGGTGATCATGACATAGACTTGGAGATATGGTGTATTAGGAGCTGTGTATCGTTTTTCATGGTAGCCATGGAGGATGAGGCACACATGAAAAACTGACTTGCATGTAGCTTGGACTTAAAGTTATTTATTGTCCTTTCTGAAGATTAGTCTTAAAATGCATTTCCCCCAGGATTCCTATCTTTATGTCACTCTGAACAGAGGAGTAGATTAGAGGTGAGAACGCCATTGGTTTCCTATTCAAACTAAAGGTAATAATTTATAAACATTTATTGAGTGCTTACTACTTCCAAGGCAATGAAGTAACTGTATAAGCTTTTCAGCTTGGCTTAGTGGGTCATGTCTGTAATTCCAGCACTTTGGGAGGCTGAAGTGCGTGGATTGCTTGAGCCCAGGAGTTCAAGAACAGCCGGGGAAACATTGGGAGACCCCATTTCTACAAAAAAATGAAGAAATTAGCCAGGTGTGGTGGTGTGTGTATGTAGTCCTAGCTATTTAGGAGGCTGAGGTGGGAGGTCAAGGCTGACACAAGCCATGAAAGTGCCACTGCACTCCAGCTGCCTGGGCAATGGAGTGAGACCCTCTGTATTTAAAAAAAAAAAAAAAAGCTTTTCTCATGATTACACATGTGAACATACACAAAACACACAGACATACATACACAGAAACAACTGTCATCAAGGAGATAGATCATTTGGGTATAGATTCTTTTTAACAATCAGGTATTCAGACATGCTCTGCCTTCCTAGTGTTAGCCTTAAATCTTCATCTGTCTGCTAGATATTTCCACTCTGAATGTCTATTACCTCAAAAGGAACATGTCTAATACTCAGTTCTTTACCTCCAGCCCTGACTGGCTTTCTGGTTTTAGCAATCATAGATGACCTCAATCCACCAGTTACCCAAAGTCCAAAGCTTGAAATTACCTTTTATTCTCATTGTTGTTATAATTTGCATTACTCTAATGACTAATTATATTGAATACCTTTTGTATGCTAATTTGGTGAAGTGTCTGTTGAAATACTTTGCTCATTTTCTTTTCTTTTTGGCTGGATTGAATGTTTTCTTGAGTTTCAAGAGTTCTTTATATATCCTGGATACAAGTCTTTTATCAAATATATGCATCATAAATATATTCTCTTCATTTGTGGCTTGTCCTTTTATTCACTTAACAATGTCTGTCCAAGAGCAGACGTTTTTAATTTTCTGAAGTCAATTTATCTTCCCTTTTTCCTTTATAGATCATGCTTTTGGTGTCATATGTAAGAAATCTTTGCTCAACCCAAGGTCACAAAGATTTTCTTTTTTTTTTTTTTTTTTTTGAGACGGAGTCTCGCTCTGTCGCCCAGGCCGGACTGCGGACTGCAGTGGCGCAATCTCGGCTCACTGCAAGCTCCGCTTCCCGGGTTCACGCCATTCTCCTGCCTCAGCCTCCCGAGTAGCTGGGACTACAGGCGCCCGCCACCGTGCCCGGCTAATTTTTTGTATTTTTAGTAGAGACGGGGTTTCACCTTGTTAGCCAGGATGGTCTCGATCTCCTGACCTCATGATCCACTCGCCTCGGCCTCCCAAAGTGCTGGGATTACAGGCGTGAGCCACCGCGCCCGGCCAAAGATTTTCTTTAATGTTGTCTAGAAGACCTATAGTTTTAAGTTTTGCTTACAATCCATTTTATTTTTTTTTCAAAATTGTGCAAGGTATGCATGTAAGCTTTTGGGACTTTCTCCTGGAATACAGATATTCAGCACCATTTGTTGAAAAACTATCCTTTTTTTACTTCATTGTCCTTGCACCTTAGAGAAGAATCAATTGGCCATACACGTGTGTTTCCATTCCTGAATTATCTATATCATTATTGTATTCATTATCTTTTGCCAATAACACACCATCTTCATTACTACAACTTTATAAACAGTCTCAAAATCAGGTATCAACAAATCCTTCAACTTTGTTTTTTTTCAGAGTTGTTTGGCTTTTCCAGGCTCTTTCATTTCCATATGAATTTTAAAATTAGCATGTCAATTTCTTAAAAAAAAAGAAAAAATGGTTTCTGGTATTTTAACTGGAATTGCACTGAATCTATAGATCAATAATTCAGGGGGAAAAAACCTGTTACTTTGTTTCTCTGTACATAACGTGACTTTTTTCCCTCCAGCTTCTTTTAGGATTTTCTCTTTATTTGTGGTTTTAAGTAATTTGCTAATGTTGGACCTTAGTGTTTTTTTTCAAGCTTCTTGTACTCCAGGTTTATTGAACTTGTTAGATCTGTGGCTTTAAGTTTTGATTTAATTTGTAGAGTTTCTGGCCATTACCTAATTATTTGGCCTTTCTTTTTCTCTGTGTATTTCGGGTAAGATAGTTTCTATTGCCATGGCTTCTTCAAGTTCACTAGTCTTTTATTCTGTCTTGTCTAATCTGCTATTCACCCCATTCACTAAGTTTTCCATTTTTACAACTGTAATTATCTCTTTAATTTCAGTTTGTGTCTTTTTCGTATTTTCTGTGTCTCTACTTACATGTTTACTCTTCTATCTTCTTGAACATTGGTGTACTGCTATAATGACTGGGTTAATGTTCTTGTCTACTTATTCTATCATTGGTGGCATCTGTGAGACTGTTTCTATTGATCTTTCTTATTGTAGCTCATATTTTCCTGCGCTTTTGCATTCCTGCTAATATTTGATGGGAATTTGACTTTGTTGGGTCTTGGACATTTGTTTTGTATTCTTATATTTCTGAGTTTTTTTGCAGAACCAAAGTTACTTGGAAACAATTTGACTTCTTTAAGGCTTGCTTAAAAGCTTTCCAGGATTTATTAGAGCAGCCTGTTTTCTACGGCTGCTTTTGTTCCATAGAAGGTAGATCCTTCTGAGTGCTCTCCCTGAGAACCTGTGAATTATGAGGATTTTCTACTCTGGCCTTTGAGAACATAAACTACTCCTTCCCTACATGGGATATTCCCTAGAGTATTCCTTCTAGCCTTTTTGGTGATTCTTGCTGCAGGTTTGGGTTCTTTCTTCACATGTATTTGTTGATGGATACTTAGCCGGAAGACCTGGGTGATCCCCTGCAGATCTGCAGAATATTCTTTGTCTTCTTGTACTCTGCCTTGTAAGTTCTTGGACTTTCAACTTCATTTCCTCAACTCAGGGTGATGTCTGGGTCCACCCGGGCTTCCCCCCGGTCTGCTGCTTCCTGGACAGTCCCTCTAGCAGTAGCTGGAGCAATCATAGCGCTGTTTGCTTATTCCCCCTGTGGGATCACTGTCCTATTGTACCTGATGTTCCATATTTGAAACCATTGTTTCATGTGTTTTCTTAGTTGTTTTAGGCAGGAGGGTGTCTCCAATCCCTGCTACTCCATCTTGGTCAGAAGCAGAAGTTGCCATAACTGTTTAAGCCTTTTATGTCAATCTTTGCACCACTTACTTAATTTGCCTCATCATATCACTTGACATTTGAACTACTGGAATTTTTTCTATCTATTCTCCCTATCCTCAGGCTCTGCTATTTGCAATTCATCTTCTCTAATTTAGCCACAGTAATTTTTACACAGCTTGGCTTTCTTCAAAACCAGTGAAGGCTCCCCTTTGGCCACAGGATGCAATTCAAACTCCTACTCTGACATACAAGATCCTCTACAATCTGACCACCATTTATCGATACAAACTTACTTTATTAGTTCAGATAAGCTGAACTAAACAGGACTCATCAATGTTATTTGTCTATTGCAGTCTCTTTGCCTTATATTTATTTGGCCCAAGAGAAACCCTCTTCTTTATGCCTATTCAAATTCTCCCCATTTTCAGTAAGTTTAAGTCCTACTTTCTCTACAGATCCTATAACACTGTAGTTTATGACACTTCTATATGTTTTTGCTCTTATTACCCAAATTACTGTTTTATCTACCAATTTCCTTCTTTCTATTCTTCATATTGGGGGGAGGGGAGAAGGTCTTGCTCTGTTGCCCAGGCTGGAGTGCTGTGGTGCCATCATGGCTCACTGTAACCTAAGACTTCTGGGCTTAAGCCATCCTCCCACCTCAGCTGCTTGAGAAGCTGGGACTAGAGGCACATGCTGTTATGTCTGGCTGATTTTAAAATGTATATATATATATATATATATATATATATAATTTTTATTTTATTTATTTATTTATTTTTTTTTTTTGTAGAGATGGGGTTTTGCTATGTTGCCCAGGCTGGTCTCAAACTCCTGGCCTCAAGTGAAACTCCTGCCTCAGTCCCTGCAAAGTACTGGGATTAAAGGCAGGAGCCACTGTGCCTGGCCTCTTTTTATTCTTAAAATTTAATTTTTCCTAGGCAAGTCTTATTTTCCTCACCAGATGATATTTCTCTTGATGTTAGGAGCTTGTCTTACACATCATCAGCCACAGATTATTGTCTGTCATGTGTCTTGTAGGAGCTTAATAAATATTTCATAGTCATTATCTATCCTGTCCATGTTCTCTTACTAAAAATGCAAATACA
Source organism: Homo sapiens (assembly GCF_000001405.40). Lineage (NCBI taxonomy): Eukaryota > Metazoa > Chordata > Mammalia > Primates > Hominidae > Homo > Homo sapiens. Next base: position 67,684,388 of record NC_000008.11, read on the forward strand.
AGTTTCCTATTCCTGACAACCTGCCAGCTCCACACAGCTTCGAGGTGATGGGGTGTAGAACCTCTTCCCTTAAGTTCTCACCTCCCTTGCCATCTCCCCATCAGAAACAATCCCCAGGAGCCTCACATGTGGAATGGTTTCACCACAGGCTGAGGAATGACAATGAAACAGAGCATGCGTACCCGGCCTCTCTCCAGCTCAAGATTGGCCGGATGCCTGGAAATCTGGGCTTCCGTACAGGCCCCGATGAGCTTTAACTCTAGAGAAGCGGGGCTTGCTCACCCTCTTCTGACAAAGATTCTCTGCTTGGCCAAAGTTTAGTCAGGCCCCTGAACCTTCTCCTAGGCCCATCTGTCCATTTCCTTGTAAAATCCAGCGTTAGCAAAGAACCTGCCATCCTTAGTATCTGATCACCTTCCACATCCGATCAGTCTTCTTATTCTCTATCATCCCCTAGGTGAGGTCTGACCACCCGGGCCTGTCTTCAGCAAGAATCCCATTAGGTCCATTTAGCCAGAATCCTCCCTTCCCTCTGATGTTTCCTCTTAGTAATTTTCCACCCACTTACCCTGCCCTGCTCCTTGGCTATACATTCCCAACTTGCCCATGCTGTGTTCAGAGTTGAGCCCAATCTCTCTCCCCATTGCAAGGCTTCATTGCAGTAGTCCCTATACCTATACTCTATATCAATGGCCCTAAATAGTCTTTCTTACCATCCTACAACAAGTATCATCGAATAATTTTTTCTTTAACATTCTTAGGAGCTGTTGACACCCAAGAAGCTGGGTGCTTTTTGGCTGGGTATCCAGATATATCAAACAGCTTCTAAAACTCTAAGAGAATTATTTTCTCTATCTTCTGAGATTCTCAGCCATCCTCCTGATGTCGCTAGCCCAGTGGATCTTAACTTTTTGTATGTGTGTCACACATTTAAAGGCTAGAATTGCTGGCCGGGCGCAGTGGCTCATGTCTGTAATCCCAGCACTTTGGGAGGCCGAGGCAGGTGGATCACGAGGTCAGGAGATCAAGACCATCCTGGCTAACATGGTGAAACCCCGTCTCTACTAAAAATACAAAAAAAATTAGCCGGGCATGGTGGCGGGCGCCTGTAGTTCCAGCTACTAGGGAGGCTGGGGCAGGAGAATGGCGTGAGCCCGGGAGGCGGAGCTTGCAGTGAGCCGAGATGGCGCCACTGCGTTCCAGCCTGGGTGACAGAGTGAGACTCCATCTCAAAAAATAAAAATAAAAAATAAAAAAACTAGAATTGCTAACCACTGTGGTGTTATAACAGCTCATCGTGCCTGTAAAAAATTCACAGTTGTCATTCTCATAATCAACTCTTAGCTATGTGTCTTCATTTGTGGCATATACCACATCATCTCCCTGAATTATTACGTTATTACGAGGTCACCAAAGGTCTTGGTCTTTAACTTGACCACTGTTTCTGCCTGGAATGTTCTTCCAGTTATAGACATGGTTTGCTCTCTTATTTCATTCATATCTCTAATCTGTCACTATTTGACTGGAGAGGGCTTCCCCAACCACACTCTCTAAGACAGCAATCCATCCTACCTTTCAATTTCTATCTCCTTACCCTGTTAGGTTTCTTCACAGCACTCACTGCCGCTTGATAATTTGCTTCTTTTCTGCCATCATAGATAGGGCCTATGTGCCTAGAATAATGCATAGCATATAGTAGGTCTCAAAAAATACTGATTAAATAAATGAATGACCAGAACCCCATTTTCCTTGGTCATTTATGTTTAGGCAAAATTCTCTCATGTTCTGAGTAACACACAATCTCTTTGGTGCCAGCAGAGGATTACATAACCCCCTCCTAATTGCTGACCTCTGTCATCAAGCAGTGCCTTGGCCCAGCTCAACTATCTGTTTGAGAGACATCACCATGACAGAAAACCAAGCCATTAGGGTCTTAATTTTTTCATCATATATTCCCCTTGGTGGGCTGCTGTTGCCCATCTGTCAGTAAATTACTCAACTTTCATATAAAACCTGGTTCCGCATAAACATTGACAAAAACCTCTTTTATTACATGTACATATATACGCATAGCCAAAAAGGAAGTAAGAATTGCCCACATATAACTGGGGAGGAGGCCAGTGGTGATAGCAGAAATTATAACTTCTGGGCCTAGGGCTTCTGCCCCAGATGACCGCAAACCCATTGTATACTGCAAAAGAAAACTACTTGCCTTAGTATGTGGGTTCCTCAAGTAAAACAAAACAGAACATTATTCAATTTTTGTGTTTACATGTTTAATGGTCGTGCTCCAAGCTGGGATTTTGCTATTTCAAACTGTATGAAAGAACAGTTAACAAGCTGAGGTTGTTCTTAGGGTACATGTCAGCTAAGGAACAGATTTATGAACACAAGTTAAATACAAGAGGGGAGAGGTTGGGAGTGGCTTCTGAAAGAGATAAAAGAAATCATAAAATTTTAGAGGTTAGGGGATGGGAAAAATACATAGAACTGACTTTTATATGTTCAGCGTGGGAGAGTTCAGAAACAGAATTCTCAAGAATGAAATTCAATTAAACTAAATTCTGCCAGGTAATGGATACCCACATGCAGTATTTACTCAAGGTCTTCAGAGGCCAAGAGAATCTCCCGGCCTTCTCAAAGCCACCTGCACCTGTCAGGGTTCAAGTTCCTTTCTGATGGCTTCTTAGAAGCAACATCTTAACTCCAGTGATGTTAGCATTTCCAGGAAATAAAATAGCAAATTAATTGGGATAAATAATAGGAATCTCACAGCATTTTTCTCTCACAGAAGAAAACCCAGATACTTACTCAGGACTTTCCAGTTTTAGCACTGAAAGTCCCATGAGCAGGGAAGGGCCTCAGTCCTGAGCCTTGAGCCAACCAGGATGGTTGGTCTCCCTTGAGATACCTTGTTGCAGGATGATAAGACTTAAGTTATAAGATATGACCCAGGACTGTTTTCTGAATTGTGTGGAGTCATTATCTGATGTACCAAGAGCAAAGCAGTGGACTTGTGGTGAGAGGATCTGGGCAGGATTGGGGAAGGGCTATTAAAAAGCAAGAGCTTTGGGGTCAGGCAGACATGGACTCATATGCAATTTTTGCTGTTTATCAGTCCTGGGACCTTTTGCAAATCATTTAACTGTTCTGAGCCTCTGCTAATGGGGTTGTTGGTTGTATGAATTAAATATAGAAACATGGAATATACTTAGTGCTGTGCCTCATATTTAGGAAGCATGTATCTAATGAGCTGCAATAGATGCTCATTATCATCACGGTGGGTTTCGGGGTCAGCGATTCAGTTTCTGGCTCTTTCATTACTTATTGTTGTGACGCTAGGCAAGTCAGTTCACTTCTCTAAGCCTCAGTTTCCTTGTCTATAAAGTGAAGATAAGGATAGCAGCCGTCTCTATAGGATAAGGATTATAGTCAATGAGACGATGCAGTTTTAAGGAACAATGTAAACTAAAGCACGATTCAAATGCAAGGTTTTGTAAGATTTAATACTACAGTCAGCCCTAAGTAAGGAACTGGAACTCCTAGTATGAAATAGATAATGGCAGTTACATTTATTAAAAATGATCACTTGAGCCTGGGTAACATGGAAAAACCCCGTCCCTACAAAAAATATAAAAGCCCAGCATGGTGATACATGCCTATAGTCCCAGCTACTTGAGAGCCTGAGGTGGGAGGATCACCAGAATATGAGGCTGCAGTGAGCTGAGATCACATCACTGAACTTCACTGAACTCCAGCCTGGGCATCAGTGTGAGAACCTGTCTCAAAAACCAAAAACCAAAAAACAAAAAATCATCATTTAGGATACTGTGTGTGGTTTTGGTTGTTTCACTTCAAGAAAGACAAAACAGATTTAAATAGAGTCTAGAGAAGTTTAACCCAAATGACCAAGGGGACAGATGAGATGCAGGATGACCAGATGATTCAAGTTTAGGAAATAATGAATATTTGAGAAGGTCAAGGAAAGGGAACACCCCTTGATTCTTGAACAGGACAAGTTTTAGGGTAAATACAAAGGGAACGCTCCTTATTACTTCAGTAATCAACTCACAGGACTCATTTACCCAAAATCGAAAGCTTAGAAACATAAACAACCTCACAAAATCCTAGCTGCCTTACTGTGGACTTTCTATGCATATGTTTATCAAGGGAATCGTATTGCAGGCTATATCATTAATGCTGAGGTTTGTGTCAAAAACAACACTTTTGTGACATCAACTTCAGAGAATGCCCCAATCTTAAAGTTCTTTTCTGCCCCATTTTTCATGACATTGTACACTTCTCTCCTAGTTTCGGTTTGTGTTTTGTTTGAATGAATAATTTGAATAAAAGAACAAATGATTTTAACATTTCTTTATTTCTTTTTCTGTCCACCCATTCCCTTATCCCTAGAAGCAGCTCTTATGATCCTGGGAGTATGCTGCACATTGACAAAAACAAATTACTCATTCTATTTTTATAAAATTTAGAGAGATAAGATCTAGTATTTAAAAGGCTCCCATAGACTAGTATAGTTTTCTCAGATTCGAATATACCATCCCATTTGTTGTTGTAATCCTATTATTGTTATTATTATTATTATTATTTTTTAGATGGAGTCTCACTCTGTCACCCAGGCTGGAATGCAGTGGAGCAACCTCGGCTCACTCTAACCTCCACCTCCTGGGTTCGAGCAATTCTCCTGCCTCAGCCTCAGCTCCTCTGTGTAGCATTTCGTAATTCAGTCTACTAAAACCCACAAATGACTCAATGTACTCCCGTAACTTTTTGTTTTGGAAGTTACCGTTACGCCTGGTTCTCTAGTTATAGACATGTACATATTAGCATACACACCCACGTAGAACTTCAGATATAAACTTCTTCTTCAAAAAAATTCCACTTTTATTTTAGATTCAGTGGGTACACATGCAGGTGTGTTACATGGGTATATTGTGTGATACTGAGGTTTGGGGTACAGATGATTCTATCACCCAGGTAATGAGCACAGTGCCCAACAGGTAGCTTTTCAGCCCACCTCTACCTCCACACTCCAGTGGTTCCCAGTGTCTATTGTTCCCATCTTTATGGCCATGAGTACCCATTGTTTAGCTCCCACTTGTAAGTGAGAATATGTGATATTTGGTTTTCTGTTCTTGCATTAATTTGTTTAGGATAATCACCTCCAGCTGCATCCATGTTGCTGGAGAGGATATGATTTCATTCTTTTATATAGCTGCATAGTATTCCATGGTATATATGTACCACATTTTCTTTATCCAATCCACTGTTACTGGGCACCAAGCTTGAGTACATGTCTTTGCTATTGATAATAGTGCTGCGATGAACATACAAGTGCATGTGTCTTTTTGGTAGAATGATTTCTTTTCCTTTGGGTATATACCCAGTAATGGGATTACTGGGTTGAATGGTAGTTCTGTTTTAAGTTCTTCAAGAAATCTCCAAACTGCTTTCCACATTGGCTGAACTAATTTATATTCCCACCAACAGTGAATAAGCATTCCCTTTTCTCTACAGCCTTGCCAACATCTGTTGGTTTTTCACTTTTTCATAATGGCCATTCTGACTGATGTGAGATGGTATCCTCATTGTGGTTTTGATTTGCATTTCTCTGATAATGAATGATAATGAATTTTTTTATATGTTTGTTGGCTGCTTTTATGTCTTCTTTAGAGAAATGTCTGTGTATGTCTTTTGCCTACTTTTTAATAGGGTTATTTGTTTTTCTGAAGATATAAGCTTCTCATGTAGAGGAACTGTGTGTTACTCAGTTCTGTATCTTATAGGTGGTTCAATTAATGTTAATCAAATTCTATAACATTTGATCTGGCAGCTAAGTGGACTGGTCTGCATAGAATTCTCATTTTTTAGAATCAATTTTTGATATATCAGAGGTTAATATTTTTAAGATGTCGATGGCAACAGAAATAAATAATTTAGAGTTAATGAATATTAATTACTATTACAAATTAGAAGTTTAAAGATCTGTATGACTATTTCTCAGCACATCAAGTAAATTTGTTGAGAAATTTGGTTCTAGCAATCTACTTGAGATGTGTGATATTTTCAGTCACACATTCAAATCAGCACATCAGTGCTTGTTCTAAGGTATGTTATTTAAACCATAAATGCTGTGTGAAGCAATATTAGTGTTCAGAGTCAGAACTCCTGAAATTTGGACCCCTATTAAACTCTGAAAAGCAATATAAACAGCTACATCAACCAGAGAAGCTGATGTAAGACACATTAGAAGAGGAAATATTAGAAAAGAATATTAGAAGAGGAAGCATTAGAAGGAAAGTCTTATCAGCTAAAAAAAATACAAGTCAGGAAGAGTGAATCAACAGATTTTAAATTTTCAACTTCAATACATATTTAATTTTTGGCTAGATTGCAGGAAATATGTCATACTTCATATTCAAGTGTGGGATATATTTCAAGCAACAATGAAATGCCAATGAATACAAACTTAAGATAACAAATATAACTTTTCTACCAAGTTAGCATGGTACAAATTCATCTACACTAAGTTTAATGTACAAATCAGTTTTTGTATAAACACAATAATAAACAATGAGTGACTAACACCTAAATAAAAGGCATTCCCTGACGGAAAACTTTCTGTACATTAACTTGAAAATTACATTCTGGTAACTACAAGCATTTGTTACTTTTCTTTTTCCCATTCACTTAGTAATACAAAAGGAAACATTTAAAAAACAAAGAAAACGAGGAAATTCACACAAGAACCAAATATTTGTCTCTTAGCCTTCTAGAAATAACTCATATTGACTTCATACATCTGTTCAAGTAGAGTACATGCTATGGATTTATGTAAGCGCACAGCTCTACACCTGTGATCGAGGTTGGTGGTGACTATCAATATCTTTGTGTTCTTCTCCTTCCTTGGTACACTGTGGACTGTATTTTTTGGCTCCCTTAATTTAGGTGGCCATCAGTGACCAGTCTTGTCACTGGCACGTGGCTGGAAAGTGATTTATGTATCTTTCAGGCCTGTCCCCCAAAACTGCCCTTGAAATCATTTTTGCCTTTCTCTTTCCTCATTTGCTGAAGGATGCAGAGGATACACTACAAGACTGAGGCCTGAGAAGGTGGTGGGAAGACAAAATAGCCTGGATCCCTGAGTGTTTGTGGGAGCAGAGCACGCCCAGCCCCCATCACACTGTCAGGAGCAAAAAACATGCTTTTAATGCTCCTCATATATTTCTGTGACTATGTTGATTTGTGATATTTAAATTCAAGATGTAAATATCTCTGTAAAATACCTTACCAAGTTTCTTCACAGACATGTTAAAAATATATCTTATGTTTTATCTACACAGCACTTTGAAATGCTGAGTAGATTTCAGGGAATTGGCTTTTAGTAAAAATAATGAAGTAGTATATTAGTACAGGCTCATTTTAGAAGGGGGATAGTGCTTGGAAGTGTTATTTGTTTGAGACCAAAACATGAATCAATAAATTAAGACTAAACTCCAAACATTTAATTCCAACCCAGATCCTTTTCTGGTTGATAGAGAATAACTTCCTTATGAGCCATGCTGGAGTTGTTTAATTAATATGTTATCTTTTTGTCCTGGCAGTTGCCCATGCAGAGATGAAAAACAATTTTAAAGAACAAGAGATTGGGCTGGGTATGGTGGTTCAAGCCTGTAATCCCAGCACTTTGGGAGGCCGAGGCCAGCGGATCACCTGAGGTTGGGAGTTTGAGACCAGCCTGACCAACGTGGAGAAACCTCATCTCTACTAAAAATACAAAATTAGCCGGGCATGGTGGCGCATGCCTCTAATCCCAGCTACTCGGGTGGCTGAGGCAGGAGAATCGCTTGAATCCAGGAAGCAGAGGTTGCGGTGAGCCGAGATTGTACTACAGCCTGGGCAACAAGAGTGAAATCCTGTCTCAAAAAAAAAAAAAAAAAAAAAAAGAACAAGAGATTGGTAAAACTTGAGTATGAGGAAGGCATATCTCACTTGCTAAAGTGTGAACTATGTGCTGGCAGCTGCTTGAACATATAATTTTTTTCCATGAGTCTAACATAATACATTTCACCACTCTGCTATTTTATTGAAGATTCTCTGTAAAATGTTTTAATGATCAATAGTAAGCTTTTTTCCCAATTAAGATTTTTAACAGTGAAGTTTATCTTTCTTGCTATAATCTATTATGTGTAAATCATGTCTTCCTAAGCTATATTATTTCAAAAGTGTGCAGGATAAACTATTTTTCATTACAACTAGAATCACACAGAAGTGCTGCCCTTTAACTGCTGGGTTTATGAAGTGGCAACAGCAAAAATGGCCCCATTAGTGGGAAGTTAGTATTATTTCTTCACCATTAAATCATAGGTCTCTGTGAAAGTGTTGACCTCTTCGCTTCAAATTGGGGCACAGATAATGAGTGCAAATTAATACCCAAGGTAGCTCATGTGTAAACATTTTAAGCTGATGATATACAGAGTTATACATGTAGACATATATTCACTACGAGTCATACCCATTAGCATAGACCCATAGACCTAAGGCACAAAGGACACTGGCAGGGGACTTATTCATGCAAGCAGGAAGAGAAACCTGAACAAAAATTCCAACGATGACTCAGAACACTGCCATCTGTAGCTATTGTACATCACTAGTTATTAAGGCTGATGACTGCACAGTATCAAAGCACTGGCAAATGTGAAAAGACTCATTCCAAATAAAATAGCTACGAAATGAAATTCCTTCTGTTTTCCATTCAGCATTAGTAGACTGTGTGACCTAGGACCATTGTTTCTTTATTCTATAGCACTATCTTGGGAAACAAATGCTAGCCTTCTCAGAGCTATTACTAGGGTTCTCCTCATGTAAATGTCTTTGGAAAGGCAAACGAGCTTAATTGGGCTGTTTTCAATCCCCTAAGTGTATAAACTACCAGGAAGAACAGGGCACTCACAGGATGTGGAACATACTCGGGTTGACCACGTTGGAGTCAGAATTTACTTAGTGAAATGTGGGAGAAGAGGCTGGTACATTGCAAGCATCAAAAATTATTTGTGGAATGGATGGTGCCATAAACTGAATGTTTTTGTCCCTGTAAATTTCATATGCTAAAATCCTAACTCCCATGTGATGGTATTAGGAAATGGGGCTTTTGGGGAAGTGATTAGGTTGTAAAGGCAGAGGCCCCACGAATGGGATTAGTGCCCTAATGAAAGAGGCCCTGGAGAGCTCCCTCACTTCTGCCATGTGAGGACAGAGTAAAAGACTGCCACCTATGAACAAGGAGGTGGGTCCTCACCAGACCCCAAATCTGCTGGCCCTTTCTTCTCATACTTTCCAGCCTCCAGAACTGTGAGAGTTAGAGTTCTGTTGTTTAAAGATAGTTTGTTATAGCAGCCTGAACGGACTCAGATGGAACCAAGAAGTAGCAACTACTCTAGACTTACGGGTAAGACATTTGTGTGTCAGAGGGTGGGAAATAAACTCAACTAAAATTCAGGGGCCTTCTGCCTCAGTGAAATTTCTAGGGATCCAGTGGTGTGGAGCAGGTCAAGGTATCTCTTCTAAAGTGAAGGATAAGTTATTGCATTTGGCCCCTCCTACAACAAAGAAAGAGGCAAAATGCCTAATAGACCTCTGGATTTTGGTAGCAACATATTCTTCATTTGGGTGTATTACTCTGACCCATTTACTGAGTGATCTAAAAAGCTGCTAGTTTTGAGTGGGGCCCAGAACAAGAGAAGGCTCTGTAACAGGCCAGGCAGCTGTGCAAACTGCTCTGCCACTTGGACTGTGTGATGCAGCAGATCCAATGGTGCTTGAAGTGTCAGTGGCAGATAGGGATGCTGTTTGGAGCCTTTGGCAGGCCTGTATAGGTAAATCACAGCATAGGCTTTTAGGATTTTAGAGAAAGGCCTTGCCATTTTCTGCAGATAACTACTTTCCTTCTGAGAGACAGCTCTTGGCCTGCTGCTGGGGCTTAGCAGACACTGAACGTTGCCCATGTGCCACCAAGTTACCATGTGGCCTGAGCTTCCCATCATGAACTAAGTGTTATCTGACCCACCAAGCCGTAAAGTTTAGTGTGCGCAGCCAACCCTCCATCATCAAATGGAAGTGGTATATACAACATTGGGCCTGAGCAGGCCCTGAAGGCACAATTAAGTTACATGAAGAAGTGGCTTAAATGCCCATGGTCTCCACTCCTGTTACACTGCCTTCTCTCTGCCAGCCCGCACCTATGGCCTCATGGGGAGTTCTCTAAAATCAGTTTACAGAGGAAGAGAAGACTAGGGCCTGGTTTCAGATGATTCTGTACAATACGCAGGCACTATCTGAAAGTGGACAGCTGCAGCGCTACAGCCCCTGTCTAGGGCATCCTTGAAAGACAGTAGTGAAGGAAAATCTTCCCACTGGGCAGAACTTTGAGCAGTGCATCTGGTTATTCGCTTTGCTTGGAGAGAAATGTCCAGATGTCCAGACGTGTGATTATATACTGATTGATGAGCTGTACCCAGTGGCTTGGCTGGATGGTTAGGAGCTTGGAAGGAACATGATTGGAAAATTGGTGAACAAAAAATTTGGAGAAGAGATATGGGGATAGACCTCTCTGAATGGGCAAAAAAAATGTGAAGATATTGGTATCCCTTGTGAATGCTTACCAAACAGTGACCTCATCAGGGGAGGATTTTAATAATCAAGTGGATAGAATCCACTTGATTATTCATTAGATGCCATCATCCATTCATTAGATGCCACTCAGTCTCTTTCCCTAGCCACTCCTATTATCATCCAATAAGCTCATGAACAAAATGGGCCGTAGTGGCAGGGATGCAGGCTAGGCCTGGGCTCAGTAACATGGACTTCCACTCACCAGGCCTGGCCTGACTATAGCCATCACTGAGTGCCCAATCTGCCAGCAGCAGAGACCAACACTGAGTCCCCAATATGGCATCATTCCCTAGGATGACCAGCCAGCTCCCTGGTGGCAAGTTGATTATACTGGACCTCTTACATCATGGAAGGGATAGCATTTTGTTATTACCCAAACAGACATTTACTTTGGATATAAATTCGCCTTCTGTGAATACAATGCTTCTGCCAAAACTACCATCCTTGGACTTACAGAATGCTTTATCCACTGCCATGATATTCTACACAGCATTACTTCTGATCAAGGAATTCACAGCAAAATAAGTGTGGCAACTGGCTCACGCTCATGGAATTCATTGGTCTTACCATGTTCCCCACTATCTTGAAGCAGCTGGCTTGATAAATGGTGAAATGGCATTTTGAAGATTCAGTTACAGTGCCAGCTATGTGTTAATACCTAGCAAGTTTCTCCAGAAGGCTCTACATGTTTTAAATCAGTGTCCAATATATGGTGCTGTTTCTCTCATAGCCAGAATTTACAGGTCCAGGAATCAAGGGGTACAGATGGGAGGGGCAGCATTCACTATTACCCCTAGTGACCCACTAGCAAAATATTTGCTTCCTCTTCCCCTTGCTTTATGCTCTTCTGGCTTAGAGGTGATAGTTCCAGAGGGAGGAGGGCTCCCACCAGAAGATAACAATAATTCTGTTGAACTGGAAGTTAAGACTGCCACCTGGCCACTTTGGGCTCCTGGTGCCTCTGAATCAACAGGCCAAAACGGGAGTTACAGTCTAGGCTGAAGTGATGGATCCTGACCACCAAGGGGAAATTGGACTACTGTTCCACAATAGAGGCAAGAATAGACATTCTTTTGAAGTCACATGGGATATCACCAGGATAACCATATGCTGGGCTATAAAACAAACCACAAAAAAGATGTATGATTTGAATAAACACTCATAATGTAGATAATTTGAACAGGGACTCCATAAAGAATATATAAATGCATGTACAATGGAGTTCAAAATCATTAAGCATTAGGGAAATGCAAATTACAGCCACACTGAGAAGCCATAGTACATGCACTAGAATAGCAAATATTAAAAAGATTGACAATATCAAGTGTTGCAAGGTCATGGAGCATTGTGGGAATTCAAAATGGTATAGCTTCTTTGGACAGTTTGATGGCATCTTATGTTTAACATACATTTACTATATGGTCCAGCAATTCTACTTCGAGGTATCTACCCAAGAGAAATGAAAGCCTATGTCCACAGAAGTGTGCATAATATTCAAGCAGCATTATTCATAATAGCCAAAAATGGAAACAACACAAATGTCCATCATATGTTAAGAGATGAACAAAATGTGGTATATCCATACAATGGAATACCACTCAGCAATAAAGGGATTGAACAAGCTACAAATATATGAACTACAAACCATCAAACTAAGTGAAAGATAGTAGACAGAAAAGACTACATGTTTCCATTTATACCATATCCTGGAAAAGGTAAACCTGTTGTTAGAAAGATTAAATGACTGCTGGGATCAAGAAGGATAGACCAGGGGATTGACTGGAAAAGGGCCCTGTGATACTTTATGGGGTCATGGAAATGTCCTAAAACTAGACTTTGGAAGCAGCTGCCCAACTAAATACATTCGTCTAGCTCATTGAACTGCATACTTGAGTGATTTTATTATATGTAAATTATATTTCATTAAAGCTGTTAAAGACTCCCACACCATTCTATAAGGTGGACATTACACCCATTTTGCCCTGAGGAAATAGTCTCAGAGAGATTGGGCAATATACTTAAGGTTAAGCAGACAGCCACTGTCAAACCCAAGTCCATGTTGGTAATCACTGCTCTGTTGTACTTGTGGGGGTATGGGGGACCCTGGGAACACCACGAGGGCAGTGGCAGCTCCCAGGGATGGCAAACTCCACTGAGCTAAAGCCACTGGGGGCTGCTGCTCTCCACGGAAGTAGTTTGTTGCTAGGAAGACTGGAGTGAGTCCTGGGTTACAAATGCTGTCTAGAGACTTCTGCTGTTCTCAGAGGCAATGTGCTCTCATGTGAAAAAGAAGGCAGATAGAGGTTGAACTTCTGGCTTTCCCACTCAATAGTCATAAGACCTTAAGGAGGCCATCTGACTTCTTTAAGCTTGGGTTTCTTAAACTCTGAAAGTGACTCAAAGATGAACCACCTTTCTTACTGAGTTGTTTTGTGTATTAAATGAAATATATGCTATAAAGGACCTGTGCCTTAGGAAATACTTAGTAAAAGTAAATTCTCTTCCGCTTTACCTCTTGAGGGAAAAGGCACTCAGTCTCATCCACTGTTTAATAACCAGAGAGAATGAGATTGCCTTGTAAAAAATGTTTTTTACTGAGGAAAAATAAATAGAAATCTTTCATCAGGTACTCTCGCAAGCATTAGAGTTACCTGGCCCTCAAATTCTACTCAGGATGTTGCAGTCGCAGGAAAAAAAAAACTAATTTTATAATTATTTCCTTCCCTTACTTTATTTCTATGAAGACTGATATGTGTATTAAACTGTGAACATTTGTACGTGTCAATAAAAATATTTAAAAGTATATATGTCTGTGTGTGTAACTTTTATGCACACAAAAATCTTGCATTATTTGAATCATGGTTGTATGGCAGCAAGTAAATGCTAAAAACTATAAAACGGAATCCTAAATGACTATATCAGAAGTATCAGGTGTTTATTCTGTTAGGTCCAGGAAATGAGAACCTGGTAGCTGTCACTCAATGCGAAATCTTACAACTTTTTAAAAATTTTATCAAGGTTTGAGATTAAACTCAAAGAGCCCAAAGCATTATATTATATAATTATTTGGCTAGGTAATAATGAAGAGCCTTTGACTAGATAGTAATGAAGAGCCTTCCCTCTTATGTCTGTCCAGATGGGGGTTCTTATACCTGACTGCATAAAAATAACCTGATATAAAAATGCTGATTTCGAGGGCTCTCACACCAGAAATGATGATTTCATAGGGCAAGGGTAGGGCTCAGTAATTGGTGTTTTTTCTTTTAAACAACTCCTGGTGATTCTGGTGAAGGTGATTCTAGACCTTACTAAACTTATATCCTACTTCTCAAGGCCCTCTTTTTTCCAGGAGAATTTCCTATGATTATTCCAATTGGGATCCTCCAATGTGCTCTTTGGGATATTATTGTGTGCTATAAAACAGGCTTTGTGACCAAGAAAGTTTGGGAACACATTCTAAGAAATACTCAGTCTGTAATTATCTTCTAGTTTTCTGTTTGCTGTCAGCATCAATCAATATAAGTCGATATGTCTTCCGATTCTGTGTCTATACTGAATAATACAGCATTTTCTTATTTTATTGACTGTTTCATGAGGTCTCCTCTCCCCAACTGGATTTATAAGATCCTTGAGACAGTTATGTATTTTTTAAACCCTTTTTGTCACATAGGGCCTACCTGATCACTGTTAGTGCCTGGGAAAGGCAATGACACCTCTATACTATTTTAACTAACTGATATCACAATGAAATTAACTGAGAAAGGCAAGAATGGTGCCCAGAAGTTCTATTACTATTCTGAGTCTAGTTCCATCTTGTTTCCTGAATGTGGCTTCAAATAAGGTTCCAGAGGAAACTATACACTGGAAAGTCCAGAAGCACTTGGCAGGCCACTCTGCACAAGGTAAGCAGTGCAATCCACTACATAGTTGGAAGGAAAAAGGCCTGGAAGAATGGCATGGTCTCTAATGCCACATTGCTAGAATAACTTTCCCAAATGCTACATTATTATGACTTCTGGGCACTTGGAGCCAAACAAATATAATGAAAAACGGGTTACAGGCCAGGTTTAGTGGCTCACGCCTATAATCCCAGCACCTTGGGAGGCCGAGATGGGTGGATTACTTGACCTCAGGAGTTTGAGACCAGCCTGGGCAATGTGGCGAAGTCATGTCTATCAAAAATAAAAAAATTATCCGGGTGTGGTGGCATGTACCTATAGTCCCAGCTACTTGGAAGGCTGAGGTGGGAGGATGGCCTGAACCCGGGAGGTGGAGGTTGCACTGAGCTGGAGGTTGCAGTGAGCCCAGATCACCCCACTGCACTCTAGTCTGGGTGACAGAGCCAGACTCTGTCTCAAAACAAAACAAAACAAAACAGGAGGGGGGGATGTTACCTAGAAAAACAGGCAAATAAATAAATAAATAAATAAACAAACAAACAAACATTTACATGCAATTTTAAGTCCAAGTAAACTTGTGACCTAAAAATTGAAGTGATTTATGTTTTTTCTTCTTTTTTTTTTTTCTTGAGACAGAGTTTCACTCTTGTTGCCCAGGCTGGAGTACAATGGCACTATCTGGGTTCATTGCAATCTCCACCTTCCAGGTTCAAGCAATTCTCCTGCCTCAGCCTCCCGAGTAGCTGGGATTACAGGTGTGCACCACCATGCCCAGCTAATTTTTTGTATTTTTAGTAGAGATGAGGTTTTACCATGTTGGCCAGGCTGGTCTCAAACTCCTGACCTCAGGTGATCCACCTGCCTCAGCCTCCCAGAGCGTTAGGATTACAGGCGTGAGCCACCACGCCCGGCCATGGTTTATATTCTTAACTGAGATGGAAGAGTTTCAGAAATTAGAGAATCCTCTACAATTGTATGTAAAATTCTGTATGCATTTCCACTTGGGGGAAACAGTTACCTAATATTCATTAGAATCACAAAGAGATCCACGACTCAAAAGGATTTTATCAAACTCTATTATTTTGCCTCATATAATCGTGAGGTTTATAAAACTGAGTTTTTTTAAACATACTTCTCTAAGCAACATCGTTTTAGTCTGTTTTAAACACTTGAATAGACAGCTTTAATAGGGAGGTACTATGTACAGGCCTGCAGCTCTGATGTCTTCTGGTCTATGGTTTATGTTTATGTGTTTACTTAAAGTGGCTTACACAATAATCATGGTTACAAGTTGAATAGCACACATTCTTTCAGTTTTATACATACTAAGGAGTTATAAACTCTGAAAGAAAAACTACTATCTGGTAACTGACCCCAAACTGTATTTGCTAAGCTAATGTAAATCATTGTTCTAAATCAATACAGCCATTTTCTCCAGTAATTACTGGTGGCATTTCCTCAGACAAAGAAAGTCTTTTGCAATTTGGGGATTTGCAAAGGACTTGTAAGTCAATAGATGTTGTAATTCTTTTGGTATTTTGGGGAGACAAGTCAATCATTTGAGCTAGAATCCAGGTTTAAAACAATGTAGTATAATCAACAAATGTATAAAGTTGGAGCAATTTTCCCTTAAGGATAATTTTTGTAGCATGGGTGATCTGTCTTCATCTTTCCTTCCAGCAACTTTGGTTGAGGTTTGCAGTAAGTATATTTTTACTGCTCTAAAACATCAATGACTAAACATATTGACAAAAGAAAATGTAAAATAATTTTGCTTCAGGGGAGTTGCATTTTATATATTGTTAGGAGGGAAGAAAAATATCCCAGCATTCACAGTTCTATTTTGGTAAGTCCAATAATAACATGCTAGCATTCAAACATAAAATAATAATCCTCAATCATTGATTTTTAATGATTTATTTCCATATTCTCCAACTAACCTTCTTTATGCCAGAAACACATAAAGATATGACAATGGCTGGGAATATAAATATATTCTATGACTTTAGAATATTATAGACATAATCATATACATAATATATAATTACTACAGATAGATACAATCGTTTCCTCACTTAGGGGCAAAGTACATCCCAGTACTATCTCAGAGAAAACATGGTATAGTGGAAAGAGCATGGAGTTTGAAGACAGATTCATTCTCTTAATCTTTACTTATATATTTATTATAGGCCTGTTTTGGGCTAGGTACTGAGAATACAAGAAGAAACTGATAGATACAATCCTTGCTGCCTGGAACTTTGCAGCTTCAATTTTAGGGTGCTACTGAGCACTCATGAATCAAGTTAATCTTGTTAAGCCTCAGTTGCCTTATTTGTAAAAGAAGGTGATATCACTCATCTCTCAGGGTGTCACGAAGAGTATATATGAAAAAGTGACTGGTTCCACTCTAATAAACAGGTAATATTTAAATCTGAATTATTACTAGACAGTTATTTCTTAGTTTTGAAGGGACAGATACACCGTGACTGTGGAACCGAGTGACAGATAAAAGAACACATTTCAAAATCTTTAGAGAACAAAAGTACACAACCGTCCCACATGATGATTTAATGAAAGTGTTCTATAGGCTGGTGATTATTTTATTTTGCTAAACTGCATCTAACCTGACAGCCATCCCTTTCATCAACACAACAGAGAACTATAGTGAAAGGTCTGTGTGGTTATTCAGATGTCCTACAAGAGAAACGCAAATCACTGAAGAATTACTTTATGCACAGACCAAAACTGCAACTTAGGAATGTGTGAAACTGGCTGGAACCAACCTCAGGGTGGCAAACAAGAGAAGCCTCATTTATGAAGTTTTTCCTGGGAAGAACTGTAACTTCCTATAAAGAGCAGAATGTTTTTATTTCTGCATTAGGATTACTACAGAGGCTGAACTCTAACTGCAGTCGCTTACAATTCAGTGGCTCCCAATCCTCATTTCCACCCAAGGACCCCTTTTGTATTCATCCCCACGAACCCTAGGTTTGGGAAGATTGTGCGTGCAGTGTTCAGGAGAGTAGGGGCTCTCCTACTCTCAAGTGTTTGTTAAACTGCCTCTCTAAAAGAATAATTGATTGCAGCTGGCTCCAGGGAAAGACAGTCTCCCAATAGACAGAAAACACCTGAATTTGGTGATAAGCAGCTTCCCAATAAGATCTTAGGACTTGGGTGAGTGGGCTCAAACATGCACACTGACATAGAAAACACTGCATGCATGTTTGTTATCTGTACCATGCTAAATTTAAATAATTTCTCAAGTATTTATTCAAGAAAATTATATAGAATGAATATTCCTCATTGAGGACAAAATCAGCATTACTATATGGAGATAATACCCTTGTAGTCAAAAGCAAAGAAACTTAAGGTCCTCATGATCCCATGTAGCTTTATCATGTTAGAGTAGGTAGCTAGGCAGACATGAGCAGTGCAGGAGAGGGCTCCCACCCCCACCAGGAATGTCAGGTGATCATCAGGAGATGGTCAGGTGGTGGTTAAAAAGTCTCTGTAAAATAATAATTGGTTGCTACCAGCACCAGAAAAGGGCAGTCTCCCAAAAGATAGAAAACACTTGAAGCTGGTGATCAGTAGCTTCCCAATAAGATCTTAGAAGTTGGACGAGTGGGCTCAAGCATGCACACTAAGGCAAAATGGTGGTGTTTAACTGGTATATGGCCTTCCTCCAAGAATACTTGAATGGTAAGGGAAAAACGCCTCAAGTGAGTAGAATACAACTTCAGTAACCACACTGCGCATACGGCCCCTCTCAAGTGCTAGCAGGCCACTGTGCATGTGGACAGCCCACCTCAAAGGAAGAATCAGGGGAGAAGAGACACAAATCCCAGAATCATGCCAATGTATAAAACCCCAAGTCAAGGGCTGAACAGTGCACTTGAATCTCCCAAGTTGCCTGCTTGGCCCTCTTCCAAGTGTACTTTACTTCCTTTCATTCCTGCTCTAAAACTTCTTAATAAACTTTCACTCCTACTCCAAAACCTGCCTCAGTCTCTCACTCTGCCTTATGCCCCTTGGATGAATTCTTTCCTCTGAGGAGGCAAGAATCAAGTTGCTGAGGATCTGTGCAGATTTTCTATTGCTAACATATTTTGGTGCCATGTGACTTGGATATGTTCCCCAGTGGTGAGATACCTCTATGCCTCTCCTCCTTTGGCTGGAGGTGTTCAATCCCTGTACTCAGTTTCTTTCTTGACTTTCACTTTCCTGCTTATTAACCAGTCCCCAGGACAACTTGTCTTGGTCTCAGTGGCTCTGCTCCCCCAAAGCTGATCTCTCAGCTCACCCTGATGGGTGGCTTGTTGGGGTGGAAAGGACTTTGGAGTCCACACTGCATAGATCTGAGGCCCTAGTGGCCCTCCTGGACAGGAGGCCAGCAAGAGTGGTGAGGCTAAAGCCTAAGACCATGAAATATTTGGGGTTTCCTCTGCTTTTTCAACTAAAATTGGATCTTTCCCCAAAATCCACACCACTTATTCTCTGGTTTTCTCTGTGGGTATTCTGAAATGGCCTTGTGCACCTGCCAGATCGTCTGCCTTGGGGGCAAGTCTGCTTCTTCTTTGCTTTTACTTTGCATGCTGCATGACCTCCTTCTCTGCCTTAAATACACTCCCTGCTATTTGTGCACCCATGGCTCTTGCTGCATTTGTCTGGCAGCGAAGACATGGACTCCTTGGAGATATCCCCTGAGATTTATACTTGTTTTTACTCTACCAGCTCAGATGACCTCCAAGTCTTTCCCTGTCTCTTGGCTCATTGCTAGGATAAACACTAATCAGAACCCCAGCTCTGCCAGCTCCTTATGACTTTCCATACACTTTTATTTTCATCCCAGTTATGCTCCAGGGCCAAGATTTTTTGCTTTTGAAGCAGTTTGTCTGCCTGCATAGGGCCTAACTCTGTGGCCCTTTAAGGACCCCACTTACATGCTGCTTTTTTTTTGTTGTTGTTGTTGTTTTTGTTTTGTTTTGAGTTAGCACCCACTTTGGGAGGAAGGGAAATTCTTTCCTTGCCATTTGCTAGCCCTTATCCCAGGCCCCTTATCCTCCTCCAGAGGTTCCTCCTTTATGTCAGGTGGGCAAATAAACATTGCCCTCTCAAATCCAAGGACTACTGTTTTTGCAAACAAATGAAGGCTTTCCATGAGTATTCCTCTTGCTTCTTCCCACTTCCTCCTGTAGCAGAGGGATTAACCTGTCTTTTCAAGCATTTGTTCTGTATGTTACCCTGGTGAGGACAAGGAACCCCAAATACAAATTTTCCTCCATTTCTCTAATCACTTCTGTGCCCTTCTCAATACGCGTCAAGACCTTCAAGGTCATATTTGAAGGGAGGGAAGTCCAGCCCCTTGTAGCAGTTAGCTGAAAAACAGGCTTCTTGTCTGCTTAAAAAGCATGGGAAATGGAATTATAAGAAAAGAGAGAATCATTTTGTGCTAAAATGCTCTGAATGAGAGTCACTGTAAGTTCATGAGGACAAGAATATAGGCCAGCTGAAGGCTGCAGGTGCAAGAGAATAAAAAGTTCCCATAGGACAGAGATGAAGGCTGGTCCAAGGACAGATTACCATTAGAACAGAGATGAAGGCAAGGTTAGGGGTACCTGGTAAGACTGGTTCATTGTGGAACCCCAAGGATGAATAGGGGGCTTCTGTTCATTCCAGTATCTCCTCTGTTCTCGAGTAATTGTGATGAGATGGGACCAAAGTTAAGGTACACGGTAAGACTGGTTCATTCTAGAACCCTAAGGATGAATGAGGGTCACCCTGTTCAGGAAAGGATAATAGGGAGATAACAGGCAACATCTTTTTTCCTTTGTTTTCTCCTCTATTCTCTCTTTGCAGATGGGTAATCGTGTCTCCCTACCACATAACATGCTCCTTGGATGCATCCTCAAGAAGTGGGAGAAAATTATAAAAGTCGGCCTTAGAAACCAGTGCCCCTATGATGGAAATCCTCAAGTTAGCCTCTTCAGTATTTTATAGGTGAGAGTAGAATAAGGAGGACAGGGCTAAAGAGAAGGAGAAACACAGAAATAAGAAACAGGCTCAACTATTGGCTGTTTTACAAGCCCTCCAGCCCCTCCAGGTTGCCCCAGAATACCCTCCCAGGTAACTGCCATTGGTGTGGGAAGCCAGGCCATTGGAAGGCAATGTGCCTCAATGGGATAAGTGGGAAAAAGTTCCGCACAGCTTGCCACCTCTGCCACAAGCTTGGGTACTGGAAACGGGGCTGCCTTGAGGGCTGAAGGGTGCCTAGGACAGAATCCCCACCCCCGATGGCCTTGAGCTGAAGGAGCTCTACGCTCTGGCCAGTTTCCAAATCAGACCTCACCATCAACAGAACAAAGCCAAGGGCAACTCTGGAGGTGGCAAGTAAAATTATAAATTTCCCTTTGGGTTTAAGAGCTGCCTACTCTGTGCTAATCTTTTCTAAACAACTCTCCTCCGAATCCTGCCAGGTAATGGGGGCAAATGGCACCACTTCCCTCCAAAAGAAAAGATTCACACTCCTTTATATTATTTAAGGGACCAATTACCATTCTCCCATCAGTCCCTGGGTAATGAATGTCTAAATATCCCACACCTCTTTGGTGCAAAAATATACTTTCCAAGATGGGTGTCTGCTTAATATTCACATGATCTCTGAATTCATCTTTCCCTTTAATAGCCCTGTTTCTCCTGGGAAAGCTACCTAAATCTTTATCTATTAACTTCATCCTGGTCAGTCCTAACTCAGGGGTTTAGAAATTGCCCACATTTATTCAGACAAGCTCTAGCAAAAATCTAACTGAGCAATCTCTTGAGGTGGGCATAACTTCTACAGTATGTGGATAACCTCCTTATATGCTCCCCTTTCACAGGGCTCACACGGCAACATGCAGTACAAACCAAAACTTCCTAATAGAAGGAAAATGAATTTTGTCTAATTCAAAAGTTATAAAGGTAAAGAGGTATTTTTGGTAAGAAAAGTTATAAAGAGGAGATTTTGTATGAAAAAGGATCTTTTATGGTAAATTTTTGTCCTAAAGTAAAATAACTGGTTGTTTACAAAGAGGAATGCTTAGGACCAAAAAAGTCCAAACATGTTGTAATGGTCTGAGTCATAAAAAGATTCATGAAAGGAATTTATGAAAAAACGTTATACAATTTTAAAGGTTATTAGGCCTACTAAATGCTTCATAAACAACTACTATGACTTTTAATTGTACAACTTGCCTGCTTTAAAGCCATTAAATTCTAGGTAAGGACTGTGGACATACACAGTTTGCCATGTCCCCAAGCCGTGCTGGTAAAAGTAAAACCTTATCTGAACTTCTGTCTGATGTCCTAGGCTCTAAATCTAGGACATAATCAGAATCTGCTACCAGGTTTTTCACCAAAAGTAAAAGTTGCTAAGAGTTAACAGTGTAATTTGTACATAAGACCACTGAAAGAACAGTTTCACATGAAAGGCATGTGAAGAAAGTAGAACACGTTTCTGGTAAAAGATTACAAGAAATGGGAATGTGGATTTTTTTTTTGGTCTAGAGGGTTAAAGGATCATTTTAAGTTAGGGTAAAGCTAAAGATTTGAGCAAGTTGTGGAAGGTTTGTGAAAAATTAATTTGTAAAACAAATTCTGTGTGAATATATTAGCTAAAATTAAAGGATTATTACTAAGTATACCTAGTATTTACAGTTTATCTGTAAATTGAACATTGGAATAGAAGCACAACATAGTTTTCTTATATGAACGTTCTACTCTTTAATGAAAAATTGTAAAGGGTTATAAAAGGTTTATGAAAATCTTACCTTACAGTCAAACTGATTAAGATTACATAGATTTGTCTATAAGGATTTATTAAGAATTGGGTCTGACATCAATAGTACACTAATGCAAATGTAAAGTTTGGTTTTCTTTGCACTGTATCTGTATAAATGTGTTATTGGTATGTGTTCCAAATTTATGCAAAATTCTTATAATTCTGATATAATTTAGTATATGTTATCAGTAATAATTATCATTGTTATGTTAAATTATTTTGTGCCTCAGAGGTAACACATTTCCTTGTCAATTGTTCTTTGACTGTGGCTTGCTTAAGACTTTTTGTCATCCACAGACAATTATTGTCTTATTTTGATCCTCTTCAAAAGATGGCTTTATAATCAGATATAGGACTCTAACAGGTGCTCTTAAATGCAGATTTCTGATAACTTTAGTGATTGTGACATTAGAATAGGTGAAAAAACTTTCAGGACCCTCATGGAGAGCTGAAACATTCATGAATACCAAGAAGAACAGGAGTTAACCGCATGGACTGAACTAAGAGAAGACTGACATAATCCTTTCACGACTTTTTGCTTAAAACCTTGCTGATTCTTTTTCAAAGCCAAGAAAACTTTTCTTTTAAGCTATTTACAGCTTTTAACAATTAAGTATACTCCTATAAACAAAATTTTGAGCATATTCCTCTCTACCTGATTTCTCTAAAATTTAGAAACTATATGTGAGTATTCTTAACTTATGGCAATATAGTTATTTGCATAAGTGCAATAAAAATGTTTTCTTTGCAGTAGGACACAATTAGAGAAACTGGTTATTTTACCAAGGCTTTGACTAGAATGATGTGCTTTCCTTTAAAAAATCAAACTTAAGGCTGGGTGTGGTGGCTCAAGCCTGTAATCCCAGCAATTTGGGAGGCTGAGGCAGGTGGATCATGAGGTCAGGAGTTCAAGACCAGCCTGGCCAACATGGTGAAACCCCATCTCTACTTAAAAATACAAAAATTAGCTGGGCATTGTGGCATGTTCCTGTAGTCCTAGCTACTCAGGTGGCTGAAGCCGGAGAATTGCTTGAACTGGGACCTGGGAGGAAGCAGTGGCAGTGAGCTGAGATCACACCACTGTACTCCAGCCTGGGCTACAGGGCAAGACTCCATCTCAAAAAAAAAAAAAAAATCAAATTTGACTTATAGAGCCAATAAAAGATCCTTGGGAAAACTGACCTTATACCTTGTCTACACAGTCCCTGTACAAGGTTTCTGACCTGTGACAAGTAAAGAATGTTACTTTCTGACAGGCCCAGGAGCCCCAACTAATCTTGGGACCTCATGAGGAGAGGAATTTACCCAACTCATACAGGTTTTTGATGGCACAAACCCATGGCTAAGCTTATGGCTTTAAAAAGTCTTATGTGAGATTCCTTACAGAACAAAGTTTCATCAAAGCCAATTTAAAAAGAAGCCTATAAGGCAAATAATTACTCTTGCTGTGCTTTATGCAAATAATCAGGCGAAGGTTCATAAGGCTAAAGTTTATTCTGCAAACAAATGAGTCCTATCATGATTTTGCTTTTAATAAAAAAGAGCAGGAGAGAAAAAAATTATGTTTCAAGAACAATTGTATACCTTTTATTAGATTCTAATAAATCTATTAAAGTTGTTTTCGAGTTTTTGTCTGCAATTTATAATGACCCTACTTATTCCTTTGAACTAACTAGTGATCTCTGGCTGCAGCTCAGGAGAAACAAGAGGGATGGGCCATCAAACTCCAGATGATCCCCAGTAAGGGATACCATCCTCTCAATATTCAAGAGTCACCTTTCTACAGAAGACCCATAGACTGCCCATCAGAGGAATGCAACAGAGGTGAAATCTTGCCTGTGTCTCCCTTAGACCTGGCTGGATACTACTTTCACCAACCCATGGAGCCACCCTGCCCTGAGAGCTAATAAGAGGCCAGAACCCACAGAAAAATCACCAATGCCCCTCTGCCAGCAAGAAACAGTTACAGAAGACTAATCTTCATCCAGATTCCCAAAGAATTGGGTCTTGGACTCCTGAGGGAGGAAATATTAGAGTAGGGAGCTAGGAAGATGAGCAGAGCAGGAGAGGGCCCCCAACCCCACACCAGAAACATCAGGAGATGGTCAGGTGGTTTTTATAATGTCTCTCTAAAATAATCACTGGTTGTGGCTGGTTCCAGGGAAAGGCAGTCTCCCAGAAGTTAGAAAACACCTGAATCTAGTGATCAGCAGCTTCCTGATAAGCTCTCGGGAGTTGGGAAAGTGTGCTCAAGCATGCACGCTAAGAGGCAAAATGGTAGCATTTAACTGGTATATAACCTTCCTCTAGGAACACTCAACTGATAAGGGAAAAACACCTCAAATGAGCACAACCTCAGTAAGCACACTGCGTATGCGGCCCCTGTCACATGCTAGCAGGCCACTGTGCATGTGGGCAGGCCACCCCAAGGGAAGAATCAGGGGAGAAGAAACACAGATCCTGGAATCATGTCAATGTACAAAACTCCAAGTCAAGGGCTGAACAGCACACTTGGATCTCTCAAATGTACTTTACCTCATTTCGTTCATGCTCTAAAACTTTTTAATAAACTTTTACTCCTGCTCCAAAACCTGCCTCAGTCTCTCACTCTGCCTTATGTCCCTTGGATGAATTATTTCCTCTGAGGAGGCAAGAATCAAGTTGCTGCATACTCATATGGTTTTGTCACTACTAACAATGATAAATAAAGGAGGGCCTTTCTGAATTAGTGAGCAGTTGAATTTTTAAAACCTGTTGATGAATAAAATCAAACTCTGTAAAATTTTTAGAGTTTGATTCTGAGCCATTGTGAGTGACCATGGCCCAGGAAACAGTCTGAATATGTCTTGAGAAAGTGAACCTGAAGTGGTCAGGTCATAATTTGGTTTTAGACATTCCAGGGAAACAGGAATTGCAAGTAAAAATCATAAATCCATATGTGGAAGATATACATTGGTTCAGCCCAAAAGGGCAGGACATCTTGAAGTATGGGTGGGGAGCTCATACAGGTCATAGGTGGATTAAAAGATTTTCTGGCTCGGTGTGGTGGCTCACGCCTGTAATCCTAGCACTTTGGGAGGCTGAGGCAGGTGGATTACCTGAGGTCAGGAGTTTGAGACCAGCCTGGCCAACATGGTGAAACCCCGTCTCTACTAAAAAAATACAAACATTAGCTGGGCATGGTGGTGCGTGCCTGTAATCCCAGCTACTCAGGAGGCTGAGGAAGAAGAATCGCTTGAACCCAGGAGGCAGAGGTTGCAGTGAGCTGAGATCGCGCCACTGCACTCTAGCCTGGGCAACAGAGCGAGACTTGGTTTCAAAAAAAAAAAAGATTTTCTGATTGGAAATTTGTTAAAAGAATTAAGCTTTGTCTAAAAACTTGAAATCAGTAGAAAGAAATGCTTAAGTTAAGATAAAGGGGGTTGTGGAAACCAAAGTTCTTGCTATGTAGATGAAGCCTCTAGGTAACCACCTTTGGAGAGAATAATTGGTAAATGTTTCTTACCAGAGTATAAAAGGTGTCAGGCTGTTAGTTAATCTCTCTTAGATCTGGGAAAGCCCCAGCTGCATTAATGTAGATTCTCTGCAGGTGCAAATTTCCCGCCCCCACCCCCCCCCAACCCCCCACCCCGAAAGATGGCTTTGCAGGGCCATTTCAAAATATGTCAGAGAAATATATTTTGGGGTAAAATATTTTTATTTTTTTCTGTCTGCTATCTGGCATGTGATGTTATACCAGAGTCAGGTTGGAATTTGCATCTTATTGCCAAAAAGAGTCTGTTTTGTCAGTCTTATGATCTCTGTTTTAATATTAATGCTGATTAGCTGTGTCTAAACTTCAAAAGGGAGGGGGTATAATGAAGAATGTTCAACCTCCCTTCCTGTCTTGGAGGGGAATTTAACTTTTCAGTTTTCTCTAGGGTCCCATTGGCCCAAAGGGGGTCTGTTTAGTCTGTTGGGGGGGGCTTAGAATTTTATTTTTGGTTAAGAAACCCCTTGTGTACACCTTTAGGGGCTTAGGTCTCTCAAGTTCAGAAGAAATGGATTTAGTTTCAAGATTACTTTCCTTTTCAAAAAATGTAAAATAGTCACATATAAATCATAAGATAGAGTTGTAGTCATTTGGTAATGACCATTGTCTTAGTAATAAAAAAAATACAAAGTAATGCTCTCCATAGTATATACTTTTCGTAGCCCAGACCACAGAGATTCCCATCTTTGCATCTTGCTCAGAGGGCTAGGTCCAAAGTGCCTGGTTTGAGTTACCTGGAACTGCATTCTTAGTCTTAGCTGACTGGAGCATGAGTAAGCAGACACCCAATTCTTTCTGCTCAGAGTTTAGGACTTGAACTGTAACACAAAGAAACTGCAGAGAGTTCAGTTAAGCACAAGGTTCTCGAGGAAAGATCCACAATCCTACTTTGAAATCCTCAGAGCCTGGCTTGAAACCTTACAACAAATTACCTATTTTGGTCTAAAGTAGCTGGAACTGGTTTTTGTTACATGCAAACAATAAACCCTTAACAAATGCACAATTCAAATGTTAATTTGCTAGAAAACTCAGACTATCTTTGGTAAATAGTACAGAAAATATCAGATTTATCAGGGTTTCCACACAGCATTTGAAACAAGCTTGTTTTTAACTCATGGTACTGATTTCCAGGGCCCTATTTGGGCTGGTGATGAAATTAAGATAGATCCAGTTTGTGGAGTGGGCACTAGCCCTCCTCTTGTCTATCTGCATGAGCTCATTGACAGCCTGAGGAGGCTCTTGGTTGGGGTGGGATGGGAGACAGGCGTGATCTGAACCCTGTCCCCAAGGGCAGTGTGTATATGTATGCGTGTGGTATGTGTGTGGTATATGTATGCATGTGGTATATGTATGCCTGTGTACACACACACACACACACACACACACACACACACACATCTGAAAGATGGAGGGGCACCTTACACCCCATATGAGAGGATTCAGGATAAAGAGGGAGTCTAATCACGAGCCATTCAGCATTGTAAGTTTTAAACATCAAGTGGAAGGCAGTAGTTGAAAGAAGACAGTCTGGTTCTACACCAATCAATACCCTGGTGGCACTGTTGCCCCAAGGAGAAACAGAGCTGTGGTCAAATCCACAGAGCCATGTAATACTTTGAGGTCCAAGCCGATCTGCACTGGGACGGATCCCAGATCCACATAAGAAGAATTACCCCTCCTATCTGCCCCCTCCCGCTATCTCCCTCAAGAGTCCATTTGGCCTAAGTCTGCAGTGACCCACACTGATATGTGCGCTTGTGCCACCGAGCTCGACCTGTGCAGGAGGGATGGCTCAGCCCCAGGGAACAGCAATCTTCCATGGCCAAAGCGGGACACAGCATGGACAGAGCTCTAGCCCATGGAGGCCTTGGTGCAGATTGGGTAGAGAGAAATAGTGTATCGGGACCACTGGAGCTACAACCTTATGCCTTGGAGGGTCTGGCACTGTCAGGAGAACCACCAGATCAATTTGTGGATATATGTTTGCACCCTCAGGGAACTGCTAGCCGTACTGGGGTGGTAACAGAGAATTTTATCAGGGACTAAAATCAGCAAATCACATGAATCAGCACAGCTTCCCAGGCTGCTACAAGGTACAGAGGCACATGGAACCTCTTTCAAGTGCCTGTGGATCTGCCACAGGGTAGGACAGTATTTGCACACAAGCAGCAAGATAAAGATCCACCAAAGAGCAATCCCTGAACCTGTTTTGGGAAAGTTTAAGCTGGGAGCATGAATCCTCATAAGGGATATGAGAATTCCTTCCAGAATGTCAGAGATGGGGCCCACATGTGGGGACAGAGATTTGGGATACTCAGAAAGCCTTCTCACATAAAAGTAAATTTGTTTAAAAAACTAGCTCCTTCTCTGGGAACACCGAATTTTTCAATAGCCATGAATGGAAAACTCCAGAAATAAACCATCCCTAAGTTTTAAATGTCATGCTGTTCTGAGTAGTGTGAAGAAATTTCATGCCATCCTGCTCTGTTGCACATGTGATGTGAATCATCCCTTCGTCCAGCATCCCCACACTGTACACGGACCCGCCTGTGAGTCACTTAGCCGCCCTCTTGGTTATTAGGTCCACTGTATTACAGTCCTTGGGTTCCAGGAACCCTTATTTCACTCAATAATAGCCCCAAAGTGCAAAGAGTCATGATTAAAATAATAAATTATTCTATTTATTATTAGTTATTAATCTCTTACTTTCTAATGTACACATTAAACTTTATAAGCATGTGTGTATCTGTGTGTGTATGTGTGTGTGTGTGTGTATATATATATATATATATATATATATATATATATATATATTAACAGGGTTCAGTACTAGCCTCAGTTTCAGGCATCCACTGGGGATTCTGGAACATATCCCCCGTGAACAAGGGAGGACTACTGTACCTTTTGTCTATTATAATGATCAGGATTTAATATTTTCAGACCACAGTCGATCTCAGGTAACAAACTGAAACCAGTTGATCTCAGGTAACAAACAAGTGAAACTGTGGATAAGTGGGGGTGACTACCATACCTGGAGTTTGGTTTTGGTAGAGGATGAAGCCTAAATAGAGAGAACCTGATTAAGTAGTGTGTCTGCATGGATACTTAGCTGTGTCATTTCTTTGTTTCGGGTTTTACCATTGGCCCTAACAAGCGATTTATTCCATGTAATCAGTTCATGGCTCTGCTTTAGTGAAAAAGAGTGAGGAGAAACCTCTCCCTGCTCTAGCAATTAGGCTTAGTAGAACTTGGAATACACACATTTTGTGTAACAAGTAGTAGACAGTAAATGCCCTGGGTAGTTTATAGGCGGCCTGGGAATATTTCATCCATTGTTTCTGAGTCACTCAGATTATAATTGCAGTTTCCATCATAGCATTTGACACAGTGAGCATTTCTAAAGTGTTTCCAGCCTCCAAATGGCCTCATTTAGTTTTTCTTTAATTCTAAGAGAAGACAGATTTTACAATATACTGGCCAGTGGAAGTGCTGCTTTAGTTTTATACCTTAAATTAACTGTTGCATACATTTCTGATTTACAGCTGCATTCAATTGCTATTTACTTTCTGCTTTTCTTTCTTAGCACAGGGACTAAGCTGAAATTCAGGTGCTCTGGTGACTGTTAAAAGCCAGATATATATGAATTTTAATCCTTCTGGTTTTACGTAAACTCCAAATTAAAATAATTGCCATGTTAAAATTTTTTTTTTAAATATCAAGGTTAAAATTTTTGCCTGGAAACGAGGTTCTTTAGAAGGTTGCATTTAAATGTTCCAAGTATCTATAAGTTTGAATTCTGATCATAAATGTATCTGTTTATTATACCCAAACAAATATATTATGGGGTACATAAGTTATACATTACTTCTTCACCGCGTCTCCACTCTCAAGATATAGAGGATTATTCCAGTGATGAAAACTGGGGTATGAGGGATACTCAAAATCAGAGTGGAAAGCGACTAAAAAGGAGAATTTGCCCCAACTGAGGAGAAATGAGAAGGGTGGTGATTGCAGAGAAAACTGTGTTCAGGTGGTGATGATTCCCCAAAGATCTTAGGGTATCTCCTAGTATCCTAATTCTGAGCTAAAGTCTGCCTTCAGGCATAACGTTTAAAGCTTAAATTGCAATCCTAGCACTTCGGGAGCCCGAGCACTCCTCAGGCTCAGGAGGTTTGCTTGAGCCCAATCATAGGGAGACCCTGTCTCTAGAAAAGTTAAAAAAAATCAGCCAGGTGTGGTGGTGTGCACCTGTAGTCCCAGCTACTTGGAAGGTTGAGGTCGGGGGCTGCAGTCAGCCATGATAGCACCACTGCACTCCAGCCTGGGCGACAGAGTAAGTAAAGTGAGTAAATAGATAAATAAAGCTCAGGATTAAGTGCCTTCCTTAGCTCTCTCAGTTGTTTTATTGGCAAAGTGGCAGCTCACAGACTGGGCTTACTGGAAATAGACTTTGTAGAAACAGGAGTCATAACACTCAATTAGAGACAAGTATGATAAAAACTTAATGTGCATCCAATACTGTTGGGATCCCTTTCTACTCTCATTGAGCTTATAGTGTCATTTGAGAATTTAAAAATATATACATTTTTAAAGCCCAGACTAAACCAAGCAACTAAAAGAAACAAGGAGCTATCATAGGCTTCCAGTATTAGAAAAGGCACCTCCCTTGGAATGAGATCCTCCTTAAGTCACCGATAAGAGAACTACTCTTTGGCAGCTTAGCCATTTTTACCCACAATATTTCTGACAGCAAATGTGGTTTTTGTTTTTTTTTCCCGATACAAACCAATTCTCTAATGCAACTGCTACCAACTGGGTGTCCTATGATTAAATTCCAGTCTGATGCTGACTACCCAGAGTTAGCTCAGACCCTGCCACAGGTTAAGGGCTCAGCCAGCCTCACAAGCCTGCCTCTACTTCCAATGCCAATTCTAAATTCTGGGCCTCCTATATTTCTGACCAACTGGCTATAAACTGGGGGTTCCCATGACCCCCTTCTTAGGTTCCATAATTTGCTAGATGGCTCATGCCACTCACGAAGTCACTTTACTGCTGCCTTCATTTAGTGAAAACTAGCCCTTCTCTGCAATGTTTGAAGTGAATAAAAGGAAGATTGGCAGTTTTTTAACAGATCTTCCACTTCCATTTTCCAATGTATTCCAGCCACATGCCCACACCAGCTGTGTTTACCTCTGTGATTGCACCTAGTGATAAACCAAGTTGGTTTAATTAAAAGTCTGATTACATATACAAGGAAAAACACTCGGTTATTTCCAAAACAGCGGAAAATGTCCTCTGTTGCTCATAAGTACAAATGCCTTTTTGATATGGCCAAATGGTCGTAACATAATAGTGACTATAGTTCTTTAATAAATTTATAGACTAATTATGGGGTTTACAAATTTGGCCATTAACGTAACAAAATCTCCTTTAGAAGGAAACAACATTTCTAATTCAAAATATGTACTTGGGTTATCAGACATATGGATCCTTCAGACTTTCTAAGGCACTTGTAAAGAAATTGGATGTTAAAGAAATAGCAGTGGGCAGGGCGCGGTGGCTCAGGCCTGTAATCCCAACACTTTGGGAGGCCGAGACGGGTGGATCACCTAAGGTCAGGAGTTCGAGATCAGCCGGACCAACGTGGTGAAACCCCATCTCTACTAAAAATACAAAAATTAGCTGGGTGTGGTGGCAGGCACCTGCAATCCCAGCTACTCAAAAGGCTGAGGCAGGAGAATCACTTGAACCCAGGAGGTGGAGGTTGCAGTGAGCCGAGATCACGCCATTGTACTCCAGCCTGGGCGAGAGAGTGAGCTTGTCTCAAAAAAAAAAAAAAAAAAAAAAAAAAGGAGAGAGAGAAGTGTCAGAGGCGTTTGAGTCAAAGCAACTCCATCTTGAATAAGTGCTGGGTAAAATGAGTCTGAGACCTAATAGGTTGCATTCCCAGGAGGTTAGACATTCTAAGTCACAGAATGAGATAGGTCGCATAAGATACAGGTCCTACACATTTTAGGGAGAGATGAGACATCAATCAACACATGTAAGGTGTACATTGGTTTGGTCTGGAAAGGCAGGGAAGGGGACTTCCAGGTCAAAGGTAGATAAGAGACAAATGGTTACATTCTTTTGAGTCTCTGATCAGCTTTTCACTGAATACACAATTTACATGCGAGAGGAAGGTAGAGGAATAATCTCTTATGCCTCAGTCTGTCTTAGTGAAACAATAGGGCAGAGGAAGCAATCAGATATGAATTTGTCAAAGATGAACAGAAGAATGGCTTTGATTTCTGTCTGTCCTTTGCCCATGAGGAATTTCCTTGTAGGCAAATTGAAAGGGAGGTGTGCAGCTTCTTTTATTTTTAAATCTTTGTAGCTATCTTATTTAGGAATAAAATGGGAGGCAGGTTTGCCTGATGCCATTCCCAGCTTGACTTTTCCTTTTGGCTTAGTGATTTTTTGGCCCCCAGATTTATTTTCCTTTTGCAGCCTTTATCTTATTCATCACTGTATTTTCAGCCAGCTGTTCATAGTAGCTGAAAAATAGCCAACTGCTCCACAAATGCAGGTTGAGAAAATGAATAATGATATATAGTTAGCAGCATACCATTCCACACATGGTAGGGTTTTAGAAATGAGGGAGGAGTATGTTTGTTTCTATGTAGTAGGATACTGCAGCCCTTGTTGAGGGAAGAAAAAAATAAAAACAATAACAGAATTAAGAGATCTCACAGCATGGGTACAAAAAGGAATTTCTTATTTCTTCTAATTATTCTCCTCATCCCCTTCCTTCTGGAAACTTCTTTCTTTGGTCTTTGAAGGAGGAAATTAGGAAAAATAGCCTGCAACAGAGGGAATAGCCGGGACTTTGAAGCCAAGCACACCGAGTTTGGATGTAATTGCCTGAAGTGTGTTTTCAATCCAAATTGCACAGATGAGAGAAAGGAGCACAGCTGCACAGGGGAGGGAAGGAAGAGAGAGCTGGAAATAAGTGCTATGACATCAAGAGTGGAGGTACCCAACTGGGACATTGTTGGCTTCCTTTAGAATTGCCAGAAGTATCTTTTCTCTGCTTTAATCCTTATTGTTTTATCCCCAAATACAGACATATCAATCACACACTCTCTATAAAATTCTTCAAAAACATACATTGAAAATGAAAATCCCCCACTAAGCACTCCCAAGAGATAACCACTCTTACCCATATGGTGTATATTCTTTGACATCTTGCTGCTTTATGATTTAAGAGCTTAACTATGTGGTATTTGATCTATACAAAATAATAATAGTTCATCATTGTGGTAGGCTAGAGAATGGCCTCCCAAAAGATATCCCTGGGACCTGTGAATATTACCTTATGTGGCAAAAGAGAGAACACTTGCAGATGTGATAAAGTTAAGGATTTTGAAATGGGAGATGACCCTGGAGTGTCCTAGTGGGCCTTCGGTGCAATTGCTAGTGAGATTTGATACAGAAGAGAAGGGAGGGCAATAGGACCATGGAGGAAGAGCTAGGAGGGAGTTGGCCATAAACTGGCTGTTACCAGAAGGTGGAAGAGGCAAGGGCCTGATTGTCCCTGAGAGAGTTCAATTGGAATATGGCCCTGTTGACACCTTGATTCTAGTCTAGTGGGTATACTGTTAGTGGAAGCAGGCTTTCGGGAGATAAACACCTTTGGGGCTGAGTCTATAACACTAAAAGACACAGACGTGTGTGTGTCTGTGTGTGACATTCATTATGTTTTGCCTCCTAGAAGAACTATAATTGTCCTCTCCTAAGCCAGCCTACCTTGGTTCATTCTCTGGGTCTACCATTTTCTAGAATACCTAACTGATTCTTAAAGACTCCCCAACTCACACAACAAAATATTTTAAGTCCTAATGACTCCTGGTTGTCACAATTAAGAAAACAAGGTAACTATCCAGAAACTCATGCAAGGGTTTTAAGAATTGTGAGGTATTTTTTTTTAATGTTTTAAAAGCCAATTTGGGTTAAGAAAATTATAGCCAGAGAAAATAAGAACTTACTCTTCTGGATAAGGGTCAGGAGGACAGAATTTGCAAAATATTATGAAAATCTTTCAGGTCTATGCCTGTTGCCTCATTCACCTAGGCTAGGACCATGGGTTATGTATGGCTGTGATGAAAGGTACATGTGCAGGTCAGATAATCCCCACACAGGCATTTTTTTCATTTGGTGACTCAGAAAGTGTTTCTCTGCCAAGAGTCTCTTCTCCACATCTTAATCTGGACTGATACCTTTCCCTAAGTACAGATTTCCCAATTGTAGGAGATATGGGTTATCTGCACATAGACAGCTGAAGTTTTTTTTTTTTTTTTGAGATGTAGTGTTGCTCTGTCACCAGGCTGGAGTGCAGTGGCGTGATCTCAGCTCACTGCAAACTCCAACTCCCAGGTTCAAGTGATTCTCCTCCCTCAGCCTCCTGAGTAGCTGGGATTACAGGTACGTGTCACCACACCCAGCTAATTTTTGTATTTTTAGTAGAGACGGGGTTTCACCATGTTGGCTAGGATGGTCTCAATCTCCTGACCTTGTGATCTGCCCACCTCGGCCTCCTGAAGTGCTGGGATTACAGGCATGAGCCACCGCACCTGGCCAAGTGTTAAATTTAATTCATGGAACTATCTTCCTGTTTGAACCTTAGGTAGGGGGAAAAGCTGAGTCTGGCTGCCAATATTTTTTTTTCTCTTATTCTTTTGGGCAAGTTGAATTGAAAATCATGATCAAGACAACAAGCTAGGCTCCAAATCTAGTCAAAGCAATACATCTTTTTGGAGCATTTACTATTTATGAAGCCCTATGAAAGGCATATAAAGTAGTTGAAGACATGGACTTTATACTTAAGGTGCTTAGAACTGGGGGAACAAAGAGCATGCCAGGGGAGAGATGTCCCTGTGGGATTGTTTGGTCAATGGTAGAAATGAAACTTAAAATGAGCGGCTGAAGGTCAGGGACAACTCAGGAGGAAAGAATGAGGGGTAGCATCCCGAGTGGATACAGATGGAGGGAATGGGGTGTGGGCATGCTGTGGTCAGGATTGGGGAAATGGGCAGGACCACTCTGATCAGAACAGAATTTATTTCGGGGAAAAAAAAATTAAAGGGGAAAGGCAAGGGCTGCAGTGGGCCAAGTTATGGAGGGCCTTGGATGTCAAACAAATGAGTTTGGACTTGATTCTTGAGTTGCCCTGGTCCACTGAAGTGTTTCGGATCAGCAGAGCAACATAACAAAAAGGCACTTTCGGAAGATTAATTTGATACTGATGTGCACAGTCAATTGGAGGGGGTGAAACTGGAAGCAGAGAGGCAAGGTAGGGGCTGTTACAGTCATGCAGGCATAAAATAATGACGGCAGCATGAGAGAAATGAAGCCCTGGGAAGAAATTGTGACAGGAGCGACAAGACTTAGTAAGCGACTGAAGTAGGGGAGAAAGAAAAATGAGGTTTTGATTCTGCGTGGCTGGGTTTCTCTAAATTGAATGAGAATAAGGAAAGGGGGCAGGGAAGATTGTATGTGGAATAAAATGATGAACTATTTTAGAGAAGTTGGCGTCCATGCATCCACATCCGTGTCCAGCAACCAACTGGACATATGGGACTGAGTTGTGGGTAAGAAGCTTTCATGCGCGTCCGTGTGAAGAGACCACCAAACAGGCTTTGTGTGAGCAATAAAGCTTTTAATCACCTGGGGGCAGGTGGGCTGAGTCCGAAAAGAGAGTCAGCGAAGGGAGATAAGGGTGGGGCGGTTTTACAGGATTTGGGTAGGTAAAGGAAAATTACAGTCAAAGGGGGTTTGTTCTCTGGCGGGCAGGAGTGGGGGTCGCAAGGTGCTCAGTGGGGGTGCTTTTTGAGCCAGGATGAGCCAGGAAAAGGACTTTCACAAGGTAATGTCATCAGTTAAGGCAAGGACCGGCCATTTACACTTCTTTTGTGGTGGAATGTCATCAGTTAAGGTGGGGCAGGGCATATTCACTTCTTTTGTGATTCTTCAGTTACTTCAGGCCATCTGGGCGGATATGTGCAAGTCACAGGGGATGCGATGGCTTGGCTTGGGCTCAGAGGCCTGACAGAAGCCAGGGCAGGAAATGCAGGTTTGAGAGTCATCAGAACACAGGCCATAGCTAAGCCATGAAAATGACCAATGTCTCTGAGACAGAGAACTCAGCGCTCACAGACACTGAGCTCCGAACTGTCACCTAAGCATCAGAAACGGGCGGGAGGGGATGGGATCCAGTGACGGAGTAAAAGGAGAAGTGGTCAGAAAACTGCGAGGGCCACATTTATTTACATTAGTCCACATGCTTCAAGGAAATAGAATTTAACAAAAGTAAAGAGCTGTCAAAACGGATAGGCCCTTGGGTAATTTTATATCGCCGCATTGTGTACCCTGAACCTTGAAACATGGCTCACTTTTAACTTCTTTGAATGAAGAGCTGTGCGTTCAGACACAGTTCTGCTCCAGAGCCTCTTCACCTTGTTGATCACTTCCTGGCTGCCTCCACTAGAGATGCAGTCAATGCATACTTTGCATAGTTTATTCAGCCTAAGAAAGATCAACCTGAGTTGATCTCTCCTCTTCCAACTGCACAATTAGGAGGCACCACATAATACTGTTACCAAATATTTACTAAGCAACCCACTATGTGAAAAACTCCCTATTAGGGATTGAACAAACATTTACTTATACTCTCCATTTTAATACAAAGGTTCAACATTACAAATGTTTGAATAAATCAAAGCAGGCTGGCAAAAAAATTTCCTAAGTCTAACATATGGAGTTAATGGTGCCAACTTGCTTCCTTTTATAAGCCCAAGAGCTTTTTAAAGCTGAGCACTCTGGCTACGCCCATTAGGTTACAAGGTCCTCTCGGACTTTGTTGTATGACATCTGGTACTTTACTGCCTTAGAGGCTAAAAAGAAATACCATGCGTGCCATTTGCTTTGTCTCAGTCTTTCTAAAAGGTTCCCTTTCAACTTGGTCTTTCTCTGTTAGTGGTAATAGTCTTTAAGGGTTTCAGATATTGAAGGTCTGTTGTTAACAGATTTTCTTTTGACTTTTAAATAAGTCACATATCCACTACTCAGAGAAGAAGCAGAGGAATATACAACTAGGATTTGTATACTAGTTTTACTTTTGCAAAGATTTTGATGTACCTTGTCACCCAGATGACTGAGTTTTTGAAACAAAGTATATGCATTGTAGCTGGACACCACAATATAACTAGTATCAGGACACTGACAGGGAAGGTCAGGTGCAGATGAACGATAGAGGTGCAGGGTTATACTTTCTATGGCAAGGCTGGTACGTTACTTTAACAAAAAACCCCTATCACGGATCAATGGCTTCTCAAAAGTGGGAAAAAAACCCCAGAAATTTTGCATGTTTGAATTTTACAAATTTTGCCTGCTGTACAGGCAGGCTTAGCACTAAAAGTTACTTTTTTATGGTAGGGGCTTTCAAAATGCTTGTTGCCATTATGTTTAGCCTAAAGCTGCCTCTTTACGTGTCTTAAAGGTTTCTCCGTACATAGGGAACCTTAACTTAACTAGAGATGTAAATGGACTGTAACCTACTCTTGTGCCAGTCACCGAGTTTCGGCCAGTCAATGGAAGCCAATTGTTCAAACTGGGTTCAAATAAGGCAAATGCCAAGCTGTAACCAATCTGAATGTTTCTGTACCTCACTTACATTTTTTGTATGTCATATTCCTTTCTCTGCTCATAAATCTTGGACTACAAGGTAGCACTGGAGCCTCTCTGAATCTATTGTTTCGGGAACTGCCTGATTTTGGAATCATTCTTTGCCCATTTAAACTCTGTTAAATTTGTCTAAGGTTTTTCTTTTAACATTGCTATCACTGCCTATATTTGACCTTCGGCAGGCAGCTTGACTTCATTTACTAGATTTCAACAATAGTCCCCAAACAACAGTCTATGGATGAGATGCATCAGAACCACCTGGTAATCACTGAAAAAATAAATTCCTGGGTCCAATTTCTGGATACTCCAATTCAGTACATCTGGGGCAAGCCCAGGGTGTTTGTAGTTACATTTTTTAAATCTGCAGGTAATTCTAATAAAAAAAAATCAGCTTTGAGAGCCGCTCATTTCCTTCTAGATGTGTGCGGTGAAGTAAACTAGGCTGTGACCTGGTCTGAGCTTACATATCCTATATGCTAAGTATGAGCATCACAGTACCGAACTTCTCTCAAATGAAAAGAATGATGGTCCTTCCCTGATCGGCTGAAACTGAGATACTAATTTATAAACTTGGAAACCTTGGCCTTTAACCAGAGCTTACAAACTGTAGGGGAAAGATTATCCTTTTGCCCTATGATACCCTTATTTCAGGGACATTTGGAGCACTTGATATTTTTTATTTCCTCATCATGTGTTGGGAAGAAGAGATGCCAGGAACACAATGACAAGTCCAAGACATGCAAATCAAAATGGAACCCAGGTTTCTTCTTACTTAGTTCAGTTCTTATGAAATACATCACTATGTAATAAAATTAAATCTCTCATGTTGGTATACCAGACCATTTTAATGTTAAAGGGAGAAGTTGATTTACGCTCACAAATTACCACTACCACCATTTCCTCCCCACCAAAAGAAAAACCTAAACATACACTAAAACATCCCCTACACTCTAAAAATCAGCACATTTCCAAAATAGAATCATACATATTACTCTCAAACTCTATTTTCATTTTAAAATATATCACACACACCCCTCTAGTTCAATATATGCCATAACTCATTCTTTGTAATAGCCTCATAACATTCCATATTATAGATATATCATGATTTTTCTATTGTTCCCGTACTGATGGACTTTGTTTTCAGCTTTTAGAAAAATCAACACATACAGTGCTACAATTTTAACACACATGCTAATTATTTTATTTCAGACAGGTATTTTCTAATAGGATTTATCAAAAGGGTGTGAGGATCTTAACTCTTAAAACTTTTTTTGACATATAGAAATTTTTATTTAAATAGAGACGAGGGTCTCACCATGTTGCCTAGACTTGTCTCAACCTCCTAGGCTCAAGGAATCAACCCTCTTTGGCCTCCCAAAGTGTTAGGATTACAGGCGTGAGCCACCGTGCGTGGCGGAGGATCTTAACTTTTATTAGATTCAGCTGATTACTTTCCGAAGAGGTTATAACAATTTGACCTTCTCTGGCACTATATGACAGTTCCAGTTGCTTCCTCATCCTCACCAGCACTAAGCATTTTCTATCTATGGGAAAAATTAAAACACTTAATTGTTTTAATTTGCATTTCCTTGTGAGTGAAATGTGCCTTTTTATGTAAGTTAGTTTTTCTTTGCATATTCTCTTCTGTAAATGGCCCTCTAGGATAAAATTAAGTTATATTCTTCCTTATACTGTGTACAAAAAAATAATTCCATATAAAGATCTAAATGTAAAAAAGAAAAATTATGCAAAATCAGCAGGAAAACAATCCTAGAATATTTAGAGTGGGAGCAATATTTGACATTTTTAAACAAGCTAAAACTAAATACCACAAAGAAAGAAAAACTAATGGTGGATTTGAATTATAACCATTAAGATGGTTTCTATTGCTCTTTTCCTTACAGAAAAAGTCAAAAGACAAATGACAGATTGGTAAAGAAGCATGTGTTACAGATATGATACACAAAGGATTAATATCTCTAATACATGGTTCTCTCAGAAGCTGATAAGAAAATGCAAAATTAAAAATTTAAAAAAACCCAAAAATGAGCAAAGCATACAAATTCACTGACTTTTTTCCCTCTCTGACACACTACTTCTGAAGTCCCCTGTGTTTAAAATGTAGAACCTGTGCTTGTTTACATCAGATACATCAATGAGTAGATGTCTCTCCTCCTACATGGCCTTCTCACACTCACCTCTTTTCTCTAGCTGTAGGGCCTCTTGGCACCAGGGTCTGATTTTCTCATGTGGTGTGTTGCCTTTGGTAAACCTCACATACCTCCTAATCACAGCTGAGCTGTCCTTTTGACGTGTGCCCCCACGTCTCCCCTTTCAACTCTGCAGCGAACTTACAGCAGCTCAATGCTTCTTGAAGCCAAAAGCTTATATTCAGAAAGCTCTGTACACAAAACAAAAAGCCCCACTGAGCACCACTTCACCAATTTCAGGTGTGCCCTACAACGGAAGGACACATTTACTTGCAGAGTTTAGAAACTGAGTTTTGAGAAGACACCTGTGTAGCACTTATATCTATGAGAATTGAAAGCAACTACTTGCATACCACACACATAGATGAGGAACAACTGAGACAACCCAAGACAAAGTGCTTTGCAAAGTCTAATGTCCTACATACAACTGACAGTAAGCCATTGGGCCCAGTTTCCCTTAAAACCACACAATTAAAAATAATCAGTAAGCAACGGGAGCAATCATGTACCCCTTACTTCCTTTCCCAAGCTGGAGACTCTCAACAGCTCTGATCTGCTCTCACAGCCATGCCCAACAAATTCCTCATCATTCAAGGCCCTGCCTTAAGGATAACATCTTCAGGAAGTCCTCTTCCATCTTAGACTCATCCCCCAATTTTTGGTTATCAGTTCCTTCTGAGTTGTTAGCATTCTGTGTTAACAAGTTATAAAGGAGAAGTCCCTTATAACTTTAACCACAGTTGTAATTAATCTGAGTTACCTGGGCTAGAATAGTCGGCTACCTGGGCTAGAGTGGAAATTCAGTGAAAACAAGGATCATGTCCATTTTGTGTAGAGTGCTTAGCATGGTTCCAGGTATGTATTAGATGATCAAAACCTTTGTTGAATGAGTAAAGAAAAACCACAGTATCTTGTTTATTTATATCATAGCTGTTGTAAGAGTTTATAACTGTTTACTTGTTCATTGTTTGTTTCCCTCGTGAAATTATGGGCTTCACAAAACAGGTGCTTTTTTTCTGCCTTAGTGCTAGCCCTTTATATTCCTAATATCTAAAACAATTTGGGACATATAGGTGCTCAATACAAATTTAACAAATAAATGAATATAGGCCTCAGTATATGCTGTTGTTGGTGAACAAGGAACTTTGAGATCATCATCACCTCCATTTTCAAAACTTCATGACTGAAAATTGTAAGCAACTTCAATCTCCATAGACTTTAAGTCATTTTACATCTACATTGTTACTTAATGTACCAGTATTTTACATTTCGTTTTTTTAGAGATGGAGTCACTCTGTCACCCAGGCTGGAGTGCAGTGGCACAACCATAGCTCACTGCAACCTTGAACTCGTGGGTTCAAGAGATCCTCTCACCTCTGCCTCTAGAGTAGCTAGGACCACAGACTTGTGCCACTGTGCCTGGGTTTTATTTTAAAATTGTTTTTGTAGAGACAAGGTATTGCTGTGTCACTCAGGCTGGTCTCAAGCAATCTTGGCCTCAAGCAATCCTCCTGGTTCAGCAATCCTCCTGCCTCAGCCTCCCAAAGTGCTGGGATAACATGCGTAAGCCACCATGCTTGGCTATTTACATTATAAAACACAAAAAATTAAAATGTACTTAAGAATGAGATAAAATAAATTTTAGATATGTATGCTACTTTGGACCATCCTACTTTGAAGATAATTTTTTTTCTGGATGACAATGGGTACCCCAGATTTGCGCTATGATCTGTCACTTAAGATAGCTGCAAATTTAAGATTTTTCAACATTCCTTAACCAGAAGCCTGAGTTTTAAGACAAAAGCCTCTTTAATCAAGGTTTTAGAACTCATGAGAGCAAGACAGAGGCCAAGAAAAATGATTTGTAAGTGATTGAAAAATAATTTTTATTCAGAAGCTCTTTTTCTTATAGTTTTCAGGTTGAGGTTACTGGTTAGGGAGATAATGAAGTATATATAGATCACTGGTGATGTCTACTCAAACAGTGAGAAGTTCAAAGTGATGGAAAGTCAGAAAAGATTAGGGAAGAGGAATTTTATCAAGCAGTGGAGTAGCAGTAGAAAATTTATGCAGACAAACTTTCCTTTCAATCCATGCTTCACAGAGGCAAGAAAAAATAGCCCCTAGCCTTCTTTGGCAAATGACGACGTTTAACCTGGACGAGGTTCTAACGATGGCTATTATTGTAGTTTTAAAAAGTAATTGATGGTGCAAGAAACTGCTGGCAAATATTTTTTCTGGAAAGTCTTCTTAAAATGGGCTTGTTCAGGCTTGGAAAAATACATGTTATAGGGGAATACATATGAAAGTGTAATGAATTCTCCCTCCAGTCATTTCAAATGCTTTTTTCCTAACTTTTAAATAAAAATCTAAATACAGATTTAATCATACTGTGATATTGAGACCACTGAAGAATTTCTATTTGAAAATCC
Source organism: Homo sapiens (assembly GCF_000001405.40). NCBI lineage: Eukaryota > Metazoa > Chordata > Mammalia > Primates > Hominidae > Homo > Homo sapiens. The sequence continues at coordinate 67,726,693 of NC_000008.11, forward strand.
ATTTACTTAAATGCATATATCAGCATGATGCAGGGAGGTTCTGGCATTATTCTAAGCCGAAAGGCCTCGAGCACTGCTCCTCTGTTTCACATCTCTCCAGTATCTATGTGACACGCAGCAAGACAGCCACTTTGGCCATTTAATGCTTCATTGGAATATTCAATAATCTCATTTTCAGTTAGAAATAAAGGAGGAACATGCTTGTTTTTCTTTTCAGTCATTAGTTTGGCACTGAGTGTTGTATTGTTAAATTTACTAACTTCTGATTCTTATTTGCAATGATTTTAGAATGGTTTTGGCACAAGGCACCACAGAAGCTGCAATTCTTGCTATAGGGTTGATTTTTTAAAAATCTTTTTGAGAATTTACACATGCTTAAAATTACTTTTAATCTGATTATAAAAGCTGTTCATGCTTCATGCAGAAGAATTAGTAAATACAGAAAAAAGTATAGGGAGAAAGAAAAAAAAACCCTATGTTACAGTGTCACTTGGACATAACAACCACTTGTTATTTTGGAGCTTTCCCCCCAGATATAGTTAACTATATCATATAGCAAAACCAAAACTACTGATACCTTTGTATCCTATTTTCTCATTTTTTATTGTATTGTTGGGGCTCACAGAATACCCCAAAGTATGGTGCTTTGGCATGTTGAGCACTTTTGAATTAAAGGAAATTGGAAGACCTTAGATGCTGCCTCAGAATCAAGAACTTTCTAACCTTCTCTTGTCTGCAGTTCCCCACTGCCCCCCTTAACCCCCACAGGGAGAGGCTGCCTCTGGAACTTCCCTTATCTGACTCAGAAAACTTCTTCCAAAAGAAGTGCAATTGTCTTGAAACCCTCTCCCTCGGGCATCTCAACTAACCAGGAAGGATTAATCACCAGAGAAAAGGAAAGACTAAAAGTCTTTCTCATCATGCCCAGACAGACTTTTCATTTATTCTTTTGAGGTCTGTTCTGAGAGATTACCTGGGAGACTTTATCTGCATAATAAGACAACTTTTGTTCACAGGGCAGTTATGCCCCTCACCTTCCTAGGACTTGTCCACAAACTATTCTCTGTTCTTCATCCCATTAGAATCATTTAAAAACTATTATCTGGACAGACGCAGTGGCTCATGCCTGTAATCCCAGCACTTTGGGAGGCTGAGGCAGGTGGATCACGAGGTCAGGAGATCGAGACCATCCTGGCTAACACAGTGAAACCTCGTCTCTACTGAAAACACAAAAAATTAGCCTGGTGTGGTGGCAAGTGCCTGTAGTCCCAGCTACTCGGGAGGCTGAGGCAGAAGAATGGTGTGAACCCAGGAGGCAGAGCTTGCAGTGAGCCGAGATAGCACTACAGCACTCTAGCCTGGGCGACGGAGTGAGACTCTGTCTCAAAAAAAAAAAAAACAAAAAAAACCCACAAAAACCAACAAAACAACAACAAAAAACAAACAAAACAAAACAAAACAAAACAAAACAAACTATTATCTGTCCTTTGGGCCCATTTAATTCCCCTAAAAGTCATTTACTACCCCTTGACATTTCCTACACTCCCCACTTACCTCTCCTCTATGAAGAAGAGTATATGAACTTCTAAACCTCATTGGGGAATTGGGTAATCTTTCTCCTGTGATTCCCCTGTGTTTATGCACATTAATACACTTGTATACCTTTTTTTTCAGCATTTGCCAACCTTCAGAGGGGGAGTGAGAATTTTCCTTTACCTCTATAGAATCTTGAGCATTAAAAATTATTTATAGACATTTATAGCCGGCACAAAAGGGTCTATAATTTGCACTATAATGAGCCTTTCTCATTGTTGAACACATAGGTAGCATCCCAAGTTTTGATAGACTAAATAAATTGATAACAAACGTCTTTCCATGCACTCTAAATCTTTGCCTACATTTCAGATAATCCCCTTAGGAAAGCTTTTTAGAAATGAAACTGTAGAGAGTATTAATACTGCAAATAGCTTACATTTATTGAGTTTATTTGTCCTAGTCTCTGCCTAAGCATTTTACATATATGAACTTATTCAATATTAGTTCTATTTTAGATATGAGAAAATTGAGGCACAGGGATATTAAGTAATTCCTTCCAATTATCACATCACTAGTAAGTGGAAGAACTAGGACATGAACCCAGGCAGGCTGAGGATGGAGCTGGTGGTCCGAACCTTTATTTTGCATGGATTCTCTAACCACATGTGTAGAGGTGACCCCAGCAGATCATAAACCTGGGACTTGGAAGAAAGAGACCACCCAATTTAATTCTTGGACATTATAGAAAGCAAGGCCCAGAAAGATGAAGTGACTTCATTAAAGTAGCACAGATAGCTAGTAGCAGATCTCGAACTTGTCACCTGACTCCTTATCCTGCAATTCAGTAACTTGCTCCTGAAAGCATGGTGCCTGAACCATAGTGTCAGCATCACCTGGAAGCCCATTAGAAATGCAGAGTCCCAGGCTCTACCTGGGACTGCAGCTGAATCTGCATTGTCAATAAGATCCCCTAGTGTTTTATTTGCACATTAAAATTCATTAGCTCTGGCAATATTCTCTGTAAACCTGATAGAGCTTTGATGATATGTTAATGGAAAATCTGCACATAAGCTGCTCGTATTTTTATAGCATGAAAAAAAGCCCTAATTTTTCAGAGTTAAAGTTTATATTAAATTGAGCCATTTGATATTGCTGTTATTTTAAGATTTAAAAACTGTCATATACTGGCAACTTATTGTGATTCAACTTCAGTGGCTGCAGGAGTAACAACAAAACTTCCATGTGCCTGTTAATCTCTGTAGAGATCGGACTTGAAGAATAAGATGAAGTTCCTTCCCCCAAAGAGAGTACAGCTTGGTCAGGAAGAATAAACAATTAAACAATTAAAGTACAAAATAGTTAGTGCTACTGCAGAGCATTCTGAGTGCTCAGGAGGAAGTTAAGTGATGTTCTGGAAAACTGTTTTCTGGAAGAAAACGGTTACTAGTTTCTATTAATGGCAACAAAGACGGGTATGCAAGGCTTAGTCAAATTATTAAATAAATATCCCTGTAAGCCGCTCAGAGCCTGATGAAACAAATAGTTTATAGGTATATAAAATATAGGAGATGTAAATCACCACTTGAACTGCCCAAGCAAAACAGCTGTGTTGTTCTTAATGGCGACAGCAGGTAAAGAAAGTTACAGGGCTTAGGACTTAGGGTGTGCTATTCTTACGGGCCCCAATTTGGCCATTTCTGTTTTTTGAAACCAGTGGATGTGATGTTGGAAAAGAACTGTTTTCTCCTGCTACACTCAGCATTCAACACAGAACATTTCTGCTAGCAGATGTAGGGCGGGGGAGGATTCCCCCAACAAGCAATTCTCTCACACCAGCTGGATGTCCTATAATTCAATTCTGACATTAACCAGAACTGCCCCAGATCTCATAGGTTAGTGGCCCAGTCCCACACAACTACCTCCTACTTCACATGCCAATCTCAAGTTCAGGTGTCTGGAAATTTTGACCAACCAGCTATAAATTAGGGGTTCCCATAATCTCCTCCCTTGGGTTTGGTTATTTGCTAGGATGGCTCACAGAACTTAGGAAAACACTTATGTTTACCCATTTATTATAAAAGATACAGATACAGAGCCAGATGGAAGAGAGGCATAGGGCAAGGTATGTAGGAGGGGTCCCAGAACTTCCAGACCCTCTGTGGGGATACCAACCTCGCAGTACTTCCATATGTTCAGCAACCTGGAAGCTCTCTGAATCCTGTCCTTTTTGGGTTTTTATGGAGGGTTATGAGGGCACAATTGATTAAATCATTGACCACTGGTGATTAGCTCAAACTGCAGTCCCTTTTACTTCCCTGGAGGTTGGGGGATGGGGCTGAAAGTCCCAAACCTCTAATCACATGGTTGGTTTCCCTGGCAACCAGCTCCCATCCGAAGGCTATCCAGAAGCCCCCATCACCTGTCATCTCATTAGCATACAAAAAGACACATCACTTTGGAGAGTCAAGGATTTTAGGAGCTGTTTGCCAGAAAATGGGATGAAGACCAAATATATATGTTTCTACTATAAGAATATCATAGTGGATATCTTTAGATTGAGTGAAATGAGTAACTGACTTTCCATTGTCCCATACAATGAACAGAAGAATCTTTGGAGTGATCAATACTTAAAAATACAATGTGTTTACCAGAAGCCATGTATAATAACTATAAGTTATACTGTATGTTCAAGGGCACAAAATTCTTGGTAAGTAGTCACCATAAAAATTATCCATTCTTAAGAAATCATTATTTGCAATCCTGCTATTACAGAAATGAGACTGGGTGACCATGCTGATTTTGCATCTTTCCACTAGTTGGTTTAGAATACCTAATTTGGGGATAGTTGGTTGAATCTTTGAATTGGCGATAATTCTACTTTACCATTTCATCTAACTTTTTTCTTATTAAGATTCCTTTCCTAGAAAGAACCAAGCTACCAATAGCTGGGTCCATGGTGAGTTATCCACCCTGTAATTAAATGCTGTCTATACAAGTTGCATTTGAAGGAAAAAAACAAATTCTTTTTCACACACAAAAAAAGAGGCCAAGATAGTGGCAAGTCCTTTGGTATGCTATACTTTTTCTTGAGAAACTATGCAGTGTGGTTTCACCCTTGGAGAGTCCCTTACTTTTTGCTATTTCTCAGCTGGTGCCCATCCTCTCACTTCTTCCACAATTCCTTAACTCAAGGCTAAGGCTTTAAGCCTTTCTCACAGGGACCAACTGATTTCACACCACCTCTGTCTGAATATTTCCAGCTTTCCCTCAGGCTGGACTGCTCTCTGGGCAGCAAGCTGAGCTCGGCTCAGAAAATGCCCCCATTCTGAGGACTCTTCAAACCACATTTGATCAACTTTATTTGATCAACTCTGTGTTTGAATTTTTACTGTTGCCTTATTTTAAAGGAAGCCTGACTGTACTCTCCAGGACTATTCTGTTTCTGTGGTACTTGGAATTTGTATGGGCATCTGAGTAGGGGAACCAAGTACAGAAATTGCAAGCAAACTTTCTTCTTATTGAATCACGGCACCTAAAGAGATAGAAAAAAAGTTAAAGGAAGAATACGACCAATAAAGTTCTGAAAGATACACTGGAAGTTCTTTGGTTTGTAAAAATTAGTCAAAAACTAGAGAGGATGTTAGGCTCAAAATGAATGATTGAGGAGTGACCTACAATTTCAGATGACTTCCTGTCTATTCCTTAGAGGATAAAGCAGCAATGACAAAAAGGCAAGGGTCGCTTCTCTAAATTTGGTAAAAGGTAATGGCTAATAAAAGTGTTGACCAGCTGGTGCCCATTCTAGGCCAGCCAGGAAATGGCAGTTTTGCCTCAGAGATCTCCTCCCCCAAGCAGAATGCCGGTCCAGTCACTTTTAAGAGCCTATATAAATAAAATATCTGAGGCCAACTTTGGATAATAGTGCAAGTGATACCCAAAACACATTGAACAGGGAGAAATCAGCAGGAGAGTGGGAATATCGCCCTTAAGCACATACAGGTGGCAGCTGTGGGATCCCCACATTCCTCCGAAAGCCGTAAGGGCAAATGGTTCCTGTTTTTCACTACTTGTCATTGATGAAATTTAGTGTGATAAAACTGCCTGCAGGTGTCAGCAATTCGATTCCTAGTTTGTTAGTTTCCTGTCCCCCTTCCTTCCTCGCTCTCTCTCATCCCTTCCTCCTCTTCTTCCCTCCTTTTTCCTTTGAAAATCTTCACTGAACATGCGAAACGCTATTTGGGGACTGTAAGAATATAGATAAGAAGATACAGCATCTTACTCTCAACTTGCTTATTTCCTGAAAGATAGGACATCCACATACAACTGTAATACCGAGCCGCACGTGGTTAGTGTTATAAACGACAGAGTGGCATGGGCTCTCAGAGGAGGGCGCGGTCACGGCTGATTGGTGGGACCTGGGAACTCGCGCTGGAGGAGGTAAGAGTTTGAACTGGTTTGAGAAAGGTGGGCAGATGTGGAGGAACATGCACAGAATAGACAAAGGACAGAGAACGAAAGCTGTAGGTGATTTTGAGAGGTTTCACAGTGATAAGCAAACGGAAATTGAACACAGTCTGGACCAGAGCAGCAGGAACCAAGGGCGAGTGACTGTTCCATCGACCCCCAGGCTCCAGCCATGTCACCCTGCTGCTTGTCCTCAACAGTGGTTCTCAAAGTTTAGCTTCTTGCCGGGCGTGGTGGCTCACGCCTGTAATCCCATCTCTTTGGGAGGCTGAGGCGGGCGGATCATGAGGTCAGGAGATCGAGACGATCCCGGCTAACACGGTGAAACCCCGTCTCTACTAAAAATACAAAAAATTAGCCAGGTGTGGTGGCGGGCACCTGTAGTCCCAGCTACTCGGGAGGCTGAGGCAGGAGAATGGCTTGAACCCGGGAGGTGGAGCTTGCAGTGAGCCGAGATTCGCACCACTGCACTCCAGCCTGGGCTACAGAGCGAGACTCCATCTCAAAAAAAAAAAAAAAAAAAAAAAAAAAATAAAAAAATTTAGCGTCTATCACCTGGAGGGCTTGTTAAGCCCGACTGCTGGGCCCCACCCCCAGAACTCCTGATTTGGGAGGGGGAGGTGGCCTGATAATTTTTAGCTTCTCTCAAGTGCCCAGGTGGTGCTGATGTTGCTGGTCTGAGACCCACTGTCCAGGGACATGCTACACGGGCTTCCACCTCACCTCCTCTTTCCCACGCGTGGAAGTTTCTACCCTCAGAGCTTCACATAATCAGGAGTCTCACTTTATTCTTCTCATCTCCTCTCCTGACACTCTATCACCTTTCTACATTTTATCTCCGCTCAGAGTCCTTATCAGAACTCACTACTATGGCATATTAATTTTCTGTCATTTCATTAGAATGTAAACTTCACAAGATACTTTGTTTTATTCACTAGGACTTAAAGAAGTGCTGTATTCCTAGAACCTACAGTGCTATATCCCTGGGCCTTAAAATGGGCACATAGTAGGCACTCAATGAATAGTGCTGACTGAATACACAAGGTATTGCCTTGGAAAGGAGTGGGGGGCGGTGGGGGCGGGATCAGGAACCTGTAGAGTTTGTGGTAGGAAGGATAGAAGCTGAGATAACTCGGGTCAAATGCTGCATCGTCTTTTTTTTTTTTTTTTTTTTTTGAGACAGGCTGTTGCCCAGGCTGGAGTGCAGTGGCGCCCTCTGTCACACAGGCTGGAGCGCAGTGGTGCAATCATGGCTCACTGCAGCTTCATTCTCCTGGGCTCAAGTGATCCTCCTGCCTTGGCGTCCCTAGTAGTGGAAGTGCAGGCATGCGCCACCACACCTAGCAAACTTAATTTTTTTTTTTTGTAAATTCAGGTTTTTCTCATGTTGGCCAGGCTGGGTCTCCAACTCCTGGGCTCAAGTGATTCTCCCACCTTGGCCTCTCAAAGTACTGGGATTACAAGTGTGAGCCACCAGCCTCCCTCTTATCAAGAAAGATACATTTATTTGCTCTTATATAAAAGGTGTGGTGTCAGGCATTGGGGGGAGCAAACAGAGGGTACAGGTGTGTGTGTGGGTGCTTGAAGTAATTGGAGAGTTTTTAGAATAGTAGTGTGGAAGGTGCATGACCTCAGCAAACCAGGGCCCCATGGAAAAAAAAAAAAAAAAGAAAACCCTTATTTTAGGCAGAGAAAAACAAAGCAGACTAAATTTCTCTCCAAAACATTGAAGTAATTTTTCTGTCAGATATGACATTAAGATGTAAGATATTACATTAAGATTTCTGTCAGATATTACATTAAAATGACTTACATTTTCCTCTGCTTCCACAAAGAGTTCTGAAAACTTAGGGAGAACTGGACTCCCCCATATGTATCCTTTTTTCTGCCCTGTAAGTCGAGGGCTTAGAATATTTTTTTTCTGCAGCAAATTTCTAACTGCTGCAAATACTTTGCTATACAGGCTCATCCCAAATGCCTCCAACCTTCATTATGTTTAGCAGTTTTGATGCCAAATATATTGCTATCACATCATCAGACATCCCATCACATCATCCCATCATCCCAAACATGATGGAGAGATTATAATAAGACCCCAATCATCTCATTATAAATCTTGTGTTCTCATTACAGTCACAAAATCAGAAAAAGGAACCTAGTTGACATGTTGGTGATTCATGAATTAGTCTGGTAAGATAAAGACATTCTTAAAGGGAGATAGGGGAAATGAAAATATGACCAATGAGGTCACATGTGCAAATGGTTCCAGCTTCTGTAAGTGCAAACATAGACCAGGGTCCTCATCTAGTGATAGAGTGTGGTACCCTAGAACTTTCATCTTTTATCAGTTGCTAAGATTGAAATGTTATAAAAATACATGACGTGTGTGTTAAGAAAACAAAGGTAGAAGAAAGCAGGAAGAGTGTGTTGACCTAATATACTTGCATTTTCATTTGGTTTTAAATACTTGTTCATTTTTTTTAATCTCTCCCTCTTTTTCAGTTTAGACTGTGGATTAAAACATAAGCCCTCAGGAGACACAGACTGTCGTTTCCTCTGCAAGACACTGCCTGGCACAGCTACTTTGAAGATTCTTAACCATCCTTGGGGATAAGAAATGACAGTCAGGATGTGATAATTGCTACTCTCCTGGTATTGGGTCAGTAAGTGTTTGTGGAATGAGGAAGGATGAGAGAACTGGGAAGATGGATGAGGAGATGGCACCTCCAGTTTTCCGATAACTTAATGAGGAAGAGAATAGATTTGGCTAAGAAGACACTAAGATGCTTTCAGTCTTTTACTTAATTCCTTAGGAAGATAGAAGGTAATGAAAAAAATTGTCAATTTTGTGACAGGATGTGTCTACATGAGAGACTTTCCCACGAATAGCATAACTTACCTAATATAATACCTTGTATTATATTCTGATTTACAAAGTACTGATCATCTTATTAAATGTTAGAGAAATACAAATTAGTGGCAGTCTTTTTTTTTTTTTCTTTCTTCCATTGCTATTACATTTCTGCCCTCTTTCCTTTTAGAGCTCCACTAGTTGCTCTTCCTTTCTCAGTGATGGCAGAGGGAACTTTCTCTTAAAAATAGAATCAACTAAGTTCTTGGCTTAAAGTTGTTCATGAGCATGCTGTTACCTTTGGGAGAAATCAGAAGCGTATGTTACGGGACCTCACCAACCTCTGCAGCCTTCCCTCCCCTCTCCCTCCAGGGGCACATTGCAGGTAACATTCTTCAGAAATGATTCTGGAGAAAACCTGTGGAGCTGGGTTTATGGTTCCTTTATGGACTCATCATCCATACCATCAGCTGGCCCCTCAGTGATGCTGGTGATCCCTCTGAAGGTCCCAAGTCATCTCCTGTCTCTCTTCATAGGACCAGGACCCACCTCCTACTTTACAGAGAAAGGAGAGGCAAACCAGCTTTCAGTCTCTGTGGAGACCTGACTCCATCTCACTTTCCTGTGGTCTTTCCTTTATCACTGGTCTCTCCCTTTCCTTATTTCTACCACCTGGTGTAAAATATGAGCATATCTTTCCTATCTTAAGGAGTAAAAGCAAAAGGGCAAAACACTCCTTTAACTCTATCAGCTCCCCACATTGCCCTCACCCCCACTTCATGGACAAGCTTCTTGAAATTATGGTTTCCTTTCACTGCTAATTTTCTGACATCCCAATTCCCTTCTCAACCTACCTGCTCTAGTTTCCATTCACCACTCCACCAAAAGCACCTTTGATGATATCATGAATGATGTCCTGAATGGCCTACCCAGTGGATACGACTTTGCAGCACTTGATATGATTAACCTCTCCCTTCTTGGATCCCTTATTTTCCTTTAACTGACATCTCCTGTGTTTCTTACTCTGTTTCTAGACCTTTCTGCTACTTTCTTCTCTGCCTTTCCCCTTCTGCTCTATTGAGTCTTTGGCCCTCTTTTCATGTAATGAGTTCTTCCAGGGTACTCCATCCTATACCAAAGGTTTCAAGAAATTCTATTGACACATCAGTTTCTGGAATCTATTTCATAGCCTAGAGGTCTCTCTTGAGCTTCAGATCCGTCTATCCAACTGGGCACTTTATAGGCAGCTCAAACAATACATATCCAAAAAAGTGCTTATCTTCTCTGCAAAGGGCAGTCTACTTACCTGATTCTGAGATTCAATTTACGCTATTCCCTCTGTGAAATAGTGGAAAAATTGTGAAAATTCTACCTCCTAAATATTTAGTTGGTTCCCTCTTTTTTCTTCTGATGTCACTGCCATTAACCAGGCCCTACCTCGTATTACTAAGGTCACCATAACATCCCAGTCATCTTGACACCAGTCTTCAGCCCTCCAATCTTCCCTTTTCAATGATGGCAGAGAGAACTTTCTTTTAAAAATTGAATCAACTAAATTCCCTGCTTAAAGTTGTTCATGAGCATGCTGTTGCCTTTGGGAGAAATCAGAACCATATGTTATGGGACCTCACCTACCTCTGCAGCCTTCCCTCCCGCCTCCTGACTCCCTCAGAGAAAGATGCCTTCTGTTATAGCCATACTCAATTGCCCTGATTTTCTAGACTTGACCAAGCTCTCTCACCTGTAGTTCTTTGCACCAATATATTCCCTGTGTCTGGAAAGCCTTAACCTAATTTCTAGTTGTTCTTGATGACTGAGATCAGGACAATGTCCTTTCAATACCAGCCATTTAAAAGAAAAAGTCAAAATATCTTGCATATTTAATAAACCACTCAAATGTGTTTTTTTTCCCCCCTTTGCAATCGTCACATCTAAGATGACTTCTCTGGCCTTCTGTCCATTCTTCAGTCTGGGTTAGGTGACCCTCTCCTGCACTCACTTGATATCTGATATCAAGAGTTTTCTCTGGAGGCACAAGGATCCCAGGGTTGGAACTGTTTGTTTACCTGCCTGAGTTACTCATTATGCTGTGCACATGGGCTGCTCTTTCATCTCTGTAGTCCTAGACTAGCAGCGGGCCAGACACCCTGCAAATATTTATAGACATGAAATGAAATCCTCCCTTGTTAAACAATTCTCAGCCTTGCCAAATCACTTTACTTCATCCCCAATGACTCTAGAGAATAGGAAAGGGTAAGAAGATTTCTGGAGTCACCAAAAGTGGTGTTGTCAACTATAAAGAATGCTGTGAACTCAGGTGGCCTGGGTTTTAGTCTTAACTCTAGTGCTAGCTCTGCCAATCCTTTTACCTTTATGGAGTTCTGCTTCCTCATATATTGTAAAAAGGGATTGGGCTATGATATATTTTTTGTCCCTTCCGGTCCCGACATTCTATGACTTTAAAAAATGTCATTTATAGAAGAAAAAATGCACACTTTTAATTAGCTGGAAGTCCAAAATTCTAAACATCCATTTGGAGATATTGTTATTTCAAAAAAAAACAAGTGAAAGGGAGAATGGGCTGGTAGTCATTGGATATCAGAGTAACCACTCAGAGAGAGACTGCTGTAGTTATCTCTAACATGTTCTCCCAGATCTGGCCCCCTGGCTAAAGGCTATATTTCACAGCCTCCCTTGCAGCTAGGACTGTCTAGCTGATTCTGGCCTGCAGGAACTGATGTTTGAACTTCTGGTCTGTGGTATTACAGGAGAGTGACTTTTCTTTCCACTTTCCTGCTGGCTGGACTGTGAGAAATGGAAGACTCCTCCTTTGGAAGTTGAATGTTGAGCATGGCAGAGCTGCAAGACAGAAGCAGCCTGGTTCTCTGTTACCACTAACCAGCCATAGCTGTTCTGGAGTTTTACATGAGAGAGAAATGGATTTGTTTAAGCTATGGAGGTTTAGGATTCTTCGTCATAGCAAAACTAAGAAACAAACAAAAAAATACAGAACAAAACAAAACAACCCAATAGTATCCTTACTAACACTGATACTAAAATGTTTTACTATTTTCGAAGTACACTGGAAAAAAAAAGAACAAAGGCTATAATTATGTTGAAGAGAAACACTTAGAAGTTTGCTTCAACCTTTCATAAAATAATCTTTTAGGAAATTTATGACACTACCTGGAACAAGATCCTAAAGCTTTGTATTACGCATTAAAGCACTGTACCATAAAGAAGCTAATGCCTAGAGGCTGATCGAGAAGCCATTAATTTAGCAAAGCAAATTCTAATCCAATAAACCAGTTATCTACTGATTGATCATAATGAAAACTCTAAAACAAGTCACCAAAAACATTTCTATTTTCTGTTCAGTCATTCCATTTACAAAGACAAAAAAAATAATACTTTTGTAGCTTGCACAATATAGGCTGTGAAGTTATAAAACATTAACATCCTTTGCTGCTTTTCAGAGGTTGAAAGTGATTATGCTTAATGGTATTACCCAGAAAGTACCTTGGTGCTATAAAATAAAGGGTCCATTATCAGATTGGGCTTCAAGGAGAGTGGAGCCCAGAAGTATTTGAAACAATCCTCCTTCTACTAGCTCAGTGGGCAGAGGAAGTGCTGACCCCCATACAGTCTGCCTGTGAGTTTGGTTCAGAGGGGTAGAGGACTGCAGCATTGCATGTCTTTAACCAGCAAAGCAGGAGGCCCCAACACACAGAACATACTGCAGGGAAGAAAGCTTTGGGTATAACGAGCTGATAAACAATCAGCACTTAGGGGCTGTACTTTGAGCTAGTGCATAAGGAAAACTAAAAATATTCTACCATTAACAAGGGGCAAGAGCTAGAAGGAAGTTCCAGAAGGCACTGGAGAACTATTCCATTAACTACACACTAACTTGTGGGGAAACGTTCTTAACCAACCTTAGAACCAAGGACATGTCCTTTGTAGTTCCTAACGCCCCCAAATGTAGAGCACATATTTCAACCTGTCACTGATGAGCTGACATGGCCCTTTCCTGCTTTAGGCTCTTACTATGAATGGCGCCTGCTTGCTTTGTTTATTCAGGGTGTGCAATGCTGAATGAAGCTCTCTACTTCTCTGATCTGACTAGATCTGGTTTCAGGGTGTAGGATAAGTGAAAAAGAGGCAGGAAAACAAGATTTTGATGATAGAGGCCTTGAAAGCCATGCAGAGGATTCTGCCTTTGATGTAGTCGACAACAGGGAGCCAAAGTAGGTCTTTGAGCAAGGGAGTGATATGATAAAAAGCCTTATTTTAATAAGCTCATCAATATGAGAAAGGACTAGAGAATGGCAGATCAGTTAGGAGAGAACTACATTAACCCAGACTGAGATTAAAACAAAAAGTCTTATATGTGGCTGGTGGTCATTACAAGGGAGAGGAGAGTACAAATGGGATACTTTTTACAGGAACAGAGGGAACCAGAGATGCATTTCTTCCTTAAGAGTGACACAAGAGGCATATTTGAAGACATGGAATAAAACTCATTAAGGATGCAAACATTGTGAAGAATATAAAAGGTCAAACCAACAATTTACCATCAAATCAGGACCCTTCTCAGTTGGGAAGGAGGCACTGCTGATGACTACACCAGAACAGCAGGTGCAAACTGGGACAGTCCCTGGCAACCCCAGGCCAGTCCTGGGAAAAGGGGGACTTTTGCCCATCATATCTGAAAAGAGCCTTAACTACCAGTGCAGAAGGCAACTCAGATTCACATGACTGGCTCTGATTTCTTGTGCTCTAGACCTAGGTTTCCAAAAGCTCAGAGAACATTCAAAGGAAGCCACCATCAGGACATAAAAGAACACAAAAACTGCTCCTGAGACAAAGGTGGGGGAATAGCCAGAGAGGTAAGGTAGAAAACTAGTATTATGTCTCTGGGGTTGAAACTGCTCTACTGAGTCACTATTTCTCACAATCCTTTTGTCTTCAGTATGCCACATCCAATGTGTAGTCTCTTTGCTAATAGGATTTCAAGGACCAAACTACTTTTATTTATTTTCTTGAGACTGAGTCTTGCTCTGATGCCCAGACTGGAGTGCAATGGCATGATCTTGGCTCACTGCAACTGCTGCCTCCCAGGTTCAAGTGATTCTCCTGCCTCAGCCTCCTGAGTAGCGGGGACTACAGGTGCATGCTACCACGCCTGGCTAATTTTTGTATTTTTAGTAGAAACAGGGTTTTGCCATGTTAGCCAGGATGGTCTCGAACTCCTGACCTCAGGTGATCCACCTGCCTCGGCCTCCCAAAGTGCTGGGATTACAGACGTGAGCCACCGTGCCTGGCCCCAAACTACTTTTCAAAAAAAATCTTACTTCAAGTCTACTTCTGTGAATAGTCATATCCTGTTTCCATGGATGACTATTGGCTTGTGGACAAATAACCATAAGTGGGGCCATAAGCACAGCATGGGTGTGGCTAACCAGCACATACCAGCTGCGTGCATAGTGAGTGATACCCAGCCCTGCTCATACCTATGGTCATGGGAAAAAAGGATATGCCATTCATCAAAGTGGCTTCCCTGAGACACAAAGAAGAAGGGGGAAGAAACTGTCCCAAGACGTGAGAGGCATCTTCAATAAATGCAGGGCTGTCATGAGAAAAAAGGAGTCCATGGAACTTTGCAAGCAGACCCAGTACAAGTAGATTAATACGAGCATATTACTTGGTTCCAGTCCCAAGAAGCAGCCATGATGGTGGGAAGCCAGTCCTCTCTGCATACTCAGCCTATGTGCAGCAGGGCTAGATGATCAGAATTGGCAAGGACATAGCAAGGATGTTCACCTCTCCTTCTTGGTTCATTGAGCTCTTCTGTCAGCCCTCAGGAATCTGTTCATCCCACACAGCAGGGGTCCCAAAACTCCTGGCCACAGACCGGTTCCAGTTGATGGCCTGTTAGAAACCGGGCCGCACAGCAGGAGGTGAGTGGCAGGCTAGCCAGCAAAGCTTCATCTGTATTTGCAGCTGCTACCCATTGCTTGCATTTCTGCCTGAGCTCTGCCTCCTGTCGATCATCAGTAGCATTAGATTCTCAATAGGAGCGAGAACCCTATTGTGAACTACCCATGCGAGGGATCTAGGTTGCATGTTCCTTATAAAAATCTAATTTCTGATGATACGTCACTGTTTCCCGTCATCCCCAGATGGGACTGCCTAGTTGCAGGAAAACAAGCTCAGGGCTTCCACTGATTCTTTGTTATGGTGAGTCCTATAATTATTTCATTACATATTATAACGTAATAACAATAGAAATAAAGTGCACAATAAATGTAATGCACTTGAATCATTCTGAAACCACCCCCGCCACAACCGTAGAAAAATTGTCTTCCACAAAACCAGTCCCTGTTGCCAAAAAGGTTGGGGACCACTACCACACAGCACTTACACATTGTATAGTAATTTGATGTGTAGGCAATTTTCTCTACTGTACAGCAAGCTATCAGAGGGCATTCACTCTGTTGGTCAAGTTCTCAGCACACAATGGGCATCCAAATAATACTTGCATGAACAAAGGCACACAATCACAGCTACTTTCTGTTCTACTTTTGTGTGTGTGTGTGTGCGCGTGTGTGTGTGACAACAGAAAGTTCTTTCTTCTTCTGTTTTCTATCCCTTATGGGCCCTGCATGCTTTTCTAATAATGATTCATTATCGGTGACTCATCATCACCCTAGAGAAGGTGACCAAAATTAAACCTCCAATTTTACCTATATAATCTCTTTTCCTTTATTGTTCTGAAACTATCAGTTCCCCAAACAAGAGTAAATCTTCCAGTTTTTCTTAAAAGCAATTCTTCTCTGTGCCTGAATAAGTGGCAGAGTGAGAAGTACAGTGGTGGAGTCAGGCAGAGCTGGGTGAGAATCTCAAGTGTGTCCTTGAGCTAGTTAGCCCTGAACTTGGGCTATCTGGACTGTACTTCATTTAGCCTATTTGTAAAATGAGGATAACAAATGCATAAGGTTGTTCTTAGAATTAATGTTTTTATAAATGTTTATATTAAGTCTTGGTAAGTATTTTACTATCCTGTTAAGTTCTTACTAAGTGCCAAGAACCATGCTATTCTTGAATCCTCCCAGCAACTTGGTGAGGAAGGTCTAATATTACCTCCATTGTCCAAGATAAGGAAACCTCAGTTTAAGAAGTTAAATAACTTGTCTAAGATAACAGAGCTACTAAATGTGGGAGAGCAAAAACTGAGACCCAGGCAGTTAAACTTCAGACTTATGCTACGCTGACACATGAAGAAGGCACTCAATAAGTAGTTTTCAAAAATCATGGCCATGTTAGTTCTACAATTTTGCCAGAATTTATTGTTACTGTCTGAGATCTCTCTTTTACCACTATTTTAAAAATCTACCCTAATTTTCTGTGACGCAGAAGATTTTTTTTTTTGGTTTCAATATCACAGCATAATAAATAATCAGGTCTGCTTTTGGGAAAACAGGGAGATGAGGGAGAAAAAGAGAAACACAGAATGATGTTTGCTTGTCTCACTTACTGACGGACATTTATTGATCCCTGAAATGTTTGGCTTGGCATTTGTAACCCCTGAAGCCCTTGACATAAAGTACCAATAAATATAATCGAAGTCGTTATTTTCCACTTTGCTTCATTCCTTTCCTATGCATTTAAAGATCTGCCTTGTAAGTGTTTAATGTAGTTAACAAAAAAGGCACTAGCTTTTGTCATCAGATTTTTCTTGTAGTCTTTCCACACATTTTTTTAAGTTTTTAATTTTTGTGGGTATATAGAAGTATATACATACTACTATATACCCAATATATATTTATGGGGTACATGAGATGTTTTGACACAGGCATGCAATGTAAAATAAGCACATCGTAGAGAATGGGGTATCTATCCCCTTAAGCGTTTATTCTCTGTGTTACAACAATTCAGTCACACTGTTAGTCATTTCAAAATGTACAATTAGATTATTGACTATGGTTACCCTGTTGTGCAAGCAAACAGGTCTTACTCTTTCTAACGTTTTTAAATGACCATTAATCATCCCTATTTCTCCCCAAATCTCCCACTACCCATCCCAAGGCAATTTTTTTTTTCTGAGACACTTAAATTTACCATTTACTAAGCATCTATTACACACTTGGCACTATCCAATTGTTACTAGTTTATGTCTAAAGAGGACTGCCCTCATTAGCTACTCTCAGGAGGCATGCTGGTCTGCCCTGTGTGTTCCATTTTTTATTCATGCTCAGGGTCCTGTAAATGATAATCACATATTATTAGATTCTACAAAGACCTACAAAAATATTTTTACATGAATGCAAGAACTAGGGCTGCCCCTTCATTAGTAGCAAAAAACAAATGAGAAAAATTATTAAGGAATAAAAATGAGGTGGCTCAGAATAACTTTGGATGGATGAAACCAGCCAAAAAAACTGCTAAATACTCTTCTACCATGTCTTCCCATCAGATTCTTGTTCACCGGAAGGCTAAACTTGCAGAAAGTAGTTTTGGAGTAAACAAAGCAAAACATTCTCAAAGCTGAGCAGCATTTCTGTCTTTTGCGATGAGAAAATGACATGTCTAATGAAGGTAGAATTCCCCATTTTTAACAGTGAATATGCTCAGAAATATTTTTGCTTTTAAAGAAGCTCTAGGCTTGTATTGCAATGGTTGAGTGAGACTCACTTCTTTTCATTCTCTCATCTTTTTCTTCCCTCCTACTCTTAGACATCTGGTAATTTATACACTTGGGATTAACTTATGTAGCAACTGAAGAGAAAATAGCAATTATTATGTCCATTGCTGAAAACAGAGAAGGTAATGAAACTTTTTCCTGAAGGGTTCCAGTCGCTACAAATTCTATACGAAAAGGGTGCCACCACTGGCCTCATTTCCTCTTCAAAGTGGTGCTTAGGGAAGGGTGCACACCTGCTCAGCTGAAGCAGGCCTGGTAACTTTTCACGGAGGAGTGCCACACGCTGAAATAATTATGCACAGAGCCACAGCTGAGTGGAGGAGTGAGGTCTTAGGTCATACACGTGTGTCTAAATCTGTGATCTATGTTTATCATCTGACCCGGCATCAGCCAGGAGAGTCAGAATTAAGTCCCCCACAACCCAAGCCTGCACCATCAGTCTTTAAACATGAGCTTCTTTTTTCCAGATCTCTAAAGGGGTCACAAATTATCGGAGGTAAAGTTGAGATCTTGTATGTCCAGGCCAAAAGGCAGCCCTGGGATGTTAACTCCTTTCCGTTCCTCCCAGAAATACTGGGGTGGAAAAATCCGTGATCATATTGCCATCTATAGCCCCTACCTCAGCCAACACCTCCATCTCATCCTGCCTCCCCTAAAACTGAGGACATGTTTCCAAAATTTCCTCTGTAAGCACTGTATTCAGAGGAACCCTAAAGGCAGTGCCAAGATTCTTTGGGAGAGAAAGAGAAATACAATTCTCTTTTCCAGGGTCACACTTACAAATTCTCTTTTACACTATTTCTAAAAAGAACAACTTGGTTTTAAGACACTGTACACTACCTTGTCATGATCCAGATCTACATGAAAACTTTTCTCAGGTGGTGATTATTGAATGATAGTAGCCTATTTAAAAATATGTAAGACACTGAGTTTACTCCTCTGTAAAAAGGAATTGAACTAGAGGAAGTATTTAAGGTTTTTCCAGATCTAAAGTGCAGGCAAGCCATAATTTCCAGATTCTAAGAACGACCCCCTGCATATGTGAGCAAATCACATGCTGTCTATACCACAGCAAGCCTTCAGGATAATAAGAATGTGCATAGTAACACACGGCTTCCAGCCCTCTGCCTCCTGAAGAAAGGCATATAGAAAGCATGCTTACCTACGGAGGGGGGACAAAACTGATTGTTTTACTCCTATGTTTTTCCTTCAGAAAAACTATCCATAATTTTACAGTTGACTACTTTTATTCTGCTTATTTTGAGTTGAATCATTTGCATTGCTCATATTTAAAAATCTAATAACCACTCTACAGACTAATAAGCACAGACAAAAAAAAAATCACACTCAGTTCTTAATCACTGATGAATTTCAACCCACCGCTCCTACATACAATTGTAAAGAAAGGCTTAGTTTTCAGGTCATAAATCATGTAGGACAACAGCATCCCCAAGCATCAACCAAGGCAAACACTGTAAATACTGACCATGGCTACTCCAAAGACAGAATCCCATTCAACCCTGGGTCCACAGCTAAGGTTGGCACATGATAAAAAGTATAAAAAGCCAGGTTGGAGCCCACCACATTCTCTCAGTGAGCTAAAGCCAAGAGCAGAGAGCTGTGAGTACATTTTATATAGAGGACCGTGAAAGTGTGCAGATTCACTCAGAGACCCCCAAATCAGAAAAAGTGAGGCACACTCTGGAGCAAACCAGCCCCCAGATCCAAATCAAAGCTGTGTAGGGCATGAATGTCGCTCCACTTACCCAGCATAGCGGTTGTTATAAAGGTGGCTGTGCCCCGGTTGCAGAATCTTCAAAAAGAGCCAGCAAAGAGGCAGGAAAGCAGCTGCCTGGCCCCTGCGCTTCCCGAGACACTTCATAGTGTTAAGAAGAGAGGAGTTGAAAGTTACTTAAGCAGCCACCCGAGGCTGGAGGTGGCTCACAGCACCCTCTACACACCGCACAGGTTCTCCGGGAAGGGGGTGGGCGAGGAAGGTTGAGAGTGAGCAAAATGTGACACTTCTCTCCAGCTACAAGGGAAAAAAAAAGTTCAGGCAGCTGAGGAAGGGAAGTTGCTATTACGACTTGGTCTTGGGACAAGCAGCAGCAGCAGCAGCAGCAGCTGAGCCTGATCTTTAATCAGGCTCCCCTAGAAAGGGCTGGGCCTCCCTCGTGCTGACTCACGGCAGGGGTTCACTGGGTGCTGCTTCCTTTGGGTGACTCCTCTCTGCTTTTGGTTTGTTTGCTTTCCCAACTTGAGGCCTCTAACTTTTCTGTGCAAGCTTTCTTTCTCTATCTTCTTCAGCATGAGGATCCTACCTAATTGCAAATGATTTGTCTGATGGGCTAAACAAGCAGACATGGATTATTCCAAGCTTAATGTTTTTTTGATCTCCCATGACAGATTCCTAAACGGATTCCACCTAATGAAATGCACAATGAACAATCATGATGAGAACGTGCACGGGGGTACCTATAGCACCCAGATCCGAACAGCTGGCTTCAGTTCACTGCTCCTGACTTACAGGAGTGGTCAGTGGCTTTATTGGGCTTCAGGGAGATCTTGGTACTCATTCTGCATCAGCAGCACCCAGACCTGCTGCTGTTTCAGAGGTTCTCGTGGGGAATAGGAGGCCTTCGAGTGCTTTGCCACCTTGGCTGTACATTTGGAATCATTTAGGGAGCCAGACCTTGAAAATAGAAACCGTGGTGGTGGGATCAGTGGTTTAAAAAGCTCCTTAGGTGATTCCAATATTCAACCACCATGCTGGTCTGGAGCAGGGCTTCTCAGAGCTCCACATGCATAGAAGTCACCTGGGGATCTCATTAAACTGCAGCTCTGACGTAGGTTGGAACAGGGGCCTAAGAGTTTTTATTTTTCTTTTTTGAGACAGAGTTTCGCTCTTGTTGCCCAGGCTGGATGGAGTGCCAAGTCCCCATCTCGGCTCACTGCAACCTCCGCCTCCCAGGTTCAAGCGATTCTCCTGCCTCAGCCTCCTGAGTAGCTCGGATTACAGGTGCCTACCACCACGCCCAGCTAATTTTTGTATTTTTAGTAGAGACGAGGTTTCCCCATGTCGGTCAGGCTGGTCTTGAACTCGTGACCTCAGGCAATCTGCTTGTCTCGGCCTTGCGAAGTGCTGGGATTACAGGTGTGAGCCACCACGCCTGGCCGAGTCTGCATTTCTAAAGAAGCTTCCAGGTGATGCTGGTGCCACTGGCTCTTCAGCCACACTTGGAGTAGCAAGACTTCACTTTAGAATGAGGTCTGCTTTTTCTTCCAAGCAAACCTTGGAGAAAACCATTTCCTTCTCTTTTTTCCCATGTTGATGATGAAAGCTTTTTAAAATTATTATTTGCATCCACTTGCTCCTATTCCAATACGCCACAAAACCCATTACAGGGGATGTGCCTCGCCCTATTAAATAAGCATAGGCACCTAGGGTGCCTCCTGTTACCTTTCATGCCCAGTCCTGGTTGTGCTCTAAAACAGAGAGTGAGCCACTATTTCCTCATCACACTCACAAAACTTTTCAGGCTTCCTGGAGAGTCATAGCCAAGAACTCCTGTACCCTCTAATACTATAGCCAGAGTCCCTGTTAGAAGAGAGAGCACCCAATCTTTCCCATCTTCTCTACCTGGGGAGTTGAACCAAAACTCCTTTGACAGATTCAATGTCAGGTTCATGAAACAGCTGAAATGGTTTTCATTTGAAATGATGCTCTGAATTTTTCTGCAACTTTCTCAGCATCAGTTTGGTTAATGCCTCCTCTGTGTCCCTCACAAATCCTGGCATGTCCTCTACTGTAGGAATTACCACATCAAATTTCTTGTCTGGTTTCCTCATGAGGCTGCTTTCTCCTTGAATACAGAACTGTATCCTTTTGGTCTTCCTGTGCACTTCCTTATACCTCCTCGAGGGAATACAATGTTTCCTGAAGGAGTGATCAACGATGTCTGTTGGATGAACGATGAACCAGGGAAGAAATTCATTTAACAAACATTAACATAGATGCTTCTGTGTCCAGATAGAGGAGAGAGCACCTTGGGAGCAGAGAACACTATGGGTGCTTTTGGAGAGTGGAAGTTCCCCGGGTGATCATGTCTGGTTTCGTTTCTTTTTTATGTTGCCTTCTTTCCTGACTTCCTGGCCTTGTACTTTTGTCTTCCTAAACTGGTCAGGCTGCTCTGCAAGACTCACAGCAGTACTCACAGGCCTTTTAGATGAGCCCAGGAAAGCCAATGATCTGTGGAAATAAGAGGTTACTGTGTAAATAAAACACTTCATCTCTTTGCATTTCGCTATGTCAGAACAATGTATAAATCTGTCATATTATATCACAACATTAAACTAGGAATGTTCAGTCTCTGACTGAGAATTAAACTCATCCTCAAATCATTCTGAAGGATTGGATCCCGCAAGCATGTTCGGCAGAGGCTCTCCAGACTCTGAGACCAAAGGAATCATTTCCTGGACCATCAAAAATGCCAGAAACTCCGGTGACATCCTGTAACCTTCCTAAAAATTTCAGATCAAAGAGAGGTTCTCAAACAATAGAAGCCATACCTAGCAATCATTCTCTGTTTTACTAAGGACCAGGTTATCTGATCAAACTTCTCTTGGAGTAGATAAGCTCCCATAAAATGAGAGATAAATGGAGTCCATTTAGCAAATGGGAGGAGGAGGGAACAGTTTTATAGATGAATTCAAAGATAAAAGTTCCATTTTTAAGGCACTGAGAGGGAGTGAATTATTAAACCAGCTAGGGATTTGGAGATGGGAAGATGAGAAGTTCTATTTATTGGCTATGCCTTTATCATAGTTTAGTGGAAGAGTGAACTTTATTAAAAGAAATATTACCATGCACAGAAAGAAATGAAACTACTTGGGAAAAGAAAATATCATCCTTGATTCGAGTCCATTGTTGATGATGAGATCATTTTTAATGTCTCTTCCAGAACTGAAATTCTATGATACCATGGAGGAAGATTTTGCAATTTCTTTCCTCAGGTATATGAGTGAGAGCTACATAGATTTACGTTGTTAAAGCTATCTGGAGAAGATAAACAGTGTGGTAGCACTTTCTTCAGACAAAAGTTGTACAGACATCCCTCCCGTTGCAGTTTGTGATCATTCCTCAACATGCTATTTGCATAGACCTTATCGCCTGTCACTTCTTTTTTATAGCGTTCTGCCACTATTCCAACAGGTAAGGAAACAGCAAATGTGAAGGTAGGCTACTGCCCCATGCGGTCTTGGCAAGTCTGTGAGGAATGTTCTGAAGCTTCCCTTAACAACACCTCACTGACGATTCCCTCCCAGCTGTCTTCAGCACCATCAGCTATCCTGTCTTGTTCCCGTGTCTTTAGTCTTTCTCTCATCAGCTAACCACAGTTCTTTCATCCTTAAACACAAGCCGCTTGGCTTCTTTTTTCTTTTTCGTTTCCCAGGCTTCTTCTTTTTTTTTTTTTTTTTTTTTTTTGAGACGGAGTCTTGCTCTGTCGCCCAGGCTGGAGTGCAGTGGTGCAATCTCGGCTCACTGCAAGCTCCGCCTTCTGGGTTCACGCCATTCTCCTGCCTCAGCCTCCTGAGTAGCTGGGACTACAGGCGCCCACCACCACGCCCGGATAATTTTTTGTATTTTTTGATAGAGACGGGGTTTCACCGTGTTAGCCAGGATGGTCTCGATCTGCTGGCCTCGTGATCTGCCCGCCTTGGCCTCCCAAAGTGCTGGGATTACAGGCGTGAGCCACAGCGCCTGGCCAGAAGTGCACTCTTGAACCTTGACCATGGCTTTGCCTCCCTACCACCCCGCTGAAACTTTCTCTCAAATATCAGCGGTGATTTCTAAGTGGAAAAATGTTTTGTTCTCACCCTACTCCACATCTGCATGGCTTCTGAGGCTGCTTGCCAGTTGCTGTTTGAAACTCTCTTCTCCCTTGGGCTCTGAGATATTGTCTTCTTCTGTTCCTGTCCTTCCTGGGGTTCCTCTCTAATTTCTGCCTGCTTAAATAGTAGACATTTTATGAGGCCTCTGCCTGCCTTCTTCTCTTCTTGATCCATTGCTGCAGATATGGTTTCTGGCTTTGTGACACTCAGTGCTGGTGGAGGGGCTAGGTAGTTACACAAACTCCTTGTTACATTTGGTGGTTCCATTAATCCTATAGGAACAAATCAGAGATGCTGTGATGCAAAGTTAAGAGGGCAGGTACGGATCGCATGTGTAGGGTGTTGGGAGGAAGTGGACGTCTAAACCAAGGATGAGAAGGAGCCAGTCATGCCCAGAGGAGGATGGTGGTGTGCAGGGAATAAGGGATGGGATGAGACCGTTGCAGGCACAGGGAGCAGCAGGAGCTGTCTGCCAGTGAATCTCGACAGGATGAAGAGTGGCATTCGGGCTCCTCAGCTTGGCATTCAAGGCCCTCGAAAACATTTTCATTTTTATCTTCCTCAGTATTCTCTGAAGACTCTGTATCCTCTCCAGCTGTGTCCTTCCTCTGTGTTTGTTTATGGTGCTTCCTTGATACCAGTGGCCATCTCCATTCAGCCTTTCTGTCTCTATCTGGCCAAATCCTTCCATCCCTGCCAGACCCAGCTCAAGTCAGTATCTCCCATGAAGCTGTTCCAATCCATTTCTATCTGCAGTGGTCACCTTCTTTGAGTGGACAGCACTTATTCATATACACCCTTATGTTTGACTGTGTTGACACAACTCTGTATTACCATTTATGAAAAACTCCTCCATGCCAAGCACTCGATTATGTCTGTCTTTGTACTCCACAGTGCCTAGGGCAGTGCTGGGTACACAGCAGACATCTGCTAACAAAGCCTTGGCACGCCTTTCAGCCCAGAGCTGCTAGGACCTCTTCCCTTTCTGGGAGCTCTCATCCAGAGCCCCAGTCTGCATCTTTGTCTTCGGCCAGGTGTCTCACAAGAAGAGTTCGGCTCACTCTGATGTGAAAGCAACTGGAAGAGTAAGTCTTATTAATGGGCAAGCCAATTATTATATGTTTAGGTCCTTATAATTAGGTTACGATGATGTTTTATAGAATTTATAGAGCAAAACTAAAGTACTTTAGTGTAGGAAGGTGGGAATAAAGAGATCTACCTGATGACTCAAAGCAGCAGGAGGCTTCCATCTTCTCTCTGTCCTTGTGAAATGCGAGAGTTACTTGATCCCTCTCACAGGACATGTGACAGGGGTGTGGCTTGCCTGTTCTATTGCTGCTGCTCAAAACCCTGATGGCAGGGGGAGCACGCGGATGGGCAGGTGCAGGATCCAGGGCAAGTGCTTTGGGCTCTGGCCCCACGGTAGTGTCTAGGGGTGGGTGCCTTTGGCCCCAGTGTTACAGTGCCCTCTTAGCCTTGCCATCCGCAGATGGTTTAAGTGTTAACCAGCTCAATGGACCCTCTGGCTTTTTGCAAGGGCAGAGGGCCAGTGTGGCAGCTTTCTGTATCCTGAACTCTTACCCAGCATCCCATAAGAATTGGGTTACACATGGGCTTGAAGGATGAATGTGGAGTTTTATTGTGGCTTTCAGTGGGATGGATGGGGAGCCGGAAGGGGGGATGGAGTGCGAAGATAATCTTCCCCTGAAGACACTGGAACAAGACACTGAATGGTGTTCAGATGTTCCTCCTCCTCTTCTCTCTCTGCCGAAACATTCCACTATTTGTCTGCTTGTCTCATGTCCTCATCTGCTCATCTGCTTCTAGAGCCTGGGGTTCAGGGTTTATATGGGTACAGGATAGGGGCATGATGGGCCAAAAGGCAACTTTTGGGCATGAAAATAGGAAGGCCTATCCCCATTTAGGGCCATGGGTCTCCAGGCTTGAGGATAGGGCCTTTGCTGGGGAACCACCCTCTTCTAGTATTTCCCTGTCTCCTGTCTATATCACTTGTTTTTTCTTCTTTCCCTTCTCTTTTGTCTCACATTCTACCTCCTACTTTCCCATCTTTCCTGATACCTGGTCCCAAGACTCTTACAGAGGAATAAATAGAGAAAACATAATGGATAAAAATATTTTAAAAATTTAAAAATTGCTTTTAAAAATTACTACTGCTAGTGACAGGGAAAAGATGTATGTGTTTTACCACTTGTGATATTAAGTATTTTAATGAAAATAAGGGAAATTTGAGAGGGATGGAGCAGAAGACAGAGATTTTAAAAGTTTGATTAAAGTCAAAAACAATAGTCAAGCAAATGAATGAAAAACTACTTTCTTATTTATTTACCTAGGGCAGTGAGAGATGATGGAGAAAAATACCAAATAAGAACGGAAACAGTTTAATCATAGAAAACATTCAATTGTAAGCAAAAAAGACTAACTAGAGGGGAAATTTCAGATATAACAAGAATCAAAAGACTAGGTGAGAAAATTTGCCTTAAGGACAAAAGCTGTTACGAAGAATGAAGGAAGTCAAACAAGCAGAAATGTTTCACCTTGGCACATATTGGACAATCATAAAAGTGTAGGGAGGAGAAAGTTCTCTTGGTGCTGAGGGACATCCATTTCTACGTCCCCAAAAGTACATAGAAAAATAAAAATCATATGAGAATTTGTTTCAGTCTCTCAGAAAGTGAATTGAAGAATACACAGTAGAAGACATTGAGATTGGCTGTAAGGTATCACAAGGAGGAATTAATTTATTGAAAATGGAGAAATACAAAACTAAAATTTTCTGAAGAATTTGCTGACTTTTAGAGACATAATAAAATGACAAAGTCAATAGCTAAAGGAATGTATTTACATTCAAAAGAGAATTTTAGGAACTGCGGATCATAATTATATTGAATATAAACAGACAAAATAAACAGAGGATTTTTTTTTATTCAAAAGTACCAGTTGGAAGAATGGCATAGCTCGTAGAAATCTTAGATACAAATTAACATTGAAAAACACTCATAGGAGGAGGTGATTAAATAAGTTTCCTAAAGGGCCAAATGAGAAAACACATGACGGAGTCAGCACAATTATTTAATGTAATGCAAAGATTTTTATTTGCTGTCAAAGGTCAAATGCTTCTAAAGACTGTAGAAGAAGAATTTACCAGATTCTTTTAAGAACTTGTATTGGTATTTGATCTTGTAAGGAGAGATTTAAGACTTTGAAATAAGCAAAAAAAAAAAAAAAAAAATTACCAAACCTTTTTTTCAATGGAATGCTGGAGTCTATGGAGGTTGTCTGCAACTTTGTCACGACTAGACTATTTTACAGTCCTATAGATTTAAGAAACCGGTTAGAATGTAAATAATTCTTGCCCATTTTAAATGATTCTTGCTTTTTATAGACATCTAAATAACTTCTGACTGGCAAAGGGATGACCTTCCCCCTGCCCTATGAAAAAAGTCAGTTTTGCTTCCATTTGTAAAGTAATTCCACCATTTCTTTACTCCACATAAATTTGCGGTTCTTTGATTTCTCTTTTGAACTAGCAGTAACATCTTTCCCAGTTATCTCATTTAATTAATAGTTAGATAAAATCTTTGATGCCTGTTCATTTTCTGTTTGTATGAGAGGCTTAAAAAAAAGATTCTTTAGTCATTTTGGAGGTTCCACTGAGATGCCCTACTCTGACAGAGTTGGATGAACGTCATCACCAGAAACGGGGCAAGTCAGAGGCTCCCTTTCCCCAGGGAGGTCTTTTCTTGGTTTATAGAGGTGAATCTGAAGTGGTAATAGATCTTTGCTTATTCTCTGTTTTCTAATTTCAATTTTCCTCTCCACTAATTTGTCTTTTGTTTTTGTTATCTCTTTGTATATAGCCAATAAATTATTCCCCATTGATGGAAGCAGTGATTGTGAATTTGGTTTATGATCTAATCATTTGGTAAGCTCTCTAAATGGATTTGTGGTTTATAGAGATCTATTCTCTCTTGAGTGAGAGATGATGGAAATCTTGATTGTTTCTCTTGTATTTGTCTATTTGCCTATTTTGAATTCAGATTATTTCAGAATATCACATCTACAAAGGAGAACAGCTCTTTGATATCTGTGTTAGTGAGTTTCTGTATTTCTGTACTTACTCTTGATCTATGACTAAAATGGCAGAATTGAAGCTTTAAGGTATCTATGGGTCTGTATGATATATGTTTGTAATCTGGAAAGGATTTTAACTCTCATTGACTGTGCAATGTTTTTCTCTCCCCAAGGAGTTCTAATAAATGAGATGTAAGAGACTCTTACTGAAGGAGCTCTGTTCCAATTGGCCTATAGAAATAAATAAATGTACATTAAATATACAGAATGTATATTCTGTTGATTTGGGATGGAGAGTTCTGTAGATGTCTATTAGGTCTGCTTGGTGCAGAGCTGAGTTCAATTCCTGGATATCCTTGTTAACTTTCTGTCTCGTTGATCTGTCTCATGTTGACAGTGGGGTGTTAAAGTCTCCCATTATTATTGTGTGGGAGTCTAAATCTCTTTGTAGGTCTCTAAGGACTTGCTTTATGAATCTGGGTGCTCCTGTATTGGGTGCATATATATTTAGGATAGTTAGCTCTTCTTGTTGAATTGATCCCTTTACCATTATGTAATGGCCTTCTTTGTCTCTTTTGATCTTTGTTGGTTTAAAGTCTGTCTTATCAGAGACTAGGATTGCAACCCCTGCCTTTTTTTGTTTTCCATTTGCTTGGTAGATCTTCCTCCATCCTTTTATTTTGAGCCTATGTGTGTCTCTGCACATGAGATGGGTTTCCTGAATACAGCACACTGATGGGTCTTGACTCTTTATCCAGTTTGTCAGTCTGTGTCTTTTAATTGGAGCATTTAGCCCATATACATTTAAGGTTAATATTGTTATGTGTGAATTTGATCCTGTCATTATGATGTTAGCTGGTTATTTTGCCCGTTAGTTGATGCAGTTTATTCCTAGTGTCGATGGTCTTTACAATTTGGCATGTTTTTGCAGTGGCTGGTACCGGTTGTTCCTTTCCATGTTTAGTGCTTCCTTCAGGAGCTCTTGTAGGGCAGGCCTGGTGGTGACAAAATCTGTCAGCATTTGCTTGTCTGTAAAGTATTTTATTTCTCCTTCACTTATGAAGCTTAGTTTGGCTGGATATGAAATTCTGGGTTGAAAACTCTTTTCTTTAAGAATGTTGAATATTGGCCCCCACTCTCTTCTGGCTTGTAGAATTTCTGCCAAGAGATCAGCTGTTAGTCTGATGGGCTTCCCTTTATGGGTAACCTGACCTTTCTCTCTGGCTGCTCTTAACATTTTTTCCTTCATTTCAACTTTGGTGAATCTGACAATTATGTGTCTTGGAGTTGCTCTTCTCGAGGAGTATCTTTGTGGCATTCTCTGTATTTCCCGAATTTGAATGTTGGCCTGCCTTGCTAGACTGGGGAAGTTCTCCTGGATAATATCCTGCAGAGTGTTTTCCAGCTTGGTTCCATTCTCCCTGTCACTTTCAGGTACACCAATCAGACACAGATTTGGTCTTTTCACATAGTCCCATATTTCTTGGAGGTTTTGTTCATTTCTTTTCATTCCTTTTTCTCTAAACTTCTCTTCTTGCTTCATTTCATTCATTTCATCTTCCATCACTGATAACCTTTCTTCCAGTTGATCAAATTGGCTACTGAGGCTTATGCATTCGTCATGTAGTTCTCGTGCCTTGGTTTTCAGCTCCATCAGGTCCTTTAAGAACTTCTCTGCATTGGTTATTCTAGTTAGCCATTCATCTAATTTTTTTTCAGTGTTTTTAACTTCTTTGCCATGGGTTTGAACTCCCTCCTTTAGCTCAGAGTAGTTTGATCGTCTGAAGCCTTCCTCTCTCAACTCGCCAAATCAATGTGCAAAAATCACAAGCATTCTTATACACCAATAACAGACAAACAGAGAGCCAAATTATGAGTGAAGTCCCATTCACAGTTGCTTCAAAGAGAATAAAATACCTAGGAATCCAACTTACAAGGGACGTGAAGGACCTCTTCAAGGAGAACTACAAACTACTGCTCAATGAAATAAAAGAGGATACAAACAAATGGAAGACCATTCCATGCTCATGGGTAGGAAGAATCAATATCGTGAAAATGGCCATACTGCCCAAGGTAATTTATAGATTCAGTGCCATCCCCCTCAAGCTACCAATGACTTTCTTCACAGAATTGGAAAAAACTACTTTAACGTTCATATGGAACCAAAAAAGAGCCCGTATTGCCAAGTCAATCCTAAGCCAAAAGAACAAAGCTGGAGGCATCAGGCTACCTGACTTCAAACTATACTACAAGACTACAGTAACCAAAACAGCATGGTACTGGTACCAAAGCAGAGATAGAGGCCAATGGAACAGAACAGAGCCTTCAGAAATAATGCTGCGTATCTACAACCATCTGATCTTTGACAAACCTGACAAAAACAAGCAATGGGGAAAGGATTCCCTGTTTAATAAATGATGCTGGGAAAACTGACTAGCCATATGTATAAAGCTGAAACTGGATCCCTTCCTTACACCTTATACAAAAATTAATTCAAGATGGATTAAAGACTTACATGGTAGACCTAAAACCATAAAAACCCCATACCATTCAGGACATAGGCATGGGCAAGGACTTCATGTCTAAAACACCAAAAGCAATGGCAACAAAAGCCAAAATTGACAAATGGGATCTAATTAAACTCAAGAGCTTCTGCACAGCAAAAGAAACTACCATCAGAGTGAACAGGCAACCTACAGAATGGGAGAAAGTTTTCGCAACCTACTCATCTAACAAAGGGCTAATATCCAGAATCTACAAAGAACTCAAACAAGTCTACAAGAAAAAAAAAAAACAGCCCCATGAAAAAGTGGGTGAAGGATATGAACAGACACTTCTCAAAAGAAGACATATATGCAGCCAAAAGACACATGAAAAAATGCTCATCATCACTGGCCATCAGAGAAACGCAAATCAAAACCACAATGAGATACCATCTCACACCAGTTAGAATGGCGATCATTAAAAAGTCAGGAAACAACAGGTGCTGGAGAGGATGTGGAGAAACAGGAACACTTCTACACTGTTGGTGGGACTGTAAACTAGTTCAACCATTGTGGAAGTCAGTGTGGCGATTCCTCAGGGATCTTGAACTAGAAATACCATTTGACCCAGCCATGCCATTGCTGGGTATATACCCAAAGGATTATAAATCATGCTGCTATAAAGACACACACACACGTATGTTTATTGCGGCACTATTCACAATAGCAAAGACTTGGAACCAAGCCAAATGTCCAACAATGATAGACTGGATTAAGAAAATGTGGCACATATACACCATGGAATACTATGCAGCCATAAAAAATGATGAGTTCATGTCCTTTGTAGGGACATGGATGAAGCTGGAAACTATCATTCTCAGCAAACTATGGCAAGGACAAAAAACCAAACACCGCATGTTCTCACTCATAGATGGGAATTGAACAATGAGAACACATGGACACAGGGACGGGAACATCACACACCGGGGCCTGTTGTGGGGTGGGGGAAGGAGGGAGGGACAGCATTAGGAGACGTACCTAATGTTAAATGACGAGTTAATGGGTGCAGCACACCAACATGGCACATGTATACATATGTAACCTGCATGTTGTGCACATGTACCCTAAAACTTAAAGTATAATTAAAAAAAAAAGAAAGAAAGACAGACCATAGCAAGTGTTAGCAAGAATGTGGAGAAATCAGAACTCTCAGACATTGTTGATATGAAAATAAACCGATGTAGCTTCTGTGAAAAACAGTTTTATAATTCTTCAAAAATTAAATGTAGAGTTGCCATATGATCTAGAAATTTCATGTCTAGCTTCCACCAAGAAAATTCAAAACATATGTTTATATCACACCTTGCACACAAATGTTCATAGCAGCATTATTCATAATGGCCTAAGAGTGGAAGTAAACCAAAGTGTCCATCAATTGATGAATAGATAAAAATGTTACATCCATGCAGTGGAATATTATTTGGCTAGAAAAAGGAATGAAGTATTGACACTTGCAGCAACATGAATGAACCTTGAAAAAACGCTAAGTGAAAAGAGCCAGACATAAGGTCACATATTATATGATTTGACATAAAATGTCCAGAATAGATAAAAACACATATATAGAAACACAATATATTAGCAGTTGCCAAGGGGAAAGGAGGGATAGGGAGTGACTGCCAATAAATATGGGGTTGCACTTTGGGGTGATGTAAATATTCTGGAATTGGATAATGGTGGTGGTTGCCTAAGTTTACGAATATACTAAAAACCAATGAATTGTACACATTAAAATGGTGACTTTTATGGTAGGTGAATTATATCTCAATTCAAAAAAGATCTTTAGGGAATTTAGAGCCTTAAACTGATTAATGAATAATCACTGGATACCTAAATTATATCTAAGTAATATAGAACACTGAAACATTGATTAATGAACATAATTTTATGTTTACAGGCTTTTGCTTTTTATGTGCTACAGATAGGCTATCTCCTTGGTTAATTTTTGCCAATTTCAGAAGGCATGGAAGGCTACAGCAGGTATGTGGCCATAGAGAATTGTGTTATGTGTGTTTATGATTTCTGCTTGTTGCTAAAATAAATGCTTGTTACAGACTGTTCTTTATTATCTACTCCCAAGTGTTATCTGTGAAATAAATATTATTTACTTTGCTTAAGTTGTAATTAATAGTGGTGGTTGAGAATATACTGGGAGCAATAGTGACAGAGAAAATATGACTCTGTATGTGCTTCTGTTTTTTAAGAAAAAGAATAGTTTTCTCCTAAAATAGTACTTCTCTGTTATTTTTTCTTTTCTCTTTTTCTTTTTCCTGTTCTTCAGACCCATTTATACTCTTAAAACTTATTGACGACCCCAAGGAGTTTTGTTCATGTGGGTTACAACTACTGATACTGACTCTTGGAGATTGAAACCAAGAACTTTTGAAAATGCTTACTTTGGGATTTGTTCAAAGGTAGCAATGATAAAAGCATTCTATGCTAACAGCATCTTATGAAATTAGTTCTTGTGGTCTTGCGAGATCCGTCTTAAAGCCCCAGTTTGTTCCGGAATATTAAAGAGCACAATGAAAGGCAAAGCTTGGAATGTAAATTTTCTTTGCCTTGGTTTATAATCCCTGTGTCTGAAAAGTTATGGAATGTGTTAGTAGGTTAGCAAAGTTTGTTCAGCGTGGATGGGCTTGCTTCCTTGATTTACTGCTTCTTGCTTTTGCTTACAATATGAAGGGTTAATCTTCTTGTGTCATCTGCCTACAAAGCAAAGATTCTGTGTCTTATCAGAACGGCTTTCTGTGCTTTAACTTGACTTTATTACAACCTACATTACTTAAGAAAACAACAAAAAAGAGAGAAACAAAGAATCCTCACTTCTGTAATAACTAACATTTGGGTAATTATGTTACCATCTATTCTTGTTTTTGAATTTTTTGTTCTTTCAATTAAATAGGTAATAATATTTTTCAGGCATTTATGATCTAACCTTAATCAAGTGCCTAATTTCCTCTCATAATATTTTTTATCTTTGTCTCCCTAAAATTAGACCCTCAATTATAGAAAAAAATGTAAAGTAAAACTTTCAGAATTGTACTTAAAACAATATTTGTGATTTCCCAGAGGACCCCTGCAAAATCACAAGGATTTGTTTCTTCACCTTGAAAAGTACTAGAAATAATTAGTTTTTTTTGTTTTTTTAAATCTACATTGCTATTGATGTACTGCATGAGAAGAGCTGTCAAATCAAAGGAGATGCTTCTCCTTCCCAGGTGGAATTCTCATAAGTAAAATGTTGTCAATATAAATATTTCAGAAATTGTGGAAATTCTGTATGGGAAGTTCCAGGGATTTTTCAAAGCTCTTGATGTCCATGATATGTTTCTATTTATCAGAGCCTTGGTGCTGTTTTGCCTGATGATATTGGGCATCAGTAGTAAAGTGTTATCAGTCATGAAT
Source organism: Homo sapiens (assembly GCF_000001405.40). Lineage (NCBI taxonomy): Eukaryota > Metazoa > Chordata > Mammalia > Primates > Hominidae > Homo > Homo sapiens. The sequence continues at coordinate 67,760,183 of NC_000008.11, forward strand.
TTTAGTTATTGTTTAAATGCTTATTGGCTACAAGCTTATTCTTAATTTAAATCTACTATTTTTTAGTTCAGTGGTTCTCAGATGGGGATGCACCTCAGATGCATGCATAAAGTTTTATAAAAATATAGATGTCTAAACTGTAATCCAAACTTACTGAATCTCTTTACTTGACAACCTTGGGATGCTCTTAGCCTATGCTTTGTAAATTGTTGATATCTTTTATGAATTATGTCTCAGAATTATTATTTTATATATCAGAATTATTTCCTCTGTAAAAAGTATGTTCATCTGGATATGAAATTCTGGGTTGAAAATTCTTTTCTTTAAGAATGTTGAATACTGGCCCCTACTCTCTTCTGGCTTGTAGGGTTTCTGCAGAGAGATCTGCTGTTAGTCTGATGGGCTTCCGTTTGTGTGTAACCCGACCTTTCTCTCTGGCTGCCCTTAACATTTTTTCCTTCAATTCAACCTTGGTGAATCTGACAATTATGTGTCTTGGGGTTGTTCTTCTCGAGGAGTATCTTTGTGGTGTTCTCTGTAATTCCTGAATTTGAATGTTGGCTTGTCTTGCTATGTTGGGGAAGTTCTGCTGGATAATATCCTGAAGAGTGTTTTCCAACTTGGTTCCATTCTCCCTGTCACTTTCAGGTAAACCAATCAGACACAGATTTGGTCTTTTCACATAGTCCCATATTTCTTGGAGGCTTTGTTCATTTCTTTTTATTCTTTTTTCTCTAATCCTGTCTTCTTGCTTTATTTCATTAAGTTGATCTGCAATCTCTGATATCCTTTCTTCCACTTGATCGATTCGGCTATTGATACCTGTGTGTGCTTCACGAAGTTCTCGTGCTGTGTTTTTCAGCCCTGAGTGATTGAGCCTGAGGAACTGTGCACTCCGGCCCAGATACTGCACTTTTCCCATGGTCTTCGCAACCTGCAGACCAGGAGATCCCCTCCAGTGCCTATCCCACCAGGACCCTGGGTTTCAAGCACATAACTGGGTGGCCATTTGGGCAGACACTAAACTAGCTGCAGGAGTTTTTTTTTCCATACCCCAGTGGCGTCTGGAATGCCAGCGAGACAGTACCATTCACTTCCCTGGAAAGGGGGCTAAAGCCAGGGAGCCAAGTGGTCTGGCTCGGCGGGTCCCACCCCCATGGAGCCCAGCAAACTAAGATCTACTGGCTTGAAGTTCTCACTGCCAGCAAAGCAGCAGTCTGAGATTGACCTGGGACACTCTAGCTTGGTGGGGGGAGGGGCATCCCCCATTGCTGAGGCTTGAGTAGGCGGTTTTACCTCACAGTGTAAACAAAGCCTCCAGGAAGGTAGAACTGGACGGAGCCCATGGCATCTCAGCAAGGCCACTGTGGCCAGACTGCCAGATTTCTCCTCTCTGGGTAGGGCATCTCTGAATAAAAAGGCAGCAGCCCCAGTCGGGGACTTACAGATAAAACCTCCGTCTCCCTGGGACAGAGGACCTGGAGGAAGAGGCAGCTGTGGGTGCAGCTTCAGCAGACTTCAACGTCCCTGCCTGATGGCTCTGAAGAGAGCAGCGAACCTCCCAGCACAGCATCTGAGCTTTGCTAAGGGTCAGACTGCCTCCTCAAGTGGGTTCCTGACCCCCGTGTATCCTGACTGGGAGACATCCTGACTGACAGACACCTCATACAAGAGAGCTCTGGCTGGCATCTGGCAGGTGTCCTTCTGGGATGAAGCTTCCAGAAGAAAGAATAGGCAGCAATCTTTGCTATGCTGTAGCCTCCACTGGTAATACTCAGGCAAACAGGGTCTGGAGTGGACCTCATCAGAGTGAATAGGCAACCTACAGAATGGGAGAAAATTTTTGCAATCCATCCATCTCACAAAGGGTTAATATCCATAATCTACAAAGAACTTAAACAAATTTACAAGAAAAAAACAAACAACCCCATCAAAAATTGGGCAAAGGACATGAACAGACACTTCTCAAAAGAAGACATTAATGCAGCCAACAAATGTATGAAAATATGCTCATCATCACTGGTCGTCAGAGAAATGCGAATCAAAACCACAATGAGATACCATCTCATGCCAGTTAGAATGGCGGTCATTAAAACATCAGGAAACAACAGATGCTGGAGAGGTTGTGGAGAAGAAGGAATGCTTTTACACTGTTGGTGGGAGTGTAAATTAGTTCAATCATTGTGGAAGACAGTGTGGCAATTCCTCAAGGATCTAGAACTAGAAATACCATTTGACCCAGCAATCCCATTACTGGGTATATACCCAAAGGATTATAAATCATTCTACTATAAAAATACATGCACATGTATGTTTATTGAGGCACTATTCACAATAGCAAAGACTTCGAACCAACCCAAATGTCCATCAATGATAGACTTGATAAAGAAAATGTGGCACATATACACCATGGAATACTATGAAGCCATAAAAGAGGATGAGTTCATGTCCTTTGTAGGGACATGGATGAAGCTGGAAACCATCATTCTCAGCAAAGTAACAAAAGAACAGAAAACCAGACACCACATGTCCTCACTCATAAGTGGGAGCTGAACAATGAGAACACATGGACACAGGGAGGGGAACATTACACACCGGGGCCTGTCAGGGGCTGGGGTCTAGGGGAGGGATAGCATTAGGAGAAATACCTAATGTAGGTGATGAGTTGATGGGTTCAGCAAACCACCGTGGCACGTGTATACCTATGTAACTGCACGTTCTGTACATGTACCCCAGAACTTAAAGTGTAATAAAAAAATACAAAAAAAGTACAAAAAAGGTATGTTCATCTAATTTTATAAATTAAGATTAATTTTGCTGACTTCTTTGAAAATAGGTTTAATCATGGTCCTTTAAGGCATTTAAGTTTATTGGAATGGTTTTATTACCTTGTTTTTCATGCCACCAAATTTGCTTGTCAGTTGCATTATTCTTGTATGAGCGCTTATCAGAACTTTAACATTTGAAAATTATCAGTAATAAATTAACCACAACTATTTAAATCTCTATCATCCACAGATAGTTTTCATTTTACTTTGCTTTTTGCTGCAGACAGGATAAATGGAGAAGTCATCAATGATGGCTGAGAACAGTGAGTTCGATTCTCTTTCCACCTTCTCCTTCCTCCTTCAAATCAGAACACGACCCAGGCTCTCCTAGGCTCCTGACTTAACTGCCCTTATCATCTTGTTCACACATCAACATTTCTTTCTTTCTTCCTTCCTTTCTCTGTCTCTGTCTCTCCCTCCCTCTGTCCTTCTTTTTTCTTTTCTTTTCTTTTATGTGGGTTACAACTACTGATATTGACTCTATTGGAAATTGAAACTAAGAACTTTTGAAAATGCTTACTTACAGATTTCTTCAAAGGTAGCAATGATAAAAGCATTCTATGCTAATAACTTCGCCTCTTCTCTTCTCTTTTCTGACGGGGTCTTGCTCTGTTGCCCAGGCTGGGGTACAGTGGCACCATCTCAGCTTACTGCAATCTCCACCTCCCAGGCTCAAGTGATCCTCCCGCCTCAGCCTCCCAAATAGCTGGGACTACAAGTGTGCACCACTACACTAGGCTAATTTTTGTATTTTGGTATTTTTTTTTTTTTAAGAAACAGGATTTCACCGTGTTGCCCAGTCTGGTCTCCAACTCCTGGGCTCATGTGATCCGCCTACCTTGGCCTCCCAAAGTGTTGGGATTACAAGCATGTAATCCTAACACCACCACTCCTGGACCCTGCCCCAGACTTTTTCGTGTTAAGTGGCCTACTTATTCATTTTCTCCCTTGTTTGGGAAGCCTCTTCTTTGCCTGTTTCTTTCATTTCTTCTCTCTCATGTTCCCAACGAATAATTTTTAAGTATTTTATCTACCCCTTCTCCCTGATCTGGAACGCTCCTCATCCTCTCTCCTCCTTTTTCCAGGCCTTTTCCTTTGCAAATGCCACCCTAATTCCTAATCTTTGACCTTCTCCACTAACCTTGAAATCCTCTACCCCTACTTTCATCTGACTTCCCTCTCAGTTGTGTCCACATTTCCTTCAGTGTGAACTCCTTATTCTGTCATAAGCAAACTCTTGTTTGTCCAGACTGCTTTTCTAACTCCATTTTTTACCTGCTTGCTAGAGCAGAAAATTTGCTCCCAAAATTTTACTGAACTGTGTCTATTTTGCTCTGCCAACTTGGGATTCCAAAACTGAAGATCAATCCAGTGCCTTTCTAAGTGCTTTAAGTGCTTTTCTGAATTAAAGGAAAGCATCAAATATCCAACCAGAATTCAACACAAAAGTTAACAGCTGTTGTATAAATAATCTCAGAGAGCCTCTTGTTATCTGAGGGAAGCCTTCTTTATTGAATTGTATTTGAAACACACAACTTGGCATTAATCTCACAGCTGCAAGATTTCTCGGAGGGAGAAAATATAGTCTGGATAGGGTTACATAAGCTACAGATGAAATAAAACCTATCTGTGAGCTGAATTCTTCAGCTGATCTGAAGTGATGGTAGGAATCATTTTCAAAACTGCTTGGAAGCATCGGTACGTATTACCACAGGGACTGCAGGTGACTTCACTGGCTTTTTCTTTTTTCTTTTATACAGTGTGCATTTTGGCCTTGCCCACCTTTTGGAGAGACAAGTCTCACTCTTACAGACACTTTCTTTGCTTCTTTCCAACAGATGCTGAGCACAAATAATACCTACTTAATTTTGGTAGAAAGAGGAAAGAATTCAATGCACCAAGTGGGTCAAAGTCTGCAATTACACTAGCGGGGGTAACTCTTGGATAATGAGCACTCAGTTCACAATTATGTTGTACATGTAATTTGTCAGTTGCACACTGGTTTCCACCCTCCCCCTGAATTCTGTCTCTTCCTGCAAGCTTCCTCAACTGAGTTTATTTGGAAAATGCTTTCTATATGCTGGGCATTGCCCTAAATTAATGGATCCCGAAGTTTGCTGCACATTGAATTCACTTGAAGAGTTTTTTGAACTCTTAATCAGTACCTAGGGATGGAGCTAAGTATCATTATGTTGTAAAGATTCTCAGATGATCCCCAAATACAGCAAAGTTTGGAAACCATTGTTCTAAGTGATTTATCCATACTAACTCACTGAATGCTAGCTACACTGTGAGGTATTACTATTACTATACTTACTCAGTTGATAAATATTTATTATCTTCAATATATTGGGCATGTGCTAGGTATTGGAGATACTCCAATGAATAAGCCAGATAAATAGCTCTGTACTAATGAGCCTCCCATCATATTAGATTTTACGGATGGGATCACTGACACTAGAAATATTAGGAGACTTCCTAAAGATCTCACTGATAGTAAGTGCTAGGGCTGGGATTTGTAGGCAGGTGACCTCAGAATCCACCCTCCTAGCCTCCACACCTCCCTGCCTCTCTTCTGCAGTCCCACAGTGTCCTGGCATAAGGTCACTCTTCAGTCCTGACTTCACGGGACTCTCCTTGGAACTGGACACTATTGGCCACTCCTTTCCTTTTCTATATGTTCTGCTGCAGGACCCATGACATCATTCTCTCCCTGTTTTCTTCTATCTCTCTGGTTGTTCCTTCTCATTATCCTTTTCTGCTGCCTGACTTCTGATAATGGCTCTCCAGAAGTTCTGCCTCAGCCCTCTTTCCTTCTCACTCTTTATAATCTTACCTCCTTGCCCACTTAACTTCCAAGTTAACTCCTAGGCATTCGTTTGATCTCAGCCCAAATGCTGCCTCCTCTGAGAGACTTTTCCTAATTTCCCGAAACTAGATCTAGTTCTCCTTTCCTGTATTCCCACAAGGCTTGTTACTTTTTCTTAAAGCATTTCTCAGAGTCTGTAATGATAAATTTGCATGTCTGTCCCCTCCAACAGCTCCACCAGTCTGTAGCACAGGTGCCTTGTCCGTTTTTGTTTTTATTTTTGCATCTCCATCAATTAGCACCATATATGCCACCTTGTAGGAGCTTAGTAAATATGTCTTTTCTTTTCTTTTCTTTTTTTTTTTTTTGGAGATGGAGTTTTGTTCTTGTTGCCCAGGCTGGAGGGCAATGGCTCGATCTTGGCTCACTGCAACCTCCACCTCCTGGGTTCAAGCGATTCTCCTGCCTCAGCCTCCTAAGTAGCTGGGACCATAGGCACGTGCCACCATGCCCAGCTAATTTTCATATTTTTAGTAGAGATGGGGTTTCACCATGTTGGCCAAGCTGGTCTCAAACTCCTGACCTCAGGTGATCCACCCACCTCAGCCTCCCAAAGTGCTGGGATTACAGGTGTGAGCCACCATGCCCAGCCTAGTAAATATGTCTTAAGAGAATGAGCATTGCACATTCTATCATGGATTCAAGCATTGCCTGTATTAGTGTTTCTCAAAGTATGTTGCACGGATGTCTGGACCAGGTTAACTTGGGATATTCACTACAAATGCAGAATCCTAGGCTCCACCTCAGATCTACTGAATCAGAGTCTCTGAAAATGATCGCATTTTCACACAGAGTCACAGAAATATTATTTCTTAAAAATGTTTCCCACGGATGCAATCATCCACTATTTATCCATATATTTAGTAGTCATCTTTGAACCCACATCCTCCACTGTCCTCACATCAAACTGGGTTTTCTGGTCTAATCAACTCTACTTCCTATACATTTACCTACTGTTTTTCTTCTCATCCTTGAACCATCTCCATGCAGCTAGCTCTCACATGGCTTCCTTTCTTTCAGTCTCTTCCCTGAGATCCTCCTATACTACTTCTCTGCATGGCTCAACATACCTTCAGAGTGATTTTTTTCCAAAGTGCAAATATAGTCATGTCATTTCTTTGCCTAAAATGCTCCAGTAATTTTCCCAAACCATGTTTTTTTTGTTGTTGTTGTTTGTTTTTTCAGACAGAGTCTTGCTGTGTCACCAGGCTGGAGTGCAGTGGCATGATCTGGGTTCACTGCAACCTCCTCTTCCCAGGTTCAAGCAATTCTCCTGCCTCAGCCTCCCGAGTAGCTGGGACTACAGGCATGCACCACCACACTCAGCTAATTTTTGCACTTTTGGGAGAGACGGGGTTTCACCATGTTGGCCAGGATGGTCTCAGTCTCCTGACCTTGTGATCTACTCGCCTCAGCCTCCCAAAGTGCTGGGATTATAGGCGTGAGCCACCGCGCCCGGCCCAAACCATGGTTCTCTAACAAAGAGAATGGTAGCAGCAAGGGAGAGAGCATTTCAGGTGGGAGTGGTCGACTACATTTTTCCTCACTGAGAATCCAAATAAGATAAACCCTGCAAATAGCCCATTGGTTTCAGTAGACTGAAAGTAATGGAACCCAGCTTATGGATTATGTAAAGCCCTGTATAGCATGTAGATTGTGTTGCTTGTAGCTGGTTTGACCCCAGCTGAAGCAGTGGCAAAGCTGTCTTGGCTTTTACTGCTCAGAGTTATCAGACTATTCCAGGTCACAGAGATTGGTCAATCCAGTTCTCAGTGCTCACCCCATGTGTTGGAGAGGATAACTCATCATCCTTAGTATACTTTTTCACTTGTCTTCCAAGAAACTGCTCTTGCACAGTCACTTTCTTTTAGTCCCTATTTATAGCTCCCCATCTTCTCCCTGTCCTCTGAACATGGACATGCTCCAGAACTCAGTTCTTAATCATCTCTTATTTATTTTTACATGTATCCCCTTGATGATCTCATCCAGTCTCATAGCTGAAAATACCACTGATACGCTGACAATTCCCATGTTCCCATATTTATATTTCTAGCTCATGATTTTTTCCTAAACGCCAGATTCCTAAATCCAACTTCCTATTTGATAGCTCTACTTTGATGTTGGATAGTAATGATAACATTAACATATCCCAAACAGAATGCACAGCTCTATCCTAACATCTGCCTCCAAACCTACTCTTTCTACAGAAGTTTCCATTTGAGTTGGTGGCAATTCCATGATTCTAATTGCTCAGATCAAAAAGAAATCATTCTTGATCACTCTTTCTCTGAGCACACTGAATCTGTCAAAATATGCTTTTGGCTCTACTCTTCAAGGTATCTCCAAACCCAATGATTTCTGACCACTTCCACTGATTCCACCCTGGTGCGAGTTGCCTTGGTTTCTCACCTAGATCATGGCAGGTGCCTTCTTACTGTTTTTCCTACATATATCATGGCTCTCTGTAGACCCCTCTCAATGCATTGGCTAGAGTGGTCCTTTAAAGATGCAAGTTCAATTGTGTCATTTCTCTGCATGTCTTTCCACTTAACTCATGATAAAACCCAAGATTCTTACAGTGACCTTCAGGGCCCATGTGATTTAGTTCCTCGTCACTTCTCTGACCTCATCTGTAACACTTACACCCTGATCACTCTGTACCAGTATGATTGGCTGAATAATGTCTCCCAATGATGTTCATGTCCAAATCCCTGGGACCTGTGAATGTGACCTTACATAACAAAAGGAACTTTGCCGATTATATATTAGTCCATTCCCATTTACTGCTGTAAAGAAATAACTAAGATTGGGTAATTTATAAAGAAAAGAGGTTTAATTGGCTAGAGTTACAAAGGCTATACAGGAAGCATGATGCTGACATCTGCTTGACTTCTGGGGAGGCTTCAGGCAACTTATAATCATGGCAGAAGGTGAAAGGGAAGCAGGTACATCTTACATGGCTGGAATAGGAGCAAGAGCGAGAAGGAGGAGATGCCACACACTTTTAAACAACCAGATCTCAGGAGAACTCACTATTGTGATGACAGCACCATGGGGGATGGTGTTAAACCATAAGAAACTGTCCTCATGATCCAATCACCTTCCATCAGGCCCCATCTCCAACATTGGGGATTACAATTTGACATGAGATTTGGGCAGGGACACAGATCCAACCCATATCAGATGGGATTAAGTTAAATATTTTGAATAGGGAGGTCACCCTGAATTATTTGCATGGGCATCTTACTAAGTTTTGGCTGCTATAATCCAATCCTGTAGACTGGGTGGCTTAAAAAACAGAAATTAATATTTTACAGTTCTGATGGCTGGGGAGTCCAAGATCAAGGTACCAGCAGATTTGGTGTTTGATGAAGACACTATTCCTGGTGTGTAGACAGCTGTTTTCTTGTTCTGTCCTCACATGGCAGAAAAGTAAAGATTACCTCTCTTGTTTCTTTTTATAAGGGCACTAATCCCATTCAAGAGGTCTCTACCCTAATGACCTAATTGTCTTCAAAGGTTCCACCTTTAAATACCATAACATCAAGGGATTTAAGCTTCAACATATGGATTCTGGGGGGATACAAACATTTAGTTTATAATAGTGGGCCTGAAGTAATCATAGGGTTCCTTGTAAGAGGGATGCAGGAGGATCAGATTGTGTAGAAAGAGATGTGACCACGGAAGCAAGAGATTGTAAAGTGACTTGGGAAAGTTACTAACTTGGCAAACCTCAGTTTTATCATCTACAACATGCAAGTGTAATACCCACATCACAGGGTCATTATGAAATAAAATGCCTTGTATATTTGTGTTTTGAATCAATACATAAAAGTTTCTATTTAAATTTCATAAATTTCCTCTTATTTATTTTGGCCCCAATTTTTTCTTCAGTCTGGGGAAAGAAAAGGCAAAATCTACTAAAATCTTTATTCTAATATTCAATGGATATTTATGTACCTTTTTAGGTATTCATTTAGGTCATTGACAACATTATAAGAAATAACAAGACCAAATACAAAACCCTAGAGACCCCCTTCCAGGTGGATTCTTATCCATATTTAACATTATTCAACCATCTACAAATCCAGTTAAAATGAGCCTGCAAATATGGCCTTGATTCATATAGTATATTTATCCTTGGATCATGTAGAAAAGCTTTTAAACTGCTTTGCTAAAATCCTATATGGTATCTATGACAATTCCTTAAACTGATGGTTACTTGGGCAATTCCTTTCCTTAGTGAACCCACTTGGAACCTATGGAACCTCTTGACCACCTCTTTCTTTCCTAAATATTGGCAACCTATAAACCATTTTAGAATTTTTCTAGATATAGATATGAAGTTTATTCTGTGGTATTTTCTATGGCTTATCTTTTGAAGAGAGAGGCATTTTACCCCAAGTCTTAATATATTTTCATTTCTCTGATTTCTCCTGGGGAATCTATTTGGGTCCCTGATTGCACCTGCACATTCCCTTTGTATCCTGAGATATAATATGTCTTGGTCTGAAAGTTTGATACCATCTACTGTGACCAAGTACTTTATTTTCCTCTGTATCTTGGGATTCAGTTCCTGCTTAACAATGTTAGTCCTTTCTACACAGTTTGAAGATCATTTCAAAAGTTAACATTGCCAGATAGTTTTGTACTCTCAATTGTTTTAAGGCGTCAGTTTCTATACCAAATTGGAAGTATTGTTTGGCAATATGATTAACAGATTGAATTTCACTTAGACAAATTTTGTTTTCCCTGTAAATTATATTTTTATTCATTAGAGTTCATACATTTCTGATAGCAAGTAACATTTTTCTGCCTTGACTTTATTTAAAAAACACAGTGTAGAAATCTTCATTTCACTTAACTTTTGAATCATTCCTATGATAAGGGTGACTTGGGATTGTTAGTATGTTACACTGGAGTTAAATTAGTTCTTGTATTTTAAGATATTCATTTTCTTAGTAAGTGAAAATGTAAAATGTGTACCTGGCACAATTTCGCGAGGGAAAAACTCACTGAAATGTGTTAATGGCCCCTTTTCTCAGCTCCAGAAATAGCTGCTATGTGCTCTTTCATCTTGTGTGTGAAATACCAGACCTTCCCCTGAAGTCCTCTCCAAGGACATCAACTCTGTCTATTGAACTAATTTTATAACAAGACTACTTAATTTTTTACTAAACAAGGAAACTATAGGACAGAAAGAGAGAATTTCTCATTAATTAGTTCACTCCAAAATTAGTGTTAAGAAGCCATATTTGGCATATTTTATTTTATATTACCAGTAAATGGTAAGCATTTTTTTTTCTATTTTTGCTTTATGTAGAGATACTCAGCTATGTTAGAGTAACTAGGTAAGTGTCCTTCACTCTGTGGAAGAAAAATTTCTAGAAAACTAACTCTTAAAAAACACTGATTGACATGATCAATTTGAAAATGATACCACCGGGGTCTACATTTCTGAGTGTCTTGTCCTTCTGACTGGGAAGGGTAAAATGGGGGTATCTTGAGTAGTAATGGTTGTAGTAACAAATCCTGGGCATCTTCTCCTGTGTCAGGGACTGAACAAAGCACAGGGTGTCATCACATTCAGTCTTCCTGGCAGCACCGTAAAGCAGGTGTTATTTTTATAGCCATTTTGTAGAAAAAGAAGCATAGGATCCGAGAGGTTAACAGCATTGCCCAGCTCGACAGTTATCAACTGATAAAGTCTGAATTTTAAAATAAGTGTCTGACTTCAGATACTGCTCTTAAGTGTTATGTAATACATTTTTCTGACTTTTGCACCATCGAAGACATCCCTAGAATTTCATTTCTCCTGCAGGTGGTGACTCCTGTGTTTGTCCTGGGAGTCTCTAAGATGTGCCCCATGGGTACTCATTCATAACTCTACAGTTAGCTCTGGGAAACTTCCATTTCTCCACTCTTACTCAATCTTATCTCAGTGATGACTGTTGCCAAGGCCTGCTCCATCCTCAGAATCTTCTGAAGAAGGCTCCTCCCTGCTCTCTGTTCTGGAGGGAGGATGAAAGCATGTCATGGGGGCTGTCTCCTAATATCTCCCAAAGGTACAAGCTGTCTACCCTGCCTGATTATGCTGCCCTCTCCACCAGAGTCATGAGGGTTCTGGGCTCCATCACCACCTATGCAGGTGATATGATTTGGCTGTGTCCCCACCCAAATCTCATTTTGAATTGTAGCTCCCATAATTCTCATGTGTCATGGGAGGGACCTGCTGGGAGATAATTGAATCATGGGGGCAGTCTTTCCCATGCTATTCTTGTGACAGTGAATAAGTCTCCTGAGATCTGTTGGTTTTATAAAGGGGAGTTCCCCTATACAAGGTTTTCTTGCCTGCTGCCATATAGACGTGTCTTGCTTCCCCTTCGCCTTCTGCCATGATTGTGAGGCCTCCCCAGCCATGTGGAACTGTGAGTCAATTAAATCTCTTTCCTTGATAAATTACCCAGTCTCAGTTATGTCTTTATTAGCAGCGTAAGAACGAACTAATACAGCCGGAAAAGGGAATGGCTGTGTCATGAGAGCAGCAATTACGCTGGAACCTTCAGGGGCCAGACCTCCCAGTCTCTTCCTTTACCCCCATGCCTACCAGAAAATGCCTTAACAATACCTCATGTGCTCTTTTCTTCTTTTCTCTCTCTCTCATTAAAAAAAAAAAAAAAAAAAACTTGGAATGCCTTTTATCCCTCCAATTCTCCTTTACTTGGTAAGGTCTTCTTCGCTGTTTAAGATCCAAGTCAGGGACCACTATGTCTCAGAACACTTCCACAACTATTTTCCCAACTTATAGGGGTTGGGTGCCCTCCACCGTGCTTCCATAATGGCTTTTACTTATCTCTAATACTGCCCTGACATGGTGTATTCTGAATATTGTATATATATATATACGTTTACTTCCCTAGACAATTAACTGCATTATGCAATCTAAGCACAGACTGTTATCCATCTTTGTGTCCTAGCACAGTGCCAGGCATGTTGCACTAGGTCAATAAGTATTAAATAATACATCACTCCTATATTTCTAGCTAGAATAACTGGGAGGATTGATGACAAAATAAATCTTTAAGTTTCCCTTGACCTTGTCCCAGTTCCTGCCTTTATTTCTTATCTAGACCCCTGAAACAACCTCTCAAGTCTTTTTTTTTTAATCATGGTTAAATGCATATACTTTGAATTTACCATTTCAGCCATTTTTAAGTGTACACAGCTTTTCAACTCTTAACCTGTGCTCCTGACTTCAGAACATCCTCCTCAAAGCCACCTTTTGCTTGGTCACCCAAGTGAACTAAAACCATGTCACCCTGCTATTTAAAACCCTTCACTGACTCCTCTTCACCTTCTGAACATCATTAAGTCAATACTTTAAAAAATGTCATTTCACATTCGTGTTTGCAACTCCTCAAACCCATGCAAGTGTATGGCAATAGGCTTGCAGGAAGTTTGTGTGGGGCTGCCGTGAGTAATTATCACTGTTTACGGGTCATTTTGACTGGGATGTCTAGCCATGACATTAAGTCCAGTCTATCCCAAATGATCACAGTATCTCCCAACAAGGTGACTTATCTTCCCAACTTCTTCCATGTTTTTCTAGGTTAGAAACCTGAAAGTTATTTTTGATTCTCCTATGCCATTGTCTTCTAATAGCCTGGCTCTCAAGTTGTGTTTCTTCGCCCTTTGAAATATTTTGTACAGCTTGCTTCTAATCTCTGCCACTTTGTAGCTTTGCTATCTTGGGTGAGTTACTTAACCCCTCCATACCTAGTCTTCCTCATATGTAGAATGAGATAAAAAATATGTTTTTTTTTCTTTCTTGGAAATCTCTCCTTATCTTCTAGGCAGGGGTTGTTGTGAACATAAGTTAATACATGTAAGACACAGCAGTATCTGGCATTTATTGAGTGCTGAATAAATGTTAGACATGATTGTTACTATTATTACGTCCAACGTCATTACCTCAGTATGCAATTATTATGATGTTCTCCTAGCTACTCTCCTTACCCATCACCTATTTTTCTTGAATGAACCTTCTAATCATCCTTCTAAAACCACTTGAATCATATTTTTCTGCTGAAGAATTTATAAGGACTTCATGCTACTTATTTAATTGAGCCTCAATTTTCTGCTTCGTTTTTTCCTACATCATGGCCTTTCCTTTCCTTTCATTCATTCATGCAACAAACATGTGACAAGCTTTGTGCTAAGCAACAGGGACATGATGATAGATAAGACATTGTTCCTGCCCTGAGGGAAATTATAATCCTTTTGTCAGACAGCTACAGCATAATGCTGAGAACACAAGGCTCCATGGGAAGCCATAGGAGGAACACCTAGCCCAACCTGAACTCAAGACATAGAAAGGAATTGGCCAAACAAAGACAACAGGTGGGTGAGGTGGCAGATGGGAGGTTGAGGAATGATTCAGAGAAGAGCATGCCAGGTAGGAGTAACAGCTTATACACTGAGAAATACAAACACCTAGGTAGTTTATATAAAGGCGTAGCGTTTTGTGGGAAACATGCTGCACTCAGAGAATGTCAAATAAGTCCGTGGCTGGGGAGGAGAATGCAGAGTGGAGAAGGGCAAGAGATGAAGCTGAAGAGGTGAGTGAAAACTACACTATCATAAGCCTCATGTTGAGCTTTCTCCAGAGGCAAGAGGAGAGTCATGGAGCAGTTTTAAGCAGAGGAGTTAGTTTCATGGTCAATTTGATATTAGGAGGGTCATTCTGTAGAGGATGAGCCAGCCAAGAATGGAGTCAGGAAGAGCCATTAGGAAGTTGTTACAGGAAAAGAGCTGAGCCCTAATGAGGTCTTGAGTTAAGGTGAAGGCTATGGGGTTGAGGAGAAATGGATAGATTTGAGATTTGACCTAATGAGAGTGGTAGCTCTGAGTAGATTAGTGGGAGATGTGGAAAGACTATTGAAAGCAGCAAGAGTAGGCTTGGTCAGTCTCACTTTGGAGGGAGCCCACGCCTCTTCAATATTCCTTTCTCTGTGACGCTCACCTGTTAAGCCTATGGCCCAGTCAAAGTCTTCCCATCCTTGAAGTCTCTCCACCTTCACAAAATGTGCCAAGACCTATATGAAGTCATTCCTCACTGAATTCTGCTTTCTTTCACTTCCATCACCCAAATCCCATAATTTAGCTCTGAATTATATCTTATCCATTGGGTGTCTGATAGATTTGTGTTTAAATTGTCTTGCTGGTTATATTATAAGCTCCTTAAGGGTAGGAGCTACATCTTAATCTTCTTACAATTGTCAAGGCCAACACATCATTGGACGTGCCAGGCAAGCTGTTCTCAACCCCTCTTCCTCTTCTGTGACACTCATGAAAGGTGATGTTCACATATCCTTCGAGCAAAATCTGGGTGCCACTGTAACTCCCCCCATTGTATCCCACTCAAGAAAGCAAATCAGAATGATTGCATGCATTTTAGGGATAATTTAAAATGTGATCCAATTTACAAAGAGGAAAGTAAAATCATGCACTAACTTCAGTAGATTAGTAATGGTACTATTGATGGTAACAAATTACCTCTTAGCGGGTGTGCAATGATGCCAGTGTTGAAAGCCACAGACAGATAGTAAGTTACCCAAGGGCAGGGATCACGTCTTCCTCGTGGTTACTTGGTCAGCACAGCACACACCTGCCAGAGGGGTAACCAAAAGGTCAGAGCTCAGCAATAACAATGTGAAGAAATATGGCATAAGTGCTACTCTGTTGTATTCAAGGTCTCATGAAAAAAAAAATGTTTTTTTTTAACTTTTAAACATTTCTAGAAAATGTGACATTTCTGGGAATCTGATGTTGTAGCTAGCAGAATTTATTTCTTATGAATTTATTTCAAATAGGGGAAAAATTCCTCACCATGAGTAAGACAATGGTGAGGACTGTGTGATGATTGCCATGTCTATGAGGGGTAAACATAAGTTTTCTCTTATGTTTTAGAGAGAGGGAGAAAAACCAGCTTTTTCTGGTGTAAAAGAAAAATAGTCTGAAATGGAGAGCATAGGAAAAGAGACTCACAGTCCTTTCTGAGCTTATCAAGACTTAGATTTCAGTGATGATTTTTTTACACAGTTGGTATATGTTCAGCAGTTTTATAGGAAGAAATGCTCTTGGGCTATTTTGCAGGTCCTTGTATATGTGAGTGCAGCTTGTAACCTATATGTGACACCAACAGATTGAGTAAAGAGGCAATCTGAAAGGATGCCTAAGAGGAAAATGTCTAACACCAGCTCTGTGGTGAGAGAGTGGGCAGACTGTTTTAGAAGTCCTGATTAGGAGACCCATAAAACAAAGAGAGTGTAGGTTGTTGGCTTCCTGGCATGCAGGTCACACAAATCAGACCCTCCCAGGAAATGTTATAAGCTCCTGTCTGATCACCTCTAAGAATGGGGAGCTCAGTTTCTGAGAAGTCAATAGCAGGTAGTTAAAGTCGTGGAGCTTAACCACCCACAGTGGTTTTCTGGTCTAAAATATCTTAGGAGGACCAAGGATATTTTAAGATGCTGCTATTTTAATGGCAAATTATACTTTAATACATATAACAGAAAAAAATGATATGATACATTGAAAGAGGATAAGACCTGATGCCTCTTACCTTGAAGAATGTTGGGGAGGTGGGGTCTGCTTAGTGGTAATTGGCAGGAGTTGAAGTTAGGTGTGATAAATGTTCTCAAAGTATCTAGGTGTTTGTCTTTTTCAATGCCCTATTTGGTAATACACACAATTTTCACATACATTCTTCCATTTATCTAATTCACAATCATCTGTAGAGATATTGCTGTTATTTACATCTTTTACACAGCAGAAAATTGAAGCCCAGAGAGTGAAGTGATTTGCCTAGAGTCTCTTGGGGGATGAGATTGAATTGAAGAAGAGCTCTCTGGACTTCGGACATTCCAGGGAACAAGGGGTGGATCTCTGTCATGTTCAATATACAGTTGGTATTTAGTAAATATTAGGCAAGCTAAGATGAGGGCATTCCATCTAGACTGTTATCACTGTACAGCATTGCTTCTTAATTTTTTTCTGCTGTGTATCAGTACTTGGGAATGATAGTGAGGAACCTAGGAATTGAAGATAGGAGAAATGATGGTTTTTGTCAGCCATGTGTTGGTGTGAGCCATGTGTTGGCATGAGCAGGAAACAGTTTGTGATTATGCGGCAGAACAGAAGAGTTGGAAATTTCCCAAACTCTAACCAAGGCAATCTAGAAATAATCTCCAAGAGGCCAGGCAAAAATGTGAGTTTAATTTAGTAAGAAAAATGCAATCGATTTTATTATACCTGATTCGGAGAAAGACTGTGGGAATGCATCAGTTTTCAGGGCATCTTAAACTGAGTGGATAGAACCATTTCATTATAATTGGTTTCATTTGCAACCTTATGTATTATTTTACGCATTTAAAAGTATTATTCTAAGCAGGGATTTATGGGCTTTGTCAGACTGCCAAAGAGGTAGGTGGCCAACAAAGGTAATAATTCCGGGCTCTATAACATAAAAAGAGACCCAAAAGGCCAAAACTTGGTGCCCATGCTCATCCAAGCCCTGCTTAGAAGAAAGGGTGCCCCATGGTGCCAGTGTGAGCCCAGTGTATGCCTGGTAAAGACCTGCCCATTGTGGATATGGCTGCGATGAGACGACAGATGTCATAAAACATAAAAGTATAATGTACCATGGTTCCTTCAATCTGTTCAAACTAAGGAACTGTCTGGAATATGGCTTTCTATGTACCTATCATTTGGAGACCGTGCTCAGGCAGATGTAAATGTCCACCACCTGGTGGTTACATTGCTAATGTGAATTAATAAGCTGACATCCTAGTTTCTATACATCCATCTATGCGAGTCTGCAAAACCGAGGATGAGATCCTCGTTGTGCTGATCCTTGTGCTGTTGTGGAATTAATCAGAATTTACTGCCATTTTGGAAGTGGCCAGTCAACTAGCCAGCCTTCTGAGAAAGAACTGCCTCCACTGCAAGCCACAGTGCTATTCCTATGAAGAAATTGGTGGAAGTTATCTTTTGCTGCTCTTAATAATAAGATATATGTTAACATTTATAATGGAGATTACTCTTTGTCCTTTCATTGGTTTCCAGGTGGGGGGTTCTACACAGCCATAAACCCAAGGCACCACTGTTTCATGGCTACATCTACCTAAATGTTGGACCAGGTGCCTTGACAACCTAGACATAAGAAGCAGTGACCAGCATCACACCATCCAATAGGTATGCAAGGTCAGGCATAAACAATAGGACGCATTTCTGGCACTAAGGGAGCCCACAATGTAGTTGTGTTGCTACAAATATTGTAGTGTTATGCTCAGTAGGAATTAAAATCTGTAATAGTTAATGTTTCTTTCAAATTACTTGCAACAATTTCCCCAAATTGTGACCAATTTTGTCCTGGTAGAGTTTCTGGCACATGGGAGGCACTTGGCTGGTTTGGCAAAACTGTAGCACGGTGCTTGCTGCTTTATTTCTCCAAGCCCTGTACTTACCCACTGTCCTATGTGTGCCAAAAGAATGTTCCTGATGGGAATGACTTTCATGTGTACAAATGTGCTTTCAACACAAAGTCTTCTGTGTTCATTTTATTTTTTCTCAGTTGCAAGGCATGGAGATGTGCACATGCTACCTCAGTGAGAGGAGTTTTTATCAGGATACATAGGGAAACACAATTTCACAGAGAGGCAACTAAGGAGGTGAAATGTTGTTCATGGCTGTTCAGGGTGCTGCAGTAGCTGCATCAGAATGGGGCATCCACAGCTCCCTGCTCTCTTTTCTGCTTACAGAATTATTTGGAGCTTCAGATTCTATGGCAGTGCTTCATGCCAAGCTACAGCTTCTCCGCCACTTCCCACTGCCTTCTTCACGACTATTCTTTACATCACGGCTTGTGCCTACTCCTGGGTGCTTCTGCCACCCAGCTTCTGCCTCCATTGAGGTTTCTCTAGAGAGAATATTTAATTGCATGGGGTTGACACTCTCAGTGCAGAGTGCCTCTGAGAGATTCTCAGGCTAAACCACCTTATAGGCTGCTGACCACAAAAAAGTCACTGACTCAGACTCCAGGCCCTGATCCCATTTACTTGGGATCAAGATAATGGGGTCATATTACACAAAATATGAAACTTGTGGGCAAGAAAATACCGCTGGCTGCTTGAAGGCTGGTGGCGGTGGGTGAGGGAGGCACGTGTCACTTGGAGCCTGATCATTGCAGTCAACAAACTTCAGTGTTGCCCCAAGACCAAAACTTGACCACATCTGATTCCATTCCAGAAGGCAATATACAGCCGAGGACATGCACATTTAGGCATTATTATTGAGAAACTGTGTCCTTAATTATAGTCTGCATGCTGATAATATATTGCACCATATGTTCCAAAGCCAGAACTAAAGCTGTCGGTTTCCACTTTCATTCAGATGTGGTTCACACTTAATGTTTCCCATGGGACCTGCTGCCTGGTGTGTAGGTGGTGATGGCTCCCTCAAAACCTTTGGATTGTATAAAGGGTTTCATTTGCCTCTGTAATTACCTATTTTGGGCCTATAGAGGAACTGAAAAACAGGAAAAAAAAACCAGTTCAACTGTGAAGTCCATGTGTGATGGTTTTCTTGTAAGAGTTTCAGTGAAGGTAATAATAATGACAATAAAAATAATATTTTAGGCTTTTAGAATATGCGGAATCCTGTTGTAGAAGTGTTGGTTTCCTGTTTACAGCTTTTCTATTACCTTTCAGGGAAGTCTCTTTGGGTTCGAATCCTGCAGGAATTGTTTGCTGCACTGAGGAGTGACCAGCCTCCTCCCAGTCTTTGCATTCAAGACTCACCTTTGTCAGCACACTGTACAAAATCTCATGACATTGTGGCCTGGAAAGTAGAGATAAGGTACAATTCTCATCCTCACTAGATAGAGTGAGACTGTTGCTCAGGGCCTAAGTGAGGATCAGCATTTCATATAGGGTTGGTGACAGGATGGAACTGTCCGTGCTTCAGGTTCCTCTAACCTTATCCAGTTTGTGTCAAACCAACTCAGAGCTCTGATGAACATAAGGCTGCTAATAGATACCTTAATTAATTCGTTTGGATGAAATTGAGGGTGTTACTGCACACAATCTTTCAAAAGTGATCTCCAGAAAACATCTGTGTTTGGGGTTGTAACCAACTTTTAGAGATCAAAGCAGGATGTTATATATTATGACTGGTGGGAAAAGGGGTGATGTGGCTTAGTTTTAGTTCTTGACATCTCCAAGCCTTATGAAAATGTACGTTATTGGTGAGCATGATTATTACTCTCTGTTCTCCCAAGGGCTTGGTCATGCCTGATTCCAGAAAAGCCTCCCTCTTCAACATTTTTTTTTTTTTTGAGACAAGTTCTCACTCTATCACCCAGGCTGGAGTGCAGTGGTACGATCACGGCTCACTGCAGCCTCGCTCTCCCTAAGCTCAGGTGATCCTCCCACTTCAGCTTTCTGAGTAGCTGGGACTACAGGCACATGCCAACACACTCAGCTAATTTTTAACTTTTTTGTAGAGGTGGAGTCTCACCATGTTGCCCAGCCTGGTCTCTAACTCCTGAGCTCAAGTGATCTGACCACCTCAGCCTCCGAAATTGCTGGGATTATAGGCGTGAGCTACCATATCTGGCCCATCTTTCTCCCCTTCTTCCCTCAGGCCTACCAGTGGTAATGGTTTCCAGCCGTAGATAGCCCTTGAGTGTGCTTCAACACCCCTGTTGGTTCCCTTAACCCTATCTACACCAATGCAAACAATTCCTTCGCCAAAACGATCTCGTTAAAAACCCTACCTGATGATGCCATCTATTTTATTTCAGGACTTCAAGGCATCTAGTTGTAGACCTCTTCATAGACAGATAGTTGGGTTTCCAAGGTGGATAATTTCCTTTCCATTTCTGAGATTTATCAATATGGTAGCTTCTATGGACTGAATGTTTGTGTCCCCCCAAATTTATATGTTGCTAATCCCCAGTGTGATGCTATTAGGAGGTGATAGGGATTAAAGGGATGAATGGGATTAGTGCCCTGATAAAACAGGCCCTAGAGAGCTTCTTTGCCCCTTCTATCATATGAGGATACAGCAAGAAGGTGCCATATATAAACCAGAAATCAGGTCTTCACCAGACACCGAATGTGGTGGTACTTTGATTTTGGGCTTACCAGCCTCAAGAACTCTAACAGAGTAAATGTGTGTTGTCTAAGCTACCAAGTCTGCAGTAATTAGTTATAACATCATAGGAAACCAATATAGAATTCTTTGATAACTTCTGACAGGGCAATGTTGGGAGGCAGGTAGCATTAAAGGGAGACGATTATTATTTTGGGACAGGGTCTCACTCTGTCACCCAGGTTGGAATGAGATGGCACCATTACAGCTCACTGTAACCTCAAATTCCTGGGCTCAAGCACTCTTCTTGCCTCAGCCTCCCAAGTAGCTAAGACTACGGGTGAGTGCCACCATGCCTGGCTACATTTTTAATTTTTGGTAGAGATGGGATTTTGCTATGTTGCCCAGGCTGGTCTCAGACTCCTGGCCTTAAGTAATCCTTCCACCTTGGCCTCCCAAAATGTTGGGATTATGGGTGTGAGCCACTGTGCCTAGCCTAGAGATGGTATTTTAACTCTCCCTGAACACTGCTGCTGAATGAATTCCCCCTAAAAATACACCATTGATCATAATCTTAACCCTGTTCAAAATCCTCTGTAGATTTTTTTCTTGATTACTTTAAAAAGGCCTAATTAGCTTCTTCCAAATTCTCACCACACCTCCCTTTCAGCCCTATCACATGCTATTGTTCCTTTTACACCAAACCAGACACAGCTCTTCCTTATGCCTCCCATGTACAAGCTCACCTCTGGACCTTCAGTCACCTCCCTCCTTCAGCATTGTCCCCTCTCTTTCAGTGCTCCAGGCATCTCGTGTCCACTATGGCTTAACCTAATGTCACCTCCTCAAGAACCCTTTTTTGATTCCATCGGCAAAAGTTATTTTCTCTCTACTCTGAATGCCCAAAGTGCTTCATGGTTTCTCTCTCCTGACCCCTATTCTATTACACCTTTCCTTGTTGTTGTATGTCACAGTGAAATGCATACAATCTGGAGCCAGATCTCCTGAATTTGAACTGTTACATGAATATTTGCGGGCAACCTTGGGAAAGTTACATAATTTGTCTGGCTTTGGTTTCTTCATTTGGAAAAATAAATGGAGACTACAATAGTAACTAACCATTCTGCTGATTTCATGAACTAGATACTAGTTGGATTCATCCTCACACAGCTGTTCTTATCCTTACTACCATTGTCTTATCTTACCTGGCCTTTTACAGAAACATTCCAATGCCTCTGTCTTCCTTATAGCTACAAGAATGATTGCCTATGATCATCATGCTTAAACCCTGTTCAACTCTGCCTACAAGTCCATGAACAGCTCCCTGTATTAGTCCGTTCTCATGTGCTAATAAGACATATCAGAGACTGGGTAAATTATGAAGGAAAGATGTTTAATTGAATCATAGTTCTGCAGGACTGGGAGGCCTCAGGCAATTTACAGTTATGCAGAAGGGGAAGCAAACACATCCTTTTTCACATGGCTGCAGCAAGGAGAAGAATGAGTGTCCAGCGAAGGTGGAAGCCCCTTATAAAATCATCAGATCTCATGAGAACTAACTCACTATCACGAGAACAGGATGGGAAAAACCATGCCCGTGATTCAATTATCCCCACCTGGTCCCTCCCATGACAGGTGGGGATTATGGGAACTACAATTCAAGATGAGATTTGGGTGGGGACACAGCCAAACCATATCACTCCCTATTGCTTACAGGTTGAGGTGACATTCAACATGCCATTTGTTTTTGGTTTGCTTCATTCAGCTTCACTCTTTTTGCTCCCTGTCTTACTTTATTGTTCAACATGCAAGCAGCCTTCAGTTCCTTCACACACATCATACAATTTCTTGTCTCTGTGCCTTTATTCACACTGACCCTTCTGCCTGAGACAGCTATTTCTTTTTTTCTCTTTTTTTTTTTTTGCTCTTTTGACCCTATCAAATAACTTTATTCACACAAACATCCCTTAATTTACAAAACCTCAGATATTCATACACATTAGGGGTGATCCACAGTGTTCAAGGAACTTACATATAATGTATCATACCAACTCAAGTAAACCAAGTAGAAAAAATATTCATATAAAGTTGTTCACATGTAAGTCCTAGATTACCAGCTTCTGTGCAAGAAAAGAAAATAAAAAATAGATTTATTAACCAGTATTTAAAACTAACTTTCTGCCTGGCTTAAAACCTCCCTCATGCTCAAGTCTGCCCCAGTGAATGTTTAAGAAATCATTGAAATATTCTCCCCTGCTCTAATGAAAAGCCCCTGGGCACAAAAGGTTTCTTTAAATGCCCCTGAATAGGCTCCCTTTCTCCCGTGGTCTCTCCTGGAAAACAGCCTGGGTGGCCTCCCTCCTGACACTCTCCGCAACTTTAGAAGGCCCTTGGGCAGGCAATGGCAGTGGATACCTTTCTCGGTAATGGCTGTAGACGCCAACACTGGCCAACTCTATGTCACGCCTACTGGTTGCTCTTTGAGGGCATTTCTCTAGATAAGAGGCCCCCTGCCCTCAAAGCCTAGTAGGGCAGGATCAGAACAGCTCCCATTTCTTCTGGCTAACTACTCCTACAGGACTCAGTTCATGCACTATTGTTTATAGGAGGGCTTAGTGGAGTTGTGGGTAAACAGAAAAACTTAGGGGTATGTTCCAGACGCTGAGAACAGCATGCAAAGCCAAGGCTGTGGGTGAGACCTGGAAAGGGAGACTGCCATCCCATCATTAATGGTCAGGCACATTCATTTCCTAGAGTATCATAACACAAAATTTAGCAGCTTAAATAACACAAATATATTGTCCTGCAGTTCTGCAGGTCAGAAGTCCAACACGGGTCTCACAGGGCTAAAATCAAGGTGTGGACAGGCTGTTCTCCTCTTTGGGGCCCTAAGGAAGAATCTGTTTCCTTGCTCATTCAGGTCATTGGAAGTATTCTGTTCCTCACAGCCATGGAACCCTGGTCCTCATTTGCTTGCTGTCATCAGCTGCGGGCTCCTTACAGGTTCTAGAGGCCACCCACATTCCTTGAGGGTAACCACACTCCCACATCTATAAAGCCAGGAAGTGTGGGTCAATTCCCTCTCATGCTTCCAATCTCTTCTTCTTCCATCTCGTCTATCTCCTCTTCCGCTTCCTTCATCTGATTTTACGAGCTGTGTGATTTCATTAGGTCCACCTGGACAATCCAGAAGAAATGCTCCCCATCTCCAGGTTTTTCACCTTAGTCATTTCTGCACGTCCCTTTGCCATGTAAGTAACATATTCACAGGTTCTAGGGGTACATTATTCTGCCTACCCCACTAGCATTGAGACAAAGGGATCATTAACGCCCAAGATTACTTGCTTTGAATTCTCTGTCCACAGCATTAACCTTTGGTCATTTTTCTTTGTATTATTTTGTTATTTAAATGTCTAATTTTAGCTATGTGTTTTGGATTCACGGAGTATAGAAAGCCACTGAGCCCTGTCTGGTTCATTTAGTGGGTGCTTCCAGAAATGTTAGGTGTGAAAAACCTCTTAGGAGGTTTAGCTGGAGATCTAGGGCAAGGAGGCATTTATAGGGTGCCAGTTATGGAAAAGCACTTGGAAAGCTGTTTAGAAGGTAACTGGAAGTCAACAGAAGGAGTTCCATTATTTAAAATTTAAACAATTAGCTAAAGAGTTAACAGATTAGATACATTTTTGAGAAACCCCACAGCACATGAATAGCCACAGAAGAAAGCAAGAAGAGAGTTTTTCTTTTACAGCAAATTGAAACTATTAAACAAGAGATGCATTGTGTGTTAGGAAAATATTTATTCTTAAGATTATCCTCCAATACAAATTCATATCCCTTTCCTATAAAAATTATTAAGGGAAAACCAATTGAGTTGACCATTTGCTACATTTATTAGTGCTCATGAATTATTCATTAGGATATTTATTTACTGAATTCTTTCCTTCTTTTAGAAAATCATCATGATTCCCTAAATATAGTATTTTTATCTCTATGAGGTTTTGGAAATAATGTACTTTAATTTCCTGCCCTCTAGTGACAAAAATAATGCATTCATGCCTTTATATTGAATAAATTCTGTATGCTTTAGTATTAGCAAATAATTATATTAGAGAATTTGGAGACAAGAAAGATGAGAAAGTCTGGCTATCATTAATGCTCTAAAGTTTAAACTTTAGTGCAATATATACCATTTTTATTTGGAGAAAGCATTTTATTTGGAGTCTTATGTATGACTTTAAAATTGTTACTTAATTAAAAGTCAGAGTATTGCTTCTAGCTTTCACTTGGCTATACGTGGCCTATATATTTAAAATTATAAGGTATATACTATAGAAAACTTGTAACAACCAGAAAATGGATAATTTTAATATCTTTAATCTTAAGTAAAATATCAGAATTGAAGGAAATTTACTAATTCTAAAAAATGACCCCTAAATATTATACTCAGTTGAATCTTTAAATTTAGCTGATAGTTGGTGGGATAACCAGCCTGGGAGTTTAAGCCAGAGATAAAAACAACCAAAGTGGTTGATGGTTATAATAGGACTAAATAAGGCAGAATTGCTCGATTTGATTAAGTGTGGCATTAAAAGTTTTTGGAATTCTAATTACTGGCTGCTTCACTGCTTTCACTTTCTGAACATTTTGGCATTCCTAGGGAACATAATCAGGAGTCGGTGGTGCTTGTACCATTAATTTATAGACACCTCATTGAGTGTGTACTCTGTGCTAGATGCTGTGGTTGGCGCTAAGTGACTGAACTCAAAGGTGAAGGAGCTCATTCCACACACCACAGTGCTCAGGCCTGGCTGGAGCTCTGGCTTCCTGAGTGTTCGGATGGAAATAACACCAGATGCACTACAGACTAGGTCACTGATTCTCATCCGTAGAGATCCTTTAAAACACATGATCCTGCCTCATGGGACACGTGGGTTAGGACTGAGGACAGAAACATGTTTGGTTGCAGATGGAGGGCCTACCTAGAAATGCAAGCTCTGGAGCCAGCTGTTTCTGTGGCTACTCCTTATTGACGATCACAGTGGTGACACAGTGCCTCCCTTTAACAAGCACAGTCAGAGAGTCCCTTAGAAGTGCGTGAGCTACCCACTGGCATCCCTGTCATGGTCTCTGCATGAATGGCGGGGGAGGGGGGTTAGCATTCCATCTGAATGTGACAGGAAGTGAGCTGGGGACTGGCACACTCCATCTCCGGGCTCTCAGTCACTCAGTGTGTGCTGGAGTTCCATGTCAGCATCTCCACTCCTCACACCTGCTTGGCAAGGGCTGTTATCAACCCCACTTATAGAGGAGAAACTGACAGAGAGAAGACTCTATCCAAGGTTACCTTCTGAACCCACATCTGGCCAAGCATGGTGACTAGAGGTGATGATAATAGATTGTATCTTTAAAAAGATTGTATCTTTGAAAATTGTTAAGAGAGTAGATTGTAAATGTTCTCACCTCAAAAAATGTTAAGTGTGTGAGGTGATGGATATGTTTGTTAGCTTGATTTAACCATTCCACAATGTATACATGTATCAAAATATCACACTGTGTACCACAAATGTATACAATTTTTATTTGCCAAAAAGAAGAAAGATCTAAAGAAAAAAAAAGAACCTGTGGCCATCTGTCTGGCTCCTAGGCTTATCATCTTTCTATCATTTAATGTTGATTTTATTAATTGTTTTAGAAAATAAAAAGGACTGATAGCTTCCATTTAGGCTTTAGGAACAGACAATTTCAATATTGTTACATTTAGTACATGGGGAAGAATACCTGACAAGAGAGAAGCAAGGGAATAAGGCTAACATTCTGCCCACAAACAAAACAAATAAAAAGTGAAAACAACCAGGGAAAAACCCACCTGAGGCCACATTTATTATTCCCACTTAAGAGATAAGGAAACTGAGGCTCAGAATAATGATTTTAAAATGAGCCAAAAAAAAAAAAAGTTAAAAAACAGACTAGAGTCACTTGCTAAACGGCAGAACTGGGACCCAACACAATTTGACCAAATCCACATCATTTCTACAACTTCACATGTAATTGTATCTGAAATAGCCATAGTAAGTAGAGTCACCTAATGTCTAGAATATATAAAACGACAGAATAATTTTTAGTACAATTTTAAAGAAGCAAAATATGTGAAGTTTGTTAGATATCTGGGACCTGAGAACCCACTGTCTCTGAACAATTTTCATGATCATGTTTCAAAGACAGGGGCCACCTCTCAGCATGATGGGCCTTCTGGTTAGGAGGCTTCTGGGAAGAGGAGCATTACTTCTTAGGGAGAACATCATTCTTTCTTGGAAGGTCTCAATAAGAGCTGGGGACAGAGGACAGTCCCAGTAATGGTAGGACCAAGCCTGAATAGGAGAGTGGACATGCTCTCCTGAGTCTCAGCAGGAATTCTACAGCCTCACTGGTGGAAGGGAGGAGGAGAAAGGAAGAACAGGAGGAAGCCTGCGGCCCTGATAAGTCTGGGACAAGTGAAGCTCCAGAGTGGTGGCTGCCTGACAGATATTTTGAGAACAAGGATGCCTATGGTGCATAGTGACATGATTTTTGTCTGTGCTTGGGAAACTTTGGTGAGTGGGGGCTGCTCATGCTTGCTTTGGGGAGTGGAATTTGTGTCAGACCATTCTTACATGAGTATAAAGAAATATCTGAGACTGGGTAATTTATAAGAAAGAGATTTAATTGACTCACAGTTTTGCAGGCTGTACAGGAAGCATGGCGACATCTGCTTTTGGGGAGGCCTCAGGAAGCTTACAATCATGGCGGAAGGTGAAGTGGGAGCTTGTACGTCACAGGGTGAGGGCTGGAGCAAGAGTGAGGATGGGAGGTGCTGCACACTTTCAAACGACCAGATCTCAGAACTCACTCCCTATTGTGAGGGCAGTACCAAGGAATGGTACTAAACCATTCATGAGAAACTGCCCCCATGATCCAATCACCTTCCACCAGGCCCCACCTCCATTCAACATTGGAGATTACAATCCAACACAGATCCAAACTGTATAGAATTCTTAGGGCTGTCAAACCCTGTCCTGTTTATATCAGAGTTAAAGGGGGCAAAGCACACAGCCCAGCCCTGTAGGGATGCCCAGGCTGCAGATGGAAGCCTAAAAAAAGTAAGCGGTTGGGAATTTGCAAAAATTTAGGGGAATCCAGAATTTGTGCAAATTCTTAAATTTGTGCAGTTGCAATTAAACATTTGAAGAGCAAAGGGACTCGGCTAGCATTGCATTGCTTTATATAACTTGTTTCTTGATAGGTAACAAAATAGAGCAGAAACAAATTGATTTACTCAAGTTTTAGAAATCTCACTTTTAGCCTTTCTGAAAATTAGGAATTTTTAATGTACAGATAAAGTGTATATTATATCTTCTGAATGTATACATTCCCATCCCCATCAAAAAACTATGTTATAAACTTAATTCAAGACATTTTACAATGAATGCCATGTTAGAAGTAAGGGATTATGTGAAAGAAAGACATATGGTCTGCTCCAAATAATCATTGTAGAGATAAAAATACATTTGTTAAAATTTAAATAACAAAAAAAATCACACATTTGAGAGATAAAAACAACAAAAAAGGGCTGGGACCAATCCTTATGAACTCAGTTGATGAACAGACAAAGGCAGACCATGTATAAGAAGGGTATGAGAATTAGTAGGCATTTTAATATCCTTACAAAAGTTGGCTTTATCACAAGTATTTTTTTCTTCATGTCTATGGTCATAGATTCTCTTTTTTTATTTCACAAGGATTTTTTCATGAAGATTTTGTCTCTGTTTTCAAGCAAAGAAACTAAAGTTAAAGTAACTTGCCCAAAGTCACAGCTAGTAAGTGGAAAAATTCAGATTTGAACCCAGGTCCATCTGACTGCACATTGGGAGTGCGCATGAATGTGTGAGGTCCCACTTGCTGGCCAATCCTCCAGCCTGCGCCACCAGTCCAATCAGTCAGGCTTTGGACTGAGCTGAGCCTTCCCTGCTATCCATGTTCTCCACCTGCTTCTCTCGACCTAAGTTCATACGGCATGCAATCAGGTGGGAGGACCACTTGAACCCAGGAGTTTGAGACCAGCCTGACAACAAAGTGAAACCCCCATCTCTACAAAATTTTTTTGAAAAATTAGCTGGATGTGGGTGGTGCATGCTTGTAGTCCCAGCTGCTCAGGAGTCTGAGGTGGGAGGATCACCTGAGCCCAGGAGGTGGAGGCTGCAGTGAACTGTGATCATACCACTGCACTCCAGCCTGGGTGACAGAGTGAGACCCTGTTTCAAGGACAGCATGCAGCATGGACTCATGCAATGAGCATCATGATTAGAATAGGACAGTGACAAATGACACCTCCTTCAAAAGCAGCAGATCTCACTTTTAAAAAGCACTGTGTATTTAGATAGAATATGCTGAAGAACATTCAAGGAAAGACAAAAGGAGAGATAAGCCACAGACAGCTTTTTAAAAATGTTAAATGTGGCACAGGAACAAGAAATAATGGCTACAGGTACTTTGCTATCTAGGCACCTGCCAGGACCATTTTACTGCCAAGAATGAGAGACTTGATAATTTATTGATTTTTTTTCTTAATGACAATTTGATGTCTCAAGAAGAAGCAATTAGAGGAATAGCTGCTCCTAATATAATTGGAACTAACTGTAAACGTGTCTCTAATGCTGTCCCCCATCCTGCTGAGGTGTCGGCATTCAGACAGAGGGTTGGGTTGGGGTGAAGGCAACGAAGGTACTTTTGAAACTTGGAGCACTTTTCTGGGAGGGAGGAGGGTCTGGGAGTGTGCCATAGAAGCTAGCTGATGACCCATGGTGGCCCAGAGGATCCCTAGCAAGGAGCGGGAATACTAAACGAGAGGCAAGAGAATGGCCAAAACACTCAATCTATTTCATATGTAATATAAGAATCCTAGATACTATGGTCTGAATGTTTATGTCCCTCCAAAATTCATATGTTGAAGTCTTCAGCCCCAAGGTGATTATAATAAGAGGTGAGGCCTTTGGAAGGTGATAAGGTCATGAATGGGTAACCCAATTAATAAAATGAGCAAAAGACCTGAATAGACATTTTCCCAGAAGATGTAAAAATGTCCAACACGTGTATATCAATGTGCTCAACGTCACCAGTCATCATGGAAATGCAAATCAAAACCATAATGGGATATTATTTCATACCTGTTAGATGTCTATTGTCAAAAAGTCAAGAGATCACAAGTTGCCACAACGATGTGGAGAAAAGGGAACCCTTGTAGACTTTTTAGTGGGACTGTAAATTGGAGCATCCATTATGGAAAACAGTATAGAGGTTCCTTCGAAGATTAAAAATAGAAACTATTATATAACCCAGCAATTCTTCTGCTGGGTACATAACCAAAGAAAATGAAATTAGCATATGGAAAAGATAGCTGCACCCACATATTCATTGCAGCACTTTACAATAGCCAAGTTATGGAAACAACCTAAGTGTCCATCAACAGATCAGCGGGTTAACAATTTTTTTTTTTGACGGAATTTTGCTCTGTCACCCAGGTTAAGTAGAGTGGTGCAATCTCGGCTCACTGCAACTTCTGCCTCCCAGTTCAAGCAATTCTCCTGCCTCAGCCTCCTGAGTAGCTGGGATTACAGGCATGCACCGCCAGACCTGGCTAATTTTTGTATTTTTAGTAGAGATGGGGTTTCACCATGTTGGCCAGGCTGATTTTGAACTCCTGACTTCAAATGATCTGCCCACCTTGGCCTCCCAAAGTGTTGGGATTGCAGGCATAAGCCACCACGCCCAGCCAACAAATGTTTAGATATATAATAGATTCAGCCTTAGAAAAGGAGATCCTGCCATTTGTGACAACATGAACGAATCTAGGGGACATTATGCTAAGTGAAATGTCAGGCACAGAAAGAAAAATACTGTATAATTTCCCTTACATGTGGAATCTTGAAAAGTGGAATAAATATAAACAGAATGGAATCATGGTTGTTACCAAGGGGAGAAAATGGGGAAAAGTAGATCAAAGGGTATAAATTTGCAGATCTGTAGGATGAATAAGTCTAGTGATCTAATGGACAGCATGAGGTTTACAGTTAATGATGTTGTATACTGAACATTTGCTAAGAGAGTAGATTTTAGGTGTTCCTGCTATACACACACACACACACACACACACACACACACACACGTTAACTGTGGAAGGGGATGGACATGTAATTTATTTGACTGTAATAGTCATTTCAGCATGTATTTGTTTATTAAGACATGTTGTACACCTCAAAGATATACAATAAAAATAAGTGTAAAAATAAATAAATAAAAGAGACCTGAGAGAGATCCCTAGTTCCTTCAACCATGTGAGGTTGGAGTCAGAAGGTGACTGTGTGTGAGGAAGAGAGCCCTCATCAGACACTGAATCTGCTGGTGACTTGGTTTTGGATGTCCCAGAACTGTGCAACAGACATTTCTGTTGTGTATAAACCACTCAGTGTATGGTATTTTGTTTTGCAAAATACCGTAAGAGGCTTAAGAGACTAGGAGTGAGGAGCAGACCTCCCAATGTCTTCCTGTCTCAATAGACCTTTCCTCCCACTCCACCAAAAAGGCCCTGTTCCCTGGAGCCACAATTTCCACTGTGTTCTTGGAACTATGGCTTAGGTGTGTTGTGGCCTGGCTTTACTCTGGTGGGCAGTCCAGGAAACTGTTTACCATTAGCACCAAATAATGTATTGATTTTTTTTTCTTAATGACAATTTGATCTCTCAAAAGCCAGAAGAAGCAATTAGAGGAATCGCTGCTGCTAATATAACTGGAACTAACTGGAAATGTGTCTCTAATCCTGTCAATGACAATTTGATCTCTCAAATGGTATTTCCACAAGAAAATACCTTCTGAGTCCCGGTTAGCCAACTTTCAAATACATCTTTGGGAGGCAATCGTGTTTTAGATTGGGAACTGCCCATGGCTGCTTACTAGCATTCTTGTGTACAAACGCATATAATCCTATTTAGAATGCACTTGAAGTCATTCAGCAAAAATTTGAAATTCTTGTATACTAAAGAAACTAATGAGGGCACAGGGAAGGCACATTGGTAGAGGCTGGTATTTCCAGATTAATAGTTAAAGGAGACTAAATGCAAAATAATGCTGAGAGGCCACTTAGAGTTTCAAAATACCGGATGGTATATCAATTACAGTTAAGAGTTTCCTTATGTGGCTGTAGGACTGAATTTAGTTCTGTACTTTTGGAAAATCCTCAATTTTTTTTTTCCTTCACGACTTTAACATGCACCAATCTCTCTGTCTGTGTCTCTCCCTCTCTTATTGGCTCACATTCCCATATGTTTTGGCTCAGATTTTCCCATAGTGCATAGCTGTGGTTGTCAAAATTGTGGGTAGTGGTTTTAAAAAATTCACAAGGAAATGTACAATGTTAAATGCTATGTTTTATCGCATTTACATGCTGGGTTTCCAAGCATTATATTAAGAAAACAGCCCTATTACTAATTTCTAAATTATAGTTTTTATTGCATACCTTTTATTCCATACATTTTTCATTATTTTTCATGTGATCTCTGCTAATAATCTGTCAATTTAATTTGAGATTTATTTTTTTTTAGTATTGTTATTTGGATTTTAATATTGCTGTTTCCAAACAAGTTAGAATATTGTGCTCCCAAACTTCATTTAGATAACATTGCCCCTCATTCTTTTTGATGTTGATTTGGTCTTTTTCTTAAAATCATCTGAGAGGAAAGGGCTACACAGAGTGAAAGATATTTTAAAATGATATTTAAAAAAATGACTTCCCTCTGTCATCCAGCACTTTGGGAGACCAAGGTGGAAGGACCACTTGAGGCCAGGAATTTGAGACCAACATAGCCAGACTCTGTCTCTACAAAATACAAAATAAAAATTTAGCCAGGAGCCATGGTGCACACCTCTAGTCCCAGCTACTGGGAGACTGAGCTGGGAGGATTACTTGAGCCCAGGAGCTCAAGGCTGCAGTGAGTTGATTGTGCCACTGTACTGCAGCCTGGGTGTCGGAGTGAGACCCCATTTCTAAAAAACAACCAACCAAACAATAAACTACTTCCCAAACAGTGTCAGGATAGCAGAAGAACCAGACCAGTACTATAGGGGTCTCTGCCAGAACTCCCTGACCCAAAGCATATTCTCTACCAGCAAGAAGCCTAAAACCTTTCTCTTACAGTCACCTCATAGGCCAAGTTATCCTCAGAAAATTATTGTTTACATTTTACACTTGCAGGAAGAGAGAAAAGTCTAACTTATTAGAATGACACAAAGATTTGTACAACGAGTCTTTAGATATATATATTTTTAGCTTCACTTCCAAATGCTCTTGTCTCTTCTCCTCATTCTTTTTCCTGTTCAGTCTGCATATCAGTTTTTGCACACTTTTATTACAGCACTTAATGACTTTGTGTTACAGTTTATTTAATAGTGTTTTGGTTAGCACCCTTCCTTTTAGCCATAACGTAAACTCTTTAAATGCAGAGATCTTATGTTACTCATTTTTGTAAAATGGGGTTTCCTTCATAGTTAAATACTCAGTAGATGTTAGTTAACTAAGAAAAATGGGACAAGAAAATGAACTCTTCTCCAGGGAGACATAACATTAATTCATTAATACCTATTAATTGCATTATAGATTTTTTTCTCAGAGAAGCTAGAAGATACCAAGATTCTCAGGGATAAGAATGAAATAGAACGTATAACATTTGATTGTGTTTATGAGAAGAGAAGAGGATTATTCAGAGAATGAGGTGCTATTCTGGAAGGCCAAGTGCAGGCAGGACCCCACAGTGGTAACCTGCAGCTGCCAGAGAATAGCATGAGGCTGTGTGGGCAGCCCGGATGGAAGGAGAATTCTGAAATGCAAAGGCAGCCAAGTGAGACCCTGTCAACCTCACAACTTTATCTCGATATGGTCCTGTTCTGCCTGAAGTCTTTCTTTTTTCTTTGCCAAGTTTTGTCTCCTGGTATGGTTGGTTAGAAAATCACAGAAGATGAGGACAGCTGGTGTCTGGGATTGTATGTGTTCAAATAAAGCAACTGGAAGTGGAAGGCAAGATGCCGGGACAGATGGCTTGACCCTTGAATGACCTTGAGGAGGTGGGCTTGGGCTGCCCTCCTCCATCTGGCAAGGTGTCATGGTGTGAAAAAGGTGAGAAAATAGTGCCATGGGGGATGACTTAGTATAGGTTGAGAGCAGGAATGTAATGACACCACATACAACTGTGAATGCCAAAGCCCACTTAGTCCGTATGCAAGAAAATGCTAGACTTGGAGCACACTCAGGTACATATATTCTTACAATGTTTTATTGTGAATTTGAAGGCCTAGGGTCAGATACATGTTCTTGTTATGTGACTGTGTGGTCAGTGGGAAGGTTAGAGGGTGAAGGCTGAACATTAGGGTACACTGAAAATTGCCAGGCTGGCTCTGAATGGTGCGGAGAAAAAGCCCAGCCTCTGAACTTCCTCCCATGGAATCTCTGATCTGTGGAATTCTGCTACTGAGGCTTGGGGAAGTGAAAGCAGCATTCCATTGAATTTCAACCTGTGGAATCTCAGCGAGATGTGGCTGGACCATTGGAGAAATGGGGTGAGGAGGAATAGCGGATTCTGGGGACACTAACAAAATGGTCTAGATTTCAATACGCTGGGTGGGTGCAGCAGTTTAAACACCAAATGATGCCAAGTAGCCATGGAAGTCATTGAAACACCATCTTGTTGGCAGTCCTGGTGGCTGCACTTTAGACATTGCCAGATTGAACTGTGTTATTCAGCCACCGATCTGTTGAATAATGGATTATTTCGTCCATTATTGCAAAGCATGTCTTTATTCAATTCAATTCAATTCAATTCAATTCTATTCTATTCTATTCTAATTTTTTAGATATTTTTCAGCCTAATATTTTAGTTCTTGCCATGAGAGAGTCTGGAAAGCAGCCCCATGGCGCCGGGTTCTATGACCTGGGGAGGAAAGCACACAGAGACACAGGCTTTGCTCCTAGGTTGAAACAGAAAGCATTCCTGTGCTGAAGAAGCAGTGTGTGCTTCGCTGAGGACAGAGCGCCACCACAGTCCCTGGCGTGAGTTATGTCATCCCTGGCAACTTGCTGTGGAGCTCAATTGGAAATTGCTTTCTGGATAGAATGCCATTAGAAAGGAAGCGAAAAACCTCATGGATAAATTCATTTTCTTGTGAATCTAATTGCAAAAACAGTATAGCATTCATTTGATAAAAGCAGACTTCAGCAGCTCAAAGTTGTATCAGTCTTGGTGTTAGCTCCTTTGGAAAACTATTTCAACTATTTCAACTCCTATTAAATGTGGGCTCTTCTCCCTGAGAAAAGAAAGTGGCTTGAATGGTGGCCAGGACATCTAAGACTGTATCATATGCAAATGTTACAGCACAACCCATTAGAAATTGCTAGTCAGCCACAATGGTGGGATGAAGACCCAAAGGCCATTTGCCTTTCTGACTTTTAGTTACTAGGCTCTCAAAAAATAAGCACACTTGGGGTGTTTTACCATTGGGAAATTACACCTAAGCTTGACTAGCACTGGCCAGATAGAGCAGCTAGAACTTGGCACCAAATGCTTGAGAATGCATTCAATGTACTATTAAAAAAAGATATAAAGGAATGGATGCTGACTGAATTATTACTAAGGATTATAAGATTAGAATGAAGTCTGACTACAAGAATAAGCTGTAGGGAAGAATTATAGAGATTGTGTTGATGCAATGTGATAACTCCTTGATCAGATGCTCAGTATATTAGAATGCACTTTTGTTGTTGTTAGAAGCCACTTTTAAAATCTCAGGGGTCTCAGGCTTCAGTTTTCCAGCTGACTCCCCTATGTCTGGGTAGACAGACACACACACACACACACACACACACACAGCTGTGGCAGAATAAATGTTACTGTAACTTAACGTATTATATTATTTAGGTGAAATAGAGCCTCTCATAGACAGATGTAATAGAGAAAAATGAGTAGGGAGTTCTTTGTAAGTTGCAGGTGAGATGATGTGCTTGTGAACATATCTCAGACTCAGCTGAAGATGGAGAAAAAAATTATAATGGGGTAGATAAGTAGTTCTCAAACTTTAGGGCATCAGAATCACCTGGAAGACTAGTAAAAACACAGATTGTTGGGCCCTAACCCAGATTTCTGACTCAGAATTTTTAATCCAGAGCTTCCTGATTCTGACTTCTTGCCTTGGAGAAAAATGTGATGTTTTCTAGCTTCCTGACTTTGCAGAATATTACACTCTTTCTACGGACCTAGAGATGTTCTGTGGCCTTCATCACAACGGGCTGTGAAAGGCTGACCCTGGATTCTGAGGGTGCTTGTTGTAAGAGTGTGTGCTTTCTTCTCTGCATTTTTACTATAGGTCCTGCCTCATCCTAAACACTTAATGAAGGGTAATCTTTTCATAAAATATTTATAAATAAACATTATTCATGTTTTTCTACTTTACTGCCTATTGATGCCTTAAATGTGGGTGTCTAAAATTCCATTGCTGCTAATGTAATATTAAAATTCTGACCCACACCTGTAATTCCAGCACTTTGGGAGGCCAGGGCGGGTGGATTGCTTGAGTCCAGGAGTTTGAGACCAGCCTGGGCAATATGGTGAAACCTTAGCTCTATAAAAAAGTACAAAAATTAGCCAGCAGTGATGGCACACGCCTGTAGTCCCAGCTACTCAGGAGACTGAGGTGGGAGGATTGCTTGAGCCCAGGAGGTGGAGGTTGCAGTGAGCTGTGATGGGGCACTGCACTCCAGTCTGGGTGACAGAAGGAGACTCCATCCCAAAAAAAAAAAAAAAAAAAAAAATTCTGATTCATCACATATAAAAATAGCTCTGTCTCACCTCTACAAGGTGAATAAATGAATGAATACACTTCTGGGGGAATTGCTCCTAACAGTGAAACTTTTGAGATATCTGGCAATATTTATTGGGTATAAATATTTATTGCCAGATTGTTCTTCTAAATTTTTGTAACAATTTATTTTACCTCTACTTTTTCTTCCTGATACTCTTGCCATATTGGAAGTAACTCTTCTTAAAAAAAATTTCTCAAAGTATCTTTATTTTAAAAATTTGTTGAATTCTGCATGCATTTAATAGCAGAAACTGATCTCTCCTTGTTGCTTTAATTTGAGTTTCTTTAATTATGAAGTCTATCTTTTTTGTTAT
This sequence comes from Homo sapiens, assembly GCF_000001405.40. Taxonomy (NCBI): domain Eukaryota; kingdom Metazoa; phylum Chordata; class Mammalia; order Primates; family Hominidae; genus Homo; species Homo sapiens. Next base: position 67,797,280 of record NC_000008.11, read on the forward strand.
ATGTATTGGTGTGATGGTTAATACTGAGTGTCAACTTGATTGGATTGAAGGATGCAAAGTATTGATCCTGGGTATGTCTCGGAGGGTGTTGCCAAAGGAGATTAACATTTGAGTCAGTGGGCTGGGGAAGGCCGACCCACCCTTAATCTAGTGGGCAACATCTAATCAGCTGCCAGTGAATAGAAACCGGCAGAAAAATGTGAAAAGGTGAGATGGGCCCAGCCTCTCAGCCTACATCTTTCTCCCATGTTGGATGCTTCCTGCCCTCAAACATCAGACTCCAAATTCTTTAGTTTTGATACTCGGACTGGCTCTCCTTGCTCCTCAAACTTGCAGACAGCCTATTGTGGGACATTGTGATCGTGTAAGTTAATAAACTCCTATGTGTATATATATGTATATATATATACACACACATATATACACACACACACACTCCCATGTATATACTCCCATATATATACACACACATACTCCCATATATATATATACTCCCATATACATATATATATATGTATAAATTCTATTAGTTCTGTTCCTCTAGGGAACCCTGAGTAATACAATTGGTGTTTCTTCTTTTGTAAAGTTTTTGTTCTTTGGCTTTGCTAAGTTTTCTTTTGAGGTCTTTTATTTCTTTATTTTTTTGAGATGAAGTCTCACTCTATCACCCAGGCTGGAGTGCAGTGGTGTGATCTTAGTTCACTGCAACATCCACCTCCCAGATTCAAGCGATTCTCCTGCCTCAGCTAGAATTACAGATGCCCACCATCACACCCAGTTAATGTTTGTATTTTTAGTAGAGACAAGGTTTCACCTTGATGGCCAGGCTGGTCATGAACTCCTGACCTCAAATGATCCGCCCACGTCAGCCTCCCAAAGTGCTGGGATTACAGGTGTGAGCCACTGCACCCAGCCTTGAGGTGTTTTATATATTTTTTTCCTTATTGAGTTCTAAGAACTTTTTCTATACTGAGAATATTAACCCTCAGTTTGACGTGTATATTGCAGTCTCTCCACCAAGTTTGTTGTTTGCCTTATAAATTTGCTTATAGTGTTCTGTCATATAGAAGTTTTATATATACAGTAGTCAATCTATGTGTTCCTTTTATGAATTCTGCTTTTGCATGCATACTTGATTTCTGGGAGCTTTTTTACTGATATCTTTCAAGCCTTTAATGAATATTAATTTACATAATTGCCTTATGTCCATTAGGGGGAACATCATCTCATTAAAATGACCTGTTACTTTTCCTTCTCAGGTTCCTGTGTCTGCCCTTCCTAATGAAGTACGCTTTGATTTTTTTTCATAAATGCCCCAAACCACTCACTACTGATCCCAGCATTATCTTTAGTGGAGCAGTGAGCAGTTGCCATTCTGCTGAAGTTTGCTGCCTTAAAGTTATTTTCAGATGATAAAAAAAAAAGAGAGGGAAATTAGTTTAACAGGCTGGACCTCTTTTTGTGAAGATTAGAGAGAGTCTACACATCTTTTTCTGAAAGGTGATCTTGCCTGAGAGAAATGATAATGACTGAAATAAAAGGTGTCTCTCGCATCTCCTGTGGGCCTTCGGCACATTTCAATCCTAATTAAAGAAGAAGTCCGAGGGAGCCTTTCCAGAAGGAGTTGATTATAACCCCAGTTCCATATGGAACACATGGAAGGTTACTGCTGCAGCTGTTGAGCATTATAGTATGAGACACATGCTTTAAATGTCTCTATACTAAGCACACATTGAAAAATGCTTTCTTGAACTTGGCTGTATGGGAGTCCTTTAGTGTTTTTAATATCAGGGGGACAAGTTTTTTTTAATACCAGAAGCCCCCCCTCCCCCTTATTCCTTTAAGCCTTGGCTATGCATTTTTATGCATGGATATTTCATGAAACCTTTTAAGTTGAGTGCCCTGGTTACATCTTTGATACAGGACATAGCACCTGGTTTTAAATCTTTGTTTTTGGGCAGTGGGGTTCTTATTGACTGGGTGGAGATGGAAATTAGTGGCTTCCACGTCCCAACTTGCTGGGGACAATAAGTGAAAGGTCGATGGAGATGAGTACGAACATTATTAATGTCTGACCCAGAGTAAGTTGTTATGCGAACCTGCATTCCCAACAGAAAGATCGATGTCAGGTTAGGACTAGAGACCTTGTTTTTTCAAAGCTGAAATAAGATTTTGGTGTTGCCTCAGCAGAAAAATATAGATATGTTAATGGTTAATATTTTTTTCTCCCCTTACCAATCTAACACACAATTTTACACAATTGTAATCAATCATAGTAAAGGCCAATGCAAAAACAGGAGAGAAAAAGCACATGTAACTGAAATCTGAAGATAATCTCACATTCCAAATTAGCTAATAGTTTCCTGTTCTTACCTCCATTCCAATTCAGCTCTCGAAAACTGTGCAGTAATACGTGTTAGGCACAAGCCCACAGGGAACCCAAGTGAAGAGAGTGAGAGATCCGAAATCCTGAATGCCCTGGTTCTGCCCAGGCCTCTCAATGCACTAGCAGGTTCAAAAGGCAGAAAGGTTCTGAGGCCAAGGAGGGTGGATCACTTGAGTTCAGGAGTTTGAGACCAGCCTGGCCAACATGGTGAAACCCCGTCTTTACTAAAAATACAAAAATTAGCTGGGTGTGGTGGTGCGCGCCTGTAATCCCAGCTACTCAGGAGACTGAGGCAGGAGAATCGCTTGAATGCTTAAACCCTGGAGGCGGAGGCTGCAGTGAGCTAAGATTGTGCCACTTCACCCCAGCCTAGGTGACAGAGGGAGAATCTGTCTCAAAAACAAACAAACAAACAAACAGGCAAACAAACAAAAAGGGGAGAAAGGCAGAGAGGATACCTTTGGGCAGTGGCCAGGATCAAGAGACAAGAGTGGTTGCTGCCACCTCTTCTGGGTCCTTGAGGGAGGATATGCACAGGGGAACATCTGATTCTTCATTGAGGCTTTGGGCCCTAAACCCACTATAGTTTCCCAGGTGAACTTGGCATCTGCAAAACTTCCTGACTGTTTTGCTCAGATAAGGCAGGCTCAAGTGGTGTGGACGATGTCTTTCTTGCTAGGCCACCTGCTCCCCACTTATTCTTGGATAGGAATGTTAATGTGAAAACCTCACAAGTACAAGGTGATGTCCTCACTCTAGGTTGGGACAGTCCCAAAGCACCTGAAGACGCATTGCTGTATTGGATTTTAAAGTTAAGGCTGGGGAGACATGGGAGAATGCAGGGAGAACCCCAAAGCCCAAAAGAGTTGTACCTGTGGCCTAGAATACTATGTGATGCTGCCAACTTCTACAAACTTGAAAAGCCGAGTTTATGAGAAAAGAAATTCAGAGGCCTTATATTAACCAATAGAAAAAGGATGGTGCTGTATTTTGGTGATAATTGGTAATTTTTGGTAAGGTGGGGACAGGTTTTCCTAACCAGGTATCAAATAGCTAAATTAACTACAGAGATTCTAGTCCAAAAAGACTGGGATTCAATCATTAGCAAATATTTATTCAGCATGAACTAGATGCCAGGCACTGTTCTAGGTGTGTGGAATATACTAGTTAACAAAGATGACAAAGATTTATGTTCTTGGGAAGTTAAATTTGTGTGAGTACAATTCATGTAAAAGTAAATGAATTCAACTATATGATAGAGGACAATAAATGCTATAGGAAAAAGTAAATGGGCCGGACCCAGTGGGTCACATCTGTAATCCCAGCACTTTGGGAGGCTGAGGTGGGTGGATGACCTGGAGCCAGGAGTTCAAGACCAGCCTGACCAACATGGTGAAACCCTGTCTCTACAAAAAAATACTAAAAAATACCACCGGGTGTGGTGGTGAGCTCCTGTAATCCCAGCTACTTGGGAGGCTGAGGCAGGAGAATCACTGGAACCCGGGAGGCAGAGGTTGCAGTGAGCCGAGATCACGCCACCGCACTGGAGCCTGGGTGACAAGAGTGAAACTCCATCTCAAAAAAAAAAAAAAAAACAAAAAAACAAAACAAAAACCAAACAACAAAAAAAGTAGAGGGAGATAAAGCAGTTCAGGAATGCCAGCAGGAGGCAGTTTGTGGTATTAAATGGGTATTTAGGGTAGGCCTCATTGAAGAAGTAAGGTTTGATTAACGTCTTGAAATAGGCACCAAGCTCACACCTGAGGAAGAACATGCTAGGTGGAAGGAACAGCTGATGCTAATATCTTCAGGGTTTTCACGGGGTTTGTGCCTGGCTTGTTTGAGAAATAGCAAAGAGACCAGCAAATGGCGGGGAGTTGGTAGGAAGAGATAAGAGAGATGTTAGGAAAGGGGTAGTAGCTCTTTGGGGTTTTGTAGGGCACTGTGAAGAGTTTTTTGAAATGTACACATATTACAGAGATGTGAGATACATTCTAGATAGTATGTTGAAGATAGATTATAGAGTAGGAGAATAGAAGCAGGAAGGCTGGGTGCTGTGGCTCCCGCCTGTAATCCCAGCAATTTGAAAGGCCGAGGTGGGAGAATCTCTTGAGGCCAGGAATTTGAGACCAGCCTGAACAATAAAACCAGATCCCCTCTCTACAAAGAAATTAAAAACTTAGCCGGGTTTGGTGGTGCATGCCTGCAGTCCCAGCTGCTCGGGGGGCTGAGGTGGGAGGATCGCTTGAGCCTGGGAAGTCAAGGCTGCAGTGAGCTTTGATTGTACCACTGCACTCCAGCCTGAGCAACAGAGTGAGATGCTGTCTCCAAAAACAAAAAATAACATAAAATAACATAAAATAAGGGATAGGGAGAGACCAGTCAGGAGGTTACTGGGATTATCCAGCAAGAGATTATGGTGTTTCTCATCAGAGTGGTAGCAGAAGAGGTAGTGAGAAGGTAGAAAAGTGATTGATCTATTTTTGCAGATAGAACCAATATGAATTCTTAACAGATCCAACTGAGTGAAAGAAGGAAAGAGTCAAGGATACTTCAAGAATATTGTCCAGATCAATGAGAAGAATGGAATTCTTATCAAG